>NC_000018.10:65787528-67037528 GCF_000001405.40 Homo sapiens | reverse complement strand
TAGATAAAGATACAAAAATTTATTTTATTTTTACACACTAGCAATGGATCTGTAAATCGATATTTAAGTTACAATGCCACTAAAAACACTCATAAATGAAGTAAGTAGGTGTAAATCTAACAAAAGGTATAGGACTTCTATGCAATTATCTAAAAATATGGATGGAATAAAAATATTTAAATGAATGGTAAGTCATACTATGATAATTGATTGGAAGACTCAAAGAAAAAAATATGTCATATGTCCTCAAGCTGCTGTGTGGGTTTATCACAATTCCATAAAATTCTAGAAAGGTTTTCGAGGTTTCGTGTTTGCTTTTTTAAAAAAAAATTGTAGATATAGACAAACTTATTCTAAAACTTATAAGAAAATGCAAAAACTAATGAAAACAATTTGAAGAAGAATAAGTTGGGAGGATTGTCTTTTTAATTTCATAACTTGTTACATAGCTAAAGTAATCACAGTGATCAAGACCTATTAGTATCAACAGAGAAATACCCACTGTAACCAATGGATTAGCATAGAGATCCTATTAATATGCACAGAAAAATAGGACCTACATTTGCTTCACAAAGGCACAAAAGCAATTCAATGGAATAAAGTTAGAATTTAATAAATGTTACAAAAAAACCCTTGAACATATACAACTCTTATAATGACTAATTAAAATTTATCATGAATTTAAATGTAAAATATAAAGCCATAATATTTTTAGAAAAAAAAAATCTAATGATATTGGGAAGGGTAAAGAATTTTTAGACTAGACACCAAAGGCATAATCCATAAAGAACTTGATAAATTTGACTCCATTATAATTAAATATTTTGAACTCAAAATACTCTGTTACAAAGGATGAAAAGATAAGATACAGGGTTGAATAAAGCAATTTAAATCCATATATCTGAAAAAGAGTCAATATCTGAAACTTAACAGAAAAACAAAAACCCAATTACAGAATGAGCAAAACATATGAAGAGATATTTCCTTGAATATGATTTACAGATGGCAGATAAGAACAATCAAATGCTGGCAAAGATGTGGAGTAACTGGATGTCTCACACATTGTGGGTGACAATGTAAAATGGTACAGCCATTCTGGAAAACTGGCAATTTCCTATAAAACTAAACATTTAACTACACCACAATCCAGCAACGGCTGAGTGAAAATTATAAATGGAAAAAATAATCCTAAAGTGTTACATACCAAATGATTTTGTTTATATAATAGTCTACAAATTATAAAATTATAGAAATGGGATAAATATTATGGATTGCCAGAAGTTAAGTAGAGGATGGGCAGAATAGGAAAATAGGTGTAGTTATATAAGGGTAGTGTATTAGTCCATTTTCACACTGCTATAAAGAATTAACTGAGATGGGGTAATTTATAAAGGAAAGAGTTTTAATTGACTCACAGTTTCACATGACTGGGGAATCCTCACGAAACTTACAATTGTGGCAGGAGACAAAGGAGAAGTAAGGCATGTCTTACATGGTGGCAGGGGATAGAGAGGGAGAGCAAAGAATAAGTGCCACACTTTTAAACCATCAGATCTCATGAGAACTCACTATCACGAGAACAGGATAAGGAAAACCACGCCCGTAATTCTATTACCTCCCACCAGGTCCCTCCCTCAACACATGGGATTACAATCCAAGATGAAATTTGGGTAGAGACAAATCATATCAGGCAGTATGAAGGAGAGGTCCTTGTAGCAAAGAAATATTCTTGACTGTATTGATATCAATATCCTGGTTGTGATAGTATACTATTGTTTTGTAAGGTGTTACCATTTAGATAAACTGGGCTAAGGGTACATTGAATCTTTCTCTATTTTTTTATTTTCTAAAAGATTCATCTGAATGTACACTTATAGCAATATTTTAAAGAAATTTTAATAAAAAAAGATTACCTGTAATGATCTGTAAACACTAGCTGTATTTTTTTTTTTCCATTGCTGCTTACCAAATTACCACAAGCTTAGTGGTTTAAAAAAACAGAAATTGATCAACTTACGTTTCTGGAGGTCAGAGTCAAAACCAAGGGGAAGACAAGGCTGTACTCCTAGAAGCTATAGGTTAGAATCTGTTTTCCTGCCCTTTTCAGGTTCTAGAGCTATATTCCTTGCATTCCTTAATTTATGGCGCCTTCTGTTTTCAAAGCCACGAGTGTAGCTTCTTCAAATTTCTCCCTCCCTTCTTTGCCTTTGCTTCTGTAATGAGGTTGACTGCTGCATTTGTGATCTCCTTCCTTCCTCTAACAAGGAAATCTGTGATTACATCAGATCCACCTGGAGAATTCAGGTGAATCACATTCTCCAAATCCCTTTTGCTTTAGAAGATTGGATTCACATGCCATGAGGATTAGTGGAGGGGCGTTTGCATTAGCTGGTTTACAACACAAGCTGATAATAAAATTTGGGAAATATAGACAGCACCATAGCTTATATCGCCAATGGGTAGTAGGACCTGAATTCAAATGATAAAGTGATTTAAAATATACTTTTTTTTACATTAAGGTATAGTTCATAAAAATGAGAAAATCGTTAATCTTAGGAAATAGTTCATGGTGATTTCTAAGTATTGAATGCCATCAAGAATACATTTAAGCATCTATTGTGGTATTGTGAATTAAAATCAGGTTAAACACACATAGCATCAATAAATTGCCACAAGGAAATAATTATATCCTGAAAAAAAAGGAGAGCATATTCAATAGTTCGATGCATTAATATAACTTTAATTATATGGTTTAATTATTGGTGGGGTTTCAAGATAGTAATGAAGAGTTTTCAGGTTTGAAAGATAAAGCCTGTTTGTTTTATCTTAATTTTCACATACTAAAAAGGAATATACTAAGAAACTACTCAAGGGAAACATAATTACTTTGATAAACAGCCTTTATTGAAAATGTCTGGAGGAATACTTATTCCAGGTACATTGCATTTGAAGTGCAATTTAATGGAATTAATTAAAGCTGTGTTTCAGACAGCTAACCTCATTCACTGAATCATTTTTTTTTTTGTTCATGGCCAAATCTAACAGAGTGTACAAACAGAATCAATTTGTCTATCAGTAAAACTGTAAAAAAAAAAAAAAAAAAAAGCAATTATTTGAAAAATACTGTTTATTTGCTCTGTCTAGAGGAAAATTATGTTTTAAGAAGAGCATGAATATTAAAAGCTAAAAAGTTGGAAATTCTGTAGGTACCGTGAATTAAATTGCATTCTTGTATGTATGCTTTCTAGGATTGTTTGTATAATTAATTCTATTTTCTATATTACAGGTAAAAATATTTTTTATATATGTTGCTGTCATCAGAGAGGATCAGCAATGCATCAACAATACAGAGATATCTAAGAGATTGGCGTAATATCTGACTTCAGTAAATGTGTCTTATTCTTTCTCGTTTTTCTCCTCAATGCTGTCAATAAACAGTTTTATAGAGCTTGATTATTCTAAAGTCCTTTGTTCTGTATTTTCCTGTTTGCCCAATGTTGAGCCAATTCAGTGGTAATCTGTAACTAGAAAAATAATTGGGAAAAGATTAACTTTGCTATTTATTTCAATTTTTTCTCTTAGAGTGAATTAATACTAAAAAACAGTTCTGAATCAAATTAATCAAATTTGTGAATATCCCATTGCTAATGTATTTGGATTTGTTTCCACAAAAATAAGAAGAAACACCATATGCCATGCAGAAAATTAGCCAGCCAGTAGCTCAATGTGATATTGCATAATCCAGCTATGTGCATTGAGTATATAAATTTGAAATATTTCCCTAACCAAAAAGTTCTAAATTAACTGAAATATTCATTTTGGAAAGGAGAAACTGAAGGAAAATACTCATATCTTATGTTTATCATACTAAAAGCAAGTTTAATTACAATCTCATTTATTTATTAAATAATTATGCATTACCTACTATTGTCAGAATTCTAGAATACACACAGTTACAGAAGTGGACAAATGATGCAAAGCTGTTATTTTCTTGAAGCTTGTGCATTTTGCTGAATAGAGAGACAAATCTGAGTTAAAAGCGTGAAATATCGGAAATGATTATGAAATATAAAAGAAAAAATATTACTTGAGTATTTTATATGGTTATATGAAAGATTTTGTAATAAAGTGCAATAAATAAAATAAAAAATAAAGTAAATAAAGTGCAATAAATAAAATAAATAAAGTAAAGTAGTACAAATCCGAAGGACATATAAGGGTGAACTATTTGATGACTTGGGGAAAAAAAGCACTTCTAGCTAAGAGAACAAAACCTATAAAAACTTTGAGGCAGGACTGTCCTTTCTATCTTTAAGGAACATCAAGAAAACAACGTCTGTGGAATGAGGTTAATGATGCTGGGAAGAAATTGGGTAAGAAAAGTTATACAGGTAACTGGGGCCAAGATCAAGTGTTATCTTGCACAACATTGTATGAATTTTATCTTTTCTTTGAATAAAGTGAGAAGCCATTGGAGGGTCTCAAATGAGGGGAGAGACAAGTGTGTGTAGTAGATTAAGGAGGGGGTGCATGAAGCACACTTGAGAAGCTATTAAATGAGGAATGCCTGTGACTTCTTCAGTGTGGTGATGGAGGATATGAGAGGCAATATTCCACTTTGGTAAATATTTCAAAAACAAACAGCATGTGTTGGTGGTTTGAATAAGCGATGTGAGAGAACGAAGGAGCTCAATAATTGTTTTAATGTGTGTATGACCTGAGTAAATAAAAGCCTGAAGGAACAATGGAAGAAGATGGAGAGGAAAGAATGTCTGAAAAACGAAAGTTAAAGTATTTATTTTGGATTACTTAAATATGGCATGTCAGTGGTGTGCTGAACTCCTCTTGTATTATTTCTTGCAAGAAACTATTCTTAATTTTCAAAAATTTGACAACCTAGTTCTTAAATTCTGTCACTATTAAAAATTAAATTAGATGATTTGCAAGTAAATAAATTATAGTCAAAATAAATATTCAAAGCTCATTGCCTATTAGTTATTTTAATTCATTTTACTTTTATCGATGCTATTAAGGTTCATGCCTATTTTTTCATATGGTGATTGATATTGTTTGTGTCCCCACCCAAATCTCATCTTGAACTGTGGTTCCCATAATCCCTGCATATTGTGGGAGGAACTTGGTGGGAGGTAATTGAATCATGGAGGCGGTTGCCCTCATGCTGTTCTCATGATAGTGAGTTCTCATGAGATATGATGGTTTTATAAGCGGCTTTTCACCCTTTGCTTGGCACTTATCTCCCCTGCAGCCCTGTGAACAAGGATGTGTTTGCTTCCACTTCAGCTATGATTGTAAGTTTCCTGAGGCCTCACTAGCTGTGAAGAATTGTAAGTCAATGAAACCTCTTTACTTTATAAATTACTCTGTCTCGGGGAGTTATTTATAGCACCATGAGAACGGACTAATACAGTGTGAGTACAACGTTATAGTGTGCTACTGAGACTTTCTCTCCAACTCCATTCATTGTCACTATACTGGACTTAAAGTAACTCAATATAGATCATTGTGGATGCATTTAAGCCATGGAATTTAAAAAATACTATAAATATCAAAACTTGATTTTCAATTTTCTGGAAATAAGAAAATGATGGAAAATGATAATAATGGTAATTAAACTTAAAGCTGCATCATGTCTATAGCTATTACATTGTGAATAGTAGAAAAATATTAGGGCCGGGTGCAGTGCCTCACACCTGTAATCTCAGCAGTTTGGGAGGCCAAGGTGGGCAGCTCATGAGGTCAGGAGATGGAGACCATCCTGGCTAACACGGTGAAACCCCACCTCTACGAAAAATAGAAAGAAAAAAAAAATTAGCCGGGCGTGGTGGTGGGTACCTGTAGTCCCAGCTACTTGGGAGGCTGAGGCAGGAGAATGGCATGAACCTGGGAGGCCGAGCTTGCAGAGCTTACAGTGAGCTGAGATCGCACCACTGCACTCCAGCCTGGGCAACACAGCTGGACTCTGTCTCAAAAAAAAAAAAAAAAAAAAAAAAAAGAAAAAGAAAAAAAAAGAAAAATATTGAGAATTATTGTCAGTATTCCAATGCTTCTATCCAGCTCAGCAAAGATGCCACTCCCATCATTGATAAGCTAGTTGAATGTCTTCATTGTGTTATTTTCATCTTTTTCTTTAAGGAAAATGAATACCAGACAATATTTATGTGAGAACAATACTCATTCATCAGTGACATAACTTCTTTGATGAATCAGAATGTAGTTAAGCATTTATTCACTGTCTAATTTTGTCAAATCATGGCTAATTTCAGCCACAAGTTGGCTATAGATAAAAGGATTCTGTTCAATTAGCATATTCCCTGAGAAGCAACTGGGTATATAGACTATGTAATAAAGAATATTTTATATTTTACTATTGTTTTTAAATTTTGTACTATGAATACTTCATATCAACAAAATGTATGATGAACTTATACGTGTACATATATACTATATTAGCCCATTCTTGCATTGCTCTAGAGTAATACCTGAGATTTGGTAATTTATAAAGAAAGGAAGTTTAATTGCCTCACAGTTTTGGAGGCTTTATAGGAAGCATGGTGCTGATATCTGCTTGACTTCTGAAGCCTTAGGGAGCTTTCAATCATGGCGGAAGGTGAAGTGGGAGCAGGCATACCACATGGTGTGAGCAGGAGCAACAGAAAGTGGGAGGGAAGTGCCACACACTTTTAAATGATCAGATCTTAAAAGAACTCACTTACTATTGCAAAGACAATACCAAGCCATGAGAGATACGCCCACATGATTCAAACACCTCCCATCAGACCCCACCTCCAGCATTGGGGATTGTATTGCAACACAAGATTAGTGCAGGGACAGATATCCAAGCTGTATCATAGATATATGAGAGTCCTGTGATGGTTTCTGTGATGGTTCATTTTACCTGTCAGTATTATTCTAGGTGTGTCTTTGAGGGTGTTTCTGGAAAGGATTTGCATTTGAATCAATAGAATGAGTAGAAGACTGGCAGACATCATCCAATTCACTGAGGGCCTGATAGAACAAAAATGCAAAGGAAGAGAGAATTTGCTCTCTCTGCTTGAGTTGGGACATTTATCTCTTCTTGACCTCAGACATTGGTGTTCCTGGTTCTCAGGCCTTCAGACCTAGATGGGAATTGTACCAGCTTTCCTTGGCCTCCAGTTTACAGACAGGTACAGATCATGGGACTTCTCAGCCTCCATAAGTGGATGAGTCGATCTCTCATAATAAATTATCTATCTGTCTATCTATCTATCTATCTATCTATCGATCTATCTATCTTCTATTCGTTCTATTTCTTTGGAGAACCTTGAATAATACAGTTATAGAGAAAATTCTGGAGTAGGCTGTTATACCTATGTGTCTGAATGAGGCAGAGCACGGCAAACTCCCTTAATGAAGATGCCAGAGCTGACAGACTGGGAAACAAAGGTGGTCAGAGCTCCCAGGAGAGAGGAGAGAGTTGCTAAGGGAGCACTACAGGGATTCACACAGGATCCTCCAGGAGAATCCAGCAGTGTTGGGATTTGCACATAGGCATAAGAAAACTGTTTGAAACAAGGGAAATAGGTACTCAAAAAAACTATAGAACAGTACCTGGTGTTTTCACCAGGCCAAGAATAGTGCCCATTTCCATCAATCAGACTGTGAAAACCTCACAATTCACTGGCCATTGATTAGGGTAATATATTCAGAATTATCTTACCCAGGCATGTTACATATTATGCCAACACTTCGTATCATTATGGGTGAGTTGTCATAATATCTTGAAGCAGCCTTTCCTACCCTGCAACCACTAAAAACAATTTATCTATATAAGCAAATTATCGTGAGCCACATAAACATATGAATACCAAACCAAATGTCTCCCCACTTCAATTTCCCATTACCTAGATCCTCAGAAATCCTCACTGACAACTAACAATTGAGGAAGTATAAAGGACAGCCAATTAGAATTCAAAAGTGGTCTTAGCTTCTTGCCATTAAAGTGTTTTTTCTTTTACAAATTACTAAAAATCATGTAATACCATGTAAATGCAATGTTAGAACTCTTCCTGGGGCCATGCAGGGATGTGAATTGAAGCCAAATCTTTATTAGATTTATGATAGTCATGTTTTCTACCTTTGTTAAATTAATTACAAAATATTTTGAAGCAGGTAGAGGTATACAGGATCCAATAACTTGCCTAGGGGGAAAACATTACTAAGTGGTACAGTGGATCCATAACATATCAAAACATGAGCCTGTAATTAATATCCTTTCTTGTTTCCACTCCAGAAGCAGATTTCTATCGCTTTTTACAGAGTATTTTGGCCGGGCGCGCTGGCTCACGCCTGTAATCCCACCACTTTGGGAGGCCGAGGCGGGCGCATCACGAGGTCAGGACCATCCTGGCTAACACGGTGAAAACCAGTCTCTACTAAAAATACAAAAAATTAGCCGGGCGTGATGGCGGGCGCCTGTAGTCCCAGCTACTCTGGAGGCTGAGGAGGAGAATGGCGTGAACCCGGGAGGCGGAGCTTGCAGTGAGCCCAGGTCGCGCCACTGCACTCCAACCTGGGGTTTCTCTCTGTTTTGTTTTGTTACTGTATAGGTAAAAAGCTACCACTTATTTCTCGTGTATTTCATGGCTTCCCTTATAAGGGGCTTGTTTTCTTAAGTATTTCTATTGACATAAGGTCTCTATTGTCTTGTGCCTTGTGAACCTGATGATTTCATCCATGTGTGCTTGTTACTCTGCCACCGCACTGAGAGTTACCATTATAATATGGTTCATATCCAAATGTCCTTCAAGAGATAATATGAGTTAACCAATCGCAGCCACTCCTGAAGCAGTTACTTAAAAGGCAAAATACTGACCTATGGCTTTTCTCTCCCTTAGGTCAAATTTCACTTCTAATGTAATGTATTGTTATCAGAATTGTCTAGTTTCACTGTCATCTGTCTTCAGTAAGAACCATAGATGTAACAGACATCCAAATTAATCAACTTATCTGAACAATCATACTTCCATTTTGTCAAAAGTCTTAAATTACTGTAAACTGAAAACTTTTCTTGATAACATTCTATCTTACTTTTATCTAATTTTTCTCAAATCTATAAATAACAAAAATAAGTATAAAATGTAATCTATAATTATCAAATGATTTGAAAACCTATTTGATCTGATATATGCAGGTTCATATTGCCAACTAGGCTTAACACAATTTTTAATTTTCTCATGTTTTTAAACTATTGTTAATAATATAGACTATATAAAGTTCTATGTGATTTATTTTTTTAAATATGCTTCAAAATATTTTTATTATAGTTAAAAAATAGCAATTACATGTTTATATATTTCTGAAATAATATGTCAAAATTATATTTTTAATACACTTTAAATAAACAACTAAAGCTACATTCAATCTCACAGTCACAGACTATATCATCAATTCAGCAATATTAATAATGTGATATATTTGGGCTTTACTTCAAATTATTTCCTTTACCATCTTGTAAATTATCACTGCAATCTATCTTATGTAAGGAAGGTTGAGAACATGTAGTAACTTAGAAAATTCTAAATAAAAGAATATGAAATCAATTTTTACTATTACCTAATAATACATGTACATATATTGTTAAACAAGTTACACAAATGGAAGAAAATAAAACATTGAAAAGCTTGTCACCTGTCAACAATGATACTGTGAACTGCCATCAATCTTTCAAGTTTGCTATACATAAATATATATCTATATATATTCAACAGTGAGAACATACTTCGTAGACCTTTTAACACTACATTTTTACTCAAAAATTCATAATATACTTCGGAGAGATAAGCCATTCATACTTTTATTTTCACTCAATATTCTTAACTCATTGCAAATTATTCATTAGCAGAAGAAAAAGATTTTATCTAGTTTTCTCTGTATCTGCCAAAATACTGCAAAACATCTCTAAGAGAAGGTTCAAGCTTGGTGCTGAGTTTTTTCCTTTCTACCTCTTAAAGATGCATCAACTGTTTCCAGGAAATACAAACTTTTAAATATTAAAAAGAATAATTTCAGAGCCTTTTCTCACCAAAATTTTTTCATTCATTTAATCAACTGTTATCTATTGATTGAATAATAGCAATGGTGTGGTGCTATTGTCCTCTGTAATAATAGACACTTTGATTTTGAGTTAAGCATATTGCTACATGTAAAAATTGTATTGATTTTAATATGCATTTTAATGTAATTTGAAAACAATTAATAGAAAACATTCCTTTGAAATCTAATTAATGTTAGATCAATGTTTTATGTTATTTATGAAATATTTTTCCACTCAAGAGGATAACAGACTTTTTAAATCATGCCTTGATTAAACTTAAATCTGCATTTTAAAAATAACCATGCCTTAAAAGTTCAGATAGGCCGGGGGCAGTGGCTCACTCCTGTAATCCCAGCACTTTGGGAAGCCGAGGCGGGCGGATCACGAGGTCAGGAGATTGAGACCATCCTGGTTAACAGTGAAACCCTGTCTCTACTAAAAATACAAAAAATTAGCCGGACGTGGTGGTGGGCGCCTGTAGTCCCAGCACCTTGGGAGGCTGAGGCGGGAGAATAGCGTGAACCCGGGAGGCGGAGCTTGCAGTGAGCAGAGATTGCGCCACCGCACTCCAGCCTGGGCGGCAGAGCAAGACACCGTCTCAAAACAAAACAAAACAAAACAAAAAGTTCAGATAATTCATGGAGAGAAAATGCTGTGTTTTGTATTATGACTGAGGTTATTATTTCATGATAAGTAATATCTGAGATCTTTTCATTATTTGCATAAGCCTGATAAGAAAAATTCTAACAACGCCCAAACAACCCCCATAATCATAAATGTCAGTTGTACAAACTGTTACTTTAATCATTAAAAGAAACCATTTCTGAATTCACAGATCCGTTATGCCTAATACTCAAGAACATATTCAGGTTTCTTACAGGAAAACTCAGCTTTGTTCAAACTTTTCCTAACATGTTTGGGTAAGTACATATTCAAATTAAAAATTTGTCCTCTCCTTTGAACAATTTCCTGTTTTATGAAGGAGGTGGCTTATTTTAGCTACTCTATAAATTTACTAATGTATCAGATGCAGAGTTTCTCTCTATGCTATTTCCAAGTAGTTGAGAAATAATTTCTCTCAAATATTTGTTTATTTTAAAATCATATGTCTTTAATTTAGAACTTGACTAGATTAAATGTCTTCAAAGGAAACAAACATTTTTGACTCACTAGTGGAAGATCTCTCTCTCTCTCTCTCTCTCTCTCTATATATATATATATCTATCTAATAGAACCTTGGTCTATCCAAATGTATCCATCACACAAATATCATAGAAACAATGACAGAAAAATAGCATGCATTAAATGGCTTTTTCCCATATATTTTTGCCATTTAATTTACAAAATAAAATAAATAATGTCATCATGTAATATATAATTTGGTATAACAGTGACAATATTAATATTGATTTCTATACAATTCTAATTGTGTATGTGTATTCAGAAGCCATTTATAGGAAATATGAAAAAAATGTTTAAAAATAATTCATCTCGATAGTTCTTCAAAAGTTATATTCATTTTCAGTAACAAAATAATTAAAAACGTGGGATTTTAGTAGTGATTTTATTTCTAAAAATGACTAAATAGTAGTTGTGTTTATTGAGAATTATCTCTTCTAACTTACTCAACAAAACTGTTCTAGTAATTATTCTCTCTGTACTGCCTCATCAGTTCTTTCCTCCACCAGACCATGCCCATTAATATAAAATCACACCACTTGTCTTCACTCCATTTTTCCCCTCTAGCTACTACTGTTTTCTCTTCTTCCAATCAAGCAAACATTATGATCAAGCAAAAATTATGGCATGATCTCTACTCTGTGTCTCTAGGATTTCTCTTCACATTCTCTGGTAGGTTTCTATCAAAGTAGTCTTGTCTTTGTTACCTCACTGTAAAAATTCTGGGTGCAGCACACCAACATGGCACATGTAGACATATGTAACAAACCTGCACGTTGTGCACACATACCCTAGAACTTAAAGTATAATAATAATAAAAATATTCTTATCAATGACAACAAATGTAATCTTAAGTAGCTCATCAGATCTTATCATCTTTTAACCAATCAGCGGTGTTAGATTTTACAGATCTCACCTTTCTCCTTGATAAACATAGTCCCTCCTCCCTTGGCTGCTCCCACTGGGTCCCCTTTGCTGATTAATCCTTATCTTCTCAACCTTTAAATGCTGAACTCAGCCCTTAGTCCTGGAAGCCCCTTTATTTTCTCAATGCACTTCCTATTTCGGTCAGCTCATCTAGTCTCTTTATTTTGAATACAAAATAAAGGCTGATTCCTTCCCCTTTATTTAAATACAGCATGGATTATTCCTGTAGAACTTCTGAGGTTCTGATGTACAAATCTATTTAGAGTGATAGTAATTATTTCAAAATTATTATGTCACAAAACTATTTATCTTTTTCTCCCCAAATTGCTTCTCTCCTTGTGCTCTTCTTCTGTAATGGTCAACTCAATTATTTCCCTTGTACCAGTCAAAACTCTTAAAATCATCCTTTACAATTTTTTTCTCTCACACTCTACATCCAATCTGCCACCACACCCAGCTAATTTTTGTATTTGTAGTAGAGACGGAGTTTCATCATGTTGACCAGGCTGGCCTCAAACTCCTGACCTCAGTGATCCACCTGCCTTGGCCTCCTGAAGTGCTGGGATTACAGGCGTGAGCCACTGCGCTCGGCCAAACAAATACATTTATTAAAAGACATCTAGTGTTACTGAAATCTATAGCTGCATGTAGATCATCTGCTCTTACTGAAATATGTAGCATTTTTGTTTGTGAGTTACTTGCTATTTGGTAGAAAGAAAAATATTATTTTTCTGAAAATGAAACTTTCTCCTATAATTTTAGTCTACATCTACTGACAACACAAATAATTCTCCTTATTGTAGTTAATTGCATGTGTCCTATCATATGTTAAATGAAAAATCATCTTTTACTACTAATCTAGTTATCAATAACTTACAGTGGTACAAAAACATTAATACTACACTTTCCATCATAAATAGATGGTTCTAACGTCTCTAACATCTCTATGTTAACACACTGAAGAACAATGATTGCTGATGAACCAAAGTGAAATCCCCAAGAAAATAAAAGCTTTCATTAGAAGTATAGATGCAAGATGCTTTTCTTCTGCAAATTAGCAGGCCAAAGAACTTTGAGTTTCTGTGTCAAATGGTGAGCAAGTGAAGAGTTAATAGGCTGACAGTGAAGACATCACAGTAACTGAATGAGATGCAGTCAGTTAGCATCTCCAGGAAAGAGCATAAGATGAAGCTCGATGGCATTCTCTTTAGTCCCCAAGTTCCATTTCATAGTGAAGTTCTGAGAAATGCTGAGAGGCTCTGCACCCCAAGGTTCTACATGCCTTCCTTAGAATAAAATGCAAATGGTTGAGGAGATGCCTCTGATAAGAGGCCACGTCAGTATCTCACAGCAGTACATGGTGACTACAGAAGATTACTACCTAAGAGAGTAGGACAGAGACTCTGGACAATTGAGACATTTAGGATAGGAAGAGAAAGCATAGGTTGCCTTAGGAATATTTAATAATAGATTACACTGTTGGTAAAAATAAATTTACATGCAATAACTTCAATTGAAATTTTTTTTTCTCTATCTGCTTGGGAGGCTGAGGCGGGAGAATCACTTGAGCCAGGAGTTCAAGGCTGCAGAGAGCTGTGATTGTAGCACTGCACTCCAGCGTGGGCACCGGAGCAAGACCCTGTCTCTATGCTCTATTTAATGTTATGATGGGCAAGAATAATGTCTAAGACACATAAATATTTGAATACTTTCATTAAATAGCACACAGTTTTGTTATGTAATATTTCAGGAAGGTAAGAATGGTATAGTTCTATTTTTATCATGTTTTCTTATTGTTAGAAACAACAGAGAAAAAAGAAAAAAATTGAAATGGCTTCTGTTTCACAATCCTTTCTTAAAAGACACTTCATTTTACTGTGAGAAAAGATAGGCACTTGCTTTTTATCTTAAACTGTAATTGAAACTGTTAGTACAACAAAGTAACAATGTATTGGCAAAAATATGCTTCTACAGTTGTTCCTTTTTGTTTTTTTTGCAGTGAAAGCACTTTGCACCTGTGGAGACAAAAGCAGTATTTTTCCTTGTCTAAAATGTCATAATATATAATGATAATAGTGATGTTTCTATGAGTGAACTACTGTACTATTTCAATAGTGTGAGACATATTGAGTTCTAGTTCAACAAATTGTGCTCCTTGTCCAATTTCATAAAATACTAGATACATTAGCCATGACAGAAAGGACTGCTGAGTTCCTGATAATGTGAATTAAAACAGGACTTTAGGTAGCATTGTATGCATCTAAAATTTTTATTATTTTCTTTCTTTCCATAGAATGGTTCTCATGGAAGGTTAATCCTTAGTTTAGAAAGCTATGGTGTGATATTCTAGTATACTCATGTCTTAGTGAAAAAGCTCAATCATAATACTTTTTATTCCATTGCATTTTAATATTCATCTCTACATGTAAAACTTGGCTTTAAATCTTCAAATTCAGAATAAGATCTGGGCATTATGCGTACATCATGCCAACTAAACATTACTATATTTTACCAAGATTTATCAAAACAGGATTCTGACTGATTTAACACTGTTAATAAGTCAATTTTGAGTCTTTTATTATAATGTTATTTTTACTTTATTATCAGTGTAGTTGGGCACAAATCAAAATAACAAGGCTATATTTTTGTCTCCACTTATCCTTCTTCTGAAATAAAATTCCTAGTTTCAAATAACAAAATTATTGGTCTCATGGCATTTGTATTCACAGAAGACACACTTCAAACTCGATAAAACTACTGGTAGCTGCATGATTTAAAATGTAGTAAGAAAACACTAGGGCTTGGTGCACTGAGCATGTTTTTGAAAAAGCAAATGAAATCACTATAGCCATTACAATATGACCCTCACTGTGACAGAGTTATCACCTGGCAAAGAAGAATAAGCCTCACACTTTGGAAGCAACATACCGATAAGGTGATTTGAATGGATAAGGTGATTTGAATGGATACCTATATAGGTAATAAATTAACATTCAATATAAAGCCACATCACATTTGTTGATGACATATTTAATACTTTTTCAATATGCTTATTTTTAAGTTATTTTGGCCATGCACAATTCATTTATCATTGTAGAGCCATATTCTATTACAAGATTTTTGCACTCACACACACACCTAATACTGAAATAGAAAATAATGGTAGAAAGGTTAAAGAAACAAACCATTGTTAATTATGGTAATGTTATAGCTCTATGGTTAAATCAAACTTATCCTAGAAAATTTTGTTGGAACGACAGAGTAGGACTATTATCCAGGTGCCTATAATTTTGAAAGTAGGTGGGGAGACCTGTGCTTTATAACATAATATAATTACTACTTTTTAAAATTTACATGCCAGATCATTTCTTTTTCTGGATATGAGTTTTATTTGAGAATTAGGGTCAGTAAAATATATTTAATATTAAATTATTAATTCCTAATTTAACTACTCTTGGACATACATGAATTTTTATCGCATAGTAAAACATTTATTCTTAATCTTTTAGAAAAATTTTACCAAATGCTGCTGCTCTGTCACTTACTAACATGACTCTGATATATTTTGTTCTCTTTTTCAGATACAACTGTGCAATGTATAAAGCAAGACATTCATTGAAACCGTAGATGTAAGTCTTTGAATCTCAAATAATTTTTTTTACAAATAATATAATGATATCTTGAAATTAGTTTTGCATGACATAGTAGAGTATTACATTTAAATTGTAACCACAAACATTACTGAATCATCCTAATTGTTGCTTGTTATTTACATGCAAAATTACTAGATTCTTCCTATTGGGTTAGAATTTTAACATTTTCTGTGATTTTAAATATCACTGATGTCAAAGGATAGCTACACAAAGTATCTTTAAGAGCATCTAACTTGAGAGAAAATATAATTAATGTTGAAATCAGTATTGTCATACTTTAGAGAAAATGATGTGCATGTTTCTTGTGGAAAGTCTCCAAAGTGATACTCTACACTAAGCAAACTAAAAAGGATATGAAGTTCAACGCAGCAGACTGCAGTTAAACTGTTTTATAAGAGCATTATCTCTCCCATGAAGAACATAATGTCGACTGCTGTGATGGCAGTTAAAAACATATATCCTTCAAATAGTGCTATCAGCCACCCAAAAAGAACAGAATACAGAACACATGTATCAAAAAACATGAAATTTGACATAAGTTGCAGTTTTCCTCACTCTAGCAAATATTAAGGGTTTTATTTTGAGTTTGTAAGCACGATTTCATGATGTGATTGTGGATGTCTGAATGTGTGTTAAGAACAACACCCAGTAAATGAGAAGCTGGTGTCAGGAAAAACTAACAATTCAGCATTTTCATACATTTTTGTTACCAAAGCTATTTTTTTTTTAATGAGTCACTACTGATTACCCTATTATTTAAAACATATACAATATTTTAACTCTTTTCTTCCTTGAAATTTTTTATCTTAAATTTGTAGTCAGATTTTTTTTTTCTAGTCACCAGGGGGAAATTAATAAATACTTTATTGACAAATATTAAATATATTTTTTTAAAATCCTAGTTTATTTAAATAATATGGTGGGGAGTATCTTTTAAATGCTTAAAAATTAAAAATGGGACATTTCTAATATGTTCTTTTTTCAGTTTTGAACATGGCTAAAACTATAGCATGATTAAGAAAGTATGTCTATTTCATATAGGCGCTTATAATGTCCTTATAATATGAAAACATTGAATAGGAAATTATATCGCATGAACATTTTTAGAATCTGGATACCTTTTCAAATTAACCTCACTCACAATATCCAAATGTTAAGTAAACACATAAAATAACATATCTTCATAATGACTGGATAAATGGGTTACCTAGCATACGTTAATTGCATTAAGTTTAGTAAGAGTTCTTGCATGTTACTAGATGACCTGTAGAAAACTTGTTTTTTATTTTTTTATACAACTATTGTTAGACACATACTTGTTATTTGAGGAAAAAAAGAAAGATTAAGTGAAGAAAGGGAAGAAAACAGCAGGATGGAAATAACCCAAAGGGATTATTTTAGTTTTAGCAATATTTTCAGAATAAAATGAAAGTTGGGTTGGCTTTGCAAAAGATAATTCCAATTTCAAAGTAAATGTTTCTTTTAGAAATGGTAAATCCTATCTGGAAGAAGCTAATAAAAGTGATATATCCTAAATCCAGGCAGTGGAAATGAATAATCACAGCCAAGTCCCACTCTTTATATTTCTGTGAGGTCTGTGAGGTTATTGTGTGTGTATGTGTATGTGTATGTGTGTGTGTGTGTGTGTGTATATATAGTGTGTGTGTATGTATATAGTATATAGTATATGTGTATGTATATAGTATAAGTGTGTGTATATATAGTGTGTGTATATATAGTATATATAGTATATACATATAGTGTGTGTATATATATATGTGTATATATACACACACTATATGTATATACTATATATACACATATATATACACACACTATATGTATCTACTATATACGCACGTGTATATATACTATATATACGCACGTGTATATATACTATATATACGCACGTGTATATATACTATATATACGCACGTGTATATATACTATATATACGCACGTGTATATATAGTATATATACACTCACACATATTATATATACACTATATATGTACACATATATATATGATTTCATAGCTTGATAAACCAAACCAAACACGTAAAGCAAAACAAAATAAGAAAACAACGGAAACTTCTCTTCTGCTGTTAATCTCATCTCCACTAAAGTTTTCACAAGAAGCTATTTCTAAAATTGTTACTTAGATGTTGTATGACATAACTAAATAAGGAAGCATAATCATAAAGGCTTTAAGGCAATAGGAGTTATATAGATCATTACGGTTTTAGAAAGGAGAAGAATTTAAGAATATAGTGTTCCCGTGCAGCGGAGTCTGGAAGGGCTGGTTATTATCAAAATGAGGCATCATGAAAGCTGAAGGCTGAGGAAGATTGCTTATGTTTGGAGTGAGCAGGGCTGTATATCTATGTATGAAAATAAGAGAAGAAGATGGGTCCTAATATACAGTCACCTATAAAAAGACACCAGAAACAAAATCCATTAAATTTGAAAAGTTTCATTATGAATACTTCTTTATAGAACATTACAAGAATTCATATTAGCTTTTGTCTTTGATGAACATTTTACTATCCCTATAGTCTTAAATTCCTGATTTGGTGTCTCCATGTGGGTGAGTCACAGACTTGGCAAATATATGGTGTCAAAAAGATCTAATTATCTCAGCCTATTAGTCAAATCTCTTTCAGTATTGCAGGCTTTTTCATGAAATTATTTTATGTCTTTTTTTCTCCTTCTATCTGTGCATATATTTAACTCTAGCCCGTGTATTCTTTCTTCAAATTCATTATGTACATCACATTTCTTCTGTTAAGCAAATAACCATTGATTTATTTTTTATGTACAGCATTTGCTCCGTAACTATTTATTTCATGAACATTTTGAGTACTTACCATGGGCTATGCAAGATATTGTGTGCTTGGAGTATGATAATGAAAAAAATATAGTCCCTGAACTACAGAGAAAATGTTTGTACTGGATTAAGTAGTTTACATTGGCAAAGTACTTTTCAGTTTGTTTGTTTGTTAGTTTCCATTATTATTTTCAAATTTCATTCTTATTTCTCTATAATCTGGTGTATTGCATCAGTTTCCTCGTACATATTTCACCTAATTAACCTCACATATTATAATTACTTAAGTCATGTCACTTTTCTACCAAATAATTCTTTATAGATCTACAGTAACTACATTTCAGACAAAATATTCTACTCATTGTTTTTTTATCAGAACTCTTATTTTCTATCTCTAAGTCTTTTCTTGGGTTATTTCTTGCATAGCCAATAGCTATGTACCATAACAGTAAATACAATTGTAGAAATAACAAAATATTTATTTAATATTCAGTACAGATGGCTCTAATTCTACTGTTTAATTTTAGATTTTTAATTTTACTCTTCTTATAGTTCTATTGTTTTATTTTTACTACCAATTCATTAAAATTACCTTTCAAATTATCATATTTCACTAAAATATATTAAACATTAGGATGATAATATTGTAATTATGCACACACACACACACACACACACACACACACAGTCACACATGCATTTAATTCCTAGTGCTCAATGAGGTTGATTGACATAAATTAAGCAAAATGCAGTCTACCAGTTATTCGTGATTTATAGTGCATTGGGCAGGTGTTGTTTAATGCAAATTTTATAACCCCACTTTATTTAACAACTGTTTTTCATTATTTTTACAAAATTGTCCATAATCATTTATCTAAATCCATGTATACAATGGCTCTTACACATGATGGCTTTTTTTTTTTTCTTATGGAGAGCATGAAAATCTGACAAAGTGGAGAAATTATTTCTTTTTGCATTTAGTTCTAAGTTTTATTTATTGGAAGATTATCATAAAATATTCTTCCTCAGATATAAGTGACAGCACTGAGTGTTGGAACTCCTTGAGCATTGGAGAACTAGCTCAAAAGCCATCAACCTTTTCTATAAATTGTCTGAAGGTATCCTCAATAAGCAGTGAATTTTCCAACACCTGAAAGGTAGCATACTTTATTTTTATGTCAATTGCATAATTGCCTTAAGCTTTAATTCAGATATCATATCCTTCAAGAGACCTTTTGCAAGTTTGGTTGAATGAGTACCCCTTCTGGTTTTTTAGAACTGAGTGTCAAATGCTAGCAAAAACTCAAAACCTTAAATGGAAAATATCTGTTAATGTGTACACCTCTCTCATAGATGTACTCATTTGGAAGATGGTTTTATTCAACTAATTATTCCCTACACATATCAAATAATTTGGCACAGAGTAGATGATAAATGAATGTTTCTACTTAAGCAACCCTTTAATTACATTCTATGTAATTCCTGGCTTCCAAATCTGAATTAGGTTAAGAAAACATCTTAAAAAACACTTATTCTGCCTTATATTTTTAGCCCAGCAGTATAGTACATATAATATGTATAATATTAAAAGGATTTATGCAGTTGTTTATTTTTTTACACTAGAATGTGAACTACTTAAGAGATTGTTTCTTCTTTTAATGTACCTAGAACATATTAGGACCAAACTAACATTTCTTTTTTTTTTTTTTTTTTCTGAGACTGAATCTTGCTCACTCTTATCACCCAGGCTGGAGTGCAGCAGAGTGGCACAAACTCAGCTCACTACAACCTCCGCCGCCCAGGTTCAAGCATTTCTCCTGCCTCAGCCTCCTGAGTAGCTGGGATTATAGGCACCCGCCACCCACCCAGCTAATTTTTGTATTTTTAGTAGAGACAGGGTTTCACCATGTTGGCCAGACTGGTCTCGAACTCCTGACCTCAAGTGTGAAGACAAGAATGCATTGTAGGCACTTTTAGCGCAATGTTGTATTCATTTTTCTGTTCTCCATTTAAAACATGAGAACAACAATCTACAATTAATTTATCAATTATTGTGATTATGTCATCCCATACATGTAAAATAATATCCAAAATTAAGCTTTTCAGGTAGAGGCCAGGAATTGAAAATTTAAGGGAACTAAATGTCTGAACTAAAAGTGGTAAAGATTTACACTGAAGAAGAGAGAAAAATAATGGAGCAAAAGGAGGAATCCTGACATAGAACAAACAACAACAACAATAAAATTCTACATCCTGTATCTATCATTCTTCTTAAGCAGTATTATTAAGTATTTATAATGCTACACATAATTTGTGCCAGTCATTTGTTACACTTTACTCATAAAAGGTGAATATCTTTAATATCCTTAAGCTCACATCTCTTCCTTGATATATTCACAAAATTAAAGCTCAAATCCTTTTGTTTCAAAACAGATGGAATATGCGTCAATTTAGCCACTTGGCAACACTAAGCCAACCGCATGTAAGGACCAACATGCCTCATGATACATAGGCACATATCTACTTGAATACATATACTGACTGTATTGAATATTGACTATGATCAGTTTCTGGGAGCTTTTTTGTATCAACATTAGTTTCATAATGTATTTCCTTCCTGTGTCCAAAAATATCTGAATCCATTCAGTGATAATTTTTGTGTCTTCCAATCTCATAAAACAGCAGCATAAAATGAAACATTGTTATCTTTATCTTGGAAAGAGAAAGACAATTTAGAGTGAATGTACCTGGAAAATTTGGGGAATTAGGGCTGTCTTTCTAAAATGGCCCTATGTCTGGCAGCAAATCCATAAACTTATAATTTTGTGTCAATGTTGTAGCTTCTTGACCTTTAAATTCCAACATTAGCACATGTGGGTCAATACATCTTAGTAATGTCCTCAGTTAAAGTTGCTATGTCCTTGTTATGCCTACAAGAGAACCGCTATAAACAGTTTGCTGTAAAAGCAGCCTAAGTGAATGGAAGCCTTTTGCCTTGCACATATCATGGTCATCTTCTGTGCCAGATGTTTTTGGAAGTCAGTCTGATGACTTGAACCAAGTTAAAAACAATATAACCCTATACAGAGATGCAAATATGATGAGATTCCAGAATGTTGGCTTCCCCAAAGTACATAGTACAGTGAAATTCTATTAAGCTTTTCACAGAATTAGCAGTAAATAAATATGAAATCATCGTAATAATAATATGGTCATTTTTAAGATGATAAACTCAAACTTACTTTTGAGGAGTCTTTTCATTCAACAAGCATGCCATAATTCTAACTGACCAGCAATGTAGTAGGTTAGTGGGGACAAAGATGAATAAGCCAGTATCACGACTTTAAGAAATTCATGGAATCTTGAAATAACCATCGTAAAAGCTCACCATCATAACACAATATGATATTGGATGTATAGGGATTTTTTGAAGTTACTGTGGGATCCCTGAGGAAGAAAGGATTTTTTAAGTTTGTAGAAGTCCAAATTTTCACAGAGTAAACGACCAAGAAAAGACAAACACATATAAGGTTTTGAGGATCTCAGGATGGACTGGGTGTGAAGAGAATATACAAGGAAAAAGTTTATTTGGGGATATTATATGTCCTTTAGAAACTGCAAGTGATATTGAGGGTTGTGAAAAAGTGCAGAACAACTTGGCTGGAAAGATGCAATGGAATGTACATGGTTTTGATGTTGATCTGCTAGAGAATATACTATAACATCATTAAATTGCACAGAAAATTATCTTAGATAAGTCAACTGGTAGCTTCAATGTTCATTTTTTCCCACCCATGGTTATTATATTTATCATATCTGCTCAAACATGTTTTATTACTCTGTTTTTTTCCTGGTTAAACTTGTTTATGCTTTTAGAAACTACAAATACTTTTTGTTTTTCTCCTAATAATTTTGCAAGAAATGTAGAAATTTTGGAAAACATCTGAGATATTATTAATATCAAATAATAGATTTCTGGCAAAACTGGTGCTCTGTGTTGACAAATTCAAATTTCAATGACTAAAATGATATGCAACTGGGAGGGTTGTAAATGCTTCTAAGTCAGAAAATAAGTTAATACGAACTATCTCAGAAAACCAAGTTATAATCACCTGAAAAAAGCAGGAACATAATTACGACTACTTTAGTCATGTTATAATATTACACATAGGAAAGCAAAGGGCATGTTAAAAAGCAAATAGAGATAAGATTTGCACTTTAAACCGTTTGATTGTACTCAAGCAAATCAAATCTCATTTAAACTTTTTTAATTATAATGAGAAGATTAATGTTGGTTTACTTTTTAAATATGACATTACACAATAAAATTACATCACACATTCTTTTTTCTCAAATTCTTTGATGTCTAGAATATGGTTCACTTTGTTGTAAAAATAGAAAGACATCCTTGTCTGGTGTCATCTGCTGAGTACTGGGATGCTTCCTCATTCATAAGCAGCTGTGAAAATTCAAACTACAAGGATTTGATTCAAGAGAAAAACTGCCTGATGATCAATCTTACACATATTGAAGTAGTTTCTTGAAATATAACTACAATGATTCCTTGCTTAATTATGAGAATACATTCTGAGAAATGCATTGTGAGGCGATTTTGTCATTGTGTGAACAGCACAGAAGGTACTTACACAAATCTAGATGTTACAACCTACTATTTTCCCTAAGGTATATGGTCTAGCCTATTGCTCCTACACTACAAACCCATATAGCATATTATTATAGTGAGTACTGTAGGAGATTGTAACAAAATGATAAGTATTTTTGTATCTGAACGTATCTAAACAGATAAAAGAGACAGTAAAAATGTAGTATAAAGATTTTTTAACAATACAACTTATAGGACACTTTCCGTGAATGAATCTTGCAGAAATGGAAGTTGCTCTGGGTGAGTAGGAAGTGACTGTGAAGGTCTAGGACATTACTGTGCCAGTACTGTATGCTTTATAAACACAGTACGCTCAGGCTACACTAAATTTATTGAAACTATTTATTTCTTCAATAATAAATTAAACATGGCTTACTATAACTTTTTTTACTTTACAAACTTTTTAACATCTTTAAATGTTTCTACTCTTTTTTAATAACAGTTTAAAACATGAACATATTTTACATCTGTATGAGATACTTTTTAATTTTTTTCTTATTCTATAAGATTTTTCCTTTCTTAAATAATTTTAACTTTTTAAACTTTTTTGTTGAAACCTAAGACACATAGCCATACATTAGCCTAAGCCTACACAGTGTCAAGATCATCAATTTCACTCAATTTCACTGTCTTCCAGCTTCATATCTTGTCCCACTGGAAGGTTTTCACTGGTAATAACATGCATGGAACTGTGATCCTATGAAAACAATGCCTTCTTCTGGGATACCTCCTGAAGGACCTACCTGAGGTTGTTTCATAGTTATCATGTTTTATAAATAGAAGAAGAAAACACTTAAATAATAATAAAGTTACAGTGTGGTAAATTCTAGGTGATAGAAAATGTTCATCTCCATTATAATCTTACAGAGCCACTGTTAATATCTGTCCATCATTGACCGAAATGTCATTATGCAGTGCATGAGTTATAGACTTGCCAATGTGGTACCTTCGTCAGTAAAATCAACAGTACAATTACACGTTCATTGGTCAGATTAGGAAGGATTTTATCCACTATGGTTTCAATGTTTTTGTTTTCTTCTAAATTCATTTCTAAACTTAATTGTCAATGCAACAGTGTTGGGAGGGTGAGCCTAATGGGAGGTGTTTAGGTCATGAGGGGTCTGCCTTCATGAATGAATCAATGCTGCTATCAATAGAGCCTGCAGGAGGGGCTTGCCTTCAGGGTCTTCTGTCATGTGAGGAACAGTGTTTCTCTTCTCCAGAGAATGCAGCATTCAGGATGCCATCTTGGAAGTAGAGAGCTGGCCCTCACCAGATACCAGACTGGCTGGCACCTTGATCTTGAACTTCCCAGCTTCCAGAACTGTGAGATATGTTTCTTTATAAATTATCTAGTCTGTGGTATTCTGTCATAGATGCAAAAGCAGACTAAGCAGTATCTGTACAACCAATGTTAAATTATAAGGTTATTGGGGTTTTCCCAGAATTCTTAGGAACAATCCCAAATCATAAAGTTAATAGAAGTATACAGAGTGATCCCTTTTCCAGAGTATAGAAAATATATTAGCAGGAGCTTTGACTTTTACCGACACAAGCTTAAGTAACATTAATTGATTGACTGTAAAATAATAATGCACCAAACTCAGTGCTTTGTTCAAAATTATCTGAGAATATGATTGTTAAAATATTGCACAGCACACTTAAAAGTTATTTCTGGTAATAAGAAAAATGTGAAGAATCCTCTTTATGTTTTGTTCGTTGACTAAAAGAAATGATGTTAGTTCATTATTTACTATTTCTCATGGCCTATTTTTACTTTTAAGGCCTTTTTTGGTGTTATAATTTAACGTGTCATTATGTATATCACTGAAAATAATAAACTGCCATACACACTACTGCATTTTTCGACAATACTATAAGCATAAAACTGTTTAAGAAATTAGTTTGTGCTCATGAGTTTCTAACTCAATTATAGGACATGCTACATGGTAGGAAATGTGTTTGAAAATACAGTAAACCTTTGTCTCTACTTTTTAAGGATTATTAGGAATGCCATGCCAACAGCTTTCTTCTGTGTGATTACATGAGCCTATTGTTAATAGACAATTATAAACTACTTCACTATGAATTTTAAATGATAATGGTAGTTTTTACTTCTCAATAACTAAAACTAAAATTTCTTCATTTTCAGAAATCAATACCAAGGTAACTTGACTGAAAAAAGCACCCATTTATTAACACTTGGGTAATGTCCAAAACAGTTCCACAATTGATTTGCCAGCAATGACTTCCCAAAGTAATCTGATTGAATTGAAAGAGAAAAGAATTAAAATGAATGAAGGAAGAGGTGAACTATCTGTGCTTAATCTCCAGTTTCATCAGAAATCGATTAACTAGCTGACTTTGGGTCCAAAAGAATTAATTATACTCAGTCTTTAGTATAATTAACAACACTATGGCCATCTCCCAAAATATTCATTAAACAGTCAGGAACAATATGAAATTCAAATTAAAATTGGAAAAGAGATTAAATAGAAGTAGTCATCTCTAAAAAGAATCATGCTACATCTGAGATGAAATCATTTGAGCAATACAAAATATGGAAATACATTTTGTGTTACATTTAATTATCATTAATTCCAGCACTGCAAGCTGGCAGCTATTTTAGGCTCATTACAACGACTAAAATGGGCTAGAATGTTAATATGAATCTATCCTCATTGGAATAATGGGAATATGTGAATATGCTTCAAAGTTAAAGAAAGTTTAAGAGTCAAGTTGAGTTTCAGTTAGTTTCTTAAATTTTTAATTAGGGATACACATTATACATAAACTGCTGATAATATATTGATAACAATACAATAAACAAAAAAAGTCCAGTGACATTTTCTTTCTAATGAAATTTTAAAATATATACCCTATTTTGTGGTTTCTTAAAAGCAATTTTTGTTTTTGTGTTTTAGTGAATTTAAACACAAAGTTTAAACACACTATTTAAACACAAAATTTAAACACATAGTGTTTACTGACTAATCACTAAAACTTAACACAGTGTTTAGTGACTAATCACTAAACATAGTGTTTAGTGACTATGAGTCATAGTATGAAATGCCTCATAGGAGGGAATGCCTATTGTTTTGTTTGAAGTAAGTAGCACCCAAACTTGTGGGGATATACTGTTAGGATATCTTATAAAACTACAAGTTTTTATTATATTTGGGACTTCCTGTTCCTGGTTTTTCTATTTGTCTGGCACACTATTTCTTCAGATGATTATTTAAATAGAAGGATTTGAGGCCTGCATATACACGACGTCAGATGTACATTAAGTACCAGGATATTTCATTTATAGCCAGAGCTCATTAAAATAGTTTGTAGTTAAAATGAAAAATTTTGATGTGCAAAAAAAATACTAGTTTAACATATTTTGAAAATTGATACATGCTTAACTCTGTTACCGGGGATTGGGTTTTACATGTTGAAGGTGTTAGTATGGTACTGACTATTCAATTCATTATGGGGATGTGTTGTAATAATTTTTTAATAGAGCAAAAATTTTAAAATGTCCTTATTTCACTTTCACAAAAAATTAAACCAACCTCTTCTTAAAGGCATAACCAAAGTCATTTTTGCAGTTTTGAAAGTTGCAGTTTTCAAATATATATATATACTTGAAATATGTATATACTTGAAATATATATATACATATATACATATATATACTTCAAATATATATACACACACACATATATACAAACATTTGTATAGACATGTATATACAAATATTTATATACGTACATACACTCACATATGCATCTATGTATTTATGTTAGTTTTAATGCATATAACTTGTATGAATGCTATAATAACCTTTTGAAAATGTCCATTATCTTTATTTTTAAATTTAGTATAGTTATTAAGGATACACAAGGAATTACATTTTTAGAAACTGGAAGGACAAAAGTCCTAAAATAATGGTTTTTAACTGCACAGAAAACTGGAATCAGACTTAGAAATGATTACTGATATGAAGCAATTTGTTCACATAATCGGTAGTATATAGACAGGGCAAAACCATCAACTCTCCAAGTGGACATGTGGAAAGAGGAATAAAAAATAAAAACACACTTTGCTGGCCCTTGGATCCATGTGTGTTCTAAGCAGTATCAGTGTTTTATGGGGTTTGTAGAGCAAACCTCCGGGCTGCATGTTCTCTTGAGCAAGAAAAGTTTATGCTATTCTTCAGCTCACCAGCAACGTATCTTCAGACATAGTTCAAATTGAATTTTAGACAGGCTTAAAGGGGAAATAATAGGACATAAAGTTAACTGGAAAATATTGTGAAAAATTTAAGAGTTTTAAAATTAGAGTAGTAAAGCAAAGTGTAACACAGCAAAAACTGGGAGAAAAAGTAGTTCTGAAACACCTAGAAAATATGAAATAAATGTAGGAAGACTCATAATCAGACATACTACCTAGGAAAATATAATTATTGAAGTAAACTGAATACAGTGCACCTTTTTATTGTACTTTGCTTTATGGTGCTTCACTGATATTGTATTTTTTATAAGTTTGTTTGTTGCAACTCTGCATTATGCAAGTCTGTCAGTGCCATTTTTAAAAACCTCATGTCTCTTTGTCATACTTTAGTAATTCTTATAATATTTCAAGCTTTTAAAATGAGTATTCTATTTGTTATGGCGATCTGTAAAGAGTGATCTTTGATGTTACCATTGCAATTGCTTTGGGGCACCACAAACCACACCCATATAAGACCACAAACTTAATAAATGTGTGTGTTTTGTCTGTCCCATTTATAGGCCGTTCTCCCATCTCTCTCCCTCTCCTCAAACTGCCTATTCCCAGAAATGCAATAATATTGAAATTATACCAATTAATAGCCCCCCAATGGCCTCTAAGTGTTCAAGTTAAAGAAAGAGTTTCACATCTCTCACTTCTAATCAAAAGCTAGAAAGGATTATGCTTTGTGGAGAAGGCATATCAAAGGCTGAGAAAGGCCAAACGCTAGGCCTATTTTGCCTATTAACCAAGCCGTGGATGTAAAGGCAAAGTTCTTTGAAAAAAAATGGAAAGTGCTACTTCAGTGAACAAATGAATGATAAGAGAGAGCCTTATTGCTAATATGGAGAATGTTTTAGTGGTATGAATAGAAGATCAAACCAGCTACAATATTTCCTCAAACTAAAACCTAATCCAGAGCAAGGCCCTAACTCTCTTCAATTCTCTGAAGTCTGAGAGAGCTGAAGAAGCGGCAGAAGAAAAGTTCGAAGCTAGCCAAGGTGGGTTTATAAAATTTAAGAAAATAAGCTGTCTCTATAAC
Source organism: Homo sapiens (assembly GCF_000001405.40). Classification (NCBI taxonomy): domain Eukaryota; kingdom Metazoa; phylum Chordata; class Mammalia; order Primates; family Hominidae; genus Homo; species Homo sapiens. The sequence continues at coordinate 67,008,880 of NC_000018.10, read as the reverse complement.
ATAAAAGCTCAAGGTAGAGCAGCAGGTGCTAAAGTAGAAACTGCAAGTTATCCATAATTCTAGCTATGATCATTGATGAAGGCGGTTACAGTAAACAACAGATTTTTAATGTAAAGATGAAACAACCTTATTTTTGAAGAAGATGCTACCTAGGGCTTTCAAAGCTAGAGAGGAGAAGTCAATGCCTGGATTCAAAGCTTCAAAGTACAGACAGCTTTGCTCTTGTTAGGGGCTAACGCAGCTGGTGACTTAAAGTTGAAACTAATGCTCATTTACCGTTCTGAAAATCCTAGGACCCTTAAGAATTATGCTAAATCTACTCTGCCTGTGCTCTGTAAATGGAACAACAAAGCACGGATGATAGCACATCTGTGTACAGCGTGGCTTACTGAATAATAAGCCCACTGTTGAGACCTACTGCTCAGAAAAATGATTCCTTTCAACATCTATTACTGCTCAATGACAATGCTCCTGGTTACCCAAGTTCTGATGAGGATGTACAAGGGAATTAATGTTTGTATGCCTGCCAACACAACATCTATTCTGAACACCAGGGACCAAGAAGTATTTTAAATTTCACACGTTATTATTAATTATATATAATTAATAATTATAATTATTAATAATTATATAATTGCTTGTTAATTAATTATATAATAATTATAATTATTATAATTATATTGTTTTATTATTTTATATATAATATTTTATATATTATTATATTATATAATTAATTAACAATCAATTATATAACTATTAATAATTATAATTATATATAAAGAGCTTGTCAATATTCAAAAGGGTCATTTTTTCACCATGTTGTAGCTTCTAAAATGATCTGCTTCAATCAAACCCAGAATTAGCAAGTGATAGTCACATGAGAATGGACATAATTTTGATGGCATAAAATCAGTGAAAGATACACTCTGGGGAACAAAAGCAAGTTAACGAGTTTTCCATGATACTATGCAAAGGAACCACTAAGATGATTCAAGCAGTATGAATTTCTAAATACCTTTAAATTCTACAAAGACATGGCATCTCATGAAACAGCTATGTAATCATGAAACATCTCTTTCATGATATATTTTGCAAACTCTAAGTTTGACTAAGTCCTTTCTTAGACTTCCAAATTTTGGTACAAAAATAATGCTTGCCTCAAAAGTAATTCATAAGTGAACAAACACATTTATTTTAATAATTCATAAAAAATATGAAGTTTATCACATAAAATGCTGAAAAAAGTTAATAAGTACCAGAACATCAATACAGGCATACTATATTAGTGTTTGGCTGAATTTTGTAAAATTAATCTGAGTCAAATACTCAAATACAAAAATCAGAACATCAATTTATTATGGTGGGAGAGCAGATATAACAAACTGAAAGAAGAGCAAATAAAAGATATAAGATATTGAAGATCAAGAGAAGTAGAAGTTGAAAAAAATCTGCAGCAAACTCTAAAGTTGCTGTATCAACTGATTTTTACCTTTGTAATGTTAGCACACATCTTCTAACAGGAGGATAGAAGAGCAGGAAGCTACTTGCCAGTCCCCAAATGAATGAATCCTGTTGTCAGCACATCACAAATAAAATCAGTTTGCGATGTCAGCATATTTCCTCAGAGTACACTCAATTTCTCATAAACTCAGCATACATTGAGCTGGGCTTCAGAAAACTTTGTGAACATCAAACCACTCATTCCTCTCAGAAAAGACAAAGTAGAAAGAAACTGAAGAGGACACAAAACTAGAAACATATTCCTTTCTCATGAATCAAAATAATTAGTATTGTTAATGTGTCTATGTACACAACATGATCTACAGTTTAAATGCAACCCTTATCAAAATATAAATGACATCTTCAAAGAAATAGAAAAAAATATAAAATTTGTGGAAATCACATAAAAATCTGAATAGACAAAGAATCCTGAGCAAATAGAACAAAGCTGGAGGCATCACGCCACCTGATTTCAAATTATACTGCAAAGCTGCAATAACCAAAAAACATAATGTTGACATGCAACAACAACAACAAGAATGGAATAGAATAGACAAACCAGAAATACATCCACACATTTATACCCAATTCATTTTCAACACAGGCATCAAAATTAAACACTGCAGAAAGTGCGGTCTCTTTTAAATGGTGCTGGGAAATCTGGATATCCACACGCAGAAGAATAAAACTAGATCCCCATCTTTTAACATATACAAATATCAACTCAAAACGAATTAAAGACTTAAATATAAAACCTGAAATTATGAAACTCCTAGAAGAAAACATTGGGGAAACACTACAGGACACTGATTAGGGGAAAGATTTTTTGGATAAGACCACAAAAGCTAAGTAAACCAAAAGAAAACTAGACAAATGAGATTGCATTAAGCTTAAAAGCTTCTACACAACAAAGGAACAATCAACAAACTGAACAAAACATCTACAAAATGGCAGAAAATATTTGCAAATTATCAGACAAGGGATTAGTATCTATGATATATTAGTAATGCAAACAACACAACATCAAAAAAATAAAAACACAAATAATCTGATTTATAATGTGGGCAAAATTTCTGAATAGGCATTTCTCAAAAGAAAACATACAAATTCAAACAGGTATTTGAAAAGTTGCTGAACATCATTGATACTCAGAAAAAATGCAAATTAAAACCACAATGAGATATCACCTCACCCCAGTTAGAATAGCTGTCACCAAAAAGATAAAAAATACATGCTTACAATGTTGTGGATGGGGGAACCCTTACACACTGTTGGTGGGAATGTAAATTCACACAACGATTATGGAAAGCAGTATGGAGCTTCCTCAAAAAAATTACATTAGGACATCCATATGATCCAGCAATCTCACTGCTGGGTATATTTCCAAGGAAAGAATGTCAGTATATCAAATGGACATCTGCACTCCTATGCTTATTGCAGCACTATTCACAAGAGCCAAGATATATGATCCGTCTAAGTGTTCATCATTGGATGAACAGATAAAGAAAATGTGGTATATATACACAGTGAAATACTATTCTGCCATAAAAAGAATCAATTCCGGTCATTTGCAGGAACTTGGATGGAAGTGGAGGTCATTATGTTAAGAGAAATAAACCAGGCACAGAAAGAAAAATATTGCATGCCCTCACTCATATGTGGGAGCTAAAAAAGTGGATCTCATGCAGCTGGAGAGGACCATGGTGTTTCCTAGAGGCTGTGAAGGAAAGGAGGGAGAGAGGTTGAAGAGAATTTGATTATGGATACAAAGATACAATTAGATCGGAGTCAGTTCTACTATTCCATTGTAAGGTGGGGAAATTACAGTTAACAGGGATTTATTGTACCTTACAAAATAGGTAGAAGAGATGAATTGTCATGTTTCCAATACAAAGAAACACAAATATTTGAGGTCCCAGATATTCCAATTACCCAGGTTTGATAATTACACATTGTATACACATATCAAAATATTGCATGTACCCCCAAAATATGTCCAATTGTGATATATCAATAAAAAACAAATGAAATAAAAATAAACAGTAAAATTTTAAAAATTAATTAAAAAATAAGGAAATCCTGTCATTTGTCACAACATGGATGAACCTGGAAGAATTATACTAAGTCAAATAAGCCAGACCCAGAAGGGCAACTATTGCATGATCCCACTTACAGGTGGAAACAAAAAAGCTGAACTCATAGAAACATAGAGTAGAAAAGTGGTTATCAGGAATTAGGGGTAGGAGGTAGAAAGGGGTGATTAATTTTGGTCAAAGGGTATGAACAAATTGTAAGTGACAGATAATTTGATCTCAAAATTCATGTTTCACAAGTTTGAGAGCCACAGTTCTCTGATTAGTTGATAAGAAAACTTGTATGTATAGGGTTGTGAGTGGTTCCTTAGCAGTCAAAGAGACTCTGTGATTTAGGAAAGACAGTTTATCATCTTTAAAGACGATAAATTAAACTTTAAATCTTTCTGTCAGGGACTGTCCTTGAAACATTTATCAAGGTAGGTAGTTCTGCAAGAAATTAAAATCATAGCTTGAATTACAGTAATTTTGCAAACATAATGCATTTTCTGAGTGCTCTAATTACTTCTTAATTATTTTATATCAATAGAAATTGAGAAACCCTAGAGAAGAAGAGGTATGGGAATCTATAAATAGTGATACCATGTCATTCTCAAGTTAAAACTTGTTTAGAATGCAAACAGTGTTATGCAATTTAAAATTAAATAATTTTGACATATTCGTGTATTAATTGATGAATTCATTTTATTAAATTTGTGGATCTACAAACTAACTTTATTCAAAACTATTAAAATCATATTGTTAAAATATTTAATAACACCTGTTTGCATTATAGAAAACCACAAAAAATCTTTACTCTTTTCAAAGATTCATCTTATTGTTAGAGAATTTATAATTTTGACAACTTCAATTAAATCTTTCCTATAACCATATTATTTTCAAAGGAAAAAAATCTCTTACAGGCTAAATGGAATTCTCTAAAATTTTCTCTTTTGCAATGAAGAGAGTAGATGAAAATCAATGTCACAATCTAGACAAATGACAGAAATCAGTGCCATCCTTGGAGATCCATGGAGACAGAGGTGGAATGTTTTGTGTAATATTGCAGAAAAAGATACAATATACAGAACAGAGTTGGCACAGTTCTTGTGTCACTGTACTCAATAAATGGTAAATATATTAATAATATTTGATTTGATTTTCCTAATTTTTAAAATTGCAATAAATGGTTGAATTTGCATCTCCAATATCAGCAAAAAACTTCACCCCAAACCAAACATGGCATCAAAGCTGGTAGTTGGATGTATGTTGACTGTAGCTCCACAAAAACAACCAAGATATATCTCCAATAGCAGATTCTGTTCTGTGCAATATATGGGATCTTTGTTAGAGAAAATTAACATATAGTTTTAGGTGTACTAAACAACCATCTCCATAAACTTATCTTTTGCAGATGTATAGGAACTGGTTTAGAAAAGGAGAAAATCATCTACTTGGGTACACACAAAGAAACATATTATAATTTAAGCTTAAAAATACAAATTTACCCCAGCTACTCAGGAGGCTGAGGCAGGAGAATGGCGTGAACCTGGGAGGCGGAGCTTGCAGTGAGCTGAGATAGCACCACTGCACTCCAGCCTGGGAGACAGAGTGAGACTCCATCTCAAAAAAAAAAAAAAAAAAAAAAAAAACTTACAGGGTGGGCATGCTGGCTAATACCTGTATTGCCAACAGTTTTAGAGTCCAAGGCAGGAGGATCCTTTGAGTTCAGGAATTCAAGATCAGTCTGGGTAAAAGGGCAAGACCTCTTATCTACAAAGAAAAAAAAAAAAGTAGCCAGCCATAGTGGCATGCCCCTGTGATCACAGCTACTCAAGAGGCTAAGGCAGCAGCATATCTTTGAGCCCAGGAGGTTGAGGCTGCAGTAGCCATGATTGCACTCTGCTGGTGTCAGTGACTTAACTGGTAATGTGACCCTGAACTTCATGTCAGACCGTTCTCAGGCCAGGTTTACTGCACTTGTCTTCTATCATTAAATTTGAACTATAGAGTATCAAGAACACCCAAGCGGTCCAAAATGGTACCAAACGTAGTTATTTCTGCCTTCAGTCTGTAGTAACAGGTCTGCTTTTAATTAATGATCATTATCTGTTAACCCTACCAAGATGATAACCTACCTGCCTGCAGGTCCCTTAGCACAAGTCGACCTAAGAGTCTGGTGGTCACCTATAGTTTATGGTGAAAGGGAGCTAGTTAAGATGCTAGACTTTAAGAACTCTTGTGTATTTCTGCTTGCCTTTTGATGCCTTTGTCTTTTTTAAATGTCCACTGAGATGCTACACACTAACCCAGTGTGATCCCCAGATTAAGCATATTTGGGGTAGACTTGAGCCTAAACTCAGATAAGAGCCAAACCTAGACAGGTTCATAGCTTGAAGAACCTCCAAATTAGTCTCAGCCTAGATTACCTGGCCCAGTCAACCCAAAATTGAATGTGGAATAAAGTATGTGTCTAAAGCTACAGAATTTTGAAATAGTTTGTTACACAAAAAAAGCTAACTAATACAGAAATTAATACCTGGAAGTGGGTTGCTGCTGTAGCGGAAACCTATATTTATCAGGAGCATTTATTTTGGAGCAGTGTGGCTAGACGTGAGAAACCAAATAAAAGGCTGGATAATGAGTATGAAATTTTTATAAATGTTTGGGAAAATGACTAACCCAAACTATTTGGGAAAATGACTAACCAAAATATTTGGGAAAATTGTCATATGTAGTTATTTTTTAAAGAAAATATATACTTGGCATATTTTTAGACTACATACAAGTAGCTTCTAGGCAGAAAGTGATAGAATAAGCATCTGTGGTTGATACCTGAACACAAACCTGAGTAAGGAGCCAAGACCAGGTAGAGTCAAGGTGTGTGGAAGAGCTGTCGCCCTATGCCAAGATAACTGAGCTCTTAGTTAACCAAGAAACTTTTCTGCAATATCAGATGACATTCTAGTAAACCACTGATGTTTAGAGTGGATTGTAATTCAGCAAAAGCTAATCCCTACGTGAAAGAAGAATGAGACAGTTGAACTATTCTAAATTTACTGTTGTTGCTCATTAAACAATGCTTCATTTTAAAAAACACTGTAGTCTACAGATGTAATAAAAGCTTGGAAACCAGTGGAAAATAACATAAAAAAAGTGATAGAAAAAAGTAGGAAATTAGGAAACAATGATTGAAATGTAGGGAAAATGGTATATTGAGGTAAATTGTATCAAGTGGGAAGATAATTTTGTGAAAGAAAGAAGTATGGAGGCTGGACAAACATAAGTTGAGGAAAGAGAAAGTCATCATGAAGGTATTGGAAAAGAGAAAGTATGGCAAGAAATGCACAGGAGAACAATGAATGACACTCAAGAACATTCTATGAATGTGGGGTTGCATAGATTCACTTAATCATAGTCTATAAAACAATATGAAATTATACTGAAAAAGGATTAGAGTTAGTAAAATTTTAAGAGTACTGACATTTTTTGAAATACTCTGCTAAGTTCTGAGAAAGGCATAAATGCTCTGCCTTTAAGTCTAAAACATAAATTCACAAGGCGCAGAAATACTAAATTAATATGAATACCAGAATGGTCAGTTGCATGCAGAATAAATACATGTTTTCCCCAGTGTTTTTCTTCTGTGTCCAAATAATTTTTTCCCAACACAGTAAACTCTGTAGTCACACAATTTCTACTGTATTAGGAAAAAAACAGACACAACTCAATTTTCTTATCGTCTATCAGAAAATACTGTTTCTTTCGTGTATAATTATTGCATGGCAGATAATCTGGCATGTGGCCTTTATTGTTCTTTTTTTTAAAAGCTGTTTAAATGATTCATTATGGTTGTGTTACCAGTATCTTGCTTTCTGTGGACTGTGATGATTTCCAGTGAAGTTTAAAAATAAATAAATAACAAGGAAACTTTAAAAAATGCATTGGCCTATTGCTTTGGGGTTTGGAGTAATCCTAGCAAAAATGCTTTGTTGGCTGATTTCACGTTATGGACGGGGCTCTTTTCTCCAAGCACAGTCATAAAATTGCTTTGCCATTTTTTTCAGTTACCAATAAAACCTGTCAAAGAGCCATGCTCGAAAGTGAGTCATTAGCTGAAGTCAGCTCTTTTATTTATATTTCGTGGACCCACAGTACCTTTAGCACTTAATATTCCAACCAAGATGTAAGCATCCAAACAATTATATATTACCCCAAAGCCACATAATGCTTTAAATATTTTTATTCACCTGCTCCCAATATTATCTATTTAGATAATTCTAAAAAGAGGGAAAACTAATCATTTTCTATCGCAGATGCTATTTTAGGGAAAATATCTGTCATACGACAAACTACCATAATATTTGAAGCATAGCATATAATGTAAGCATATGCCAGTCCAACAGAACTGTTTTTATTAAGGTACTTGGGAGATTTTTTGGTTGGTTCTGTGAAAGAAGCTAAGGTATGTGCTGCAATATTAAATAGTATGAAGATTTTCTCATGACAAAAATGAGGACGTGTAGCACCTGTTCTTAATTATTAGTGTTGGTGGCAAAAAGGTTGTCACCCACGGTCTGCAGCATTTTCAGCATCAAATAAATATGTGAGTGCAGAAGAAGAGTGCTGGATAAAACAATGACTACAGAGGAGGAAGAGAAATACCTGGTGAAATGCCACTTACAGGACGAAAGGGTACGAAGGATGGTGGCGCAGAGCCTGAATGATTTCCACACTGAAAGAACAACTTGTGAAATGCCTTGAGCAGTGTCCTTGTCTACTCAGCATATACCTGAACTGTATGATGATGGCAAAGCAGATCTGGTTCCCTACAGATTTCAAAGGATCACAGACCCCCAGATAAGAGAGGAGACTAAACATGCATCCAATCTCCATATTTTGTAGACATATGGCAAAATAATACATTTTGTTCACCATGGCCTTACCCTTTTATAATGGTTATCTGTGATTATACTTTGAAAGCAGCAGACTCCAAGGGGCCCAAAATATGTAAGGTAAAATGGCATTTAAAAGCAAAGGCAGGCTTCCATTGTCGTGATTATTTACATGTCCGTCTGTACTCTGCACCGTGGAATTTTTGTGCATTATCCATACAAGTCAGCTAACACACGGTGGTTTAGTGAAAAGAGTAGAGTCTTTGAAACAAGGCAGAGCAAAATGAAAATCATCAGCCATGGTCAGGAGATGCAAGCTTTTCTCCATCAGTTAAATAAAGCTAACAATACATATGAGACAGGATTATTGAAAGGAAGACAATCAATAACGTGGAAATTCTGTCCATACTCTCTGGGAAAATGGTATTTTACAATAGCTGGCTTCCTTTCCATTTTCTTAGTGCCTTCTTACAAAATACATGTCACAAGTCTATGATCTAACTATAAAATTGAGGTGAAGATGCTATTGATTAATAAAATGTTCTCTGGAATTTCTATGAAGTTTAGAACGATTTTTGATTGGAGAAATAAATTCGTAGATATTTAAGAGTAACTAAATAAATTAGAAAAACAAAAGTTGGACTTCCTTGGGTAATCAAGGAAAAGGTTAATGCAGAAGGCAATGGAAAGCAGGGCTGAACAGGCAGCATGCTCTATGACATTTACTTTACTGTAAACCACTGCATTAATTCTTATATGGACTGTTGTATCTAATGCATTTTTAGTGTTACCCTCTTGATAAATTCTGAAGCTGTGCAATATTTTGTTTTTTTAAATCATTTTCAATATTTTATCAGTATAAATAGAATAAAATGCTTAATATCTCCTCATAGTGTATAAATATTGCAAACACATATATTCAGCTATGATGCAAACAATATTAAAAGATCTGTAAAAAATGTCACAATGGTTGCAGGAAAAGGAAGAGAGTAATATCAACATTCAAAACTTTTTTTTCCATTTTATTTTTATTACATATTGGCTAACTGATTACTTTGTATATTTATTCTAACAAGGCCCCAAACAAATTAAAAATGAAAAGCCTCTTGATCTCAGTCCTCCATATTTCCTGCTCTTCTGGCCTTTTCCATTTATAAATTATACAAATATTCAAACAAACACTCAAGCCAATCACTGTGGGCTAATCATTAATTTCTCTTTCTTCAAACCACATTCAATTCATTGACAAATGCTCTTAGCTCTACCACAAAAATGTGTCCTGTTCCATTTTTGTTTCAATTATAACATACAGCAGAACAAGTTCTTTCTTTCTTACTTTAAACTTATAAATCACTTTATTTGAGGGAACACATAAAGATTATGTATTCAATATTATGTCTTATTTTGTGGGAACACAAATGTACTAGGTATGATTTGACATGTTCAAGAAACTGAATACATTGACCTAATAAATTTATTTCAATGCTTTTGTAAATTTTAGTGTTAATGGAACTAAAAGAAGAAAGATATTAATGCCATTTCTATTTCCAAGTGTTTTTTCTGTTGTTTGGTTTTGTTTTTTTACTTTTATTTTAGTTTCAGGAGTACATATGCAGGTTGTTTCTATAGACAAGTTGCATGTCATGGGGGTTTGGTGTACATATTTCATCACCCAGGTGATAAGCATAGTACCCAACAGACAGTTTTTTGATTCTCATCTTCCTCCTATCCTCCACCTTTAAGTAGGCCCTGGTGTCTATTTTTTCCTTGTTTCATGTGTATGTACTCGTGCTTAGCTCTCACTTGTAAGTGAGAGCAAGTGGTACTGAGTTTTCTGTTCCTGTTAATTTGCTTAGGATGATGGCCTCCAGCTCCATCCATGTTGCTGCAAAGGATGTTAGCTCATTCGTTTTTATGACTATATAGTACCCCATGGTGTATATGTACTATATTTTCGTTATACAGTCTACCATTGATGGGCATTTAGGTTGATTCTATGTTCTATGTCTTTACTAATGCAATTTTTTTTTTTGAAAAGTAGTCTCACTCCATCACTCAGGCTGGAGTGCAGTGCAACCTCCACCTCCCGGGTTCAAGCTATTCTCCTGCATCAGCCTCCAGAGTAGCTGGGATAACAGGCACACACCACTATGCCCAGCTAATTTTTGTGTTGTGCTTTTACTAATAGAGACAGGGTTTTACCATGTTGGTCTGGCTGGTCTTGAACTCCCGACCTCAGATGATCCACCCACTTCAGCCTCCCAAAGTGCTTGGATTACAGGCGTGAGCCACTGTGCTCAGTTGTCTTTACTATTTTGAATAGTGCTGTGATGAGCATACACACACATGTGTCATTATGCTAGAATGATAACATATTCTATTAGTATATACCCAGCAATGGGATTGCTGGTTGAAAGGTAGCTCTGTTTTAAGTTTTTTGAGAAATCACCAAACTGCTTTTCACAGTGGCTGAGCTAATTTATATTCTCACCAGTAGTGTGTAAGCATTCTCATTTCTTCAAAGCCTCACTAGCATATGTTATTTTTTGACTTTTTAGTAATAGGCATTCTGATTGGTGTGAGATGATATCTCATTTGCTTTTGCTTTGCATTTCTCTAATGAATATAATGTTGAGCTTTGTTTCATATATTTGTTGGCCATAGATATGCCTTGTTTTGTAGTGTCTGTCCTTTGCCCACTTTCTAATAGGGTTGTTTTGTTCTTGTTAATTTGTTTAAGCTCCTTATAGACACTGGATATAAGACCTTTGCCAGATGAATAGTTTTCAGATCTTTTCTCCCAATTTTTCAGTTGTCTATATACTCTGTTGGTAGTTTATTTTGCTGTGCAGAAACACTTTAGTTTAATTAGGTCCCATTTGTCAATTTTTGCTTTTGGTGTCTTCCTCATGAAATCTTTCTCGATGCCTATGTCTAGAATGGTATTTCCTAGGTTTTCTTCAAGAATTTTTATAGTTTTGTGCTTCATGTTTAAGTCTTTAATCCATATTGAGTTGGTTTTTGTATGTGAGGTGAAGTGGTCCAGATTCAATCTTGTGCATATGACTAGCCTGGTATGCCAGCACCATTTATTGAATAGAGAGTCCTTTCTTCATTGCTTCTTCTTGTCAACTTTGTCAAAGATCAGGTGCTCGTATGTGTGTGGCTTTCTTTATGGGCTCTCTATTTTGCTTCTTTGATCTATTTGTAAAATTTTGTACCAGTACCATGCAGTTTTGTTACTGGATTTTAGCCTTGTAGTATAGTCTGAGTTCAAGTAATGTGATTCCTCCAGCTTTACTCTTTTTGCTTAGGATTGTTTTGGCTCTTGGGGCTCCTTTTTGGTTCTATATGAATTTTAGAATATATTTTTCCAATTCTGTCAAGAATGTTCTTGATAGTTTGATAGGAATAACATCGAATCTGTAAATTGCTTTGCACAGTATATCCATCTTAACAATATTGATTCTTCCTGTTCATGAGCATGTAATGTTTTCCCATTTGTTCATGACATCTCTGATTTGCTTCAGCTGTGTTTTGTAATTCTTGTTGTGGAGATCTCTTACCTCCCCGGTTAGCTTATTCCTAGGTATTTTATTTTTTGTGGCTATTGTGAATGAGATCGTGTTCTTGATTTGGCAATCATTAGTGTATAGAAATGCCACTAAATATTCTACTGAAGTGGTTTATCAGCTCTAGGACTTTTGGAGAGAGAATATGGGGTATTCTTTTTTTTTTTTTTTTTGACAGAGTCTTGCTCTGTCGCCCAAGCTGGAGTGCAGCGGCATGATCTCAGCTCACTGCAACCTCTGCTTCCAGGGTTTAAGCAATTCGCCTGCCACAGCCTCCCAAGTAGCTGGAACTACAGGTGTGTACCACCTTGCCTGGCTTTGTGTGTGTGTGTGTGTGTGTGTGTGTGTGTGTATTTTTAGTAGAAGCGGGGTTTCACCATGTTAGCCATGCTGGTCTCCAACTCCTGACCTCAGACAATCTGCCTGCCTCGGCCTCCAAAAGCTCTGGGATTACAGGCGTGAGCCACCACACCCAGCTGACTATGGAGTTTTCTAAGTATAAAATCATATTTTGACCAAGCAGAAATAGTTTGACTTTCTGTCTTCCTATTTGGATTCCTTTCATTTCTTTTTCTTACCTGATTTCTCTGGCTAGGACTTCTAGTAAAAGTTGAATAGGTGTGATGAGAGTGGGCATCCTTGTCTTGTTCTGATTCTCAAGGGAAATGCTTCTAGCTTTTGCCCATTCAGTATTATGTTGGCTGTGGCTTTGTCATAGATGGCTCTCATTATTTTGAAGTTCCTTCAGTGCCTAGTTTGTGGAGAGTTTTTAACATGAGGGGATGCTGAATTTTATCGAAAGCCTTTTCTGCCTCTATTGAGATAATCTTGTGATTTTCGTTTTCAGTTCTGTTTATGTGCTGAATCAAATTTATTGATTTGCATATGTTGAACTAATCTTGCATCCCAGGAAAAAGCCTACTTGACCGTGGTAGATTAAATTTTTGATGTGCTGATGAATTCGGTTTTCTACCCCTATTTTGTTGAGGATTTTTTTCATCTGTATTCATCAAAGATATTGGCCTGAAATTTTCATTTTTTTTTGTTGTAACTTTGCGAGGTTTTGGTATCAGAATGATGCTGGCCTCATAGAATGAGTTGGGGAAGAGTCCCTCCTCCTCAGTTTTTTGGATAGTTTCAGTAGGAATGATTCTATCTCCTTGTTATATATCTGGTAGAATTTGACTGTGAATCCATCTGGACCTGGGCATTTTCTGGTTGGCAAGCTTTTTATTCCTGATTCAATTTCAGAACTTGTTATTGGTCTATTCAGGGAAATGCAAGTTCTTTCCATCAAGTCTTCTTAAGTAGCCTCTTCCTAACTCCAGAGTAATTCATTTACTACATAGTGACTAAGGTGTTCTTTTGAAAATAAAAATTGCATAACTTCATTCCCCTCTTTGTTCACTCTGATATGTGACTCTGCCCTTCTTTCTATTCTGCAAACATGTCAAACATGTTCCTGCCTTAAGACTTTTCTCCATACTGTTCCATTTTTCTCCAATGCTGTTTTCGCAGAATGTGGCTTGAGGGGCTCGTTCTCTACTTCAATTTAAGTCTCAACTCAAATATCACCTACTCAGAGAATATTTTCCTATGATACTGTCTTAATGGCCCTTCCAATTACATTCCATGTCATCATTTCTGTTTTATTATGGTGTAGAGCACTTGTGATTATCTAAAATCGTCTTAACGTCTCTCCTCATTTTAATGCCATCTCTTAGAAAGCAAGGTATTTAAGACTCTTGCTTATAGTCTAGAGGCTAGCCTGTCACTCACTATTTTGTGAATACTGGAAGAGGACTCAATACTCTTGGGTCAGAAATAAAGATTTTACTACTTATGACACACCAAGTGCTATGAGCTTCATCTTGAGTCATCTCCTCATTCCTCCACCCCCTGCATCCTACCCCCAACCAATTTTATGGGTCCTAGGCAGAGAAGCACAGATGAATGATACACAAATTGTGGATTTGTATCACACATAAGGAATTATGAGCTTAGGGAGTCCAATTCTTTAATAGTGGACTATTAGCAAGCACTCTTTATATGCTGCAAAGAAAATGCTGAGGAATGGCTGGACAAGGAGCAGTCAGGGCCTTCAGTCTTGGCATTCTCAGTGAGAAAATGCAAGGATTCAAGTCTCATAACTGATTGCATCTTCCAAAATTCCATCCCTTAGCCTGAGAGATTTTTGAATAACTTGAATTTTAACATGAGTGTGTCATTCCATCAAGTATTCTTATTAATTTGACCAGAAGGTGCTGGGACAAAATCCATTTAATTTGTTCTATATAGCATTTAATTAAGGCTACTGTCAATAGGACTCAAAAATGAGCCAAATGAGGCCAGCCAAATGAGGCCAAACCACAGTGTTGAGTTTTCTAAGCTGCCCTCCCCAAGGATGAAGACACAGCAAACTGTTCATAGATCCAAAATGCAAAATGGGGGTGGGGAGGAGGGAGGCTTTGCCATGTACTATAAGTTAAGTCTATTATCCTTTACAATGGATGGAAGGGGGACCTGACAATCTTTGGTGACGCTACCAAAAATTCTCTGGAACAATAGCCCAAAAAGCAACATTTGTCTCCCCTGAAGAAATATCCCATGCACCACTCAATCTTTATAGAACATATAACCTGAAGGGGCACAGCTCATGTTGGCTCAGCGTTTCTTATTGAAACTGGATTTGGATTGCCAAACATTGTTTAGGGTAAGCCATGTAATTATCAATTTGTGGTTGCAGCCCAGTAGCCACATAGAGCATAAACCTACACTGCTTAGGCAAAAAGTATATGGATTTGTATCAGGTAGATTTAAACAAAGCTGGTCTTGTGTCATGTTGTACACATACTAGGGAGATCCACATTTAGGAGAGACTGGTGATGGTACCAGACACAGCATGATAGATCAGGAAGTTTATTATTATTATTAGAAGTAGTAGTAGTAGTAGTAGTAGTAGTAGTAGTAGTAGTAGTAGTAGTAGTAGCAGTTTGAGTTTTCATAGAAGGTGAATGGGGTTTTAATCCAAGAAGCAGGTTTAATTGCCAACTACAGCTACTGCTTGACTCAGGAAGAAGGTAGAATTCTTTAGCCTTCAATGCCTAGTTTGCTCTTCACCTTGTGAGCTTAATGCATTCCTTTCCCATGTGTCACACAGTTGGCATAAACTGTCCCAGTCAATGATAAGCCTACTATTTCTCTAACAGTCCCCTTCTCTCACTGAGACCTTTCATCTAACTAGTCAGATTCAAAAGGATCAAGGAGGTTCTAATAAAAATTGATAAAGATTCATAATCTCTCTTTGGCCTGTGTGGGACACTGCTGGGGAACCTGACAAATGGCACACACTACCAAGTATTCATTGTCTGTAATCTAGGATGATGTCAATCTAGCATGAGAACCAGGTGAATGAACTGAAGGTAAGTTTTATTCCCTCAAGCCCCTTTTCCCTGGGCTGTTTTCCAGAAGGTTATGTTTACCTGGCTGTCTTGAGATTGTTGCCAGGAGAAAAAAGTGGCATTATATGTAAAAATGCTCATGTTATAACAATAAATTTTTAAAATAAGTCTTCCTATACCCGATCTGCTTTGTGCCTGATCATTCGCGACACTGTGGCCAAGAGAAAATTATATCTTTATGGGCATACCACCCTCAGTAATCAAATTAACTTTATTAAAATCTTTGCACAGAAAAGAGACCAAGACAAAAAAGAGTTTTTGTACTGATTTGCGAGGAGCTGCTCAACAATACCAGATGTCTGTGAATGATAAGAAACACGGAATGTTCATCAAATTCCTTTTACTTTTGGCCCTTTATTGAGTGGAATTTGAGACGAAAGGCACCTTTTTGTCAGATTGTAAATGGCTTATAAATCTTAAAGCCTAAAACGGTTTATTCTGAAGTGTTGTAATGGTGTAGCTTGGGTCTGCTGATTGGATTATAAAAGCAACAGTATCAACAGTAGGGAGGCATGAATGATAGTCCTGAGATAAGCTTAAGGGTTTGATGTAGTCAATTTTCCGGGATCAGGCAACAACAATGCCCTGTGCCACGTGACCTCTTTCACTGCATAACAATCTAGAGTTTCGTAGAAGCCACAAATATGGCATGCAGTGGGGAATTAAATATCTGACACAAAGATTTTTATGCTGATCCAGTCAACATTTTGTTGTCCTGTCGGGTGAGGTATTTGATCCAGGAAGCAAGGATGGCAATCTGAAAAGCGGAGTCTTGATCAGCAGTTTGAAACCACTCAGTCTCATTAGATAATTGGCTTTCATCATGGGCATCTGCTTGAGTACCCAGGCTATGCTATCAATAGCCATAATTTGTTTCCACACTTCACATCACCAAAGAGGGATATCTTAATCTGACTATCATCTTCCAAGTAATAGGCCAGTAAGCTATGCTATTGCCAACAACTCAAGAGTCAGTAAAATATATATCATGTATGATCTACAGAAGGATTTCTGAAGCAAGAGTCATACCTTTTCAATCAGCTTATTGTGCTGATTAGCTCTGACTACAGTAGGTCTCCCAGAATTGTCCTTGGAGCAAGACAATGGGCGTCATCAGCTTTTTACTTATGAATACATTCAAACATTTAGGGGAGCCTCTATAAGCTGAGGTCTTCTTTTTTGTTGTTGTTTGTTTGTTTGAGACAGTCTCACTCTGCAGCCCAGGCTGGAGTGCAGTGGCGCCATCTCAGCTCACTGCAAGCTCCGCCTCCCGGGTTCTGCCATTCTCCAGCCTCAGTCTCCCAAGTAGCTGGGACTACAGGCGCCCGCCACCACGCCCGGCTAATTTTTTATATTTTTAGTAGAGACGGGATTTCACCGTGTTAGCCAGGATGGTCTCGATCTCCTGACCTCGTGATCCGCCCGCCTTGGCCTCCCAAGGTGCTGGGATTACAGGCTTGAACCACTGCACCCGGCCTTGTTTGTTTTCTTGTGTGTTGCTTTCTTCAGGTAGAATTTTTTTTTTTTTAAGTTTTTCCCAAAAGCAGAGCTGACACTTTTCTTTTTTCTTCTTTTTTGAGACGGAGCCTCACTCTGTCGCTCAGGCTGGAGTGGAGTGCAGTGGCACTATCTCGGCTCACTGCAACCTCTACCTTCTGGGTTCCAGCGATTCTCCTGCCTCAGCCTCCCGAGTAGCTGGGACTATAGGCGTGTGCCACCACGCCCGGCTAATTTGTTGTATTTTTGGTAGAGACGGGTTTTCATCGTGTTAGCCAGGATGGCTAATCTCCTGACCTCGTGATCCGCCCGCCTCAGCCTGCCAAAGTGCTGGGATTACAGGGATGAGCCACCACGCAGGGCGGCTGACATTTTTTTTTTTGTTGTTGTTAACCTGTAATTCTGCTGGCCTAGGCTGGCCATATCCTAAAACATATTATTTTAATTTGGCAATTGAGGCTTATTAGGCCTTTTTATTGTTAGTGGTGGAGTCTGAGTTGACTCAGCAAGTTAGGTACGTGGTGATGCTGGACTGAAAAATAGTCCGTTTAACCAAAATATCAATATCCTATATAGATAGATCCACGTAAGAGAGAGGGACCTATGTTACCATAAAGAAGATAGCAGAAAGGGTTCACGACCACAACATTTAATACACTTATCAATTCAGAAAGTGGAAATGTAGATCGTATTGTGCCATCTTGATGATACTGGCCTGAAAGAATGACGGACGACCTGTTGAGAAGGCACAGCATGGGCCAGTGGGTAGATTATATTAGACCAGAAGGGGGCTCTGTCCTCCAGGATGGAATATACATCTTGAATCAAAGGGCTTTATCTTGTGTGATCTGCTTGATTCAAAGCAATTATAAGTATTCGAACAGGTTGAAAGCAGCAGTTGTCTCTACTTACAATTATCCCAATGACCTACTTGAGGAATTTGTGTATGTTCCCTAATTCTTCACTCTGTAGGTTTAGAGGTTCTTGTTATCAAAGGGAAAACAATTACATAATGTGATCCATTGCCTATGCCTGGATTCCTTATGTCAAGGAAGAAGCAGGCAAAAGAAGAGGCAGCATCTTGGCAGGACTAATTGGCTGTGGGCACCAGGAAAATGTATTTTTGCTATTACCCAACTGGGATGGAAAAAGATAGATATATTTAGCACCTGCATGCTCTATATGGGTGCCTCCTGGTGTCCTTTTGCCCAATTTTGGTAGAAAATATGTAAGTGCAGCAACTCGATCCTCAGAAAGGCCAAGGGACCATGGGCTCATTCTGCTCTGGGATGAGGGTTGGTCATGGCCCTAGTATGTCATTACTGCCCAGCAGAAGTGTAGCTTAGAGTGAGGGAAATGTAAAAAAAGAAGTAGAAAAGGTAGGCAAATAACATTAGTTGTGGCTTCAAGACCAGCTGTAGCAGTGGGGCCTGGGGTTCATGCAGTAACTCTCCTCTATCTCTCAAGAAGAAAGACACAGTTGAGTCCCGGAGGAGCCACTTCTAGAACCTATGCAAGAATGTGGATCTGTAGACACAAAATGCAGATTGCGATGGGCACTGTGATTTACCTCCAATATTTCTCCTGAGGAATGAAGGACTTGTTTTCTTAGGTGCTAAGTCTGCTGTCAGAAACATTCTTTATCTGTTCTATCTGCCTGCTCCCCCATAGAAAATGAGTACTCGCCTATGTACAGTGGCTGATTCATGCTATGTATAAAGTCCTAGTCTTTGCTCCAACCTGGTACAACTCTGAAGGAACATCCCATCTCCTGAGCATTACACTGTCAGGAGCATTACATTGTCAGCCGAGGCATTCGTTGTGCCTGAATAGAATGTAAGCTTCTGTTTTGCCAAATCTTTTCTTCCTTTCTTTTCCTCAAATGTTGATCTCAAAAGTGTTTTTTAAACATGTTCTATATATTTATCTCTTTCTCAGAATCTGCTTCCAAGGAAACAAGCTTGGAAGACAAAATAGACACCCATATAACTATTAATTGTGAAAAACTCTGTAAGAGCAACTTAGAAATGTGGCTTTCATTGTTGAGAACAATCTGTAACAATGTTTATTGATTGTTTAATATAGTAAATATAAGCCAGTTTTGCCATAAATATAATGCCATTTTGAGTAACACTAATTGAAGTATAATGTTCACAGGAAAGAGAATAAGGAGTCACCCTTTCACACTGACTATCCTAAGACAAACCAGAAAACAAAGTCCTAGTAAGAAAAGCACTGAAAACCTTGGTTTACTAAACAATAAGTAAATTACTGTGAGCAATATTGAGCTGTTATTATGATAACAATAAATAATAGTAATTCATAAGCATATTTTATATTGATAATTTCAGAAAAGTAGCCTTAAAGTTAAATATCTTAGTAAAGAATAATAAAGGATTGGTATTTAATGTATGCAATAAATTATTTAAGAAAGTAAAAGAAAACATATTTTATACAAATAGATATCTTGAAAAGTTGATTATATATGCTGGTCTTGGTAAAATATAATCTCCTGAATATCCAATAGGTTGACAGCAATTTCAATTAATTAAAGGAAATGTATCGAAGATCATTTGACTTTGTGCTGCTTACAACATTGGAAAAATGATCTTAGAAGATTGAAAATTCACTTACTGACCTTTGAAACATCACAACAAAAAAGATATATTTAGCTCATCTAAAATAATTTATAATGCCTAAAAATCTAAAATTAAATTTAAATATATTAATTATTTAACCTGAAATGTCACCTTAGAAAAACCAATTAGGCCCTAAAGAATATTTAATAACTAAAAGATTTCTGTTCTAAGACAAATGCTATCCTGTCCTTTTTAGTTATCACTCTTTGTATATATTGACTTATTAAGAGTTATAGATTAAGCTTAAAGGTCTAGTCAATATGTTTGAACTTGTATAAAAGACTGAAAATGGGACTGTAGGAAACACATTTAATCTGTACTACCAAGAAAATAAAACCTGATTTGCTTCATTATAGTTAGAGTGGGTAACACTGAATGTATTACTCAAATTCTCTATCAATCATGTTTGAGTGACAGTGGGAGGTAGAGACAGAGAGAAAGCTTTCTGAGAAACAAATCTAATGCAATCCAATGCTCATTGAATTTACTTTAAACCTTTCTAAAGAGGGTTTACATTTGTAAAAAGGACAATAGCTTATTTATTTAGCAATGAGAGGTGTCCTGAGGGTTTCGTTATTCTTATTGGATCTCATATAATGCAGGACATTAGTAATTAAAGTGCATGCACAGTACAGGGATATGGTGCGCAAATACATAACAACTGTAAATCTGAAAAGAAAATTATATTTATATTTACATACATAATTCTATTAAAATGTTACTAATATAAAGGAAATATGTCATAACATTTATAAACAATAATTAAATATTGAATTTTAAATGCATATTATTCCACTTTTAATAATGATGTTCTTGACAACCAGCTCACAACGATTTCTGAAAATTTAAGAATCAGCTTTCCTAGACTGATAAAAGTCAGCTCCAGCACATTATTGATACAAGGAAGACACGTGAGTAATGAATATCTGTAGGAATAGTAACTGTGGTGAGGAAAATAAAGGACTGGGGAGAAAACATTATCTTTAATATTTGAAAGAGTGTATAAGGAAGAGGAACTGTCCTAATTTTGAATCTAGAGATTTGTTTGAAATCCCTGATGCAATGTAAGAGAGATTACCTTTAATTTAATGTAATACCAATCAAGAAAATTTTATCCTCAAAAATGTACTCTGGAGAACCAGCTTCATTTGAAAAATGTAAAGAGCTTAGAAGTTGTCACTCCATACTTACAACAAGATAAAAGCTGAACTAATTGAAAAGCAACAGCTCTTCTTGGATATATCAGAGAACTACACTTGCACAGCAGACTATCACCCGCAAGTTTGGAAAGATGGAAAAATGCAGATAATCACAGTGAGATCTGCCTACCTGGGACAGAAGCCACTAGAGCCCTAAACTAGTAGGACAATTAAATATTGATTTTGACATATATCTCAAAGGCAAGTGTGGATAAAAATGGAAGAAAGAAACAACTGGTTGCTCCAACCTTATAACGAATCCCACATTTTCATGAGATTTTCTCCATGAACTCCATTATGTTCTTACAAATAAAAATGAGATTATATTCTTATGTATCTAGCAAGGGTAAGGGAAGAGTGATCATTAGAGACTATACCCAGAACTTTTTCCATAACAAAATCTGCTCTCCAAGGAAAATACAATACCAGAGTCTTATTCCAACTGTGGGGAATTTATCCTCATATTCTAGCATGGTCTAGCCTTTCTGGCTAAGTTAAAACTGGGGAGGTGGGTTAAGGAAGGATACAGGACTAGAGAAAAACTTGTGAAGCTTACAGCCCAGAGACACAGACTCATTAAAGACTAAGATTTTTTCATACGATTACAGTTCCCACACCTCCCACACAACTTACCAGCACATCAATTGGCTCAGTACAAAAGTGCAATAACAGCTACAAGTTTCAGCCTGTTGCTGAGGAAGAATATATAGTGAAGCCCAAGGTCAAAAACAAAGACACTGAATATATTCAAAGCTTATGGTAGCTGCAACTATTGAAAACATTAAACAAAGCCAAACACTTAGCCAGATGAAATAAAACTTCACACTAAATGGCAACTTACCTCAGTTCCTAAATCTGATACAAAATGTGTAGCTTTCAACCAAAAAGTAGAAGGCATGCCAAAAAGCCAAAAAAAAAAAAAAAAAGAAGTCCTAATGGAGAAAACCAGCATTAGAACTAGACTCAGATATGACACAGATGTTAGAATTATCACACAGGGAATTTAAATGACTATAGGCCAGGCACGGTGGCTCATACCTGTAATTCCTGCACTTTGGGAGGCCAAGGCAGGCAAATCACCTTAGCCTGGCCAACATGGTGAAACCCCATCCCTGCTAAATATAGGAAAATTAGCCAGGTGTGGTGGCACACATCTGTAATCCCAGCTAATTGGGAAAATGAGGCACAAGAATCCTTTGAACCTGGGAGGCAGAAGTTGCATCAAGCTGAGATTGCACCACTGCACTCTAGCCTGGGTGACAGAGTGAGACTCTGTCTAAATAAATAAATCAATGAAATTTGTATAATAAGGGCTCTACTGGAAAAGTTGACAATATGCAATAACAAATAGGTAATATAAGCAGAAACATACAAACTGCAAAGAAGAATCAAAAAAATGCTGGCAATATAAAATGCTGGAACAGAATTGAAGAATGGCTTTCATGGGCAAATCAGTTATGTACATGTCCAATGGAAGAATAAATCAGTTTGATAATAGAACAATAGAAATTCCCAATATGAGAGACAAAAAAAAAAAAAACACACAAAAAGCAAAACAGAGTATCCAACAATTTTAAAACCAGGAGGAGAAGAAAGAATGGAAACTAAGAAGTATTTGTTTGCTTTTTCTAACTTTTATTTTAGGTTCAGGGGTACATGTGCAGGTTTGTTATGTAGGTAAACTCATGCCAGGAGGGTTTGGTGCACAGATTATTTTTTCACTCAGGTACTAAGCGTAGTATCCAATAGTTATTTTTTCTGATCCTGTCCCTCCTCCTACCCTCTTTCCTCAAGTAGGTCACAGTATCTGTTGTTTCCCTCTTTGTGTTTTCATTATTTAGCTCCCATTTATATGTCAGAACAGGTGGTACTTTTTAACTATTTTTTAAAAAGTAACTATAATTTATATCAGATGGGTGATAAAATGGGTTAATATGATAGTTAATTAAAAACAGAGAAGGAAGAAAAAGAGGAAAGGGGGAAGCAAAAATCAAATTAAATGTATAGAAAATAGTTGTAAACATAGCAGATATTAATCTAGTTATATAGATAGTCATTTTAATATATATATATTTTTTAATTTTGTTTTCTTTTTTGAGATGGAGTATAGGTCTATCTCCTAGGCTGGAGTGCAGTGGTGCGATCTTAGCTCACTGCAACCTCTGCCTCCCGGGTTCCAGCAATTCTTCTGCCTCAGCCTCTCAAGTAGCTGGGATTACAGGCACGTGCCACCACACCCGTCTAATTTGTTTTATTTTTAGTAGAGATGGGGTTTCACCCTGTTGGCCAGGCGCTCTTGAACTCCTGACCTCAAGTGATCTGCCCACTTCAGCCTCCCAAAGTGCTGGGATTACAGACGTGACCCACCATGCCTGGTTGAATGGTTTTAATATACCAATTAAATAATCCAATTTTATATTTAATAAAATAATTAAGTTGCAACTATATGCTGTTTAAGGAAATTGATTCTAAATATTAAAACAGAGGTTAAAAGAATTTGGATGAGAAAAGATATCATTAACCAAAGAAAAGCTAAAATAACTATAATAATTTAAGCAAAGCTGATATCAGAACAATGAAAATACTCAAATGCAAAAATAGGCATTATGTAAATGATAAAGGGATCAATTCTTCATAACACATAACAATCCTTAACTTATATGCACCTAACAACAAAGCATAAAAATATATGAGGCAAAAATGGGTAGAACTGCAAGATGAAACAGACAATTCCACTACTAAAGCTGGAAACTTCAAAATTTTTTTTCCAGTAATTTGAGTATATTTTAAAAATGTAGTACATGTGATCTGAATAATACTCTCAATTATCTTGAGCTAATTAACATTTATAGAATACTTCATTTAACAACAGCAGAATATACACTCTGTTCAAGCTCACATTAAATATTTACTAAGACAGACAGCATTTGGACTTAAGGCATACCTTAAATACCTTAAAGATTAAAACTCATACAAAGTATGTTTTTAGACTGCAATATTTTTCTACTTTAATTGAATTAAACTTAACATAGAAATCAAGAAAAAAAGCATACCAAAAATGTTGAAAAACTCCAACATATTTTTAAATTACATAATAAAATTCACAGAACTTAATGGCCAAATAAGGGAAACTGAATATATTTTAATCTAGGGGAAAATGTTACTAAAATTTATCAAACATTAATACTTGGGGAATGGATATATAACAGTAGTTAGATAAAAAAATTATGTACTTAAATGTGTATAATAAAAAAGAACAAAGATCTAGAAAATGTATATGTCTCTAGAAAACTAGCAAAAGAAGATAAATTTAGTTTTTAAAAAAGTAGAATAAATCTAATAATATAAATGAGAGCAGAAACAATGATATTGATAACAGAAAAATAATAGATAAATAAACCCAAAATCTAGTCCTTTGAAAGGGCTAAAAAAATGAATAAAACCCTAGCTAGACTAACTAGAAAAAAGAGCAAGCAAGAGAGAGCAACTGTGTGGTGTATGTGTGTTTGTTTGTGTGTGTGTGTGTGTGAGAGAGAGAGGAGAGAGAGGGAGAGAGTGAGAGAAAGAGAGAGCGATTTTATGTGAAAAAAATGAGACTACTTCTTCATCTTCTAAACATTAAAATGATTTAAAAAATATTTCAAAATGTTTGAAAAAACTCTGTACCTCCAAATTGAAATAGTTACAGCAAACAGGCCACTTTCTTGAAATAATCAGCAAAACTCACACAAAAAGAAAAATAAGCTCTTACTAGGTCTATATCTACTAAGAAAATTGAATCAATAATGAATAACATTCCAAAATTATGCACTATACCTAGATTGTTTAACTGTTTTATATCAGAAGTAGAAGGAAAACTTCTTAACTCATTCCATGGGTCCAGCATTAACTTAATACCAAAAAGGTACAAATGTATTACAAGAGAATTAACAACTGATATATTATATGAATATAGATGCAGAAATCCTCAAAAAATATCAGCAAATGAAATTCAACAACGTATTAACAAAGGACACATATTCAAAATCAACTAAAATATGATAACCAAGTAGGATTAATTCCAGGAATGCAAGGCTAGTTCAACATTCAGAATTCAATGGATGCTATCCATGACATTAGCAGGTTTTAAAAAAACATAAGATGATATAAGTTTATTTTAAAAAACTTTGGACAAAATCAAAATTCTCTTCTTATTAAAAACTTTCAACACACTATAAATTGAAAACTCCTAAGTTTGATGCAGAAATTTATAAAAACCTCCAATGAGTAATCATATATAATGAGGAGAAACTAGGTGCTGTGCCCCCTAAGACAAAAAAAGAGGAAAAAGAAACGTACCTTTCTCCACTTCAACCCAGTATTATGATGAAAGTCCTAGCTAGTGTAAGAAGACAAGAAAACAAGAAGCTATACCAATTGAAAAGAAATAAATGTAACATTTAAATGCTTCACAGGCAACATGACTCTCTATTAGAACATTTCAAAGAATCAACAATATAACTGTTGGACTTAATGGTAAGGTCACATGATACAAGGTTTATGTAAAACATTAATTGTTTCTTCTACAAAACCGATAAAAAAAATTGAAATTTGAAATGTTAAAAACAAATCCATTCACAACAGCACCAACAAAAATGAAATATTTACAACATACGTGCAAACTATATATGTGAAAAAATATAAAAATTGTGGAAAAAAATCTAAAATAGGGAACTCTACATGTTTATGGATTGTAATAGTCAATATTGTCAAGAAGTCAGTTCTTTCTATTTTGATCTATGGAGTCAATGCAAGTATAATAAAAATTCCAGCAGAATATTTTATTGACACTGACAAACAGATTCTACAGCTTTATAGAAAGTCAAAAGGTCAAGAGTAGCAAACACAATATTGAAAGAGAACAAAGTTGGAGGTCTTACATTACTGATTTCAAGACTTACTTTAAAAGTGCTATGATTAATACTGTTTTTTGTTTGTTTGTTTGTTTTCTTTTTTCTTTTTTCTTTTTCTTTTTCTTTGCTGAGACGGAGTCTCGCTCTGTAACCTAGGCTGGAGTGCAGTGGCGTGACCTCAGCTCACTGCAACCTCCACCTCCCAGGTTCAAGCTATTCTCCTGCCTCAGCCTCCCGAGTAGCTGGGATTACAGGCACCTGCCACCATGCCCGGCTAATTTTTTTTTTTTTTTTTAATTTTTAGTACAGACACAGTTTCACCGTGTTGGCCAGGCTGGTTTCAAACACCTGATTTCAAGTGATCCTCCCACTTCGGACTCCCAAAGTGCTATGATTACAGGTGTGAGAACTAATAGGCACATATTTCAACAGAACAGAATAGAAAGCTCAGAAATTGCCCCCCATGAATATCACCATTGAACTTTGAGAGAAGTGTAAAGTTAATCCAGTGAATAAAGGATGTTCTTTTCAACACATGGTGGTGGAAAAAAAATGGAGGTCTATTTGCCAAAGGAAAAAAAAAAAGAAAGAGAATCTAGACACAGATATTACAATTTTTACACACACCTTGCCCCCCGACACACACAACTCAAAATGAATCAAAGAACTAAATGCAAACTGTGTAATTGTAAAGATTCTAAAAGAAAACATAAGAAAAAATCTACTTAACTTCACCTTTGGTGATAGAACACCAAATAAATAAGCCATGAAATAATAATTGATATTTTGAAGTTTATTATAGCTGAAAACTTTTCTGTAAATGACGCTATCAAGGAAATGAAAGAAAAGTTACAGATTGAGAGAATATATTTGCAATATATTTGCAAAATATATATCTGGTTAAGGAAAGGACACATTCAAAAAATCTTAAAAATATCTTAAAACTCAACATAATTTTTTTAAAAATTAAAAATGAACAAAAGATCTGAGCAGATATTTTACTAAAGAATATATATACATATGTATATATGGCAAAAAATAAGAAGATACACAACATTATTTGTCATGAGATAATTCTAAATTCAGACAACGATGAGATACAACTACACAATTATTATAATGGCTAATACCAAATGCCTGACAATATCAAATGATTTTGAGAATAGAGAGCAAGAAGTGTTCTTTATTGCTAATAGGAATGCAAAATGGTATAGAACTTTGGCAGACAATTTTTCAGTTTCATACAAAGCTAAAAATAATTTCATTGTATTTTCCAGGAATTTTGATATGTCCACATGAATATTTGCATATAAATGGTTATAGAACCTTTTTTATATTGACAAAAGGTGGACTCAAACATTCTGTAAAAAGTAAATTGGTAAATAAGTGAAACACAGAATTTTTATGAAGTAATTATCTACCACATAAAACACGTTTTTGAAAATCCATGGAAATTAGTAGCATTAAGAATATACTTTGATATATGATTTCTCAAAAAAATTACTTATTATATTTTAGGATTTGGGAATGGATTTCAGAATGTGACAAAACAATCCAACTATATTACTATATATACATGAAACAATCCCAATAAATTGAGCAGGAGTGGGATGGGGAGAACTGATCAAAGAAAATAGAATTGAGTGAAGCCTGTAAAACTAAATGAAAAGAAACTGCATATAAGCACTGCACTCTAATAAGCATTTTTTTCCTCATGAAAGTGTACGTTAACAACTCTGATACCATTATGCAATTATACTGGAATTGAACAATTAGGAAAATGGACAGCAAATTGTAGAAGCTGCATTTATCATTGTTAAAGCGGAAATTTTCATAGCTGGAGGATGGAATTATCCAAATAATAATTGGAGGTTGGAATAATCCATTAGGTCATGTATCAGTATGACATTATCATACACTCACTTAAAGCTTAATATAGATGAAAATAGTTGCAGCTAGAAATATTAACAGACATGTTTACATACATGGGATGTCAGCTGAGAAGTTATTGAAGCAATGACACCCCAGTAGCAATGAACACACCTAGAAGCTAGGTCTTTATTTCTAATATCATTCTTCAATAGAAGGACCCAAAGCTCCTTGTAAAAATAGCTGATCTAGGACAGAACCAAAACACAAACAAGATGAAACCTGGAGCAGGTTATACTGGCAGAGAGTAAGAAATTACTAAACACAAAGACACACACACACACACACACACACACACATACACACACAATGACAGGGGTATGTCAACGAAACAAGGCAGTTACCTAAAGAGTTCTCAATGTCCAAAGGTGAAATGATTTGAGCAATAAAATAAATAAAGGAGCACTGGGTATAACACAAAGCCCTAAATAAAGATCTGTGAGTCCATATTAGTATAAATAAATGATTGAATAAATAAATAAATGGGGGGCAATAGAAAATATTCCCATGCAGATTTCAAATAATGTATGAAATACTGTCTTCTCAAAGAGGTGGAACATAACTCCTGACTCCTTAAATCTGGGCTGCACATGGTGAGTTTCTCCCATAAAGAATAGAGAGCGGGAAGGAAAGGATAGCTTCAGTGGAGAAGCATAAATACCATTCAGCCTTGTGATCAAGATCAACGTCAACAGTGATATGTCATTGATATGTCATGTAGGTAGGATGAATCATTGAAATGATGTGATGACCATGACACTTTACCACTATAGTCTTCCTTCTAAAATTGTAGAATCCCTTTCTAATCATAAGAAAAAGATCAAACAAATCCCAATTGTGGGTCATTCTACAAAATACCTCACCAGTACTCCTCAGAACTGCCAAAGTCATCAAAAAGAAGCAAATCTGATAAATGGTCACAACCAAGAGGAGTCTAAGGACATGACAACTAAACTAAATTTAGTGTTCTGTAGAAGACCCTGGAAGAGAAAAGCGACATTAAGGTATAAACAAAGGAGATTTGAGTACATTATAGACTTTGGTGAATAATAATATACCAACATTGCTTCATTAATTGTAACACATGTGACATACTCATGTAAGATGTTAATAGTCAGGAACACCAAGTGGGGAGTGTATGGGAAATCTCTGTACCATCTTTGCAATTTTTCTATATACCTAAAACACTTATAAAATAAAATAATTTATTAAAATACAAAACTCTCTACTGTGCTTGTAAGCTCCACAATACTAAAAATGTTCAAGTAGAGGCTGGATGATTGTAGATTGAGCATTTTCCTAAAATAAATGTGAACCTGGCCTAATTTCCTCATATAAAATGCTTTGTATTATATTACAAAGTCAGGACTGCCTTTCATACACCTGAGCCTCAGGATAGTTTATTTGACTCTGTATAAAATGCTGACAAAGTCAGTGTCTTATCTACTAGGAACTTACAGTATATAGAAAAAAAGCATGCTTAAAACTTTAAGACCTATGATAAGGGTCTGCCAAGGTGGCAGCAGAAGCAGACAAGGAGCAGCTTAGTCCAATTATAGAGGCTTGGGGAGATTTTCTGGAGGAGGTGATTTCCTGTTTGAATTTTGAAAATAAGTAATAATTAGTTAAACTAGGAAGGGAGCAAAGAGCATTATATGAAATAAATCAGGAGGGCAAAACTAGAGGGAGGTGAGAGAGCATCTTAGTGACTTGAAGTCATAGTGGTTAGGGAACTATCGTATCCCTGGATTGTTCTGAGGGAATATATAGGAGTCAGACTGTGATGAGCTCTATTTGTCATTTTAAATAACTTACATTTTACCTGTATTATTCAAATAATCTTCCCTTTAAATATGTAAATTAACTCCATTCTCTAATACACATTTCTTTTATCCTAAAAGTTCTTGTGAAAATACATATTTTCCTCTTCTTCTGGTTTAATGTGATTGTTTAGTAGGAACATTTTAGGGTATAGTTTGACTAACAGCTGGATATTATTACAAATTTGCCCTCAGGGATATATTTCAGAATGGCTGCTGTGAAGAATATACATATAACTTCTCATTTGAAAGAACACACTAGATTGATTTTTTTCTTCCTCAGAGAAAACTTTAGAACAAAATGGAATTAGGCAGATGTCACTCATTATTTATTGGTCTCAACCACTTCCTCTAAGAGCAAACTAATGTGAAATGTTGTTTTCTGCATATATTAATATATTTATGCATTTATGCATAGGCATTTTTAAAATGTTTTAGGCATTGATTTGTGCTTATGTGCTCAAAATGCCAAAGACAATGAGAGAGTCCTTAACAATAACTAAAATGCCAGCTGCTGATTCTGTAATCCGGAAAGGTTTACATAGACAATGGGTCCTCACCACACATGCTTTCATTCTCATTACTTCCTCTTTGTGTTCAAATAAATGTCCAATGCATAGCTCTTTTCCTAATTGTAATTTCTTAATTAAGTTAATAGAGACCAACACTGTGAGTGTGTATCTCATGGTGTGAAGAAAATATCACCCACCGAGTAACACATCGGCTACTGGGGTGATTATAGTAACAAAACTGTAATTAAATGAACAAGAACTGTTGGTTTCAGAAGTGTCCCATACACATTATTTTATAAAGTGATTAAAGGCATTCCTATGCAGAGAACTTATATTGCCTTATTATTGAATAAACTCTACAAGAAATGTTAGTGTGTTAATCTTTGTTTATGTAATGGTAACTGCTAAAAAATCTTCTTAGAAAACATCTAGTTTATGTATGCAGAAATAATCCATGTTCATTGACATCAAATTGAGAGCACATTCATATCATTAGAAAGCAATAATTACACTAGAAGCTTCAAAACATTTTAGGGATTCTTGAATATTTGATAATAAATATATTTTCCAAAATAACTGCCTTTCTTAGTTTTCCAAAACACTGTGTTTAACTGTAATTCTTTTTCATAACAGTTCATTGAGGGGAGGTTATATACAGAGTTGTATATATGTGAGTTTACAGTTTATAGAATGGATTAAGATACAGTCTTTTCAGTGAAGAGAATCATTATGCTTTTTGGTTGAGAACATAGATAACTGTCAAAAACACTGGGGCTCAAATCTTAGTTCTGATCACTGTTTTACCATATATTGGCTCAGAGAGAATCTCTTCTGTTGAGGCCCCATAGGAAGATGAGCTGTAAGACCCAGCCCCCTGTGTATGCTCCAGCTTGGACACTCCTGTCTACGATGACCCATTCATTCAGCTAATTACAATACTCTCAGTATTAGCCCTTGCTCACTTTGAGCTGCCAATAGGAAGAGAAGCCTCTGCTTTTGCCTGTATCACAACTGTTGTCCCACACCTCTCAATGGTCTTCCAAATCTGTGGCTGTGCTCTCACTTAAGAATATATTGAGTTTACCACTTTTCAAATGGAAAAACTTTGGTAAATCACTTAATCTACCTGAAACTTGTTTTCTCCCTATGTAAAATTGGATAACAATTATACTTTAATTCAGATTCCTCCCCCATCAAATAAATCTAAGAGGAGGATGAAGGCGCAGGAATTTAATTTGGGACATGATCACAGGAAACAGGAATGAGAGAGTGAGAAGAGCTGAATACGGAATAAGAATGAAAAAGAGCTGATAGATATAAACAATGAAAGTTCAAATCCACAAGGCCTTTGTAAAACTGAGAGTCCTCCTAGACCTGTTCATGTGAGGAATGGGCAGCTGAGAATTAATCTACTAGATCTTGTACTCCAGTTAGTTGAATCTCCTGCCGTTAGTTGCCAGGTAAGTCTTGAGGCAGTAAGCTGCAAGCATAGTGCAGTGTGAAGGGAGAAACTGCCAGAGTGGGTCTGAGCTCTCACTGAACTGCTCACTGTAGGTCAGTGGAGAATAATGCAGGCAGTAAAAACTGCTGCTATACATTTCTAACATACAGGATTATTTTGAAGAATAAATATAAAAATTTATTTAAAGCATTTCAAAAATTATGGGAACATGCAGCAGGCATGGAATAAATGACAATCCTTCTAGTATATATTTATTGTCATTAGGATGAGAATCATTTTTTATTATTCTGTGATGAATCACATATTTTGAGAAAGTTCATTTATTCTGACATGCGCATTGAAAATAAAATGCCTTTAATCCACTAGTTTATAACCTACCTCACATATAGACTCTGCAGGATATGAAGGAAGGCATGCTATTTATATCACTTTCTTATATATTTGTTGATGGTCATAAGATAATTGTATCTAGGATAAAATTTAACAATCCTGCCATAGTTCTCCATTCTAATTGGCTGTGGTGATCACTGAATTAAGTGAGTCTCATGACATCTGAATAACAGCATATATACGGATTGTCATAATAACTATAGAAAGCTCACATTATTGAATAGCTCACACCCCTTCAATCCTTCTCTCCATCATCCTCTCTCTATGGCCTTGCTTAAAAGTGGAATCTTTTATAATTCCCAAATACACTATCAATGCATAAGTACTATTCTCTATATTCTTACCTTTCCTATTTTTGGCCTCATGTTATATGACGTTTTTTCCCCTTTTTCTTCTCATGTAGTACAGTCTCAGTCACATGTCTTTCTGAATTATGTTCCATTCTTTCTAAATTTTTTTCTTTTGTTAATTCATTCTTTCATATAACTGTGTTCCATATATTGTGCTATGAGCAGGGTTTAAAAAATGAAATATGGAACCCTACTTTTGTTTATTTGATGGCTGAAAGAATAATTGATAATCTCCATCTTGATTCATCTAGTAATATTGTAACATCTTGAAATATTTTTATATATTTAAAATTATATATTTATGCATGATTTTATTTGAAATAATTGGGAAATAAAATTTAGATGGAAAAAGAAATCTATACAAAGTATAGAAAAAAATCACATAATATACCCAAATGTATACAGTTATGATTTGCCAATTAAAATGACATCCTTATTGAAAAAACATTTAAATTGTCTCTTTGCAAGTGTCATGATCCATAGATATACACACAAACGCACCTATATATACACATATACACATATATATACACACATGCATATATAAAAACATATAGACATATATGCACATGTGTGTATATCTACATATATATATATATCTAAAATTCCAACAAAAATATCTTAGAGCTGATAAAGGAATTTAGTTATTTTGCAGGATACAAAAATCAACATAGAAAAATCAATAGTGTTTCTATACACAATAATGTACTTGAGAAATAAATCAAGGAATTAATCCCATTAACAATAGCTACAAAAAATAACTAGAAATAAATTTAACCATGAAGGTGAAATATTTTTACAATAAAAATCTACAAAACAGTCACAAAGAAATAGAAGAGGAGAAGAAAAAAAATGAAAAGAGATTTGATGTTGTTGAAGGTAGAATTAATTTGGTTAAAACAAACATACTATGCAAAGTGATTTACAGATTCAATTCATTCTCTCCTAAAAGACCAATGACATTCTTCACAGAAATAGAAGAACAATTTTAAAGTTTGCATGAAACCACTAAAAAACCTATATACCCAAAACAATCCTGAACCAAAAGAACAAAGCTGGAGGCATCACACCACTGGACTTCAAAATATACCACAAAGATATAGTAATCAAAATAGCATGGTACAGGTCATGGTAAATGGTAAATGTCAGGTATAAAACCAGACATAGACCAATGGAACAGAATGGATAACCTAGAAATAAATAGACATGTTTACAGCCAAGTGACTTTTGACAAAGGTGCTGAGAACAATCATTGGGTAAAGGACACACTCTTTAATAAACAGTGCTAGGAAAACTGGACATCCACATGCAGAATAATGAAACTAGACCCCTATCTCTCATCATATGCAAAAAATGTCCTCAAAATGGCTTAAAGACCTAAATGTAAGACCCAAGACTATAAAACTTCTAGAAGAAAACATAGAAAAAACACTTTAGAACATTGGTCTGGGCAACAATTTTATAGGTAACATTTCAAAACCACAGGCGACAAATGCAAAAGTAGGCAAATGGGATTATATCAAACTAAAAAGCTTCTACACATCAGAGGAAATCATTAACAGAGAGAAGAGACAACCTGTGGAATGAGAGTAAACATTTGCAGACTATTCACCCAAAAGGGATTAATATCCTGATTATAAAAGGAACTCCAGCAAGTCAAGATAAAAAAAAAAAAAGATTAAAAATGGGCGAAGGATCTGAATAGACATTTTTCAAAAGAAGACAAATACAAATACAAAGACAAATAGCAAACAGATAAATGAAAAAAAAATACTCAACATTACCAATCTTCAAGGACATAGAAATCAAAACCAAAATGAAGTATCATTTCAACCCAGTTAGAATAGCTATCATCAAGTAGACAAAAAATGACAAATGCTGATGAGGATGTGGAATAAAGTGAAGCCCTTATGAAAACTAATATAGCAGTTCCTCAGAAAACTAAAAATAGAACTATCATATGATCTAGTAATCCCACTGTCAAGTATATATATATTCAAAGGAAAGGAAATCAGGATATCAAAGAGATGTCTGCACTCCCGTGTTTATTGTAGCATTATTCACAATAGCCAAAATGTAGAATCAACAGATAAATGGATAAACAAAATGCTGTATATATAGAAAAAAGAATATTATTCAGCCATTAAAAAAATCCTGTAATTCTAGGCAACAAGAATGAGCCTGGAGTATCTTAAGTTAAATGAGTCAGGCACAGAACATGCAAGCATATGTTCTCATTCATAGGTGGAAGCTAAAAAAGTTGAGCTCATAGCAGTAAAGAGTAGAATAGTGTTTATTAGAGGCTGGGAAACAAAGGGGAGAACGAAAGATGAGGAGAGGGTGGCGAGTGGATACAAAATTAAAGCTAGATAGAAGGAATAAGTTCTAGTGTTCCATAGCACTGTAGGGTGGCTATAGTTGTTAAAAATGTATTGCTTATTTTCAGATAGCTAGAAGAGAAGATTTTGTATGCACCCAACACAAAGAAATAACAAATGTTTGAGGTAATAGATATGCCAATTTCCCTGATTTGATCATTGCATATTGTATACATATATGGAAATATCACTCTATACCTAAATATGTACTATTATTATATATCAATTAAAAATAAAAAGAAGAATAACTAGGAGTAAATTTCAAACATCTCTAAAAACATAAGTGAGGTGATAGACATAATGATTATCCTGATGTAATGATTCCACATTTATGCATCTATTAAAACATCATATTTTACCTAATATATACAATTATGATTTGTCAATTAATATATTAATAATCAATGAACAAATAAATGTGATTACTTAATACCATATCTAATTTTTAAAACCTAAAAACTTTATTATTATTCTCATTGAAGATGGAAAAGAAGTCTCTTCTTAGCATTGCATCTAAGATAATTGTTGCTTCCACCCTAAAGCTAGTCTTTCTGTCTTCTCTAATCTCAGTCTAAAAAATGCACCTGACTTCCCAATTAAAATATGTGTCTTTCAGTTTTCCGTATACTCTATAATTTCTTCTTTACACATGCCTACATTTCATTTGCTGCTGCTTTGGTTAAAAACAAAATTTTTAATTTCTTTGTCTTTCTTTTTCATCTCTTCCTTTCTCTAATTTTAGTTTAGCTAAAAGTAAGATCCAGCCTAAAGTTTAAATTATCTGTGAAGCCATCTTCAGATAACCCAGACTGCCACTTTTTCTGAGTTCCCATGTCATATACGATCTGACTCAATTAAACATGCCTAATATTAATTTACAATGATTTGCTTATCACTCCTAAGATAACTGAGATAACTATGAGTAGGAAGAGTGTCCTGTTCATCTGCATGTTATTAGATGTTGTTGGAATGCAGTACAGTGTCTAAATAAAAGAATAAGCGAATACTTTCCTGGGTACAAGTGATAGTTGTATCCCAGGCTGTAACCCAGGCTGATAGTTCTGTTTTTTTTGGCAGAATTTTCTACATGGAATGCATATTTTCTTCTTGATTTTTTTATGTAATTTTGAACAAAAAGTGTGTCTAACCATGAAATTGTTTGTGCAAAAAAAATCTCTCATCTAAAGTGGATCATAATAAAACTCAGTTATTTTAGGGATGAAAAACGCAGATTGGAGCTGCAGCATGTCTTGCATAGCATTCACTTATGGACTTGTTTTCTAAGTATTTGAATTAATACAAAATGTCCCAAATGATAGGAGATTAGGTTCTCTCCATTAGCTAATCCTTTGTGAAGTAACAGCATGCCCAAATGTTGCTTAGTTCTAATCAAAGACCTGATCCATGTGGTAAAATAACAGCAAAAGGAAAGCTGCTTTGATATGCTAATGATTCAATGTGTTATTCATGAAGTGTCGCTCACCATGGACACTGATATCAACTCTAGCAGAGAAAACAGTTATTACACTTTGTTTTATTTAATTTCCATGCTTTACTTGAGAAGTGAATATGAATGAAGAGAATGCTAATCTTTGTTTTTAGAAAACCAAATCTTCAGGGGAACAATAGATCTTGCTTGTCCTTTTCCTTAGATTTACTTTAGCTTTCTAGAAAACATATCACTTTTCATAGAGGTATGTGTTTTCATTCCTGGCATGATCTTTTGCTCCCATAAGCTAGATAGTTTTATTGAATAAACACGTTCAGTGTTATATTGTTGACCAATTTCTATTAATAATAGATACGATTTATGGAATGCCTTCTATATTAGATATTTTGTGTGTATTATCTCTAACAAGAGAAATTTTAAGAAAACTGATATTCAGAGAATGTACACAATTTCCTATAGTCACACAAATAAAAATGTGTGGAAAAGGGTTTAAATTCATGTTTACCTTGTTCCATTGGCCATGTCTTTTTAACACCATTGTATTTATTTGGATGGGCTGTTGTACTGTAGAAACAGATGCCTGATCTCAGTGACATGGCACGAAATAAGTTTATCTCTTTCTCAGGCTGTCTGTCCTGTATGAGTTGACAGGGCAACTGTAACTAGTGTGATGAATTTGATACATCACCACAGCTATGAAAAGAGAATATGGTAAAAGGCCATCTGGTCCTTTAAGCTTCTGTGTGCAAGGAGCACATTTTTGTTTACATTACATTGACCAAAGCAAATCCCATGGCTACCACTTTGAAAAGCTCTGGGCAGTTCAATTTTTCTTCTAGCCGGGGAAAAAACAGAGCTATAAATATTTTGTAAGTGACATTAACGACTGCTGCACCATGTTATGTCCCAAATGTATTCTGAAATCTATCATTTTGATAACTTACATCATTGAATAGTGAAATACAGAAATCAAAAATCTGATAAAATATAGCGTAAGCATCTGTGATATACATTTCCATTGCTTCTTTGTAGTGGCCTTTGAGTACTCTGTCCTAGTTTTTCTATTGTACGTCTGTTTCCTTATTGTCTCTTTTAAAGTGTAAATTGTTTTTTATTCCATGTTCTCCACTTTCCAAACAAGGTTTAAAATATGCTGCCAGCTTAAATGTCCTAAAGCTCTGCTTATTCATATCACATCACCTTCAAAAGAGTCACATTCATTACATGATTGGGTTGAAAGAGAGTGACAAACCAGGCTAGTGTTTAACACTGCCTGATTTTTGTCAACTTGGCACTACCAGTCATATACATAATAGTTAAATGTCTTCCAAAATCCTATTGCTTTGTCATTTACCAACCAGAGAAGCTCATGTGCAATTTGAAAGGTAGAAGTAAAAAAGGGGTTGTTATTGATTAATGGTCTTGCTGGTCACAGAGAACAGCTTGCTCAGACACAGTGGCCTCCATTCACGTCTCCTTCAACTGCCATAGACAAGGCACTTTCTCCAAAGCTCCCCCAGAATTCATCTGCTGTCCCAGTCTGGTTGTCAGATGGACTCAAATTCTCAGACTCTCCTGCACTCTCTAGCTTTTCCATCTGCATCAATGTTTGAGGCTGATATGTTTAGGAATTATTTCTCTGAAACTCAACCTACCTCTTTGCAAGTTTCTCTATCTCAGCTCCTCCCACATTCCTGTGAAGCCATTCCATATTATGTACCAGAAATACGCATTTTCCAAAACTGTTATGATTTGGTATAATAGCCACAATCTTCAGCCTAGAATGTGTGGACTTCCAAA
Source organism: Homo sapiens (assembly GCF_000001405.40). Lineage (NCBI taxonomy): Eukaryota > Metazoa > Chordata > Mammalia > Primates > Hominidae > Homo > Homo sapiens. The sequence continues at coordinate 66,971,062 of NC_000018.10, read as the reverse complement.
CTCAACCATAGCTATAGTCTTTGCTTTTATTTTATTACTTGATTAATCACTCTGAATAATCAAGCAAGAATCAACTATAGGCTTTATAATAAATATGCGCTTTAAATATAAGGACACATGAATTGAGAGTAACTAGATAGGAAAAGATACACCATGGAAATCATAGGCTTAAGGAGGCCAAGGTGATTATATTAATACCAGGGAAAATGAACTTCAAAGGCTACTACAAAAATAAGAAGGACATGTCATAATGATAAAAGAGCCAGTTAATCAAAAAACTGTAATGGTCTAATATCTAGAATCTACAAGAGACTTAAACAAATTTACAAGAAACAAACAACCCCATTAAAAAGTGGGCAAAGGACATGAATAGACACTTCTCAAAAGAATACATGTATGTGGCCAAAAAACATATGAAAAAAATGCTCAGCATCACTGATCATTAGAGAAATGCAAATCAAAACCACACTGAGATACCATCTCATGCCAGTCAGAATGGTCATTACTAAAAAGTCAAGAAACAACAGATGCTGGTGAGGCTTCGGAGAAATAGGAATGCTTTTATGCTGTCAGTGAGAATGTAAATTAGTTCAACCATTGTGGAAGACAGTGTGGCAATTCCTCAAAGATCTAGAACCAGAAATACTATTTTACCCAGCAATCCCATTACTGGGTATATACCTAAAGGAATATAAATCATTCTAATATAAGGATACAGGGATGCATATGTTCTTTATGTTCCTTGTGGCACTATTCACAATAGCAAAGATATGGAATCAATCCAAATGCCCATTAATGATGAATTGGATAAAGAAAATTTGGTACATACACACCATGGAATACAATGCAGCTATAAAAAGGAATGACATTATGTCCTTCACAGGGACATGGATGAAGCTGGAAGCCATCATCCTCAGCAAACTAACACAGTAACAGAAAACCAAACACCATATGTTCTCACTTATAAGTGGGAGCTAAACAAGATAACACATGGACACAGGGAGGGGAACATCACATGCTGGGGCCTGTTAGGTGGGTGGTGGTACAGAGGGACGAAGACCATCAGGATAAATAAACAGCTAATGCATGCAAGGCGTAATACCTAGGTGATGGGTTGATAGGTACAGTACAGCAAACGGCCATGGCACATGTTTACCTATGTAACAAACTTGCATTTCCTGCACATGTATCCCAGAAGTTAAAATAAAATAAAATAAAATAAAATAAAATAAAATAAAAACTGTAATGGTCACAAATGTGTAAATGCTTAATAACAGGGCCTCAAAAACACATGATTGAAAAAAATGAACAAAGCAATAGAAAATTCTATATTCCTAAAGTAAGACATTTTAAAATACCTATTGAATTATCTTGTGATAACTAAACAAAAATTATCAATATATTTATAAAGGATGTGGACAACGTTATTGACCACTGAAACCATTTGACATTTTTAGAGTTCCACATCCAAAAAATAAAGAATGCATAGTTATTTTCTACTGTGCATGTTAAATCCCCAAACATAGTTTATATACTGGACCAGTAAACAAGTCTTATTTAATTTAAAAGGATTAATACTATATAGAGTATGTTATTCAACCACATCAGAATTAGATGATAAATTGAAAAAACATAAAACAAAACACTAATACCAATAGAAATTGTACACCACATTTCTGTAACATCCATATGTGAAATGATAAATCACAAGGGGCAAATTTTAAACTAAATAATAACTAACATGTAAATGAAACACAAAAGTTACTGGAATGGTGATAAAACTATTCTTTTGGGAGCATTCTGTATACTTCAAACACACTATAAAAGAAGGTTTAGAATTAGTTACCAAATGTTCCAACAGAAGCATATAAAAATAATTATGTATTAGGTGAGAACCGAAAAGGATCAATCATATACCACAAACAAATGGTATTGATACCAGCAAACCAATGACAGTTTAACCTTCGAATGCCAATCAAGTTCATATTGACAATAAGAAAAAATATGTGGCTTGCTAGTACTTTGAAGAGGATAGCATCAGATTGGAAAGAATTAACATATTAAAAATATTCAAACTTCCAAAATATGAACATGGCTTGTCTCAGTGCTTATCTAGATCTTTTATTTCTTTCATCAGTATTTTTTGGTTTTTGCATAAAGATCTTTCACCATTTTTCTTAGATTTATTATTAACTTCTTTCATACTTCAATGTTATTACTTTTTTATATGAGTCAAATTATTTCTTAATGTTATATAGGAATACGATTGAGTGTTTTATATTGACCTTGCATCTTTCAATCTCATTAAATTTGCTATTTATTGCAGAAATGTGTTGTTGTTTTGTGTATTCCTTGGCCTTTTATATTAATTTATATTGAATTTTGTCTAAAGTCTAAAAGATAAATAACCAAATGTAATGTATGGTCTTTTACTGGAGCCTCCTGGGAGAAAACAAGGTAAATAACATATTTGGGGGATAATCAGTAAAATTCAAATACCCACTGGGCAGTGAATAACGTTTGGAAATTATTATAAAATTGTTAGGTGTGGTTTTGACAATTGTCTTTATTTGACTCATGCTTAAATATCTTTTCATGAATATTCTTCAGGGACTATTATAGCAAAATATTAAAATATGTTATCAAATATGAATGTATTTTGGTATTTATTGTGTTTTCATGTTTACTTTTATGTACATTTGGTAATTGTCATTGGAAAGAATTGTGTAAATATAAATATTTGCTAGAGCATCACACTATCTTGGATATATTTGTTTTATTGGAAATCTCCAAATACTCTAATGGGATATTTTAGTGAGTTAATTCTATTTATGCTGTTTCAAACACTGCACATTATATCATTCAGTAATCTACAAATACATTTTAGGGCTAATTTCTGGAGAAACCCTTGCTGAGGAATGGTTGTACTTTGTAACGTAAGTAGTAAATTCCACACATAAAAAAGTTATTTTAATTTTTAGGTTATTTAATTTTTAGATTTTGATATACATATATACACATATATAGATATATACATATATACACATATATAGATATATACATATATAGATATGATCTATAATTAGGTATATATAAAATTCCTTTTCTTTATGTGTAAAACATAATATAAGCTATCTGCTGAGATGAGGTCAAACCATGGGAGACTAAATTACAATTTAGAAAATAAGAACCAGCATCTCATAGAAAGAAAATCTGGTGACAGAGATCTTAGTTTTGTCAGATCATGGACATGTATTAAGAAGGCAGAAGAAAACATCAAGAAATCAGTGGCTGACACATCAGGAATCATTTTATATCAATTTTTTTTCCAAATTACATCAATAAAAGGAGGTTTTGAAATCTGACCTGGAGATTATTATGCGGTTAAAAACTTCCAGGCAGAGGAAATTGTATTTATGCAACAAATGTATCCTTTCACAACCTATATTTATTGTATAGTGGCTTTCATCCTGAAGTGCTTCACAAATTTGATTTACAAACTCTGTGTACTGCAATCATTTTCATTTCTGAAATGCACCTCATCCGTTATGCATCCACATATTGCATTTTATGAATTTCAGGATATGGCAGAGTAATCTCCAAATATAACAGAGTTTGAAATGTTATTTTATGGCTGCATGAAAACAACATGACAAATTGCTTACTCTGGTTTCTCTGACAAATCTCTCTTTTCAGTAAGTGGAGATCTAATTGAAATGTATACTTCAACTTGCAGGCAGCAAAAGATAAAAAATATCAACTAGGGGCTCATGAATGGGAGATGCATTAGTTAGCAAGAAATTTATTGGGTTACCACTGTGTATAGAAAACCTATTTAGGTGCTACATGGGGAAATGAAAAGTACAGCCTCTAGTCTTGATAATCATACCAATTAATTTGCACAGACAAAACATATCCACATCTGGATTTGAGTATTTTCTGTAAGTGGCAAACCAACAGATGTGAACAAACATATGGATCAAATTCAATTCACAAATGCTGAGTAAGTGTAGTGAGAATAGACTAGTCAGAGCAAGACTGACTTTAATTCCTGAAGGAAGTAAACTTGAACCAGCTTTCTATTGCTAGAAAAGTCAAAATACTCCTAACACTTATTGTGGACTTACTAGTAACACTAATTGTACTTTTATTGTACTAACAATATAAAAGTTTATATAAATTCTGTATTTTTATTTATTTGCTCATGCGATGGTTCATTCATTCCTTCACCATCCATGTATTCTACCACACATCCGTATATGCAACCATTAATTATTAAGGATTTCATATGCGTCAGAGAAAGTGATAGAAATCAATGACAAGCTAGGGAACAAAACAACCTATATCCGCCAAAGAGGATTAATATTATTAAGACAATATTGTTTTTACTACATGATAACACTCACAGATTTAAACAATGATTATAGATTTAAAAGGCTAATAGCTAACATCTGAACAATACCTGTTTGTATTTATGAACATGTATGTTATGGGCTAGATTGTGTATCCTTTCCCCACAAATGTCGAAGCCCTAACTTCTAGTAGTACTTCTGAACATGACGACATTTGGAGATGAGACTATTAAAGAGGTAATTAAGGTACAATGAGGACATTAGGGTAAGCCCGAGTCCGATACGGCTGTTGTAATTATAAGAATAGGAGATCAGAACACAGACACGCACAGGGTGAGAGATGACTAAGTGGGGACACAGACAGATGGCAGTTGTCTCTAAGCCAAGGAGAGAGGCCTTAGAAAACACCAAAACACACTGCCACTTGGATCTTGGACATCTACCTTACAGACCTGTGATAAAATGAATTTCTGCAGTAAAAGCCATCCTGTCTGTGGTATTTTGTTATGGCGGCCCTAGCAAACTAATATAGTAAATCTGATAAATATCTAAATCAAGTCCTATATCGTTCCCATGTCCTGATCCTTATGCATGAGGTTGTTTCTTCAGCGGTGGGCAAAGTATAACTGAGTAACTACAATTGTTTAAATTGCGTTTTTGAAAAGTGTCTTATTAACAACACTCTGTCAATTCAAGAAGATGAGAATATTGGTAGAAAATTATCTAAAATATCTATGGAGGATATTATAGTGTATCTATGTTTTTTGTTCAAATTGGTTTTCCTAAGAAACTGGATGTATATTGCTACAAAAACCATGTTTCCCTCAAGATGCAATAAATCATATTTTAAAACTCAGAGAAAGAAAGCCTAGAATTAGATAAGATGAGGGGGAAGTAAAGAAGATGGGCTGCAGAGAAAAAAATAATGAAATAAATACAAAAAGAAAATGAGAATATAGTTTAACTCATTTGTGATTACTATTTCTAAACTACCTTTAGAAAAACAGAAATGGGGAAATAAAAACTGAATCTCCCCTGATATAGTTTACTCCTAAATGTTTTCTTCTTTATTTCTTTCTCTGTCTGTAAGTACACATTTATCTTGAAAACTTACCTTATTTCTTTTGCAATTTCCTGAGTATACACAAAGAATTTTGTTTCTATATGAATGTGAATGTGGTTTTTGAACTATGACCAAATTGGTTAATCTGCAGTCAAATTGATGATGGAAAGTCGGCTATATTGTTTTATAACAAATATGTTCACAAACTAATTTATTCATAAAATATGTTTAGACTTCATCAAATTTATAATAAACTTACATGAACCTTTACCATCATGCAGCTAAAGAGAGCATTGAGTATTGAAAACCATATCTGTTTTTAACTTGCTTAGTCATGTATAAATTTATATAGGATAGCCAGGTTATATATATAGTTTCGTCATCTCAAATACCATATTTGTTCATAACAGTAGTGCTATAACATGGCAGGTATCATTTGCTTTTTTTCCAGAGGAGATTCGAAGGTATGTGAGGAACAGAAATAGAAAGCCCGGTGTTCTGTATTGAAATCCTGATTTATCTTAAAGTCAATGGTAAACAACTAATAAAAAGCATCAAAATCACTGACAAAGAATGATAGAATGCAATGTCTGGAACCTATCTGAGACAGACTAAAGTGGAATTAATTTTGGTCAAGCTTAGACATGGCATTTTGTTTTAAGTCTTCAGTTGATTCTTACCTACACATTTGGCAAAGAATGGACGTGCATTCAAGTTAGCATTGAATGTCTCAAAAAATGCTGAAATTATTCATAAAGAAAGGGAGAATAGGCTGGGCATAGTGGCTCATGCCTGTAATCCCAGCACTTTGGGAGGCCTAGGCGGGTGGATAACCTGAGGCTGGGAGTTCAACACCAGCCTGACCAACATGGAGAAACCCCGTCTCTACTAAAAATACAAAATTAGCTGGGTGTTTTGGCGCATGCCTGTAATCCCAGCTACTCCGGAGGCTGAGGCAGAGATTGTGCCATTGCATTCCACCCTGGGCAACAAGATTGAAATTCCATCTCCAAAAAAAAAAAAAAAAAAAAAGAAAACTGGGACGATAATTTTGGATTTACTCAATGTTGATACAAAAATAATTGTATATCCTATATATATATAGATTTCTCCAATAATATATATTGGAATTATAAATTATATGTATTTATGTAAATATATCTAATATATTACATATATTTATATATAACATAAATATATCTGTAGAAATATTTGTATATAAATATATGTAATACTTATATATAATTATTGTATATATGTATTATAATAATACAAATATATAATCTTAAATTATTTTATTTAAATATACTACATAATAATATAAATATAAAATAATTATATAATTATAATATATAATGTTATATATTATTATTAACTATATAATATGTATCATATATAAACACACAGTAACATATGATATATAATTATTATATATCATATATATCTCCTAATTTTATGTACTAAGGAATAACAAACTATAAAGAACTATATAAATCATATTATTAAAGCTATTGCTTGGTTTATGAATATGGGTTTTTGATGAATTAAACATTGAGTCGATCCAATAATAATTCTCCCATTCTTAATATATAATCCCAGCATTTTTTCAGGAATTCCATTTCTTCATCATTTATTCACAAAGATTTCTCTTGTCTCTGAACGGATCAAAATATAGAGGTAGTGAACTGTAATGAATACACTAAATAATATACTTGAATATTAGATGTAAAAAGATCCTACATTTTTGGAAACACTGTTTATACACTCACAAATATATGCACAAGCATGTATTCATGTATAATGCCTATCATATACATATGTGCACACATATGCATTCTCTATTCCTATACTAACTTTTAAATTTTCAGAATTCCACAATAGAAGAGAATATGACTTATTTTCAAAATGCAAGCTTGCACCAAGGCAGAATTAATTTATCTACTTTAAAGGTAGAATTTTCCTTTGAAAAAAAGTGACAACTTATATTCAATCGGATAGCAAGGGAAAATTTATCTCAGATGTAACTTACTAAGTCCAAAAGCTTTTCTAGGTTGTAAAAACTACTACTTTCCTCAGCTTCCTGACAGGCTTATATAATGAATGGCAATTAAATATCCATTGAATGAATCTGAAGGATAATAAAAATTATTAGGGTGATGAGAAGAGGAAACTGAAAAAAAATTGGAATTGCTGAGAAATCAAAAAGTAAGGAAAGAAACATGAATAATTAGAAGGCAAATAGCAAGAATAGAGTCAATAAATGGGATATGGTATATAAATTTAGATAGAAATTGTTTAGAGCATCTTCTCAATATTGAGAACAAAACTTATTAATAGCAACTGTGTGACTGAGTCTTCTTTCTTAAAAACTAATGTATTTTATCCTCTGTGTATTTTTAAATCTTTACATGATTTAATAAGCAAAATCTTGTCTCCATAATTCCATTATCTTCAGATGAATTAAATATCCCCGTGTTTACTGTTGGCATATAGAAATGCTACTGATTTTTGTATGTCACTTTTGTATCCTACAACTTTACTGAAATTTTATGAGTTCTAATAATTTTCTTGTGTAGTCTTTAGATTCTTCCAGATATAACATTATACCATCTGCCAATAAGAGTAATCTGACTTCATCCTTTCCAATTTGGATGCCGTTTATATCTTTCTCTTGTCTGATCATCCTAGCTAGGACTTCTAGTACTATATTGAATAACAGTGGTGACTGGAAACCCTTGTCATGTTCCAGATATTAGAGGAAAGGCTTTCAGTTTTTCCCCCACTCTGTATAATACCAGCTGTGGAAAATTCAGCTGATGTAAGCAATGTTTATATCACAAGTTTTAATATATTTAATAATTCTTACTGTTTATTCACTTCAGTGTTTTTGGCAGACATTAGTTACTTTTTTTTCCCCAACTTTTGTTTTAGATTCAGCAAGTACATTTGCAGGTTTGTTACAAAGGTATGTTTTGTGATGCTCAGGTTTGGGGAATGACTAAATCTGTCACCCAAGTGGTAAAAAAAAACAATAGATAGGTTTTCAGTTCTTGCCCTCCTCCCACTCTCCCCAATCTAGTAGTCCCCCAGTGCCTATTATTTCTATCTTTATGTCTATGTGCACTCAGTGTTTAGCTCCTACTTGTAATTGACAACATGCAGTATTAGCTTTTCTGTTTCTGCATTAGTTGGCTTTGGTTAATGACCTCCAGCTCCTGGAAGTCCTAGCCAGAGCAATCAGGCAAGAGAAAGAAATAAAAGGCTTCAAAATAGGAAAATAATTAAAACTATATCTCTTCATTGATGATATTTTTCTATACCTAGGAAAAAAACTCCACTAAAATGCACCTACAACTGATAAATGACTTCAGTGAAGTCTCAGGTTATGAAATCAATGTACAATAATCAGTAGCATTTCTATATACCAATTATGTTTTAGCTGAGAGCCGAATCAAGAACACAATCTCATTTAAAATGGCCACACCCAGAAAATGAAATTCCTGAGACTACAGCTAATCAAGGAGGTGAAGAACTATAAAACACTGCTGAAAGAAATCAGAGATGACACATGGAAATGGAAAATGCTTCCATGCTCATGGATTGGAAGAATCAATATCATTAAAATGGCCATACTACACAAAGCAATTTATGGATTCAACACTATTTCCATCAAATTACCCAACATCATTTTTCACAGAATTAGAAAAAAAAACAACTATTCTTAAATTTATAGGAAACCATGAAAGAGCCCAAATAGCCAAAGCAATCCTAAACAAAAAGAACAAAGCTGAGATCATCGCATTTCCCAACTTCAAACTATACTACAAGAGCCCACAGTAATCAAAACAGCATCGTACTGATACAAAAACAGAAACATAGACTGGTGGAACAGGATATAAATCCCAGAAATAAACAACCCACTTACAACCATGTTGTCTTAGAAAAACTTCATAGAAATAAGCAATGGGAAAAAGACTCCCTCTGCAAAAAATGATACTGGGATAACTGGCTATCATATGCAGAGGACTGAAACTGGACCCCTATGTATCACCATATACAAAAAATTAACTCAAGATGGATTAAAGATTTAAATGTAAAACCTTATATCAGTTTTAATGTTAATCTTTAAGTGTGTTAGGTTGCTTGATACCAGCTTGTCAACATAATATCATGCAGAAAAAGGCACAGATGAATTTCTAGGTATTTATACTGCAACTTTATGAGGTGCTTAATCTTCATAGCTAGAAATGAAGAAAGAAGCTCCATCACTGAATGTCAGTGGAGATAAAGAGCTATCAATCTATAGCGTCTCCTTACTGCTTCTGAAATATAGAGTAAAAATTATAATTTTTCAAAAGTACTTTTCTAGGAGTTACCTTTGAAAACTAAATCAGAGTTCCTAAAACTCTTCTATAAAATATTTTTACTAAAACATAATAGCAGAAGTTTGCAAATAGGACTTTCAATCATGACGTAAAGGAAATATTGCCTTAATTCATTCTCCAGACAGAATAGATGAAAGTTAAGTTTTACTTCAAATAATTTTTAAGAACCTGGGGCTTAAGTGCTTCGTCAACTTGAAAAACTGAAAAGACATTTTTAGAACAAATTTACGATGTCAATATCTGGGATTTGCTATAAATACTTGCAGTGTATCACACAGAAGAATGATCTAAGTGTTTCCCTCCTGAAGTTTCTAATTGATTGTTTTCGAAGCCTCAAATACATTCTTCAGTATAGGAAGCAGTCTTTCCTGAAAGGTATAATTTTAAAAGTAAGTTGCAGTCATTTATCAGTTATTCCAAAACCACATAAACTGCTATTTAAACTCATAAATCATACTTAATCGAATTTCCTTTTGATAATCAAAGATAATCCAAATTAATCAGGAAATAAACATTATTACACTTAACATACACATCTTAAAACATATCATATCTAAATTACATCATTTTTCCTGAATAAAAAGAAAACAGACAATTAGACAGTGTATTGCATTACTCATTAATCATACAAATAAGTAGTCATGACACAGTTCATTTTAGAAATAGCTGAATTGTTTTATTTTTTGTCTCGTTGATTCTGGCCCATAATTGTGATTGTGAATCTAAGATTGAAAGAAATTGAAGAATCCATGTTTTTCGATCTGAGCATCTCACAACATAAAAATTGCGGTCCTTGGCTTGCCTTACAATTCATTCTAGTTAGTTTTCCATTACCAGAAAACGACCAAGGAAAAGTTAGCTAAATTTATTAAATACTTGCTTAAATATTTTAATCATCTCTATTTTGCAGATAATGAATCTAAAGATCAAAAAGAAACATAATAAATAGAAAGTCAAGCTAAAATCCCAGCTTCCTATACTCAACACTTGTATTCTATTAATTTGACCACATTATATATTTTTTGTGAAACAATTAAATTAAATTGTGCATTTGCTTCTTATTAACCCTTGTAAATAACATTCATGTAGCTCTTAAAATTCTTTAAACATGCTTGTGTTATGTCAATGCTATAACTTTATGAAGTCAAATACAATGTGTGCCTCATATTTTAATCTGTACACCATTAAGTTAGTACTTGAAATATAGTGTACTTTTCTCAACTGTTGGGTAATTGTATGCCTTTATCACCTGCCCTTCAAGTAGAGTGTGTTTGTTTCTTTGTTTGTTTGTTCATTCTCATACCCAACTTTTACTCCCTCTGCAATATGAAGAACATTTAACATTTAAATCAGTACCTCCAAATTAGTCTGGTTGTAAAATATTGAAGCTATCTGTCTTCCAGGACACTAGCTATCAAAACAACTCAGGAGCATAACATTTTTAATTAAAATTTGCATGATGTATATTGGTGATACTTTCTTGAATAAATATTTTCTATTTCAAAATAGAAAAATTTGGCCTATCATAAACCACATGTTTGAAAACCATGAAACTGTTGAAACAAATATATTTTTTAAAATAAGGAGTAGTGAATAAAATTATTCATAAAATATCAATTTATTCCTGTTTTTTTTAGTGAAGAAGAATACAACTGATTTATTCATACAAAGAGTTGAGAATATTAAAATATGATAGACTTGTATAAAATCTCATATAAATTTAATTAAAAATGGATGTAAAAGCTTGGAAATGGGCTGGGCGCAGTGGCTCATGCCTGTAATCCCAGCACTTTGGGAGGCCGAGGCGGGTGGATCACCTGAGGTCAGGGGTTCGAAACCAGCCTGACCAACATGGCGAAACCCTATCTCCACTAAAAATACAAACAAAAGAAAACAAAACAAAACAAACAAACAAAATAGCCAGGCGTGGTGGCAGGAGCCTATAATCCCAGCTACTCGGAAGGCTGAGGCAGGAGAATCTCTTGGACCTGGGAGGTGGAGGTTGCAGTGAGCCTAGATCACGCCATTGCACTCCAGCTTGGGCAGCAAGAGCCAAACCCTGTCTCAAAAAAAAAAAAAAAAAAAAAAAAGCTTGGAGAATTAGGATGCTTATTTTTTGTGGTGTGTGATTGTTTAAAAATTGTATCACTATCAAACTGTAACAATTTTATAATTTATTGTTAAGTGATCATTTTTAGTAGGTAGCTAAATAGATTAATCAGCCAGTTTGAATTCCAAATTTTTAGCAGAATATTTATTAAAATCTTAGTAGAAATTAAAATGTCTATTTAAATATATCTGGTACTTCAGTGACTTTGTCATTCCAACTTTAAAAAATATCTCTTCTTTGTGTTATCATAAGCCATTTTAGAAAACAATACATTGATCTTTCAGTCACCTATTTAAAACTCCTTTAGCTTAATGAACATCATCAAAGGCACCTCAAACACGAGATAAAAACAGAAAAGCTATCTATTTGAAATACCAGCCTAGAATAATCAAATTTTGAGCCTAAAAAATTGCCCCAAAAATATGATTGAGTCTTGACTGGAATAAATATTGGAATGATAAACATTATTTTTGTGCAGTATGGAAAAATAGTAGTGTACCATTCAATTTTTATCAGTTTTTTGTAGTAATAAATTATCTGCAGATCTGATTGGCTTACATGAAGGCATTTATAGCTTGGTCACGTGCAGGTTCTGCTGAGATGCATGAGCTTGCTGCACTGTCTCATTGACGTCATCAATACTGTCTAATACAATTTTTCAATGATGGTGTTATTGAGGTATAATGGACATACCATAATTCACCCTTTGGAATTGTACAATTAAGTGATTTTTAGTATATTCACAGAGCTGCACAGCCATTACTATTAATTTTAAGATATTTTCATTCTCTAAAAAGGAAATCCTGTACCTATTACCAATCACTCTCCATCCTTCTATGCCCTATAACCAGATCCTAAAAAAACATATCTACATTGTGTTTATAATATTAATATTATGGACATTTCATATACACAAAATATGTGGCTATTTGTGACTGACATTTTTCACTTATAATGTTTCCATGGTTCATCTATGTTATAGGGCATTTCAGTACTTCGTTCTTCTTTATGACTGAATAATATTATACTGTGTGTGTGTGTGTGTGTGTATTTATACATATAACATTTTATTTATCTATTCCCAAGTTAAAAGACAATACATGTTTCATTCTTCTGGATATAAACCAAGGAGTGGATTCACTGGATCATATGGTAACTGTGTTTAACCATTTACATTAGGTGAAAAGTAACTGTGGTTTTACAATTAAAATTTTTTTAAAATTGCAAAAGCCGCATTTATCTTTGCACCAAACTATTACAAGCATTTCAAAGTGCTTATACAGTTTTACAGTTTGACCAATAATATATGAAGGCTCCAATTTCTCCACAGTCTTGCTTTTGTTTTTTAACCAATCATTGCATGAAACTCATTGCATTATGGTTTCGATTTGCATTTTCCTAATATCTAATTATGTGTAGCATTTTACCCCTGTTCTTACTGCCCCTTTGTATATCTTCTGTTGAAAAATGTCTATTGAAGTAATTTGCCCACTTATTACTTGGGTTACTGGATGTATGTTCTTTGTCCTTTATCTGATGAATGATTTACAAACATATTCTCCCTTCTGTGGGTTATTTTCACTGTTGATGTGATCTTTGAAGCACTGCAATTTTCATTCTAATGAAATACATTTTATGTAATTTTTCTTCTGTTATTTGTGTTTTTGGTGTCCTATCTAAGAAATATTTGCCAAATCTAAGATGAAGATTTACATTTATGTTTTCTCCAAAGAGCGTTATAGTTTTAGCTTGTATATTTAGGTTACTGACACATTTTCAGTTAATTATTTTACATGTTATGTTGTCGAGGTCAAACTGCATTATTTAACATGTGGATATCCTGTTCTCCCAGAATCATATTTGTAAATTATTTTTCTCCAATTAATTGTTTTGATACCCTGGTAAAAAAAATTAATCATAAATTTAAGTGTTTATGCCTGTTTGTATGTCAGAACCACAAAGGTTGCCTTAATGTAGCTTTTTAGTAAACCATGAAATTGAGAAGTGTGAGTCTTACAGCTTTATTTTTCTTACTTAACACCATCTTGAGTATTCAGGATGCCTTGTTTTTTCATAAAAAATTTAGTATTACCTTGTCCACTGAATTGACAGTGTAGGTCAATTTGGAGAACATTGTCATCTTAAAAATATTACATTTTCCAATCTATGAGTTAAGGACACCTTACTATTTCTTCAGACATTCTTTACATTTTCAGTGTTTTTACATTTTTAGTGTACAATCTTTCTCTTGTTTTGATAATTTATTCCTAGTTATTTATTTTATTGATTCAATTGTAAATTATACTGTTTACTTAATTTTATTTTTGGATTACTAATAGTGTATAGAAATGGAGGGCAACTGAATTTCTTCTGACTTTGTATACATAACCTTGCTGATCTCATTCATCATTTGTAATAGGTTATTTTGTGCATTCCTGACTATTTTCTATATATAAGGTCATATCACAAGCAAACATAGATAACTTTACTTCTTAATCACCAATCTAGATGCCTGCTTTTTCCCTGAATAGCCCTGGGAAAACTTTCAGCAAATGTTGACAAAAAGTGGCAAAAGCAGATATTTTATTTCGTCAATGAAACCAATGAAAAGCTTTCAGTCTGTCATCATTAGTATGATAATAGTTGCAGGTTTTTATAGATATACTGTATCAGGCTGAGGAAAGCCCCTTCAATTTCTATTTTATTGAGTGTTTTTTTTTTCATGAAAGTTTGCTGGACTTGGTGAAATGCATTTCTGTATTTATTGAGATAATCATTTAATTTAGTCCTGTAATCTATTAATATGATATATTATATTGATGGCTTTTAAGATATTAGATTGACCTTACATTCCTGGGGTAAAGCTTCATGGAGTTAGCTGGGAAATGTTCCCTTATGTTCTACATTTTGGAAGAGTTTATGAAGGACTGTTGTTAATTCTTCTTTAAATGTTTGGTAGAATTCATCAGGAAAGCCATGTGGGCCTTGAGTTTTATTTGTGGGATTTTAAAAATTATTATTCCAATATTTTATGTGCCTAAATTTATTTATATTTTTAATTTCTTAAGCAAGTTTTTGTAGTTTACGTGTTTCTATGAATTTGTTCATCTTATCTTGATTATCTACTTTTTGTATTAAATTGTAAGTATTATTATATTGTCCTATTTATTATTCTAAGGTCAAGTAATATCCCCTGTTTCATTCCTGATTTTAATCATTTTAGTCTTTTCTCTTGTTTTCCTTGGTCAATATAGCTTAGGTTTTGTTAGTTTTGTTGCTTTTGGTTTCACTGACTTTCTCTCATATTTTTCTATTCTCTATTTCATTTATTTCTCCTCTGACATTTATTATTTTCTCTTTACGTTGCACTTGGGTTTTACTTTATTTTCCTTAATGTTTGGTATGGTGGAATGTTCAGTTATTGATCTGGGGTCATCTTTTTTAAATACTGGTATTGAGAGCCTTAATTTTTATTTTGAGCATTGCTTTAGTTTTATCCCATGAGATTGGGTGTGTATTTTTGTTTTCATCAATCTCAAAAATTGTTATAATTTCCCCAGTGATTTCTTCTTTGACTCATTGGCTATTTAGGAATGCGCTGTTTAATTTTTATGTATTCGTGAACTTCACAAATTTCCTTCTGTCATTGACTTCTAATTTCATTTCATTTTAGTCAGAGAAAGTAATGTGTATGATTTTAGTCTTTTTAAAATTCCTTGAGGCTTGCATAATGGCCTTATACACATTTTATCCGGGAGAATATGCCATGTGCCCTGGACAAGAATCTTGGAGAAGAATCTGGGATTCTTTCTACTGTTGGGTGGAGTGTTCTTTATCTGTTAGGCAGATTGTTTACAGTGTTGTTCACCTCATGTGTTTCCTTGTTGATATTCCGCCTTGTTGTTCTACTTATCATTAAAAGTGGGATTTGGCATTTTAAAACAATTATTTTTTTTCTCTTTCTTGTTGTTTAGTGAATTCCTCTGATTCATTATGACATTAATTATTCTTTTTCATATGTGGTCACTGAAATTTGATTCAATTAGTACATTATTCAGATAATGTTGACACAGAGAGTTCCTTAAATGCCTTAAAGCTATATGTCTCCTGGCATTTGCCAAAGTGGGGTGTGTGTTTGTGTGTGTGTGTGTGTGTGTGTGTAGGTATGCACGCGTTTCTGGCTCATCTTTAACACTCCAGCAGCTTTTAATTGCCTTACCTTTCATTCCCTGGTGTGTAGACCCTTAACAAGAGCCACAGGTGAGATTCTGCACATTCTCAGGCATTTCTCATGCCCACAGCCCTGCACACATACATGGCCTTCTAGATTGTCAGGAAACTGATTCTTTTTAAGTCCCCGTATGTCCCTACCTTTTTCCAGATTTTCTTTTTAAATGTTTTTGTTTGCCTCTGATTTTTCTAGATGCATGTTCAGGAGATAGGGCTGTTCACACTAAATAAGCTCTGAGTTAGGTAAACTAAAGACAGCCCTATGAATGGAGAATTCCCAGGAAACTTTCAGATACACCAAATAGTGACAATTGATTAGCTATAGTGCTATTTGAGTAGTTCCAACTATTATGCCCCTTTAACGATAGCTAGAGTGCTCATTTTTATGATTACTCTGCTTTTGAGGCTGTTGGCTTCAAGACTACCACGGAACTGGACGGGGAGGGTGGAGAACGTCATGGGGCAAGATAGCATATCATAGAACTTGCTGTTGTTATCAAGATTCAGCACTTTTCAAAAAACAAATATTCCTCAGATTGTTACAAACATTTGAGTAATTTCCAGAGCTTTAAAAGACGTAGAGTTAGATACATTGTTTGCCAGTGTTCTTAATGCTTTTATAGAAGAGAAAATTTCTGGAGGTTCATATATATATATATATTTTTTTTTTTTTTTTAATTATACTTTAAGTTCTAGGGTACATGTGCACAATGCGCAGGTTTGTTACATATGTATACATGCACCATGTTGGTTTGCTGTATCCATTAACCCATCATTTACATTAGGTATTTATCCTAATGCTATCCCTCCTCCATCCCCCCATCCCATTACAGGCCCCTGTGTGTGATGTTCCCTGCCCTGTGTCCAAATGTTCTCATTGTTCAATTCCCACCTATGAGTGAGAACATGCGGTGTTTGGTTTTCTGTCCTTGTGACAGTTTCTCAGAATGATGGTTTCCAGCTTCATCCATGTCCCCACAAAGGACATGAACTCTTCCTTTTTTGTGGCTGCATAGTATTCCATGGTGTATATGTGCCACATTTTCTTAATCCAGTCTATCACTGATGGACATTTGGGTTGGTTCCAAGTCTTTGCTATTGTGAATAGTGCCACTATAAACATACATGTGCATGTGTCCTATAGTAGCATGATTTATAATCCTTTGTGTATATACCCAGTAATGGGAACTCTGGGTCCAATGGTATTTCTAGTTCTACATCCTTGAGGAATTGCCACACTGTCTTCCACAATGGTTGAACTAGTTTACACTCCCACCAACAGTGAAAAAGCATTCCTATTTTTCCACATCCTCTCCGGCTGCTGTTTCCTGACTTTTTTATCATCACCATTCTAACTGGTGTGAGATGGTATCTCATTGTAGTTTTGATTTGCATTTCTCTGATGACCAGTGTCATCATGTGTCTATTGGCTGCATAAATGTCTTCTTTTGAGAAGTATCTGTTCATATCCTTTGCCCACTTTTTGATGGGGCTGTTTGATTTTTTTCTTGTAAATTTGTTTAAGTTCTTTGTAGATTCTGGATATTAGCCCCTTTCAGATGGGTAGATTGCAAACATTTTCTCCCTTTCTGAGGTTCTTATTCTAGTCTGAAAAAGCATTTCTTATAATGCATTATTAAATATGTTAACTTCACATAAACACAACATAAATGCAAATATATTGGCTGCATATAATGATTAACGGTATAGAAAATTATCAAGAATTTTCTCTCTCTCTTTCTCTGTGTCTCTTGCCCCCTATCTGCACTCCCACCTATCCACTGAACACATGAAAATATTTCTATACCTTCCAGGGTTAAAAAAGGCTACAAATTCCACAAATAGAAAAAGATAATGGAAAAGACATGCTTCTATTTGCACTGTAGTTGTTTAGTTACTTAACATAGTCTTTTTTTATCCAAATAACTTACACTTTCCAAGTGAAACGTGCACGTTTGGGTTTATATTTTTCACAATATATACATTTGAAACATATTGAAGATACATATATGATCGATACACAGACACACACTCATGCACATATATATATACACACACAGATAGCAATATGCATCAACATATATATACTTCAATATATATATGTGTTTATATGTGTGGATATATCAATTTACTTATATATTTCTATGTACACATATCTATTTTCATTAACCGTAACTCTATTTTCAATGTTTTTCTAATAAAAAGTATGATCTAATAAATAAAGTAGATTAATTTTCAAATTTGGTAACATTTTTGGGTTACCAAACATTTACTATAACATTTTATTATCAGTGTTATATTAAAAATGTTGAGCATAAAAGAGAACCTTTGTCTATTTCTGGTAATTATGTTTATTGTAACAAAACTATAAAGTACCTTCAATAAATTAATCTGTGGCAGAAACTCTATTATCTTATTTAATACTTTTATCTATGTACAAATTAGGTCCAGATTGTCATTATCTTATGAAAAATATATAAAGCCTACTAAGGAAGGGGCATTGTTCTAAAATAAATTATATGTTTTAAGCAATTTATTTATCCCAATATATTTAGGAGAAGTGTGCTAGTATCATTCCTGTTTATAGGAGCAAATTGTACACTGTAATATTTTATGTTACTTGTCCATCACCACACTACCATGTAAAGTGTTGTTCATAATAATTTCTAATAAGCGAAAATTGTAACTCTTGCAAATATAAAAAGATTACATGTCATATGTATTATTTAACTCATTAGTGTGGATTCAGTAAAATGTCAGATACTGTTCAACAAGCATTTGAGATACTAGATATTTGTAGGCTATTTAATAAAAGAATATTAAATAAACTTTGCTCCATTAATCAATTGCTTAATATCCAACAGAGCTATAAGTCGTAATATTTGGGAATCTATTTTCCACCAGACAATTTATTTTAATCTTCATCAGATAAAATTGTATAAGTTAACCTATGTCTCTATGAAGTTATAAAAGCCTTGTCAGCAGAAAGGCAATTACAATACTAAATTCATTCCTGCCATACTTATAACAATAATTAAATAAACAATAGTGCCAAACAAGAGTGTGTGTATAAAGAAATGTGCATTTAGTTGTTGCTACTCTATTAAATATAATATTAATATTTATAATTGTGAGTTAAATATACTGTCAAATCTACTTGTTCTCAAGTTGGCTAACATCCTGCAAAATTAATTATTTGCAATATTCCCCAGGATTTAGAAGTCATTAAAATAACCTTAAATTGCATTATATAAAGCTTGAAGTCTCTTGTAAATTCAGTTTTGAAATTTATTTGCCATTTATAAAATAAAATATTTATGATATTTTTTATTAATAAACCAGTATTTTGACCATTTTATTTATTATTACTGTTCAGAGTGTCTTAGTTGTACTCTTTTTTATAAAATGGTAGCCATTTACTTGAAGACAAAGTGAAAAACTTGTCTTCCCTGACATCAACGTCTATAAAATTAAGGCATCAAATAAAGACTAAATACCACCTTTCTCCATGTTTATGTTTGTCCTTTTGTAATTGGAGACAACTATGTCCATCTGCTCAGATATAGCTTATTCTTTAAATATCTCAATTTGCTGCTAATAATTAGAAAGACAAGGAATAGTCCCCTTGAATGTGATCAATATTTAATTTGACCTACATTGATTTTTTTTTTTTTTTACCACAGTCTTTATATTTCTCCATGATCTTTTCCATCTGCCCTCAAAATAACAACCTCATGCCCCGTGGGACTTGCATATGTTCTCTTGTATACCAACTTTCTGTTCCTATTTCTTTTCTAGTTTTTATAATTGTCTTAAACTTGTTGCTTTCTGTTAGAGTCTTCTTGTTCCGTTCCTAGATCT
Organism: Homo sapiens; assembly: GCF_000001405.40. Taxonomy (NCBI): domain Eukaryota; kingdom Metazoa; phylum Chordata; class Mammalia; order Primates; family Hominidae; genus Homo; species Homo sapiens. The sequence continues at coordinate 66,951,061 of NC_000018.10, read as the reverse complement.
TTGCACTGTGGCTTTTGTCTCTACAATTTTCTAGACTATTTTTAATCTTCCAATATTGTTTTCTTAACTGTTGACAGTTTTAAGAGAGTTAATTTCTGAATTTTTTTTTTTTTTTTTTTACACAAGCTTTCACTCTGTCACTCAGCCTGGAGTGCACTGGCACAAACTTGACTCACTGCAACCTCAGCCTCCTGAGTTCAAACAATCCTCCCACCTCAGCCTCCCTAAGTAGCTGGAACCATAGGCATGCACCACCATGCCTGGCCTCTGATTTTTTTATACTTGGCTACTGAGACAATTCTTTTACAGATTGTCCTCTTTCAGTAGTTTCCTATTGGCTTACTTCTTTAAAAATTATTTTATTTTATTTTATTTTATACTTTATTGAACATCCTTTGTGTCTAGCTGGTCTTTAGGGTTCTTGTTTCAAAACTCTTCCTTTTTAATATATACTCACTTTGAAAGAAATCAAATCCTCGCTCTGTGCTTTATCAGTGGGTGGGGGATTTGAATGATTTAATTTAAAAGATATCAGTAGGTAACAAATTATTCAAAAAATTACAACAAAAATCTGAAATTACTGTGGGATTTCTCAAGATTAATTAATTTCTAATGTTTCATAGTTTGAGATTATAAGCTAAGCATTAAACAATTAAGCTAGTCACAAAATTCAAAATAGAGTTATTAATCAATAATCAACATGAAGTCTCTTAAGTGACACATATGAATCTTGACTATGTCTAAGGACCTTGCAAGTTTGGTATTTTGAGTATTATATTCAGTTAAAAAGATGACTTTCCCAACTGTACAAAATCCTTGGTTTTCTCTCAAGGCTTTAAGGTAGCTCTATAGTCCTGCTTATTACACTTAAACATGTATTTCATATCATATCTCACATCTTAAATGAATATTAGCACAAGGAAATCAATTGACTAAGCCAGAAATTAGCATTCAGACGTCATATTTTTAAGAGTCATGAATAGATTTTTTTAATTTTTACATCAATCCATTATTATTCTATTCTGTTTTCCAATTACCAGTCTACATTTTCCATAATTATCATTCATCCTTCCTATTTCTTTGACAGATAATTTATTAAATATGTGAATTCATACTTCTATGGGAGGGGGGCAGGGAAGTGCTGGGTAGAGAAAGGCAGGTACCTGGCTAGGGCTCCACCCCCACGGACCTAGGTGAGGACAGACATTCCTGCCTTTGCGCCCAAATGTTGCATTTTCCAAGACCACCCTGGCCCACCACACACCCATCCTGGGCCTCTAAGAACCTGAGACACTAGCGGGCAGACAAACAGGTGGCAAACTTCGAAAGGAGCGCACTAGTGGAAGAAGGCATAAGTGCATTAGTGGAAGAAGACACAAGCCTGAGAGGATGTCAAGGAAGCTCGCCCAGAGCACGCTGGTGGAATAGGACACTGACAGATGCCTGCACGCTGGCAGGCCATTGGCCAGCAGGACCAGACGGAGTTTGGCCAGGGCGGTTGGAGTACAGCTGGGGCCGTAGAGCGGCTCAACTCCAGGAGAAAACCATCTCCCTTCTGGCTCCCCCATCGCCGGAGAGCTACTTCCACTCAATAAAACTTTGCACTCATTCTCCAAGCCCACGTATGATACGATTTTTCTGGTACACCAAGGCAAGAACCCCGGATACAGAAATCCTTCTGTCCCTGCGACAAGGAAGAGGGTCTAATTGAGCTGGTTAACACAAACCGCCTATAGACAGCAAACTAAAAGAGCACCCTGTAACACATGCCCACTGGGGCTTCAGGAGCTGTAAACATTCACCCCTAGACACTGCCGTGGGGTCCCAGCCCCACAACCTGTCCCCTAGAGGTTTGTTCCCCTAGAGGTTTGAGCAGCGGGGCACTGAATAAGCGAACCACTCCCCCATCTCATGCCCTGTGACAGGGACATGGGAACCTTTCCCACTTCAATACAAAGGAATTAGAACTTTCAATTAGGTTAAAAATTAAGTGCATTTCAACTACATAAAATATGTAGAGTTGGATGTAGTATATGACAATAATTTGTCTTGATTTTAATGGAAGAGAAAATGACAAAACAGCATTGGTGGTAGAAGACTATTATGGCATTTTCCATTTTCCAGACATTATCCTAAGTGCCTTAAAGAAAGCAAACAATGTAATTATCTCAAGAAAGCTATGTAGCTGATACTAATTTAAAATGACTAATTTAAAGAAAAATAACTGATGTATAAAAGGTAGTCCAAGTATGGCAGACAGAAGTTTCCATGTGTTTAGTTATTGGATAAGTTAAGCCATTTCAGATGCTACAGAGGGTACTCAGAGGAAAGAGACAGGAAAAAAGTAAAGAAAATAATACATGAGATTTCCCATGTGTTGTGGGAGGGACCCGGTAGGAAGTAACTGAATCGTGGGGCCAGGATATTTCCATGCTGTTCTTAGGATAGCAAGTAAGTCTCATGAGATCTGATCATTTTAAAAAGGGGAGTTTCCCTGCACAAGCTCTCTCTTTGCCTGCTGCTGTACATGTAAGATGTGACTTGCTCCTCCTTGTCTTCTGCCTTGATTGCGAGGCCTCTGCAGCCATGTGGAACTATAAGTCCATTAAACCTCTTTCTTTTGGAAAAAAAAAAGAAAAGAAAAGAAAAGAAAAAATTTGCAAATTAAACTAGATTATTCCAGAGAAATAAAATATTCATCTTTTCTATTAGAGCTGGGCAAGAATTATTTAGATACATAAGCAACTCAAGTTTATTATTTAATGGTTCTGTAATATATTTTAGGAATTTGGTAACAAGTATATATTTTTGCTAAATGAAGACAGTATGGAAAAATCAATTTATCATATTTTTAGCATTTTGTTCAATATAAACAGTATTCAAAATATCTTATACTAAAAGTTAATTCCATAAGAAAGCAGAGGAAATTAAACAAACCAAAAAACACATTTTATTCTAAGTAGGAAAATTTTGCTTACTACATCTTGTCACAAAACTCATTAGCATGATAAATCTCTGAGTAGCATGTGGTGTGAAATGTTTCAAATTTCCATAATTCAATGGTAGAAAACAGGGCACTTCCACAATCCCAAAACTCCAAAAGGAAAATAATAGGATATTTTGGAAACTCTGATATATAGATTGCCATTATATCTCTTATTATTTTTATAGTAATGCCATCATGCTTTCTGCAATATTTTATTATGTTATCTTTTAGAACTTTTAAAAATTATTATTTTTAGTTCTGGGGTACATGTGCAGGATGTGCAGGTTTGTTACATAGGTGTGCCACAGTGGTTTACTGCACCTGTCGACCCATCACCCAGGTGTTAAGCCCAGCATGCATTAGCTATCCTTTCTAATACTCTTTCTCCCGACTCCACCCCACAACAAGCCATAGTGAGGATTGTTCCCCTTCCCATATCCATGTGATCCCATCCTTTAGCTCCCACTTATAAGTGAGAACATACAGTGTTTGGTTTTCTATTCCTGTGTTAGTTTGCGAGGATGATGGCTTCCAGCTTTATCCATGTCTATGAAAAGGACATGGTCTCATTTATTTTTATGGCTGCATAGTATTCCATGGTGTATATGTACCACATTTTCTTTAACCAGTCTATCATTGATGAGCATTTGGGTTAATTCTATGTCCTTGCTATTGTGACTAGTACTGCAATGAACATACGTGTGCATGTGTCTTTGTAATAGAATGCTTTATATTTCTTTGGGTATATACCCATTAATGAGATTGCTGGGTAAAATGGTATTTCTAGTTCTAGCTCTTCGAGAAATTGTCACACTGTCTTCCACAATGGTTGAACTAATTTACATTTCCACCAACATTGTAAAAGTGTTCCTATTTCTCCACAGCCTTGCCAGCATCTGTTGTTTCTTGACTTTTTATTAATGGCCATTCTGAGTGGCATGAGATGGTATCCCATTGTGATTTGGATTTGCTTTTCTCTAATGATCAGTGATGTTGAGCTTTTCTCATATGTTTGTTGGTTGCATGAATGTCTTCTTTTGAGAAGTGTCTGTTCATGTCTTTCACCCACTTTTTAAAGGGGTTGTTTGTTTATTTCTTGTAAATTTGTTTGAGTTCTTTGTAGATTCTGGATATTAGACCTTTGTCGGATGGATAGATTGCAAAGATTTTCTCCCACTCTGTAGGTTGCCTGCTCACTCTGATGATAGTTTATTTTGCTGTGCAGAAGCTCTTTAGTTTAACTAGATCCCATTTGTCAATTTTTGCTTTTTTTTGCAATTGCTATTGACGATTTCATCATGAAATCTTTGCCCATGCCTGTGTCCTGAATGGTATTGCCTATATTTTATTCTAGGATTTTTATAGTTTGGGGTTTTACATTTAAGTATTTAATCCACCTTGAGTTAATTTTTGTATAAGTTGTGAGGAAGGGGTCCAGTTTCAATATTCTGCAAATAGATAGGCAGTTATCCCAGCACCATTTGTTGAATAGGGAATCATTTCCCCATTGCTTGTTTTTGTCAGGCTTGTTGAAGATGAGATGATTGTGGATGTGCAATCTTATTTCTGAGTTCTGTATTCTGTTCTGTTTGTCTTTGTGTCTGTTTTTGTACCAGTATCACGCTGTTTTTGTTACTGTAGCCTTATAATATAGTTTGAAGTATGGTAGGGTGATGCCTCCAACTTTGTTCTTTTTGCTTAGGATTGTCTTGGCTATATGGACTCTTATTGGTTCCATATGAATTTTAAAATAGTTTTTTTTCTACTTTTGTGAAGAATGTAAATGGTAGTTTAATAGGAATAACATTACATCCATAAATTACTTTGGGCACTATGGTCATTTTCGCGATATTGAAAAATAGGAAAACTTCACAAACGTGCGTGTCATCCTTGTGCAGAGGCCATGCTAATCTTCTCTGTATCATTACGATTTTAATATATGTGCTTCCGAAGTGACCACATCATATGATTTTTGTCTGGTTATTTTAATAATGTTTTTCAGTAAATCTTTCTTACATCATTATTTTAATGCTTAAGAATACATATTGCTGTTCATATTTTAACATGTGCAATCCAGTATTCTGCAATATAATGCATAATAGGTTTTCCATCTTATCTTTGTAAATGCATGTCTGGTCATATCTAGTTATTACATGTATTTTCTTAAAAAGCAGATGCAGAGCCTTGAGTTAATTGTACGTATCAGTCCACTGCCCATTATCACATAATCCCCATTAAGGTCCCTTTGGCTATCATTATTTCCCAGTGTCCCTGTGGCCCACCAGTTTTTCTTCCACCACTCCCACTCCCCTTATAGAAAGTCACTAAATATGTTTACTGTACTTCCTTTTATGTGTACATATTTTAGTAAAATGTTTTGAGACTGTGCATATACTTTGTATTTATGAAAACTGTGCTATATGTCTCATTCTTTTTTCACTTGACAATGTGTTTTTAAGACACATATATGTTGCTAAGGTAGCTCATTTCCATTGCTGCTTACCATAATCTTCCCCTCTCACTATGAGCATCCACTGCACTATATCGTTCCACTCTCCCCATGATATCCACCTTGCTAGACTCAAGTCCCAGTCCCTAAACCAAGGAGTATCCAGTGATACCCTCAGGTAGAATCCTATAGAATTGTATTTGGGTTATATTCCCAGGAAAAGACATGTTTACTATTTTCTTGTAAAAAGTTCCAATGTCTAGAGTTACTGAGCCCAAGGATATGCAAGTTTTAAGTATTTGATATATATTATAACATAGTGTTCCTGCAAATGAAAACTGATTTAAACTTCTCTAATAATATGTGTACATACTTCTAATGATACTAAATAGTATTAATATTTTACAATGTGGATAGTGATAAAATTGTTTTAATATTGTGTCCTTTAATTATATGTGATTTTGAATAATTTTGTATGATTAAAACAGCTAGTAGTATTTTTATATTGTGAATTAGTTATCTATAAACTTTGCCAATTTTTTTTTCTGGTGGGATAGAGCATTTTATTATTTTCATTTATTTGTATAAATGCTTTATTTTTGAGACTATAACCCTCTTATATATTGTGAATGTATTTGCAACATGTTATTTGATTTTGAACTTAATATAGGACATACGTGCATGTGTTTTATTTTTCTATTTAATTAAATTATCAAGTTTTTAAAGATTTATGTCTTTAATAATGTACCTACATATATTTTTAAGTAATATATACATATTTACCAGTCTTCTAAAAATATAAACAATGAATCTTTATAGAATTATATTTGATGTATGCATCTAGGTTACTTCTTTTCTAAAGACTTAGTTTTTTCTATTATAGTTTATTAAACACGGATCCTAAATAAAGGTATAATTTTCTATGGTCTTTCTTCTAGTATCAGAGTATTTAAATTACCCAACTTTTATATATGCAAGATATAACATTGTACTGTAGAATTTAATGTACTTCCTTGAAAGGCAATATATTTTGTAGAAAAAACTTTCCTCATATTATTAGAAAACTTTGTTTTAATTTTCTATTTTATGTATGTTTCCAGATTAATATTGGAATATTTCAAATGCAGGGACAAAAAATATTACATTTTGGCTTTATTTTTTCATTTTAATATCTAGCACACTATCCTACAATGTGTATTTGATAGCATGTTGTATAGGAACATTTAATCAATTGGCATGTAATCCATTTTACTAATATCGTGCAACAATCATGTACAATACATTTACCTGGAATTAAGTAACTGAGGGAGAAAGTCAACAGATAAGTAAGTTCAGAACTTGTTGTGCATTTAGATTTATTCTGCATAAGGAAAAAGTCTTGAGATTTGAATAGGTAATAATTGAATTAATGAATGAAATATGACATGCTCTAATTTCCTTAAGAGACATTGTGGCTGCCATTTAGAATTGAAGAAGAGAGCCCCTGTAAGAGGCAAATCCTCTAATCTGTTCAAAGATAATAGTGACTTGGAGTAGAATTGTCATCAAAAAAGTTTTATGAACTCAATAGATATTTGCTAGATTTCTGAGGAAAAGACAACCCCTTGAAAAGGATTTGAATATATAGAGAGAAGAGTCAAAGATGTCTCCATAGCTTTGTTTTAGGCAGCTGGACCAGAAGGGTGTTTACAACTTTTGAAATATAGAAAGTTAGGAGACGAACTTTTCAAGCTATGCAAAAATAAGCTAGATTTTAGGATTTTGAGCTTTAGATGTTTCTAATACATCAGCATAGACGTAATACATTGGACGGAAAACCTCAAATTCAGGGATGAGATCTGGGATAGTGTTATTGGGTTGTTGTAGTACCACAGATGGCTGGATTGTCAAAGCAGATGCACAAGGATAATGGATCTTGCTCAGCGTCAAACTTCCCCAATGATTAGTGAAAGATATAAACAAAATGTAGGGACATTTCAGCCTTACAACATTAGTCTTTCAAATAGCCTCAAAGCCAACAGATACAGCTTCCAAAATGAAATAAAACAAAACAACACAATGCCAAACAAAGCAAAACCAGACTCATTCCCACCCTGGAATGAGTTTTGATTTTGGAGAAACAGATTGCAATATGTGTCTGCGACAATTTCACTTGGAGAAAGTAGTTTTAGTTTGAGTTTTCTTGGTTTCCATACTTTATTACTCACATAGGTAGATAGTCTATCTGGCTAACTTGCATTCTCCAGCCAGCTCTGTTCTTTAAGTCTATAAGTTCCAAGTATTTTCAATGATCAGTACAGACAAACATTCTTAGATAAGAACTTTTGCAGATATCTTTCTGGGATAAATCCCAATGCCATGTTTATACTTAGAATTTTTCAAGGTCAGCATTGCCTCCTCTGTGCCACGAGGAAGGGCAGTAGCTACAGAGCTGATGTTTGCTCTTTTCTTCCCAGGGTCATCAGCATGCAGATGGCATTTGAAGCAATGAGACTGTGTAGACCCACACAGTATGTTAATACTTTCTACCAGAGCAAGAGAGTAGGTGCTGCTTATTTTTAGTCCACTTTCACCGACTGTTATCCAGGTGCAGAGTAGAGCGAGCACTGCATTTAATAAGGCTTGGCAATTGCAAAATGAGTACATAGAAGTGGAATGTAGATTTAAATGTGTATGTGTATGTACGTGTGTGTGTGTATGTGTATATAAGGGTGTAAAGTTATAGGAAGGTTGAAGGGGAGAATGAGAAAACAATATCAAGCAATAAAGAAACTGCTACTAATTATCTTTGCTTACTTGCTTGTCACAAATTCTGGATAGCAGAGACCCTAAATATGTGGGTGTTAGAATGGGAAGGGACCTAAAGGAAGAGACAACAACAAAATGCACTTACACCTTCATCAAGTTTGGTAGAAAATCTTTTCTTTCATGAGATAGGACCTATGAGTGTCACAATTTTTCAATTCAGTAATACTGGCCAGAAAGTTAATGGATATTCATTTCAGATTCTGAAAATAGCTTGACTGTCAACCTTGGTTTGTGGTAATATTTCCACATGTACATGATTATACATACACACACACACACACACATACACATCCGTACTACACGTGTGTGTATGTTTTATTTAGAACATGGGAGAATCCACTTCTTAAGGACTGCTTGCTTCCACTTTCAAATAGAACTACTCCTAATGTAAAAATTAGCTCATCTAGATAGAAATAGCCTTATTAACTGTACTTTCTCTGACCGATATTGTTTATTTTGCTTTCCAAGTCAGTATGCCTAAATTTTAGATCAAAATTAAGGTCTTGTATATCATTTAACTGCATCATGTATGTAAAGTTTGTTAGACTTCATGAAGATTACATTTCAGTTAATTGGGAGTGAAAGCGTTGTGATCAAGAGTGAGAACAATGCGTATTTTACTCCAATCTAGCTTAAGCCTAATCATATGCAAAAAATAAAAAAATATATTATAGTCACCATCTGTTAAACATGCCTGTCCAAAACCTCAATTTGCTAATTCTCCACATTGTGAATTATACCTTCCTTAGGTAGAATCAAAATGTTAGGTTCCCAGGGTTCCTTGCCACAAGAGTGGAGCCAAGCAGCAGCCTCTATTTCCAAGGAAGAAGTGACATTTGGAATGATGGCAGAGTGTGCTCTCAGCTCTGGTAGCAATATTCATTGTGAAGATTATCGCTCTTTTTGGAGAACTTTAGCAGGGATGCTGGCTCTCTGGTATCTGGCCCCTGGCTTTTTGAATGGCCAGTGGTTTGCTGTGGCTGAAATTATTTCTGCTTAAAAATTTATGGTAAGTTTGGACAGTTCTCCTGGCTGTGTATCACAGAGTTTGATTTCCTGGCCCTTTCAAAAACTGTCAGCCAACAAATAGCCTCTAACAAGACCCTTTCTGTTTAAGCTAAATGAAGTAGATTCTGTAATCCAATCTTGGCAAATGTGTAATAATCACATGCGTTCAATGCTGAGCAATTGGCAAAAATACTTAGCCATATGTGGCTAAGGTAATTGTCTTTGTTTTATCCTATTGTGAATTTATGTGTCTGTCCAGAGAATGTGTTGCTAATTTGTTCCTGCACACCCTGCACTGTTCTTGTCCTAAGTTTTTATGCACTATGATGACACTATTTTTCCTTTAATTTTTTTGCATTCAATTTAGATGTCAAATCTTTGTCAACTAGATGCCTAATATTTGCTTTTTGTTTGCTCTGTAAAATGTTACCTAATATTTAACTAATTGAGGTAGTTTCCCCATTTGCACAGTGGTGCAGCACCCTTCCCACATCCAATTGTTCTCTGTACGATAAGCAGGAGAATTCCAGCTTCTCGGCCAATTGTCTTTATGGTACATGTACGTACTGGTGAGGACAGTATCTTCTAATCTATTCCTTTTAGAAGAAAGGGCATCTTTCTGTGTTGGGTGGGGGCAAAACATAAGACTAAGTGCTCAGGAGAAATATTTCTACCATGATGCTTAATTCTTCATTTCTAGAAGTATTTAACGTGTTGCCTTCTCAGCTTAATGTTTTCATTTTCATAAAAATAAGGAAATAGAGCTTAGATCAAGGGGAAGGTTGCAGGACAGAGTTCGTTATCACAAGGAGTGAGCAGATTAGAAAATGCTGGGACTACCCAGAGGTGACTATTCCAGGCTGTGTTTAGCATTCTAAAAACATCTTGAAAAAGGAAGGAACTACAAAATAGGGGTATAGATAGGGAGCCAATGCTAGTGAAGGAAGCAACTGAGAAATAGGTGGGGTGAAAGCAAGAGTTGAGGACTTCTCAAGCTGCCATGTGGGCCTCCTGAAGCAGTTTACAGGGTTCCTTTGGTAGGTACATAAAAGTTTGCCAAAAGAGGCTGAAATAGAGCATTAAGTAACAGTTTGGGGATGAGATTTGGCTTTTAAACTTTCCATACTTCTTAAGTCTTGGACTGAATAAGCAACACAAGAAGTTTTGGAAATAAATATATAAAAAAGTTTCTTCCTATGCACAGATCCTTTCTATTTTTTATTAGAAAAGATATGATGAAATACAAATTACATGAATAATTTAGTTATACAAAAGCTAAATTATTGATTTAGCTAGAATTATTGAAGGAACTTAGGGTCCCAGGATTTTCCTGTATGAAGGTAAAATAGGCTTTCAGAGTTAAGGAAATTGTTTCACAAAAGCTTGTTTATGTGGCAGCAATGAGAAGAAATAGGGTTTATGTATTTATTGTCTGTATAAATGTAAATAAATACATATGCAAAATATGCAAAATGTTAATATTTGCTTTTACAAAAAATGTAAAATACAGTGAAAGTTATATGAGTTGGTTATCTGATATCTTAAATACAACCTATTCATTCTCAGATTATCATTGATGTGCAAACATTTCTTTAAATAGAAAAATGCCAAACTTCGCCTTATTGAGAATATAAGCTTATAGAGTGACTGTAGTCAATACATGAAAGGAAGACGTGCACATAACATACATGTCCATGTGTGCAGTATAGATGTACTGCAATTTGGTTTTCTATTTATAAGTTAATGAACATCTGGTTTTACCCATATTTTAGTTTAATGAGGAAAGTCACTATAAACATTCACATCTTTATTTTTGTGATAGACATATGTTTTATTTTCTCTTGTATAAAAATTTAGAAATGGGATAACTAGTTTTATGGTAAGTGTATCTTTAACTTCATGAGAAATTGTTCATTTTTAGTGTAAGTTATTACTATATTTTGCAATTGAATTAATAGTTTGTGTGTTTCAGTAGCTCTGCCTCTCACCTGCATTTTTTACCACCTGTTTTTGTTTGTTTGTTTTGTTTAATTTTGGACATTCTAGCAGGTTATGTAATGATATAAGTGTGGTTTTAATTTTTTTAATGACAACTTATTTTAAACATTATTTTCTCATGGTTATTTTCTTTCTATATCTCTTCTTTGGTGAAGTGTCTTCAATTTATTGCCCAGTTTTATAGGGTGTATCTTATTATTGAATTATAAAAATTCACATCAATTTTGTATTTTGCACATACTTTCTTCCAAGTTGTGACTAGCATTTTAATTTTATTAACATTCTCTTTCAAAAAACATGTTTTCAATTTTTATGAAGTTCAATTTATAAAACTGTTTATGAATCATAATTTTATGCTCTATTGAGATAACCGTTGCCTAATCTTGGTTTGCAATGTATTTGTTTTATATTTTTCTATTAGATACTTTTTTTCTTTTAGACGGAGATTTTGGTTGTATATTCAGGCCTATGATCCACTTGTTTTAAATAAGATTTAGTTTATGTCACAATGTATTCATAAAGGTTCATTGTTTTTCATGACTATCCAGTTATTCCAGAACCACTTGTAAAAAGGTATATTCTTTCTCAAATTGAATATTCTTAACACCTTGATCAATAATCAATCGACCATATATGTCAATTGTTTATTCATCTATTTCTGGACTTTATGCATGACCTATGTAATTGCCCTAAAAGAATCTCTTATTATTCTAGCTACAATCCCAAATATATTAGAAATTAGTCAAGTAATTTTATTATGTGTGTTTCAGTTTTACAAGATAATTCATGAAATCTCTCATGAAAATTACAGAAGGAATATGACTGAGAGTATAATTTGAAATTATAAATGTCTGTTATTTTGTTTAGCTGAGAAGCTATTCTTTGGCACAGAGAGGAAAACTGAAAAAAAGGAGTTGTGATTTTTTTAATTTCACTGAAAATGTCACCAAAAAGTAACAGATAACATAAATAGGCATATCTCTCTCTCACACATAACACACACATACACGCAGAGAAAAATGTTAACACAATTGACAGCAAATTCTTTACTATATCTGGAATTAGATTATGTCTTTGATGTTTCAAATTAGACTCTCTTTCTTACATAAGGAGCCTGTGTTACCAAAACCCCAGGGGTTTGGTCTAGGCCCTGCTGCTCGCTGCACAGAAAGCCAGTCACTGAGAAAAGTATTGCCAGGGAGGAAGGCTTTAATTGGGTGCTGCAGCCAAGGAGGTGGGAGATCAGTCTCAAATCCATTTCCTTGACTAAAATTAGTGGTTTGTAGAGCAGGGACAAAATATAACTACATGCAAGAAAACAGGAATTAGGGAGTGGTAAGGAAGAGAAGTGGGTCAACAGGAAGCGGATGGTCAGTTAGGCCATCATGACAAGTGAAGGGTCTTGCAGATCATTTTACAGATACTGTGATATGATTGGGTGAGTTTAAGTTCTTTGATACTATCTGGGAGCCTTGATGGTTGGTTTCCTGATAAAGGAACTCAGATAAGGCAAATGTAACTTTCTCAAAGTTTAAGACTGGGAGAGTCAATTTCTGTGTTTATTCAAATAAACTGTAAACATCAGTTCTATGGGACAATTGGGCCGGTTTCACCTGGTTGCTCATTGGGACTGAGATAAGTCATGAGTTTGGCAAATACAGGGAAAATAGTGTCCAAAAAAGTCATGAAGATTCAGGCTAAACCTATTCCAGAAAGGACGTAAAGCTGAGAAGACCAAGTGAGCTAAATTTATGCCAAATTTATGACATTTTTTCTGTCCCATTTGAAGAATTGAAACATATTCAAAAGATTTGCTGCCTCTATGAAATATCTCTGCAACCACTACGTTATAAAATCTAAGTATAAGCTAATCAATAAAAACAGTGAGATTAAAACAAACAAACAAAATACATGAAAAGTAATGGGCAGCTTTCTTATGAACTGCAGTGGCCATAGTTACGCCAATAGGTTTCACTGGGAAGACAAGTAAGACAAGGCTTGAAACAGGCTTGGCCTGGTTTCAAGATTGCTTTTACATTTGTTTATTTCTGAAACAGATAACCGTCAATGCAAAATTTATGCACTGTGAAGATGTGGGTGTGTAAAATATGTGCTCCACTGATTCTGTCTTTTCTAATAGCAAGGCATCCAAAAATCAGAAGACTTGACAGATAATGTTTGTCAGAAATGCAGCATGTGCTCAGAGCCTTTTATTTTTGCCAGCACATTAACACCAATTAGCATTTACACTAACACAGAAAACTATGCTCTTTCAGAAGTTCCAACATCTAACCTAATGCTTATTTTCTAAGAATTAAATTTTCTGATGAGTAGGTTGTGAAAATTTTCTCCCATTTTGTAGGTTGCCTGTTCACTCGGATGGTAGTTTCTTTTGCTGTGCAGAAGCTCTTTAGTTTAATTAGATCCCATTTGTCAATTTTGGCTTTTGTTGCCATTGCTTTTGGTGTTTTAGACATGAATTCCTTGCCCATGCCTATGTCCTGAATGGTAATGCCTAGGTTTTCTTCTGACAAAGGGCTAATATCCAGAATCTACAATGAACTCAAACAAATTTACAAGAAAAAAACAAACAACCCCATCAAAAAGTGGGCGAAGGACATGAGCAGACACTTCTCAAAAGAAGACATTTATGCAGCCAAAAAACACATGAAAAAATGCTCACCATCACTGGCCATCAGAGAAATGCAAATCAAAACCACAATGAGATACCATCTCACACCAGTTAGAACAGCAATCATTAAAAAGTCAGGAAACAACAGGTGCTGGAGAGGATGTGGAGAAATAGGAGCACTTTTACACTGTTGGTAGGACTGTAAACTAGTTCAACCATTGTGGAAGTCAGTGTGGCGATTCCTCAGGGATCTAGAACTAGAAATACCATTTGACCCAGCCATCCCATTACTGGGTATATACCCAAAGGACTATAAATCATGCTGCTATAAAGACACATGCACACGTATGTTTATTGTGGCACTATTCAAAATAGCAAAGACTTGGAACCAACCCAAATGTCCAACAATGACAGACTGGATTAAGAAAATGTGGCACATATACACCTTGGAATACTATGCAGCCATAAAAAATTATGAGTTCTTGTCCTTTGTAGGGACATGGATGAAATTGGAAATCATCACTCTCAGTAAACTATCGCAAGGACAAAAAACCAAACACCACATGTTCTCACTCACAGGTGGGAATTGAACAATGAGAACACATGGACACAGGAAGGGGAACATCACACTCTGGGGACTGTTGTGGGGTGGGGGGAGGGGGGAGGGATAGCATTAGGAGATATATCTAACACTAAATAACGAGTTAATGGGTGCAGCACACCAGCATGGCACATGTATACATATGTAACTAACCTGCACATTGTGCACATGTACCCTAAAACTTAAAGTATAATAATAATAAAATAATAAAATAAAATAAAATAAAGTCTTTTTTTAAAAAAAAAACAACCTTGGATTAATTTACTTTATAGACTTTTTTTGGTCCAACGAACTTTGATTAAAAATATGCTTCCTTAAAAAAATAAAATAAAATAAGAATTAAATTTTCTGTCTTTGAGATTTTGTTGTCAGGGTTGGAGTAATCTCTCTATTTATACCCCTGTGAGATTTTCGTTTTTGTCCACTTAGGGGATCCTGTGGCCATGCTTACCCACAGCTCACCATGCGGCAGTGATAAAAATGATGAGAAGCTCTCACATCAAAAAAGAAAAGAAGATGAAAAGTGAGGAAAAATAATTCTGCTGTTGAGGGCAGCAACCATTCTACCTATACTACTGGAAAAGGGAGATTTTCATCTTATTATTCACCCTATAACCAAGATATGTATCTTAACAGTTTCATCAAAAGAGAAAGGAGACTTTACATTTTGCTAAATTACAAACAAATCTCAACATAACTTGAATATTTTGACAAAAAACAGTGTGTGGGTATTTTTCCTCATAAATATTCCAAATACAATATTTCATAATATGCAAATATTCATAAAGATGTTTTCTCTTTTCTCTGGTAAAAGTGCAGTTCCAAAATAGAAAGTCATATCTGAAGTGAACTGCATTGTTTTAAGGAATATGATCACTATTGCGTGTAGTGATAGAGTTCCTTTGGGTAGCAGGTCGGAGGAGAAATTATCTTAGACTAACTTTAATGCATATCTGTTCAAATAACTGGAGAATACATGAACTATAGTGTTAATATCCTCGAGGAAAATAAAACATGAATGATCTCATTGTTGAAAAAAACAAAGGAAATACCTCTTTGTGACAATGCAGGTGGTACAATACTGCACACAATCAAAAATTTTACTATGCAACATTTTGGAATAATATTGAATTCTGTCACATATGGTAGTTCATTGGATTATGATCTGCTGCTCTTGGTGGTGTAGGTAAACCACATTTCCAGATGGCAGAAGTAAATATGGACTCTTATGATAAAAAAAAAAAGTAGGCAATTTTAGTTTTGGCTTACTCTTTAATTACTACGCAGCAAACAAAGATGAAAACAAAGAGACGTCTTTGGAAAGTTTATTGATTGATATTATTTCCTGACTCAATAAGTATACTACACATGCTACTATGGAATATTTTTTAAAAACAAAATATATGGAAATTTTGGAAACAAAATAAACATAAAGAGAAAATAAAAATGACCTCTAAACACACAGTACAGAATTTTCCGTGAGTGTAGGAATGTGAGTGCATGTTTTTGTGTGTGGTGTCTGTGCCTTATAACAAGTTCATTTGCAGACTTTTATCATAAAGTAGGAAGACAAAGGATACAAAATATCTACACTGTAAATATCTTTTAAAATGCGGTGTTTGAAAATGTAACTTAATAAGTAAATACTATATATTTTTTTGTAGTACAATACTGTCATATCCCAAACCACCCACTAATGTAGATAAAAGTATTATGAATACTTTGCAGTTGGCAAAACTGGATAAATAATTTCTACAATGTCACATAACTATTTGGTGGGAGACTTTCTGCAAAGATAGTTTCCTTAATAACTATACTATTGTTTATCTTGAATAAAGTTGTATAACTAGCTCAAACAATATAAAAATTGCTGAAGTAGGTCCCAGACAGGTTGTAAAACCATACATTTTGTGTAACAAACAAAAATGAAAGGATATTCAAAAGCAATCTGAAAGAGTTCAACCTTTTGTTTTAGTTCAGTTGTTTTTATATTTGCTTCGGAAGAAAAAAAAGCTTTATTATTTATTCATTTATGTTACATCATTTGATTAGATTTTTCTTAGGCTTTTCATGAGCTACTAATATCATAAGGGTATTTCTATTTTCTGTTATGTTTGCTGCAGATATTTAATCTCAATATGGCCTTTAAATATGAATTTTAGTTTTAATTTTTTCATATAAGAAAATTTTATTTTTTACTTTTTAATTTGGAATAATTACCAAATATCTTACTTAAATTCTCCCATTGGTTTTTTATTTAAGAAGCTCTCTCATATTTCAAGAGCTTGCAATGATCTCCTTAATTTTATTATGATTTTCCCACTTTCATAATTAAACATTATCTCACAAGCATTTTACACTAAAGTAAAATCTAATCTTTACATTTTTTCTAACGAATCAATTGCCTTAATATAATTAATTGAATAATAACTTATCCAGTTATATATACTATCAAATTTTTAAGTCAATGTCTTGAATCAAAGGTACCGCCATAGTTGTTTTCTATACAAAGAATCAGTTCACAACTGGACCAAATGACAGAATAATTTTTATTATTTCAAATATAGAAAGATTTTTTTTCCTGAACTGCCTATCTTGTTCTATTGTTTGTCTCTGATATATAATCCGATACAAATATTTTAATATACTAGTTAGGAACTACTTTTTGTTCCTCATTTTCTTTACTTGGAATTTTATCAGGAATGCCTTTGGGTTTAATTATTATATATAAATATGTTCTTTACCATGTTAAATAAACCTATTGTTAAATTGAAGAATTTACAGAAAGTTATAAAATTTATTAAAATCTTTTTCCAAATCTTCAATGATTAAAATGTGGTTTTATTCCTTTGCTGAAATTACATGTGCTCTTTCTGCTAAAGCAAAAGACAGAACCATCAAAAGTTGCTACTGATTTTTCTCAAGAGAGCTTTCCTAACCTCTCAGGGATATTTTAATGTGAATGCATTTTCATCATCATGTTGTGGAGATGGTAGGATGTTTGCCAACATTTTTACACAGCTGATCATAGCTAGAGAGTTAAATCAGGCTAATGTGGTTGATTAATGAATTTTGATTTTCTCCCAAATACAACATCAGAACACCTAAGTCTATTATATCTTTTATAATTGAAGCAATCACTCAAGTCTGATTTAAAAAATAAAAAGGAATATAACAAATTAAAAGGACACAGTAATGTCCCAAGTCAGGCTTATGTGCAGCAGTGAATCTAGCTCTTTACTACTGTCCAAAGAAATCTAGTTATGTCATTATTCTGGAGACATTTTGGCTTTGAATTAGATAATAACAACTAATATTTCTGTGCCTGTGCACATACTTCTGATTGCATGCCTGATGAACTCTGTCTTACAGATTTTTCATATTTTACCTATTTAATACTCATAAATTCTATGATAAAATATTGTTATGGCTCTTATTTCACAAATGAGGTACTGAGTCACAGGATAATGACATAACTTATCCAACATCACAAAGCCTAGAAAGTTAATGGTCTGACTTCAGAACACACATATGCTATCACTTCCAAACACTAGAAGATTTCTCCCATTATATGGTCTTGTTGGAACCTGTTACCTGTTTCCAGACAAGTGAATATGTGGTCTATGGATGCTAATCAGACATGATCCACACTCAGTTTTACATAAGTCAATGTCTTGAATCAAAAGTACTGCCATAGTTGTTTTCTATACAAAGAATCAGTTCACAACTGGACAGAATGACAGAGAGCGTGATCCATTAGGAATATTATTTAGCAATGCTGGAACTGTGGCTAAGAGTGGAAAAGAGAGGATGTAACAAGCAGTGATGTCCCCTGATTTGTCAGTAGACATGACAGATCAGGAGAAGAGACACTAGGCATACTTTAAGCAGAATCTCAAAGTGGATGATCTAGCTCCTTTTTTTTTTTATATCCAGAAATATAAAATGCTATTGTTTATCTTGGGTTGTGAGAACTGTGAAAATGAATTCTCTATTTAAATGGACATCTCTCTTCCGTGGAGAGAGCAAATCAAATGCACCTTTTATGAGGCAAGTGAACAATCACAGATTTTAATTTAATTATAAGGTTTAATAAAGTCTTTCTGAAAGAAATCCTGTTTGCATAGTATTATATTGAATTTTCTGTATTATGTTTTTAAAATTTATTTCTAGTGTCTTTTCATGTTTTATTTTGTATGTCAACTTTTGCACTCTCAGGTGAGATTGATTTATATTATATTTTATCATTGTCATATTTTCATATTATAGATATTGGAACTATAAAATCAATTGAAAAGTATATTTTTCTTAACAAAGATTTTACACAGCAGCATTTTAATCTGATTTAAAATAATTATTTATAAATAACTAATAATTAATTTTATTAAAACACCAAGATTTGCATATTAGTTATACTATGTAAAAACCTTATTTAGAAATAATATTTTGACTTGCTAAGTTTGTGTAAAGCTATTTCTTCCTTATAAAAATGCATTCATCATTAACTTAAAGGTGTTTGTAAATGATTGTTGTTGATTAATTATTAGAATGCATTTTTCTTCACCAACGTTATCATACTTAACCTTTATTAATTTACTCATCAATTTATCCAATCAACTTTATTTATGTATTTGTTTCTTTCTTTTAGTGCCTAGTCAGAGCTAGGCCCTGAGATAATTGACGGAGATAAAGTTAATTTAAAATAATGAACTTTTCTTTTTTTAATGGTGTTATACTATTACGATGAGGAAGACTTTAAGTATTCCATATATGTGTACGTGTGTGTGTGTGCGTGTGTGAGTGCATATATATATATATATATATATATATATATATATATATATATATCACTAACTGTTACGAAGTGAATTGTCTCCCCCGCAAAATTCATAAATTGAAGCTTTAACTCTCAATGTGACAGTATTTGGAGACAGGGACTTTAAAAAGGTAATAAAGGTCAAATGAGGTCACAAGCATGGGGCGCTGATCCAATATGACTAGTGTCCCTAGAAGAAGGGGAAGAGACACTAGGGATGTGCTCAAAGAGAAAAGCCCTGTGGAGACACAGCAAGAAATCGGCCTCTGCGAGCTAAGGAGAGAGATCTCATTAGAAACCAACCTGCCGACACTTTGACCTTGGACTTGCAGCCTTCACAACTGTGATACATTTCTGTTCTTTAAGCCGCCTGGTCTGTGCTATTATTCTACGGCAGCCTGAGCAGATGAACACAGAAACTTTAGTCCATTCTGCGAAGAAAGGGTCCATGATCTATGAGGTACTATAATAGGATGAATCGACGAAAACTCAGAAGGTCAGAGAACACTGCGCATGGAAGGGATGAGTGACCTGATACTGAAGGAATGATCTTAGTTTGTGTGACAAAGCAAAAGAATGTTAGGAAAAAAAATGAGGCTGTATCAGAAGGAACAGGCCTAAGGAGAAACGTGTTCTCTGCAATTAAAGCGTTTGAAGCGGAAGTGTTTGCGTGCACGTGCATGTGCTGTGTGGGATCTCACATTGTTAGTTAAGAGGTCATTTGACATAAGAAATGACTGCAATCTTAGACTAGGTGAGGGTGCTGGGGATTCATGACAAAAATAATTATGCTCCAGAAAACAGGACATAAAGAGGGAAACTGTGATCCAGAATCCGATATCCTGAATAAACGAGGGGGAAGAGGTTGAGCTCTTCATAATTATATTTTTCTGCTTTCTCTGAATGAAAAAAAAAAAGACAGAGAGTTTAAAAGTGAGGGGCACTTTGCACTTGAAAGAACACTGAACTAGAAAAGATTTAGGAGTGTTACAAAATAACCTAAGAAGTGTTAATGAAGCAGCTCATACTTAATTTTACTTTCTGTCTTTTAGCTTACTGCCATCCATCTCATTTGAAAATGAGGCCAAAATGAGTAGTAATATAACAATTAATAATACCACTTTCTGCTTAAACTTCTCCCTGGAAACTCAGGGTATCACATACAAATTATTCCATTGATCTTCATAACATTGCAAATAAGAGCATTGACATTCCAGGAGGACTGGGAAGAAGAATGACTCCTGCACGTGTGATAATGGTCAATTGAAATTTTAGATTAGTTCTGGTAGCTCAGTGCAAGCTCATTAGGCAAAGGTTTGGTTTAAGAAATATATTTTACTAACTTCGTTATGAAAGTTAAACATTCATATCAATTAATTCACACTTTCTCTGCAACTCCAATGCCATATATATACCCTAACCATTAAAAAAGACTCTAGTCTCTCTGCCTCACTGCTGATTGTAAGAGAAGGCCTCTGATACGGGTCAGCGCATGTATTTATGAATTGAGATTTCTGGAGGAAGAAAAAAATTAATTGAAATCCTTCTCATGTTTTATTTTCATCCTCTCTGATTGAGTCATCCAGGTATTTCTAATTCAATGGACTATTCAAACTTCATTGAAGTTTTTCATTTTGTGGCCGCTGTTTCAAGTATGTGGAAAGCCCAGCAGGACCAGAAGAAAAGCCGTGGATGGGAAAATTTAAGCTCCTTTCTGTGTCATTGATTTCTTCTTTCATGTTTTACTGTGGGATCGAGAAAATTCAGAGGGCCAATCCCAAGGGTTGAGCCTAAGAGCCATGAGCAGCTAGGAGCAACAGGAGTTTTCCTGGATTATTCATTTATGGTCCTAAGCAGTTTTGAGGTAGGAGACTGCATAAGCCTTTAGGGTAAATGTGTAAATATTCTTGGAGTTCTGTTTGTGGAATGATCTAATGCAATGATCTCTGCCTATTGTAAATTGAGGACATATGGCCCAGTGCAATGCAGGGAATGACAAGAAGGAAAATAATTATTAGTCCTTGTAAAAAATAAAATGAGTCAAAGACCTATACTCCTACATCCAGACTACAAAAAATGTGTTCCAAGTTCAGCTGGTTGTTTTATAAAGATCTCAGTATAATTTTCTGTTAGTCTACTCATAGACGCTTCTACCTAGATAGTGCTATTTATAAAAGTGCAGCAAGAAGTATGAGCTGTAATACACATATCTCTTACTCTGGTCAAGGGAAAGCACGGGCAAATGCCATGCTCTATGGCAATCCTGGTCAATGACTTAAAATTAGTTTTCTAGGACTCCAGGTTGTGGTTTGGGTAACTGATAATTTTACCATACTATATTTTCTTGGAATTTTTTTCTATAAAATATACATAAAGAGAGAATCAGTTGTCCTCCTGGGATCTCTTGTGAGCAGCCTAAGTTTGTATCACTGTGGAAGTATTTTAAGTATTGTTCTCGGAGATATGTTGTCCACTTGAAGAGTAGGAGTTTCAAAGTTTAAAGTCTCAAAAAATGTCCAAATTGTCAAGATGTATATGTGTGCACTTGCCAATTGAATGCCTGGTGTTCATATAAGAAGTAGACTATAAATTTGATGCAGAAGGTATGAGGAGGTAAGCTTTATCTACAGGAGTGAGCCTACTGTGGGTTTCTTGAAGCATGTCGATTCTCTATATCGATTAAATTAATTTCGAGAAAGCAGGTTGGAAGGTGTCTGAGAAGAAGAGGATAACTAATGAAAGCTGCAGATGAAACAGACTGTGAAGTTTTTGCTTAATAAGGAGAATAGAATCCTCTATTGAGGTATAACCCACAATTAATTTAAAATAATTTAGTCAGTGATTAATCTGATAATAAAAAAATCAAAACTAAAGATATTGAGAAATCTCAAAAGTTTTATTTTATTCTGTAAAATTTATTGTGAATATGACCAATTAACATGGGTGCCTAAACTTAGAGATGAAGACTTTAAGCAAATTAGCTGGTATTGTGTAATTTCAGCTATAGGATTTTGTAGATCCTGTCAAGGAAGTTATTTCTAATCCTTGTTTTCTCATTTCATAAATGGGTGCTGTGTTTTTCAAATGATTCTTTCTCAAAAAAAAGCAACAGTTTGAACAACAGTATAGTTTTTCACTTTTACTAATATAGTTAATTTAAGTTGCTGGTACTTGAACACTAAATCAGATTTGACTTAGATATGTATTATTTGCTAAAACATTCTTAATAATGTTCACATCTATGTTTATATATTGGTCTAGAGCTTTCGTTCTGGTAGTGTTATTCCCTGGTTTGCTTCTCAGGGCAATGCCTGACTCACAGAATGATTTGAAATGTTCCCTTACCCTTTATTTTCTAAAATACATTGATAGAATCCACCCATGTTCCCAGCTGGAACTCAATGCTTTTATATAAAAGTGTGTGTTTGTTTGTTTGTTTGTTTTTAATCAAGAGCTCAGTTTATTTAATAGATATAGGGTTCCTCAGATTTTTTTATTTCCTCTTGATTCAGCTTTAGTAATTTGTGTCTTTCAATGAATGTATTCCTTTATGTTGTTAAATTTATTGATAATGAATTCGTTTATAACATGGCTTATTACTTTTTATTACTTTGCGATGTCAAGCGGTTCCCCCTTTCTTATCCTGGATATGGGTCATTTGTTCAACCCTTTTGCTTGTTCAACCTTTTTGCTTGATCAGTGTAAGTAGACGTACTTTTTATATACTTGTGCGAGTATATAAAAATATGTCTGGCAACGGTTTTTTTAAATTCTCTACCTTTTTAAGCATCTCCCTCCCTCCCAACCATTCAACTCCCTTTTCTTGGCCCTTTGTCACTTTATTGGTCCTCCACTCACATCATCCATCTATGTCCCCACAGCAGGAGCCTTGGTTGAGGCTTTAATGAAGTCCGGCCTAAATCATACAATAATTTTGAGGTTCTTCTCCTGCCTAAAGCCATCCCCCTATCACAGACAGCTCAATGAACTTTCATGACTTCCCGTTCTTATGCAATAAAGATGGAACTGCTTAGTATGGCACACGTGGCCCTGACTTATATGTCTTTTTCCCCATGTAAATTTTTATTTTTTGCTGCTCCGGCTTTCATATTGTCACAGCCTTACTTGCTGTTTTCCACCCTGCACGCCATGCATTCTGAATATGACGTTTCTCTGGACCTAACAGCCTCCATTTACTAGTGCATGTGATCCCTCTCTCGGGAATGACATTAACTAGTTCTCTCTAGCATTTTTTTTCGACCACTCATCCATCTATCAGTTTCAGCTCATATATTTTCTAATTAATTCAGAAGAATTAACTGCCCAGTCAGAATACAAACATAGTTCATGTGCCACCCCAAGAAGGTATGAATATCAGTCTTAGGGTGCCCATAAGGAGAAGGAACTCTGTAGCGCTTAAGAGACTTGAAAATTGGCCAAATATCTATTTCCATCTTCTGCACTTACCAACTGTTTGATTTGAGTGTATTACTTAACTTCTCTTTGGCTCAGTTTCTCTAGGTATACAATTAAGGTAATAATAGTAGGTATTTTTGTTATGATTTAATGAGATCATGTATGTGAAACTTAGAAGTTTTTTTTTTCTTTTTACAAATAGTCATCATCTGTAATTAGATTAAAATAGAGACAATGTCGTGTGAGTGTTCTTAGTACATGACAAAGTTCTCTGTACCTAATGTGATGTATATTTATTAAACAAATTAAGGAATACTGTGGAAAAAAGTAGTTGGAAATAACATTTTGTTCTTAATTTTTTTCACTTTAAGTTAGTTCTAAGAAATGAAATATGTGTATAAAACTCACTTCATATGAAGAAATGAGAAGTTTTGAGGTCATCTCTACAAATAATATGAATATTGCTATTTATCATTCCAGAAAGATAAATGACTTAAAATAGAAATACTACTTTAAAATTATATATGTTTTTAAAATGTTCCACCTCACCAGCTGGATAGATAAGAACTAGAACATTCCCATGTAATAAGTCCTCAGTGCCATCAGAAAAGTCCTGAATCAATGTCTAACACCTTTTTATTTTTTAAACTAAAGAAATACATATCTCTTTTCATGTTATCTTCTGTTTTGGACATTCAAATGAGCAAAGTATAGAGGGTAAACTATAATGATTCTAAGTTAATGTTGCAACATGCTTTAAATCCATTTTTAATGCAATAGAGCAGAAAGTATAAACCTGTTAACCTAAGAATTATCAATAATTTAAGAAGAGCTAACAGGGACTTTCATGCAATATCAAAGGGAAAATATAAGAAAATGTTGTTAAAAATTTATTACAATGACTGGTACAGATGTGAAACACAAACAATTTTAATGGTGAAAAGAAATGACAGCAAGATCTGACATATAACTTCATATCATATTTTCAATATAATTGATTATAGAAATTAAGTGGACCCACTAATGCACCATGTGGTTTCTTTTGTTTGAAGGGGATTAAACCATATGAGTTATGAAAAATGATAATGCAAAGGACATGATTTCAGGGTTAGCTCAGGTCTATTCCCTCCAAGTTTTTCATAGCTGTGAGTTTAGTATATTATTGTAAATTTTTTCTTCTTTAAGGTAAAAAATTCAATGACAGCATACAAGAATGAGAGGAAACTGTCTGAAATTGAGAAAATATCAACATTTTGACCTCTGTTAACCTAGAAGCTATGGTGACTCAGAATTTTTCTTAGCTGAATTTCTTTTTTGTGTTATATATTTTAAAAACATTTGCCTTAAGCTAAGGTGTGAAGATGACATATGGTGTATTCTCAATGTACTCAAAAGAAATTAAATACATCTGAAAATACTTTAGAAGCATCAGCTGAAATGTTATTTTATTAATTAGTTGTAATTATACATTTATCCTTTCAATCATTTATTCAACAAATGAATCGAGCCACTATTAGGTGTCATTATTGATGAACACAAAAAGTGAACAAAACTATTGAATCCTTTGATTCCCTTAGAGCTTACATTTTACATGAATGCTACTTATATTAAAAACGAAGAAGTGTACAGTGCGTCAGGTGGTGATAAATACAATGAAGAAAATAAGACAGAGAAATTAGATAGGAAGTGCCAGCGATGGGTGATGCTTTTGATGAGTGGAGTGAACGTGAGATAACATTAATCAGACATGAGGATAAAGTGTGGAAATAAGAGAGAGGCATATAAGGATGGGAATCCTAGGCAGAAGGACAAACAAGTTCAAAGCTGATAAAATGGGATCATTTGGGGAATATTGGTAACGGAAGCAGGCAATTGTGGCTGCAGTGGCTTTCTCTGGGGGCACTGGTGGGCACACTATCACAGGCTGGATATTTTAGATCCTTGTAGAACACAGTAGCAACTTTACTGTATTCTGAGTAAGAGGAGCGTTTTGAACTGAAGAATGATTTGACTGGATGTACAGTTTAAAATGATTTCTCCAACTACTATGCACATAACAGACTATACACACAGAATTATCACTTGCAATGTGATCATAATAGCAGTATATAATTACAATATCTTGTTTAGTGTAAAAATGGAGGAGACAGCAAGAAAAAATTAGATTTTAGACATTTTAAAGGTAGAGTCAATAGGCTTTCAGGATTTGCCAATGGCTTGATAGTAAAATGTTTGAAAAAAAACAATAATTTCCACTCCTCCCACACCCACTGATGGAGTAGAAGAATGTAATCACCATTTACCAGGATAGAGTACTGAAGATGGAGCCACTTTGTGGTGCAATCTACTTGTTTAGGGCATGTTGAGTGCTAAATATATGTGAGACATCATGTGAAGTTGTGAGGCTATGAGTTGTTTGCATGAGTCTGTATTTCATGAGTGGTGAAATGATTCAAGGTCATTTGCTTTTGCATTGTAATATTTAGAGGTCTATAGAGTAAATACAAATGGTATTTAAGGCCATGATCAGATCACCAAAGATTGAGAAAATATAGTGTGGGCCCTGGTTTCTATGAGCATAGATGAAGCAGTTGGCAATGCTATGAAAAGAAGACAAAACACAAACTTAGAATTTAAAAATAAGACTGATCAATAGAACTGCATTTTAGGTATGAAGAAGATGATGTAGGGAAGCATTCACCTTCCAATAAATGTGTGACTACCACACCTCAATTCTTCACATATTACAACTCCAGACTCCCTTTTCTATTTGAGGAGCACATGAGATCTACTCTGAAAATGGCCTTTAGAAAGCTGGGAGGAGGGTGCTTTGGGTCCTCAGTGAGGGTGAAGAGACGGTGATGAAGCCAGACTGTACCATGGCTGCCAATGATCTACTCACAGGGGATACATTTGCAATTTGTTGAACAGGTTATATGAAAGAGCATTTCAGAGATGTATGAGGCCTAAAATTAAGGCCAGGTATTATGTGCTGCCTTGAAATCTGGTAAAATTAGGAGGACCTTGAATGACCCAACCACAAATTACCCTCCCCACTCTACCCCTGTGTACAAAATCCTTGAGCCAAACAATCCTCCTTATTAAAGGGACTTGATTATCCTTCCTGATTACTTCCTGATTATCCTTGAGGATACCTCCTGCTTATTCTTGAGAACCAAGTATCAGTTGCCTGTCAGTTCAGGAAATTATTCGCACAAGCCAATCTCATCTTTGTGTAAGAACCAGAGCTCACATAACCCTCTTGGTATAACAAAATCTGCCTCTCCACTGCCCTTGATTGTTCATTCACTCTATCTCTGGATGCAGCTCCCATGTGCCCCCGTCTGATGTATGGTATCCTGCCCCGGGCTGTGAGTCTATGTGACTAACAAACTGCTGTCACTCACATGTGTCTAGCGTTGGGTATCTTGAGTTCTGGACCTCAAAATTCTAGTACGTGAATACCCAACAACTAATGAGATGAGATTTATTACAAAGACTGGTACAGATGTGAAGAAATGACAGCAAGATCTGACATATAACTTCATATCCTATTTTCAATATAATTGATCATAGAAATTAAGTGGACCCACTACTGCACCATGTGGTTTCTTTTGTTTGAAGGAGATTAAACCATATAAGCTATGAAAAATGATAATGCAAAGGACATGACTTCAGGGTTAGCTCAGGTCTATTCCCTCCAAGTTTTTCATAGCTGCGAGTTTAGCACATTATTGTAAATTATTCTTTAAGGTAAAAAATTCAACAAAAGCATACAACTAATGAGATGAAAAGGATGTGATAAAAACAAGAAATTCTGTCCATACTTTTTTGGGGTATAAGTTACAGCCCTAGATATAAACACTCCAAATCAAAAGTAAATAGTAAACAGAAATCATCCGGTGTGGGGAAATACATCCCATATCTCTAAAACAAGAAGGAAAAAAAGTATAAAGAATTAGCATGATATAAAAATGGGAAAGATATAAAAACTATTCCTGAAAAGTGACATGTTTTAGAGAAAATACAGTCTCAATAATTGTATTAAGTGCAGAAACTTTTACATAAGAGTTCCACAAAGAAGAGCTGATAAATCAGTCAAAGAAGAAATGATAAATACTAAAACATTAAAATGAAGATAGAAGTTCTAAAGAAATAGATTGATGTTAGACATTATAAAACAGAAAACTCATTTGAAATACTAAGAAATATCATTTTAAAAGATGAAGTTAGATGCTTGGTATGAAGAGCAGACTAAAGAAAATGGCATAGAATACTAAGGAGAAGGACACAGAAAAGGACAAATATTTAAATAGATTTTTATTTTAAAAGCATTAACTTAATTGGGGTTTCCCAGAAACATATATTAAGACGAGGTTCTGTGTGCAAATGATTTATTAAGGAAGCGTTCTCAGAGGAGACCAGATAAAGGAAAGGGTAGAGAAAGTCATTTCAGGGTGGGGCATCAGAAAAAAATGGCCTACAAAGGGCCAGCATGAGCTTTATATTACAGAAAAAAAAATGTATAGTAGTGGTTATATTTTAAAGTTGCCACATCCAGTGAAAAGGAGTTGAGATCTTGCAGTAGAATAATGCAGTCAATGATAAACTTCTCCCCTCTCAATGATACTCAGGGTGGACAATGTTGGCACTGTGCCCATATTTATCATTGCACTGCCTTGAAAAATGTCGATACTGTGCTCATATTTATGGGCACAGTATCAACATTGTCTGCCACAAGTATCATTGAGAGTGTAGAAGAGGGAGGTAAGGAAAAATAACCTGAGAACAATTGATATTTTAGAGAAGTGAGCAGAACAAATAAAATAGAAACAATAAATACATTAAAACACCAGGAAAATACATTGTTTGGTGCACAGAGGTATTTTAGGACAGAGAAACTATTCTGTAATATAGTAAAATGGCAGACATGTTATTATATGTTTATCCAAACCTTTAGATTGGACACCAGAAGTGAACTCTAAAGTAAACTATGCACTCTGGGTAATAATGATGTGTCAAGGTAGGTTCACCAATTATAACAAATGTACTTATCTGGATGGGGATGCTAATAATGGGAGAGGTTAGGCATGTGTGGAGGCAAAGTTTACCTGAAAAATCTCTCTACCTTCTGCTCCATTTTCTTGTGTATGTAAAACTTCTCTAAACATAAAGTCTACTAAAAATATTAAACATGCATTGTAAGTAGACCTCTGAATATGTACATAAAAAGCTTATGTGTTCAAGGAAAAACAAATAGAAATAATCAAGACTGAAATATCCAAGTAGTAACAATTATAAACATGCAGCAACTAAGGAATAAGAAATAGTTATGTAGTTGTGAAAAAGTTAACTAAAATAATTTACATTGACTTTAGAAAGTTAATATATTTGGTTACAACAATGAGATAATACACCAATTATCATTGACATGTCAAGATAACAGAAAATATTCTTAATTAATGCAGGAATTCAATACTCATAAAGTCTCTTTGAAATGTACTTGAAGATGTGGGCCAACCATTACAAAAATAAAGCAGAATTGAAAATCACAAATAGTGGAGTTTGAAATGAAATAATTGTGGATTTCAGATCTAGAATTAAAAATATATATATTTCCTGTTGAAGGCATAACCATATAAAGATTGTAACCTGTTTCTTAGGAAAATTAAGTAATTAATGACTGATAATAGAATCAAACACATTTTGTAATTAATGACTAATAATAAAATCAATCACATTTTATAATTGATGAAGATATATTCTTCCACAAAAATGTATCCTCTATAACATAAAATTAAAGATGTATTGAATAATATGAGAAGTAAATTAAAGACATAAACTAATGAAAAATTAAAAACCAAAATGTGTTGTTTGATGAAATTAATAAAAATCATAGAACCCTAGAAGAACTAATCAAGAAGATGAAGAGTGAATACATGCATTGCCAATATAGAAATGAAAAATGAAAAAAGAAACATTTCAAATTCTGCAGATAATAAAAATATATAAGAAGATGCAGAGGACCTAGAATGGTGTATTACCTCATTGTTGTAACCTAATACAATAAATAAAATAATTTCAAGACTTGCACTTGCTGTAACACTGTAGAATTAAGACAGTATGTTCTTGATGCAAGAATAGACAGACCAATGCAACACAATAAAAAAATATAAATATATATATATAAAACACTTTTGACAGAGAGTTATGATTCAATCGGAAAGAATTTTTTTCAACACATGCATTGCAAAAACTGGATATCAAAGAGCATCAGAAGATAACTGAGAAACAACATACAGTTCAAAGCTAAAACAATAAACCTTACACATGGAAGTCTATAAAACATCTCTATGGACTTGGGATTTGCAACTAATTTTTAGGAAGAATGAAAAAGAAAAAAAAGAAAATATATAGCATTAGTCATAAATGGAAAAGTGAAAAAATGGTTAATAAAATTAGGCTTCCTCACAAACATTCTACTCACCAAATGACTATATTAATAAAATAGAAATACACATTTTAAAGGCTGAAACTATTGGCAAAAATATATACCCATATTCGGAGTAGGGCACTTCAATAAATCAATAATACAAAGACAAACAACCCAATTAAAAATGGGCAAATTACTTGATAATACACTTCCCAAAATAAAATGTGTGAATGGACAATAGACAGCATCATTATTCATCAGAGCGGTATATATTAAACCACCATGAAAAGGTCCCACAGCCTACTTTAATGTATTATATTAAGCAGGCTGACAATACCAAATACGTATAAGAGGGATAGAATAGGTCCAGTAAACATATAAATAGTGCAATGGAATCCCCTTAGATAGTTTTTTTTAAAGTTCAACATATACTTTCTCGATGATATTTAAGTAAACTTTTAGGTATTTAATCAGGAGAAATGAAAACATGTACACACAAATCTTAACAAGTGTGGTAATAGCAAATTTTTTGCAATAGCTCAAAACTGAAAATAACCCAAATGTCTATTATTTCACTGCATTCTACTCATACAAACATGAAGGAACAACTGATATACACAAAATAGAGTATCAGAAACATATTGATAGGAATAAGCCAGAAATATGCAAGTACATACTGTTTTCTGGCATTTATTTACATGATCATTATCTACAAGAAAAATACCTATAGTGATAGAAACTAGGATAATGGTTACCTCTGGAAAACGGTTTGAGCTAGAAAGCACAATTTTTAATGGTGAAAAAAAAGCTCAGTGTCTTGATTTAGATGATAGTTGTACACATTTTAGCAGTCATTAAACTATATGCTTTAAATATATTAATTTCATGTATGGCAAATATACTCAATAAAACTATTAAGTCCAAAAAAGGCTGAAGGTAAAATGAAAATAAATGGAAAAAATGCACACAATAGCCAAAGGAACATATATTGCTACAATATCAAAATTGTAAAGGTCAATCTATTTTATAAGTATTATTAGGAATAAGGATGGGTATGCTATGATGATAAAAGTGCCAATTTTACAGAAAGTCATCCCAATCCTACATGTATAGATTTTTAATATCACTCTTGAAATTGTAAACTAAAAATAACAATCGTCTGAACTGAGAGTAAGAAAAATCCTTAATCACATAGGATAATTTAGTCTACTTATAATAATACACACAATTTTAATAAGAATATAGAACACTGGAATCACAGAGGTTGACGTGAGTGAGTTTAAAAGCCTTTGTAGTTAGCAAACAGACTTATAAACTTTCCAAAGCCATGTGAAATTGTTCAAAATTGACATTATAACAGTCTATGGAAAACTCCTTACAGTATGTTCCTGATTAGAACAGAAGTAAGGTGAAAATCTTAAATAACAACAGACCTAGAGAGGCTCCAACCACATGGACATTAAGTAAAACACTTCCAAGTCATTTATGAGTCAAAAAAGAGTTAAACTAAAATTAGAAAACATTTTGAACTAAATATTGATGGAAATACAACATATAAAAATTTGTTACATGCAGCTAAAGATGAGAAACATGTATGAACTTAAAGGCACATATTAGGAAAAAGAGAGTTGGGGAATCAGTGATTTAAAACTTCACCTTAATAAGAAAAAGAAAAACAGATATCAGATCTTAGAAATAAAGTAGCAATGATATGAACAGAAATAGAAAGCAACCATACACTGGGGCAAATCAAATCAAAAATCAGTTGTTTGAAAATATTATGTTGATAATACCCGCCCAGCACTGAAAAGAAAGCTAAGTCGAGAAAACACAAATTCCTAAAATAAGAATGAAAAAGGGAACATCAAAACAGATTTTATAGGCATACAGACTTCTGAAGATGTGCAGCACAAGTTTACATTAATAAATCTGACAAATTGGATAAAATTGATGCATTTATCCAAAAGTACATCATTATAAAACTTAAAAAGTATATAAATAAAATTTAAAATATTTGATAAAAAGTTATAGAACTTGAATTTGACATTAAACTCCATCCCACAAAAATAATCCACCAAAAAATATCACTGCGATGCTGAAGTCTAAGAATAATTTAATGAGAAAATATACCAATATTTTACAAACTTTTCTTGTAACGGAAAAATAGAACACAGTTCTCACTCATTGTCTGTGGGTTGCATAATCCTTAATGCAAAACTAGGAAAATGTATTTCAAGAGATCAATGCTATATGGAGGTTTGTATACTGCATATAAATGCCCCATGAAGCAGATTCCTGTATTGGGTTACTTACATATTTAATGAGCTCGTTGAAGACTTCCTTTCTGAGTGCAAATGTGACACTTGTTGTCTGTATGACATGGTGCCATCACAATTATTCACATTTACCTTTATTGTGGCATGGTATGTTACTAGATAGTAGGGTATAAGAAGATCAATTGACCATGGAAAGGAAGTAAGAAAGAAAGGGAGAGAGGGAAAGAGGGAGGGAGGAAATGAGAGAGGGAGGAGGGAAGGATGGAAGGCAGGAAGACAGAACGAAGGGAGGGAGGGGGAAAAGGAAGGTGAAGAAAGGGAGGAAGGAAGGAAAGGATAGATTGTAGATATTTAGCAAGTTGAACCCTCAGCTCAAACCTCTTCTCAAACAAACAAACAAACAAGAGAAACAGTTTTGCATGTGTCTGTGTGTGCTGACCCGAGGGATCACTATAGGTGCATAATTGGGCCCAGGACCTGATTATTTGGCTTATTAAGTTGCATAGTTACTTAGAGGCACAGAGTAGCAACCTGTGATCATTTATTAAAACAGAATTGGATCCTGATGTTTGAGATAGGGATATTTGTAGACATAAAGACAAAACTGAGAAGTTTGAATACCCAAGAGAAGTGTCTGTCATAGAAAGCCCTCTTTCAAACTGAGGAAATGATGATTTTCTTGAAAGAAAAATAAGGAAGAACACAATACAACATATTTTTGACTTTGAGGAAATGAACACTCAAAGTGATATTTATTCTTTTCAAGACCTATCACCAACACATCTCACTGCTTCTAGAACCTTATAATATCAGCAGAGCCCAGAGAAATACAAAAGCTTTCATCTCCCTAATGCTATACCCTCTAAAAACTGCCTTCTAAAAATCAAATAAAACTAATAATACCAAATCTAATTGTTTTCATTTTTAACTGGAAAAATTGTAATAAAAAGAAATTGTGCAATATTCCACTGGTATTTACAAATATTGCCTCATGTATTCATCAAATATATATATATATAAAATTCATCAAATATATATATAAATATATAATATATATATAAAATGGTGTATTTTGTGTGTTTGCTAAAATTTAAAGCTAATTTTCAAGGACTTACACATTTTGGAATCCATGAAAAGCTTTTTGAATCAACATTATATTTTTGATTTAAAAATAAGGAAATCAATACTTTCTAAAATGAAAATAAAAAAGGATGAAAGTTACCGTGTCATCCTAAACTGAAAATTAGAATGGTTAGATATTAAGAAACATAAAAATGTGATGAAAATTGTAATTATCACTAGAAGTAATGAAAAAATAAAGTAACCATTGTAACAGAGAAAATCAAGGAAAAATTATTATGTATAACTTCTTCCTAGGGAAAAATAGTGATGTTCAGGATGAAACAGGAATTAGAAAATGAGGGTATAAGTTCCTGTTGGACCTTACTGTCTTTTCTGCCCTTGAATCTAGAGTTCATATGTTATGTTTCAAATTTCCTTTGTGAATTAAGTAGGCAAGAAGATGTTACCTTGATGTTGTGTGTTACAGTGCATAGCTTCCATCAATGACTCATAAATCAAATCCAGCACAAATGCATTTACATAAGAGAGAGCACCAAGTTCAAGGACAAAGTTAAGCAATACTCTTTAAAAAAAAAATCACAGAGCACTTCAGGAAAAAATGTTCCTTTTTTTTCATTTTGCTTTTGCTTCTGATATTAGGTAAAATTATCATCAATACATAAACATTCTTTATAAATAGATAAAAATCAAGACTTTATTTCTCTTCATTAATTAAGATAGATTATAAGCAGAATGTTTCTGGTTTCAAGCTAACTGTATAACAAATGGTTTTTCAATTCCCCGATGACAATCACGATGAAAAGCATTTGTGTGCTGGTGCATAATTTAAAGGCACTTTTTAACACATTATTTCATTCAATCCCAAAAACAACCTTACGTTTATACTAACACCCCATATTCACATCTCAGAATGATAAAGGAATCTATTCAAACTTCTACCACAGGTAATGGTTCCCAAAGATGTACATGTCCTAATCCTTGGAACCTGAAAATACTTTACTTTACATGGAAAACAGTACTTTGAAATCTGATTACCTAAGGATCTTGATATGGGGAGATTATCTGGTTTATCTGGGTGAGTCTCATATAATTATAAGGGTCTTTATAAATGAAATAGAGAAACATGTGAGTCAGAGTCTGAGAAGGCAATGTGAAGACAGAAGCAGATAGTTCAGGGTGCTGTGAAGGCTGGTTGGTTCGTAAGCTAAGGAATACCCACAACTTCTAGTACTTAGAAAGTTCAAGGAAACAGGTTCTCCCATTAAGCCTCCGGAATTCACCTTTATGCCAACACCAAGATTTTAGCCCAGTGAGATCCAGTTTTGACTTCTAACCTCAAGAACCGTAAGATAATAATTTTGTGTTGTTTTAGGCCACCAAATCTGAAGCAATTTTTTGCAGCAGCAATAGGATAACTAATATACCTAATAACTAATATAACCTGTTAATAAATTCTGGAGTTGTTTGATTAAATGTTTGATACAGTTGAATGAATATTCTGCTTCAAACCTACATGTCCGGGTTTGAAGCAGAATATTCATTCAACTGTATCAAACATTGCATCAAAAGTCTCATTTTAAGATGTGTACTTTTTGAAAAAGAAAATGCTTTGACCTATTGAAAGTAAAATGCAAGAAATAAAATATAATCTCACCTATCAAATTTATACATATATGTTATCTATTACTGGAATCTGGTTCTTAGTAATTGTAAATATAGGAGATGATTTTTGAGGCTTTTTAAAAATTTTGATCTGATATTTAATCCTTTTTAATTTTAGTATACTTTCATTTGTCAATGATTTTAGCAGCTATTTCACTCCATTCTAGCTTGATTTTTTTCTTTCTTTTTTAATTTTAATTTTTTTGAGTATATAGTAGGTGTATATACTTATGGATTACATGAGGTATTTTGACATAGGCCTACAATGCCTAATAATCACATCAGGGTAGATGGGGTATACATCTCCTCAAGCATTAATTCTTTGTGTTACAAATAATACAATTATCCTCTTTTAGTTATTATTTAATGTATAATTTATTTTTTTACTATAGTCACCTCATAGTGTTAACAACTACTAGGTCTTATTCACTATGCCAATTTCTCTTGGTACCCATTATCTCTCTCCATGTCCCCTCCACCCTCCTCCCCAACTACCCTTCCCAGGCTCTGGTAACCATTCTTCTACCTCTCTCCATGAGTTTAGTTGTTTTAATTTTTAGCTCCTTCAAATAAGTGAGAACATGCAAAGTTTGTCTGTGCCTGGCCTATTTCATTTAACATAATGACCTCTAGTTCCAACCACATTGTTGCACATGATAGGACCCCATTTTTTGTGGCTGAATAGTGCTCCACTGTGTATATGTGCCACATTTTCTTTATTCATTCATCTGTTGATGGGCACTTGGGTTATTTTCAAATCTTGGCTATTATGAATAGTGCTGCAGTAATATAAGCTGAAAATAAAGATAAAAAGGTGTAGCAGCGTGTTAGTTTATTTGAACAACATATGAGAAAAGCATGCAGGCTTTAGTTATTGAATCTTTTAATTTGTAGTGGGGAGGAGTACACAACTTTTCATCTTACATTAAATTATTTTTGAGTTGTTGCTACTTGAGATAACAATAAATATCTTTAACTGAGATCATTTTCTCTTATTTCTGAATATGTTTAGAGGAAACTTGAAATCAAATATTTTCCTTCTTGTGTAGTATATCAAGTGGCAGTCTAATATTCAGTTTTTAAGAACTTTTAACATTAGGAGTGGCTCTAGATCATGAAAAATATAGCTAAAAAATTTTATTAACTTAACTGTGGACAATAGTGGTTCTTCATGTTCTGTCATAAATTCAAGATATTAAGGATGAAATTAGGCTAATATTATTCTTAAATGTGTAAAGAGCTACTTAATTTAGATAGTCATATGGATGGTAGTACTAGTAGTCGCCTTCTTAAAAATTGGTAGCTGATTCAGATGGAATTTTATGATGACTTCTGGCATCACAGGAAGTGCAATAGTTTTGTCAGTATTCCCACCAAGGGAACCTAAGAAATATACTTGCATGATATATTTTATGAACTTAAAATACAATAACTTTCTAAATGTGTTATACATATATTACACTATTGTTATTCTACCAAACTTAATTATTTGTTTGCATTTTTTGCTAGTGTATCAATACTTTTGTACAAAGTATTTCAGTAACTTATATTACAACTAGTGTTCTTTGCCTTCAAGTTCTTCAGTAATAGCATTCACAATGCTTTCAGAAATTTTTATAAACTTCATGACTGAATAGTCATGTTTAATAACATAATGGATTTTTTTTGTTCTAGATACATTATTTTAATTAGCACTCATTAAACAATTTTAAGAACATGACTTTTTCAGGTCATTATTCTCTAATATTTCTTTACAATATTTCAATGGACATTTATATTTTGATATCTGTTTTTGTCTTGACTCTCATATACTTAAATATTGATATATCCGCTGGGGTTATATATACATAGCACATATATTCACTATTGCTCAATGCTTGGTTTTTAACTTATTTACCTCTGATTTATTTGTTTGTTTGTTTGCTTGTTTTTCAGAGACAAGGTCTTACAACTTGCCCAGGCTGGAGTAAAGTGTGTGATCATAGCTCACTGCAGCTATCGAATGCCTAGGCTCATGTCATCATTCCTAGATAATTTTGTAATGTTTTGTAGTGATGGGGTCTTAATATGTTGCTCAAGCTGGTCTCAAACACCTGACCTCAGGAGATTCTCTGGCTTCAGCCCCCCAGAGTGCCGTAATTACAGGAATGAGTCACCATGCCCTTCCTGCCTCTGATTTTGAAAAACTTAGATATTTTAGTTTCATACTTTATTTTATAATAATGTGTATATTTGCTCACTTAGATGAATGCTTTATTCATCTTTTTAATTATATCTAAAATCAGAAAAGGAAAACAGTTGACTTTTTATTTGACTTTCTTTACAAAAGCATTTCTCATCATTCATTCAAAAGTGTATTTATTTTTTGTTCTATACACTGCTTAGGATTGACTCCTAAAACAAACAGCCTGAATATTATGAGATAAATATGTGTCTTTTTTTGAACTGGCAACAGAAACGCAGACATTAAATTACTGGGTGATTTATTCAATCAGAAAATAACTGAATCCTTATGATATTCCAGCAGTAGATTCTGGGAAACACAGTGGAGAACAAGACAAAGTCATTGACCTTATTGAACTTGTATTTTGTTGAGTTAGAGGGACAAAAATATCAGGTTTATAATACATTGCTAAGTTATAAGTTCTACGATAAAAAATAAAGTACAGTCAATACAAATGTGGTCAACTAAAACCTTTTTAAGGAGACAATATTTGAAAAGATGACATTTGAACTGAGACATGAATTAAGTGAGGAAGTGAGGCATATAAATATCTGAGGGATAAGAACCCTGAAACAGGATCAGTTTTTAAAAGTTAGAGTAATACCACAGTAGAAAAATCAACATCAAAATACTGATAACAATTGTATTTGTATGTATCAGCAACAAGTAAGAACATAACATGTTAAATTTAGTAATTTATAAAAATTCTAAAATCAACAAAAATCAAATAAAATTTTCAATACTTCTGATAGGGTTTGGCCATGTCCCTACCCAAATATCATCTTGAATAGTAATACCCATAGTCCTTATCTATCTTGGGAGGGACTCAGTAGGAGTAATTGAATCATGGGGGCAGTTTCCCTCATGTTGTTCTTGTGATACTGAGTCCTCATGAGATTTGATAGTTTTATAAGTGTCTGGCATTCCCCCCGCTGGCACTCGTTCTCTCTCCTGCCGCCCTGTGAAGAAGTGCCTTCCACCATGATTGTAAGTTTCCTGAGGCCTCCCCAGCCATGTGGAACTGTGAGTCAGTTAAACCTCTTTTCTTTATAAATTACCCAGTCTCGGGTATTTCTTCACAGCAGTGTGAGAATGGACTAATACAATTTCTACACACAAAAGTATAATTTATTATTGAATAGATTAAAATAAAACAAATAACTAAATTTTTATGCCATGTTAAAAGAATTGGGAGATTGATAGTGTCAGTTTTTCCAAACCAATCTGTAGATCCTATGTAATTCTAATCAAATCCCTAGCAGATTTCCTTTTTGTTTTATTTATTCATTTAATTTGTTTGTTTTGTGTGTGCCTAACTTGACTGATGTATTTAAGTTTAATAAGGAATTAAAATAAAATTAACATTATTAAAATGTCTATACTACCCAAAGTGACATATGGATTAAATGTAATTTATATTAAAATACCAATGGCATTCTTCACATAAATAAAAAAATTCTAAAATTCATATGGAATTACAAAATGTACACAAATTGTGAAAGTAATCCTGAGCCAAAAGAAGAAGTTGGAGGTATCACCCTAGCCGACTTGAAAATATACTACAACTCTATTAGTAAGCAATATAGCATAGTACTGGCATTAAAAACAGATACATAAACAAATGGAACAGCACAGAGACCCAGAAATAAATTTGCACATTTATAGCCAGTTGATTTCAGCAAATGTGCCAAGGACATACAACGGGGAAAGGACAGGTTTTTCAATAATTGACATTGGGAAACCAGATACTCACATGCTGAAGAGTGAAATTAGATGTTTATCACTCACTATATGCAAAACCAACACAAAATTGATTAAAGCCTTTAATTTATGACCCCAAATATGAATCTACTAGAAGAACACACAGGAAAATCTTCATGACATTGGTCTTAGCAATGATTTTCTGGTTATGGCCTCAAAAGTACAGGCAACAAAGACAAAGATAGACAGCTGGGATTTCATCAAACTAAAAAGCTTATGCACAGCGAAGGAAACAATGAAAGATTGAAGGGACAACCTAAAGAATGGAAGAAGATATTTGTAAGTTGTATATCTGATAAGTGGTTAATGTTCAAGATATGCAAGGAATGTACACAACTCAACATCAAAAAAACAAATAACCCAATTTTTAAAATGAGCAAAAGATCTGAATATATATTTCTTGAAAGAAGACATACAAATGGCAACATATACATGTAAAAAAAATGCTCAACATCAAGGAAATGGAATGAAAACCACAATGAAATAGTACCTCACTCCTGTTACAGTGGCTATTGTCAAAAAGCACTAAAGATGAACTGATATTCATGAGAGTGTGGATAGAAAGGGAATACTTGCATATTATTGGTGGCAATGTAAATTAGAATAGCATTTATGACAAATGTTATGGAGGCTTCTCAAAAAATTAAATTAAAAATAGAATTACCATATGATCCAGCAAACCCACTTTTGGGTATATATGCATACAAAATAAAATCAGTATGTCAGAGAGATATCTGCACTTGCGTATTTATTGCAATTCTATTCAAAATCACCAGTATATGGAATCAACCTAATAGGTAAGTGTGTTGAATCAACAGATGACTAGGAAAATAAGATGTTGTTTATATCCAATGGAATATTATTCAGCTATAAAAAAGAATAAAATTATGTTGTTTGCTACAACATGGATGAACCTGGAGGACCTTGTGTTAAGTACAATAAACCAGGTGCAGAAAAACAAATACTACATGAACCTATTTAAATGTGAAATCTAACAAAGTTGATCTTATAGAAGAAGAGAAAGGAATGGTGGTAACCAGAGGCTGAGTGATTAGGGAGGAGGGGGCTTAGGGAGATTTTGGTCAAAGGATGTGTATTAACAGTTAGATAGGAGGAATAAGTTTGAGATCTATTGTACAGCATGGTGACTATAGTTAATGACAGAACATGATATTCTTGAAAAATGCTAAGAGACTGGATGTTAAGCTTTCTCACTGTAAGAATACTTCAAAACATCATGTTGTACACAATAAATTCATCAAATTTTATAGGTCAATTTTTAAAAATACATTTTTAAAATTATTATTTCCTGGACACCAGTATTACCTTATGTTCTAGATTCCATAGGACATGTTTTAATTATCAGTGGTCTTGGCTAATATATTGGCTAAGTAGATGTGATATGGTTTAGACGGACTTGCTACAAAGTTTATTTGGAAAGGTTTAGCTACACAGAGTGATAAATCATGTTATAAACAGGAAAAATTGTCCTGGTTTGATGATTCTCTAATTAGAAAGAGTTAATTTAATAAAAATACATATTTGTAAACCAAAAATATAAGTGCATGGTGAAGTAAACCCATTGCTGATAGTTATGGACTGAGTTATATGCTCCTAAAATTAATGTACAAAATTCTTATGTTGAATAAACCCAAATGTGACTGGTTTTGAAGATAGGAACTATAAGGAGATAATTGAGGTCAAATATGGTCATAAAAGTGGGACTCTAATAGTTAGAACTGTTGTGCTTATAAGAAGTGGCAGAGAGGAAAGACCAGGGCCCTCTGTCTCCCTCTGCATGCACAGATAAGAGGGCATGAGAGGACACAAAGAGAAGGTGGCCCTCAGCAAGCCAGGGAGAGAGCCCTCACTAGATACCTAATGCTGTCACTTAAATCATGGCATTCTAGCCTGCTTTGCTGTGTTAAAATAAACACCTCTTGTCCTAGCCATCCAGCTTGTGGCATTTTGTTATGGCATCCTGAGCTGACTAATAGATTGATTCATGTATTTATTTACATGAATAATACAAATAAATATGTATTCTTTTATAGCTACTTACTAAATTCTTTTTCTATTGAAAAAAACATCATAAACCCACCATTGCCTCCAAAAATTGTGTTGGTTAAATCCAGAAAAAAAAAAAAAAAAAGCCAGCTAACACACTATGGGAGTTAAAAGATGGATGATAGAACATCTTTAGGAGGACATAAAGGAGGACTCCAAGGACAAGCCACGATTTGATTTAGACATTGACAAATTGGGAGCATTTTGACAGTTGGGTATTGTTGTAGGAGGATTCTAACACTGGGAGAAAGATAAACAAGAGTTTGAATGTGAGCAAACAGAAAATATGTTCAAAAACAGCAGGAATCTAATTGGCCTACCTTGTGCTCACTCTCTTTCACAGCAGTGGACAAGTGCTTATGTATTTGGTGTTTGGCTCTGCTGCTCTGTATTTTAGCAACAATAACCATTTAGTGCCCACACTCACTTAAACCCTATGTATTTCAAAATCAGGCTTCACAAATTGAAATATATGCCAAAATTAATCAAATTATAAACTTTAAAATTGATTCTTATATTTAAATTACATTTCAAAAGTCTACAAAATAAACTAAAATGTGTAGATTAAATACTAAATCTTTCAGAAAATTTTAAAAGTGACTTACCATGATGCAAACAAATAACTTTCTATTGTAATTACATATATAAAATAAGTTTAAAAAGGGTAAGTAGTTGTTTTAATCAACTACTATGAATTATTAATATTGCCAATTAAGAATCAACTTTACATACAGAGACCTAAATAATCTGACTTATAATTTGTGATGTAATCAGAATTGAAGATTAAAATTGCTTAAAAAATTTAATGGCAAATTTAAAATTCCAGAAATATGGTTAAAAGCAGAATCTAGGAAAATGAAAAGGTAATTTACACAATAGCAATAGGAGTAACAGAAAAAATAAAATAGTCCACAAGAGTACTGGTGCAATATTATGGTTTGATAAATGGAAGATCTCATGTATGCTGTATTTCCAATTTTTGCTAATTTCAAATTCATGCACATGCTCAAACACAATGTATAACACACTCCATATATTTATATGCATGTTGTTATGAATATATTATAGAAATTATCTAAGTTCAATTTGTATCATTTTCTAGTTTTTTTTACTAAAAAGTGTAGAAAGCTTTACATAATGATACAATAAGATTGCATGCTATAATTTTTTTTTTCAG
Organism: Homo sapiens; assembly: GCF_000001405.40. Taxonomy (NCBI): domain Eukaryota; kingdom Metazoa; phylum Chordata; class Mammalia; order Primates; family Hominidae; genus Homo; species Homo sapiens. The sequence continues at coordinate 66,908,664 of NC_000018.10, read as the reverse complement.
GAAAGAAAGATAAAACATAAAACTGGGAGGAATTACATTATATCTGTAAAAATTCAAGTTGCAGCTCAGATAAAAGCGGAATTTAGTTGGCAAAATAATTAGAAAAAATATCAAGGGTAGGCTATTAAGCATTAGTAGCCAAAATAAAATGAAGTAGGAGCAACATATGCCTGAATCATAGATAAATGTTTATGTTTTTGCTAGCATGTTCATTGGGTTCATAGAAAACCATCAGAAAAAATCTTTGGTGGTTGGGTTGGAAGTAGCCAGTATAGGCTGTTAAGTGCTTTATTGACATAGCTATTTAAGGTTATGGAGATGTATGGCAGTTTTAAATAGGTAATATATGTGACCTATTTTTAGGGAGATTAATCTCCAGGGTTTGATTTCTGTTGTATTTAGCAGGATGAATGGAAAGGGTTATATTTGAGGGAAGAGAAACCAGGAGTTTTAAGGCATTTGTAAAAGTACAGGAGAGGGTATCTACTAGAGTAGTGGATATATGGATTTAGAGCTCAAGAGGAAAAAATAAGTAAATGTGTAATTCATCATACAAGAAATAGCAGCAAAATTCTGGGTGAGTGAAATATAACAAAAGAAGAAAATCCTGCAAAGAATAGATAAAATTGGAGACAGAGTCTTGCAATGCAATGCTGTGTAAGATGAGTACGGAGGGAGAGGGAGCAGAAATTAAGAATGATAAAGACAGAAATCAAAGCAATCCTGCTAAATGTCTATGTCTCTTCAGTTAAATTTGATATTTGGCAATAGCACACTAAATAATAATTTTACTCTTTTCTTTATTAAATATTAAGAATGTTAATAATTCTTAGGTTGAAGAGTTTTTATATGCTGTCAGCTATAATGTCCATTCCTAATTTATATGATATCATTCAGGTTTGGGAAGCTATATCATTATAGAGCAAAATATAACACAATTACCATGCTTAATTGTAGCTCAATGGGAATCATCAAAGCCATTTAAACTGTCTTCTGGGAACAATCAATTTAAATAAGTAATTGTCATAGTGTTAACCTTGATGCATCATAATAAATGCTTCTCTAACAAATGAAAGTATGACAAAGCAAGATGCTTTTGAAAGTGACACTAAAATAATTCCTCTTATCACAGAATAAAATGGAGAGAGTAATCTGACCCAAAATATAATTGGCTCCTGTTTTGATTGAAGTTTTACTATTTTTCTAAATTTAAAATGATACTGAATGGAAATAAATCAGATTAAGTTAAATTTACTCAAGTTTGTCCTAAGTATTCAGTCTAATAATACTGCAAATTAAATATTATCATGCATGCAAATTAATATATTAATTATACAAATGTTTTGATGATTGTTTCAGATATTTTTGTCATAGAAATTTGGTGTTACCTATTATTTCAACTAAATCCAAAACAATAACAAGAATTAGCCATTATTTATTAATTAAAACAGTGCAGAAAAAATGTCAATGTGATTATATAATGGTAATAGTGAATAAGAAAATTATTGGATTTTATATTATGCTGTAAAGATTTTTTAAAACAATGCTTATTAAATTAGTACATTTAAATATGTATTAGCTATATATTGTATTATTAAATACAACAGGACAATGCACTGGTGATTTCAATGGACTTATTCCCTGTATTTAGATCACAAAATCCACAAAGCTTATTCTTTATGCACTTAGAAAATTAACTATGCAGCCATAAAAAAGAATGAGTTCATGTCCTTTGTAGGGACATGGATGAAGCTAGAAACCATCATTCTCAGCAAACTATTGCAAGGACAAAAAACCAAACACCGCATGTTCTCACTCAGAGGTGGGAATTGAACAATGAGAACACTTGGACACAGGAAGGGGAACATTACACACCGGGGCCTGTCGTGGGGTGGGGGTATGGGGGAGGGATAGCATTAGGAGATATATCTAATGTAAATGAAGAGGTAATGGGTGCAGCACACCAACATGGCACATGTATACATATGTAACAAACCTGCATGTTGTGCACATGTACCCTAAAACTTAAAGTATAATAAAAAAAGAAAATTAAAACAAAAAAAGTAATTAGAAAAAAAATGAAGGAAGAAGAAATATGTGGTTCAGTTAATTAGCAACAGATAACTCTTTTTCTTTTTGCCTATGTGCATGCACGGTTGCCTGTGGCAACTGCTGCAATATTTCAGCCTGATAACTACGTAAGTTTAGTCTAACTCAAAAGCAGTTTTATTGTTAAATTATAGTGTGACTCTCTTAAGTTTCTAGCAGTTATTCTATCTTTAGACAGCATTTATAACTATTATGATAACTGAAACTCTCTAAGGGAGTTGAATTAATCAAACTAAAATATTTTTAAAAATCTAGCTCATCTAGATTTTTCTAGATATTTAAATTAATTTTAGAAACTACTGAGAGTAGATAAGTTTAATGCAGTAAGCTAAGAAAATTTTTAAATAAACCAATAATGGACAAAGTAAAGAAAATGGAAAAGTTTTATCCCAGGAATTATCTCCTAAAGATGTTCAGAGTTGGCATTTGTTTCAAATCAATGTTCTTTATTTTTATTGTTTTAATTTACTTTCCTTGGTAATCAATTTAAAGGATCATATATCTTTCCAAATCAGTGGCCATTTTACAATCTGTAAAACTTTGCCATTTAACACTGAGTGAAATCAGATTAATTCTAATTTAGGCAAATCATAGTTACAATAATCTACATAGGAATAGCTCTAAGTTTCCTGCAAAAAAAGGTGAGAGAAAGATGTCTGTAATTGTCAAGATCCTAGGAGGAACTCTAGCAACATACAGACATCGTCACACAACTTTGAAATTTGGCAAACATAAAAAAATTAACTTTAACTGGTAAAGATTTATATCTTTTTATTTCATTTTCCTTTCTTTGACACGTTTCTTTCTGTCGGATTTGTTAAAGAAACAAACTATGGACATATGGAACAACCTGTGTGGATCTTAAGGACGTTATACTAGGTGAAAAATTTCAAAGGGTTAAATACTGTGTGATTTCATTTATGTAGCATTCTCACAGTACAACATTTTAGTGATAAAGAATAAATAACTGGTTACTAGGGTTTATGGTTATGGGAATGAGGTGAGGACTGAGAGATAACAGAAGAGCATTTCTGTGTTGTGATGGGACAATTCAAATCTACACATGTGATGAAACTTTATAGAACCATACACGCACACAGACACACACACAGACACACACACACATACGTGTATGTAAAAAAGTTGCTGAAAACTGAATAAGATCTATATCTCAACTAATTTTATATAAATGTTAATTTCTAATGCTTTTTATAATATACATTGTTTGTATAAGTTATTTTCATTAATGGAAGCTAGCACCTTTGGCCCAGTTCCCAAGTTCCTCATCTCCATCTGAGACCACCTCAGCCTGGACTTTATTGTCCATATCACTATCAAGCTTTGTTCACAGCCATTCAACAAATCTCTAGAAAGTTTCAAACTTTCTCACATTTTTCCGTCTTCTTCTGAGCCCTACAAACTGTTCCAACCTCTGCCTGTTACCCAGTTCCAACGTTGCTTCCACATTTTTGTGTAACTTTTCAGCAGCATCCCACTCTACCGGTACCAATTTACTGTATTAGTTCATTTTCATGCTGCTGATAAAAACATACCCAAGACTGGACAATTTACAAAGGAAGGAGGTTTAACTGGACTTACAGTTCCACATGGCTGGGGAAGCCTCACAATCACGGCAGAAGACAAAGAGAAGCAAGTCACCTCTTACACGGATGGCGGCAAGCATAAAAAGCTTGAACAGGAAAACTCCCCCTAATAATAACCATCAGATCTCATGAGACTTTTTCACTATCATGAGAGCAGCACAGGAAAGACCTGCCCCCATGATTCAATTACTTCCCACCTGGCGCCTCCCACAACACATGGGAATTCAAGATGAGATTTGGATGGGGACACAGCCAAACCATATCAGGGGATGAAGACAGGAATGAAAAGAAGGGGAAGAAAGAGAAGCAGGATAGGGTATCCTTAACAATACTTAAGTTTGTAAAGATCATATGCTGTTCTATTTACAATTCTTACTTTATGAACTTCTAAGTTTGAAATTATTTTTAAATAATATTTTAAAAGAGTTTAATATCTTCATGAGCATGGTCCTCTTATTTCCATTTTGAAAATGTGTTATTCTATGATGTCAAATACAATATTTAAATATCAGTTCAAATTATTCTGGTATCCACCTTAGACATTTAGAATTAAGCTTGACATTGATTCACTTTTCTCTACCTCTTTTGACTTTTTTCCCACTTTTTGGATTTGTTACTTCTGTTCCTCTGTTCTGGGAGAGATTTTATAGTTGTTTTCCATTTAACCCTTCTGAATTGCCTCACTGGCAATTTTGCTTTTTACATTATCCCTTATGTTGTTCACCTTTACTGTTGCAGTTTAGTTATTTATGAATTTTACTTTTTTATATAATGCCTTTATCTGAGCTTCATCATTATTCCCTTTAAAACCTATTCTATTTTCATCTCTTTATGTGCCTTTCTTTTTCCTTAGAAATCAGACCTCTTCGATCTGAAGATTTATGTCAACTGGATACTTTACATCTTAATTAAAATATATTTATTTAGAGTATTTCCTGATATTTTTGTTAATTTTATATTAATTTTAAGTATTAACGTATAAATGAAAATATATTTTTGTAGAAGACTAAGGGTATACTTTTGTCTTGCTTCCACACATTATCCAGTTGGAAGCTTATAGGATTTCCTGCCAGTACTATAGGTTACAGGACACTTTGATACCTGAAAATGTTGAATCTCCAAATTTCCCTGAAATATTTTCTTCTCCCTTGTTGTGGGAGAACAGTGACTCTTTGACTATGAACCATAAAATAATCTCACTAGAAGCAAGTGCCTTATAAATGATGTTTTTCTCCAAAAGATCCATCAGTTTTCCTCCCTTCTTGTTGCAATCCAGTGCCTGTAGCTCAGTTTAGCCAGAGAATAAAAAATAAACTCTTCTCTAGGAAGAAATTACCAAGTCAACAAATAAATCTCTGGGCCTATTTAGTATATACAGACAGGATCTAGGGAAACATATGTAGGAGAGGATGTTAAAAATGTAGAATATAAGGGCTGCCTACATGGTAAACTACTGACAATAAGGTACTCACTCATGACTTAAATATTGTGGCAAAGATACCTGAAGTTGGTACTATTCGTTTATAGATGGTTACTCAAAGCATGGACTTAATTAAGATCCCTATTAAACTAAATGGAGAAACCAAGTCTTCTATATATCAGTGTTGAATAAAAGATTATACAGCTTCTAGAAGTGATAATGTTAGGCTTTATTCATTATATATGGCTGGATAAATTACTTGATTTATTGTATTTGGTCTGTTAACATTTATTTGGGTGGTCCAGAGAATCCTAATTTTATTAAGACAAAAAAGAATGCACTGTTATGGAATGGACCAGGATTTCTGAGAAGCTTGGGAATGGTTTTCCTTCATAGGTCACATATTCTACCACAGATATAGATTCTCAAATAACAGTGGGATGATGTCACTTGCCCTTGTCCTTAATGACAGGGAGACAGGGGGAAGTGGTATTATTTAACACCAGGGGCTAGGTGGACATAACTTCAAATTGTCCTGAGCAGGAGGCAGGCTCTCCTGACCTGCAACAATTTATGGTATTAGATAATAGATCTCGAAGTCACTAGCATTCAGATAGGTAAGTAGCTAATGGTGGTGTTGCTTGATTTATGCAATAAAACAAGAATGGCATTTGGTAGACCCCGAGTTACTTACTGGCAGCAAATCCATATGGGTCTGCAGCAACTTCACTTCTTGCTTCCTCAGAAGAAAAAATTTGACTGAGGGGCATAAGGCAGAAGAAGAGACAGAGGCAAGTTTCAAAGCAGGAGGAAAAGTTTACTTAAAAAAGCTTTAGAAAATAAGGAAAAGAAGGAAAGGAAAGAAAACAAGGAAAGTACAAATTGGAAGAGGACCAAGTGGGCAACTTCAGAAACCAAGTGCCCAGCCTGACCTCTTGACTTGGGATTTTATATGTTGGCATACTTGCAGATCTTGCACTACTTCTCCCCACTTTTGAGATCTTATAGGGAAGCTGCTGATCAGTTTCAGGTGCTTTCTATTTATTAGGAGCCGGCCTTTCCCTGGCACTGGCTGTAATCAATTAGTACTTTAGAGAGACAGTTAACAACAGCCTGACCATCACCTGATGGTTGCCCAACACTCCTGGTGTGTGTGTGTTGTGAGGAACCCTTTCCTGCTCTGCTCACACCTCACAAGCTACCTGCTATAAGATTACCTTGCATAGCAAGAGGGACTTAGAACTGATTAAATTGCAGTTTTTAATGGAGAAATTATCCTGAATTATCCACCTGGGCTCAGTATGATCAAAAAGGACCTTATACATAAAGATGGAGCAGGACAGTAAGAGACAAAGAAGATGTGACAATGGAAACAGAGGTGAAAGTGATGCGGGAACCCATGCCAAGGAATGTAGTATCTTCTAGAAGCTGAAGAGAGCAAGGAAATATATTCTTCCCAAAGTCTCAAAAGGAAATTATTTTGATGTCAACACCTTGATTTTAGCCCCATAGTACCTATTTTGTAGTTCTGACTTCCAGAAAATATGTTGTTGCTTTAAGCCTCAAATTAAGTTATTGCAACAATAAGAAATAAACTAAAGCAACTACCCTACAGTTCTTTTAATTTTAAAATATAAAGGAATAGATATACCTAGTGGCTGGTAGAAGCCACACATTGATTTGTTGCCCCATAAAATAAAAGTTATCTTAAAAAATATCAAGTGAAAGCCCATGAAATCCCCCATACACACACATACTCATGGAATAAATCAAAACTAGGGTCACAAAACTTAATATCCCTTCAAATATTTTTAAAATGCAGAGATAGATTATTTTATCATAGCCATGTTTAATTTACTCCAGAAACAATGTGGATGCTGCAGAAACAATGGATCATGCTCAATAGTGTGGACAACAATGAATGTAAATAGGTCATCTCTCAATTGCCCTTGCTGTACTGCCTGTTGTATGCTTAGCAGAGCAGGTGGGCCTGGCTTCAGATACTTGGCATACAGCTATCACTTTATTAAATACTTTGTTCTCAGTACACATGAGGAGGGGAAATAAAAAACAGGTTGCCATTACATGGCAAAAAAAAAAATATTTGATGTCTGGATGAAAGGGCATTTTAATTATACCACTCTGTGTACTCATATGGTATAAAGTCATCTGAATCATGTTGACCTTCCAAAGAACATCATGCTAATTAATATATTGATGAAAGATAGTAGGAGAAAAGCCTCATATTTGGTGGAGGACACAAAACTCCAGTTTCCCAGCGCAAGCCCACACATCGGTTCAATGTAAAAGTTAAGATGCTGCACCTCATACCTTCTACTAATAATAAAAAGACACAGAGTTTGGTGGAACTTTGTTTATTTTGGAGACAACACACATTATACTTTGGAATATAGCTTCAGTCCACTGTTTCATAGACTCTGAAAGCTGCTGGTTTCACATAGTTACCAAGGCAAGATTAAGCAATGCAATAGCTCCATGCCACAGGCCAGCTGCTCTACCCTTTGTGGACTTTGATCCAGACTATACAATGGTGGTAGAAGTATTTAGTGTATGGAGGCTCTGAAAATACCCAGCTAGGGAATTAACACAGAATCCCTAGGATTTGGCAGAAAGTATATCTTCCAAAGAGAGAAGTGTTATGCTTGAAAAATAGCTTAAGAGTTCTGATGTCAGCAACAATATGTAAAGACCTTGGAAGCTGCCTCTTTCATCATTAGAAGAAGAAATAGCTGAACAAACTGTAAATTTATTACTTTTTCTTCAACTAATCAGAGGAATTAAGGGTGGAGTAAACTATCACCCTTAAATCCAGAGAGACAGGTGCACCCATAGAGACCCAGCTGTTGAGATGTGCTTATATGAATTGGAAGCTACTGGAGCAATAAACTGGTAGAAACACTTAAATAGTAATTGACAAATAGATGAAGGCTGAGTTTTCAAATAAGAAACTTCTACAAGTCATGGTGTTAGAGAAGTTCTCACATTTTCCTGGGCATTCCCTCCAAAAATCCTACCAGGTTGTCATGCTGAAAATCAGAGAATGTGCGTTTTGTGCCTCTGGCAGAGGATGAGGAATAGCAACCATTGTGAAACATGCCCAGACACTTTCTCTAGAGCCAATGCTTACACTCTAGGAGAAAAGATTTCATGAGCTTCACCAGAGCATACTTTCAAAACCTCATCCCAATGGCTGCAAGAGATTTCTTCCCACTCCAGCCCCTTCTAGAGTTCCTGTCTCCTGTGAGTGGGAGAAAAATATTTAACAGAGGATAGGGCTCTAAAAAAGGTATTGGAGACACTGTGCCAGGCTAAAAGAGTAGGAGGCAAGGGACACACACTATGTAAGTGAAGTAGGGACAGAAAATCTGGTAAAGTCCCTAGGACTGAGGACCACCAAAAGATGGAGAGTTAATCAGAATATTCGAGAACACTCTCCTCCCCCACACTTTATCACCACAACAACAGGGTTCCAGTTTAATAACAGTGGATTTGACTAGAAAGAGTGCTGATACTTCTAGAAGCAGTTTATAGGAAAGACTCAAGAAAGTTGAAAAAACAAAACAAAACTGAACATTAGATCTTAGAGACTCTGATACCCATACCTACAATAAACATTAAACACAAACCAACTTCTAAATCTCACAATAAAGTCTTATTTCCTCAGTTTCTATTAGCTGATACAGATTCTCCTGCTGTAATTTATCAGCAGGACAATAAATTACAGCAGGACAACCTGTATGCCTCGTCCTGGCAAATCACAATGCACAACAAAAGGCAAAAAGAAAAAAAATGATTATAGTTAAGAGGATAGAAAGTAAGAATCACAGCCAGACTCAGATATGACACAGATGTTAAAATTATTGGACAGAAAATTTATAACAGCTATTTATAATACATTAGGTATTCTAATAAAAAAGGTAAACAACATATGAGAACTTGGATGAAGAAAGATCAAAACTGTAAGAATATTTGAAAATTACATACCGGATAATATTTTAGTGTTGAGAATACATAAAACCTATAACTCAACACCTAAAAGACAAAGAACCCAATTATGAAATGGGCAGAGTTGGGGTAGAAATTTCTTCAGAAAAGATATACAAATCCAACAAGCACATGAAAAAAATGCTGTTTGATTAGTTCTCAGGGCAATAAATAGCAAATCCATGTCCAATAGGACAACTTCATGTCCAATAGGAAAGTTGTAATAATATTAATTTTAATAATAATAATAATAAACAGAAAATAAGTGTTTGTGAGGCTGCAGTGAAATTGGAACACACACATTTCTCGTGAAAATGTGAAATGGTTTCATCATTGTGAAAAAAGTTCGATAGTTCCTCAAATATTAGAACATAGAATTACCATATAACTGGGCAATTCCACTCCCAGATCTAGGCATAAAGAATTTAAAATGAACATTCACACAAAAACTTGTACATGAATGCTCATATCAACACTAATCTCAATAGCCAAAAATGAAAACAATAAAAATATCCATCAAATGATGAAGAAACCTAATGTTCTATAGATATACACTAGAATATTATTTGGCCATAAAAAGGAATGAAGTACATACTGATACTTGCAAAAACATGGATAAATCTTTAAAATATTATACTAAGTCTGGTGGTGAATGTAACAAATGCCACTGAATTTTATATATTAAACTGGTTAAAATAATAACTTCTATGTAAATTTTTCATTGATAAAAATATGCTAAAAAGGCAACGTCAAGGTAAAAGACATGCTATACTAACATGAATCAAAAGAAATCTGGGGTAGCTATATTGATTTTAGACAAAGCTACCTTCAGAACAAAAAGAATCATCAGTGATAATGAGGAGAATTATATAATGATGAAAGGGTCAATTTTCCAAAAAGACAAAACAATATAAGTGGTAATGCACCTAAAAAAAGAGTGTCAAAATGCATGATGCAAAATATATAAAATGAAAAGAAAAATAGACATCCACTACTTTAGTTAGAGACTTCAATACCCCTTTGTCAGTAACTGGCAGATCACACAGGCAGAAAATCAGTAAAGGTACATTTTACCTGAAAAACACTATGGAGAAACTTGATCTATTGACATTTATAAGATGCTCCATCTAACAACTGCATAAAACACATCGTTCTTAAGCACACATAAAACATTCACTGGGATAGATCATATTCTATGCCACAAAATACAGTCTCATGATTTTTTTTTTAAGTTATACAATATATGTTCTCAGGCCACTGTGTAATTATTCTAGAAATCAATAAGGAAAGATGGCTGAAATGCATCCTCCAAATATTTGGAGATTAAATGATATACTTTCACATAAATATGGTTGGAAGCAAAAGTTCTAAAAAGTAAACTAAATTAAAATAAAATTTATGAAAAATTGTGGGATGCTGAGATAAAGCAGTGTTTATAAAAAAAAGGTGCTAAATTCATAGATAGAGAAGAATCAATTAAAAGCTGTACCCTAAGATCCCATCTTACAAAACTAGAAAAAAGCAAATAACACCTAAAGCAAGCAGGAAAAAAAGAAACAACAAATGTTAGAGCAGATATCAGTGGTACAGAACAGCAGTCCTCAAACTTTTTGGCAACAGGGACTGGTTTCACAGAAGACAATTTTTCCACAGATGGTTGGGGGTTGGGAGGATGGTTTCAGGATGAAACTGTTCCACCTCAGATCATCAGGCATTAGTTAGATTCTCATAAGGAGCGTGCAACCTAGATCCCTCACATGCGCAGTTCACAATAGAGTTCAGGCTCCTATGAGAATCTAATGCTACATGACTGATCTGACAGGAGAAGGAGATCAGGCGGTAATGCTCACTCAGCCCCTGTTGCGTGGTAGGGGGCCTGGGGGTTGGGGATTCCTGATATGAAAAACAGAACAATAGAGCAAATCAATTACATGAAACTGATTTTAATATATCAATGAAATTGATTAAACTCTGAGCAGAACAGTCAAGGAAACAAAAGTACCAAAATCATAAATGAAAGAAAAGTCATCAATACTTACTGCACCAACATTAAAAGATTAAAGGAATACTACAAAAAACTATGTCTACACTTGATACTTAGATGAAAATGGACCAATTTCTTAAAAGATGCAAACTACCAAAACCCATAGAAGGAAAACTATTAGGATGGTACAAAAGTAATTGTAGTTTTTTCCGTTGTTGGAATTTGTCATTTGATATTGGAATACATTCCTAAATAAATGTGGTTATGTTAAACATCATTTAAGTGGGCATTTATTGCTTTATGTTTTTTGGCTAATTACTTATTACCTGCTATTTATTTTATGTTTATTTTAGACTATGGAAATCGTGTTAGACAAAAAACAAATTTGATCAATTTTCCTATGAGAGTTCAAAATGGGTTGTAAAGCAGTGGAGAGAACTTGCAACATGAACAACACGCTTGGCCCAGGAACTGCTAATGAGCGTACAGTGCAGAGGTGGTTCGAGAAGTTTTGCCAAGGAGATGAGAGCCTTGAAGATGAGGAACATCGTGGCGGGTCATAGGAACTTGACAACAACCAACTGGGAGCAATCATTGAAGCCGATCCTCTCACAACTATATGAGAAGTTTCCGAAGAACTCAACGTTGACCATTCTACAGTCATTCGGCATTTGGAACAAATTGGAAAGGTGAAAAAGTCTGATAAGTGAGTACCTCATGAGTTGAGCAAAAATAAAATAAAATAAAATAAAATCTTCATTTTGAAGTGTCTTCTCTTATTCTACACAATAACAAACCATTTCTTGATACGATTGTGATGTGTGATAAAAAGTGGACTTTATATGACAACCGGTGATTACCAGCTCAATGGTTGTCCCAAGAAGAAACTCCAAAGCATTTCCCAAAGCCAAACTTACAGCAAAAAAGGTCACGGTCACTGGTGGTCTGCTGCTGGTCTGATCCACGATAGCTTTCTGAATCATGGCGAAACCATTACATCTGACAAGTATGCTCAGCAAATCAATGAGACACACTGAAAACTGCATCACCGGCAGCTGGCATTGGTCAACAGAAAGGGCTCAATTCTTCTCCATGACAACTCCCGACCACGTGTTGCACAACCAACACTTCAAAAGTTGAACAAATTGGACTAGGAAGTTTTGTCTCACCCGCCATATTCACCTGACCTCTTGCCAACTGACTACCACTTCTTCAAGCATCTCAATAACTTTTTGCAGGGAAAACACTTCCACAACCAGCAGGATGCAGAAAATCCTTTCCAAGAGTTCATCTAATCCCAAAGCACAGATTTTTATGCTACAGGAATAAACAAACTTATTTCTCATTGGCAAAAAATGTGTTAATTGTAATGGTTCCTATTTTGATTAATAAAGGTGTGTTTAAGCCTAGTTATAATGAATTAAAATTCATGGTCTGAAACCACAATTACTTTTGCACCAACATAATAGATAATATGAAAAACATTAAATGTACCAGAAAAATAGAAATAATAATTAAAAGCTTTCCAGTAAAGGAGGGGTTTTCCATTAGCAGAGGACAATTCTGTAAGGAAGGAGATTGCTGTGTGAGCCATTAGCAATCAATGTTGACAGCAGATGGGAGAGTGTCATACCAGTCTGTGACAGTGGAGCTGGCCAGGATACAATCACCATCTCTTACATATATACAGAGGGAGTTCTTTTCACACCTCCAAGGCTGATGTTCCATTGTTTGATCACTGTGATTGCTTTCAGCTAGTGTCTCCTCTCACTGGTCAGAACCCTTGCCATGTTAAATATTTGGAATGCCTCCCCTAGAGAATGTAAAGTGAGTACATCAAAGTAGCAGTGAGATATAAAAATCTGCAGCTTAGCTACTTTCAAGGGAAGATAAGAACAACCAAAAAAAATCATACTTGTAAGGCAAAAATTAGGCTAGGTTGAATCCCCATTGTGAGTAACTCTACAGCATTTTCTTTCCCTCTCTCTCACACACACACAGTAACAGTAATACTTCTGCATACACATTACTTATAAATTTTGATAATAGTTATTTTATTTTCATACAAATTATGCATTAATTTTGAATTCATACATAGCAGATGATGGAGCTGAGGCAATTATCAACTATATAAGCAACAGCATATAATTTAAAAATAGTGAGGATGTGAAGACGATACGCTTCATCTGCAATGACAGGGATATGTGATTTAAGAAACAAGCCTGTCAATAAAATGTTATAATTCAGGAGAAACCAGATATTTTACAATAATACCCAATTCCAACACATGTTTAAAACAAATACATTGACAGAATAATAGAGATAATTTTTTAAATTATTTTGTAAATTTATATACAAAGCAATAAATGAATTTGTAAATCAAAAATAATATTCTAAGCTCCCCAACCAACTAAATGGGCCCCTCCTCTTTTCCAAGGGCATTTCCCAGTTAACCAGAAAAACTAGTTCAGGCCATGATGGGAAGAGGGAGTCAGACGTGCCTCATCATACGCTTCTCCCTTTTGAAATTCAGGCCCCATGACCAGCATTCACATCAGCACAGACCTTAAGACTGATGGACCTTTAAGTCTTTTTTCTTTTTTTTTTTTTAAATTTTTTTAGTATTTATTGATCATTCTTGGGTGTTTCTCGGAGAGGGGGATTTGGCAGGGTCATAGGACAATAGTGGAGGGAAGGTCAGCAGATAAACATGTGAACAAAGGTCTCTGGTTTTCCTAGGCAGAGGGCCCTGCCGCCTCCCGCAGTGTTTGTGTCCCTGGGTACTTGAGATTAGGGAGTGGTTATGACTCTTAATGAGCATGCTGCCTTCAAGCATCTGTTTAACAAAGCACATCTTGCACCGCCCTTAATGCATTTAACCCTGAGTTGACACAGCACATTTTTCAGAGAGCACAGGGTTGGGGGTAAGGTTATAGATTAATAGCATCCCAAGGCAGAAGAATTTTTCTTAGTCCAGAACAAAATGGAGTCTCCTATGTCTACTTCTTTCTACACAGACACAGTAACAATCTGATCTCTCCTTCTTTTCCCCACATTTCCCCCTTTTCTATTTGACAAAACCGCCATTGTCATCATGGCCCGTTCTCAATGAGCTGTTGGGTACACCTCCCAGACGGGGTGGTGGCCGGGCAGAGGGGCTCCTCACTTCCCAGACGGGGCGGCTGGCCGACCTTTAAGTCTTATAAGAAATATTTACAATCTATACTGTCTGAACCCTGCTACCTGGAGGCTTCATCGGCATGATAAAACCTTGGTCTTCACAAACCCTTATCATAACCCAGACATTCTTTTCTATGGATTCCAGGTCTTTAGATAATAACTCTTTCAGCCGATTGCCAGTCAGAAAATCTTTGAACTGCTTATAACCTGGAAGCCCTCCACTTCCAATTGTCCCACCTTTATGGACCAAACCAACGTACATCTTAGGTGTATTGATTGATACTGTATGTATACTTAATATGTATAAAACCAAGTTGTAGCCTGACCACCTTGGGCAAATGTTCTGAGGCTCTCCTGAGGGCTGTGTCATGGGCCATTGCTCACTCACATTTGGCTCAGAATAAATCTCTTCAAATATTTTACAGAGCTTGACTCTTTCCATTGGCAATAATTCAGCACCCAATATGGGGCGTCAGAGAAGATTTGGGACCCTGAAGAAGTTGCCCAAACTCAGAGCTAAGTTAAAAGCCGGTGCCCATTAAAAGCCTCCCCAGTGTCAAGCTTCTTCATTGGTGGAAATGGCAAATCTGCCTGAGCCCCAGACCTCCCATTTGGTTGATGGTCCTTGATTTATTCTGAGCTGGTTTTATTTTTCCTCCTAGGAAGTTGTTGTTTAGGATACTATTTCTAGTTTGGTTGTTGGGATCCTAATCCTAGTTTGGAGGTGTATTCTAAAGGGTCTTCTTCGTTGCCTTTTTCTAAAAACAAGGGGAATTACCCCCCTTTGGGCACCTCATTTGGTTTCATGTTCGGGGGTGCATTCTAAGGAGTCTTCTCCATTGCTTTTTCTCCCAAAATTAAGCTGGGTTGCCCTGTCTGTGCATCTCTGTGAGGAACTGAACTGTCACTTTCATAGATGTGTGTTGGAGGGAGCTCCTTAGTTCTGAAAAGAAAGGGCATTTAGCTCCTGTCAGCAGAAAGGTGCCTCTGGGTGACCATAGGGCCAAGTGGGAGAGTCTGGAGGGTTGACCTCCGCAATTTGCAGCAATCCTACAAGGAACACCCCACAACAAAACGAGTTTAAGATGGTTCATCCAGGAAATGCATGTAAGAGCTGTTCACTCAGTGTTTTGAGCCCTCTCAGAGGTGATGGACTTCTGAGAGAGAAACTGAGACATTAAGAGGGTGTAAATAACTCAGTGCTCACACACTGTGGAGTCCTGCCCACACTCAGCACACATCCATCCACCACATGCAAAAAACCCGAGGGCACAATTCAGTTCCTCTTAAGAAAAAAAAAAAAGTTGGAGTCAAATAATCTAAGAATGAGGAACAACAAAGATAATGACCCACATTTGGGCATCCCATTGGTTTTAAGGTGCCTCTATGTGCAAGTGCTAATATAAATAGAAAAGTTCAAGAGCATGCCAGTCTTCTTAGTACTCCTGCTGGTTGCATATTATGGCCTATCATACACATTTTAAACTGCTGGGCGAATTATATCAGAGAAAAATTCAGAACCCAAAGGTGGACCTACAACTGCAGAGCTCCTAAGTTTCTTTCTTTCCTTCCTCCCTCCCTGCCTCCCTCCCTCCCTCCCTCCCTCTCTTCCTTCCTTCCTTCCTCTTTCCTTATTTTTTCTGCCTTCTTTAAATTGGCTGTTACCTTTACACTGAGATAAAAACCACTGTTTGGGCCGGGCACGGTGGCTCATACCTCTAATCCCAGCACTTTGGGAGGTCGAGGCTGGCGGATCACGAGGTCAGGAGATAGAGACCATCCTGGTTAACACGGTGAGACCCCACCCCGTCTCTACTAAAAATACAAAAAAGTAGCCGGGCGTGGTGGTGGGCGCCTGTAGTCCCAGCTACTCCAGAGGCTGAGGCAGCAGAATGGCGTGAATCCAGGAGGCGAAGCCTGCAGTGAGCTGAGATCGCACCACTGCACTCCAGCCTGGGCAACAGAGGGAGATTGTCTCAAAACAAAACAAAAAAACAAAAAAGAAAAAAGAAAAAGAAAGAAAGAAAAAAAGGCCGGGCGCAGTGGCTCACACCTGTAATCCCAGAACTTTGGGAGGCCGAGGCGGGTGGATCACGAGGTCAGGAGGTCGAGACTATCCTGGCTAACAAGGTGAAACCCCGTCTCTACTAAAAATACAAAAAATTAGCCGGGCGTGGTGGCGGGCGCCTGTAGTCCCAGCTACTCGGGAGGCTGAGGCAGGAGAATGGCGTGAACCCGGGAGGCGGAGCTTGCAGTGAGCTGAGATCGCACCACTGCACTCCAGCCTGGGCGACAGAGCGAGACTCTGTCTCAAAAACAAAACAAAACAAACAAAAAATAAACACTGTTTGGATCCAACCTATTTTTTTCCTTTGTTTATTTTTTTTTATAAACTGGTGAGTTTGTATTAATATCTCATGACTAGAGTTCTGAAGTAAAAGCTATAGGATATTTGTATGAGTACGCATAACTGTGTAAGTGTATGTACATATGCTTTGTTATGTATTATGGCCACAAGGTACCAAATTGGCTTAAAGTTAAGGAGTACTCATAAATTAAGTAAATAATAAGCCCAAATGCTTTTTAAGTTTATGTGACTTGAGTAAAATATTTAACAAATAAGCTGGCTTTAAAATTATTATTGGTAACGTAATATTAGAAGTGTCCTAAAAATTGTCAGCATTTTTTTTCAATTTATTGATGAAGCAGTTTCCTGCTTATCCTTGCCAAATACAATAAAGTGTCAAATTTAGCATAAGGGTTATAAAACTATAAACCCAGTGCAAAACAGAATCATCTTTGCTTGTGTAGTTATTGATAGTTAAGACATTTAATATTGTTGGTTTAATGAAAACAGCTAAGTCCTGAGTTATTGGTAAAATTTCCAAATATTTACCCGTAGGTTTCTTACCTAGGTAGACATCTGAAATTCATAGGCTGTAAAAATGGTTAACAAGAAGATACCTTTAAATAATGACTATCACAGTTTTCATAAGTAATCTAGGCAAAATACTAAAAATAAATATATCAATCAGGTAAATGTAATAAAATAAATGCTTACAAACAAATGTCATAATTGAGAATCTAAAGTTATATCAAATTGAATAATAGATATTCATCAAATGTCTGGGTAATTTTCAATTTAAAAAATTATAGTATAGGAAAGCATTTTCCTAAACAATATACTTACTAAAATGTAAATAAAAATAAATTTTGTTTTACTCAAAGGTTATTTAAAGGTTATAAATAAAACAAGGTAACAGGAACCAGGAAATAAGAGACATAAAGAAAGTTATATATATATATACACATACGCAGAGATATTTTCGGTAAGAAAGGTTAAAAGAAAAATGACTTTGTGTGAGAGAGAATTTTGTATGGTAAATTTTTGTCCTAAAATGACATGACTGATTTAAGAAGGATTTAGGACAAATCAGAAAGTCCTGGCAAGTTGTGAATGCCCTAAGTTGTAGAGAGGTAAGTAAAACAGGAATTTATTTTAAAAAGTTCTATAATTAAGTTGGCTATAATTTTTAAAAAGTCTTCTTAGAAATTGGGCTTGATTTTATTAAAATATTGACTTACTCTTAATGCAAGAAGTTATTAACTTTTAACTTGTATAATCTGTTTCTTTTGGAAATTTTTCAATTTAATATCTCAGAAGTTCAACTCTTGCTGTACACTGCTACTTCAGTTCTTTATTTACTTCCCTTTTGCTGTGATAACTTGTTTCTTCAACTTTTGTTGACTCCTGTAACATTATTTTTAATAGTCTAATGTAAGGGATATAATTTTTTTGAAAATAGGCAATTGCAAAATCTTATAGGAGCTGCTTCTGTCTGTATGTTATGGTTAAATATTTATATGTGTCATGTGGAAGTGATATTTCACTACCAAATTATATGAAAAAGTTCTAATCAACTGGCTTAAGAAAAAGTAAATGCTTTTCAGGCTAGTAAAAGCTAGCTCTGATGATTTTAGCATCAGACTTTAGCAATATTTGGTAAGATTAATTTGGTAAATTTAATCTCAAATTTATCTCCAGTAGTGTAAAGTCTTAAAGTCATGTTATGTAACCTCAGTTTTTTTTTTCCACTGGGAATTGGGTTAAAATTTATCTAAGAGTTGAAATAATAAGAAAGTATACTATATTTGGTGAAGTTTATAAAAATACAGGGATGTAGTTTTTTTTCTAAAGAAATTTAACATTTTTCTAGCTTAGAGGTTAAGAGTTCCTTTAAAATAAGTAAAAAAATTATATAAATAAAACTAAATGAATAAAGAGAAACATAGCAAGGTGGAGAATGAGAAAACTTTGACTCTGGGTATGTTAGCCCATTGTCACACTGCTATAAAGAACTACCTGAGACTGGGTAATTTATGAAGGAAAGAGGTGTAATTGACTCACAGTTCCACAAGCTTAACAGGAAACATAACTGGGAGCCCTCAGGAAACTTAAAATCATGGCAGAAGGCAAAGGGGAAGCAAGCACATCTTACCATGGTGGAGCAGGAGAGAGAAAGAGAGAGCTGAAGTGCTACACACCTTTAAACCTCAGACCTCATGAGATGTCATCCACTATCACAAGAAAAATGAGGGAGAAATCTGCTCCCATGATCCAATCACCTTCCACCAGTTTCCTCCCCCAATATTGGAATTACAATTCAGCATGAGATTTAAGTGGGGACACAGAGCCAAGCTCTATCAGATGGTTAGTAAGAAATGAAATAAATAGAATGATAAATGATGGGATTAAAACAGAAGTCTTTACAACAGTATCGAAGGTTGGGTTGATGGAAGGGAATCTTTGCTGATTCCCTACCATTCAAGATCCCCACATCAGTTTACTGCATTTGCCCCATATTGGAGAAATTTGAGAAAAATCAAATGCCAAAGGCTCTAATGAGAAAGCTGACATTGCCTGGGAGCCATGCTGAGGCAAATTAAGATCAAGATTAACAAAAGGATGTGAGTCCCTGGCTCAACCCCCTGCTGGGAACCTGAATCTTTTTTTTTTTTTTTTTTTTTTTTTACCAGAAAGGGTAAAATGGTTTGTGGGTAGAGAAGAGAAATCCTAGAACACAAAAATGTAAAGGTTGATAGGATTATGACATTTGAGATGTTTACACAGGTTTTATGTAAGGTAGTTATGAGTCCTTTACCTAAATGTCTTACAAAAATAGATATTATATCTGACTAGGGAATGTTTCCCCTACCTAGTACCATGAAACGGAAGGCATGTAAATCTGTCCTTTGAGAAATGTTAACTGGACATAGTGAATGGACACTAGTAAGACTGCCTGAGCCCAGGAGCTGTAGCACTGGTTGGGACAAATTATCTACTTGGTAGCTCTTTGTGGAGTGTTTACTGGGGCTTATGGCAAAAGCCAGTGAAAACTTCCCAGTGACAACTACTGAGACTTTGTACTGGAGAATTTTCACTTGAGGGACATGTACCACCTTGTTATGAGATGCTAACTGAAACTATCCTATGCTAATAGGAATCATAGTGCCCAGAAGAGTTCCATGATAAAATAAAAACGGTTTATATCGGATCTTGCTACCTGGGGATGCAAGTAAGAGAAACTCATGAGCAAGGATCCTCTTTTCTTCCTCTAACACTGACTCTATGTGAGAAGCTATTACATTCTACTGTGCCTGATAAACAGCTCTCACCTGACAAGAGCTGCCTGGCTCTTGAATGGCAATTCCAAGGTGAACAAACATCTTTTTTGGAATGCTACTGCTGTGATTAAAGAAGAGTCAAGGAAATCCTTTTCTTTTGAGTTATTTATACTTTAGAGCATTTGGGTAAAATATGTTTTGGGGAGCCTTTCTGAGCTGTCCAAAATTTGGAAACTATTTGTGAATGTTCTCATCTTATGACAATATAGTTATTTGCATAAGTTAATTAAGAGTCTTTAAAAAAATAAAATAAAATAAAAAAGGACAATTGGAGACACTGGTTATTTTACCAAGGCTTTGACTAGAATAATATATTTTAGGTAAAGTTCCAGCAAAGCCAACTCGAAAAAAGCCTACATGACCAATCATTTCTTGCTGCACTTTATGTAAATAATCAGGCCAATATCATAAGCCTGAAACTTACTCTGCACACAAATTGGTCTTACTACAATTTCCTTTAGTAAAAAAGGAAGGCTAGAGTGAGAGAAATTGTTTCAAAGGAAAACTGTAACACCTGTTATTAGTTTTCTGCTCTGACTTTTATTTTTGAGTGCAGATTGAATCATGAATTACTCCTTGGCTACAATAATACTCTAAAGGAGAACGAGGTTATAATTTTTCCTTGTGTTTGTAGTTGGTGCCCTAATAGAATAGGTTCCTTTTTCTGCTCTGACGCACACATATTTTGTCAAATTATTAATGTTATTTGTCGCTCATAGTTGTACTTCTGAGAAAACCAGAATCATGATATTCTGAAAACTAGAGATGATTTGCCAAAAGCCTGTGAATGTTCCTCGTTTAGAATCACACTGGCCTGATCTGTTTTTCACAGCAAATTTCCTGCTGCTAAAACTATTCAAGCACCCTCTCTCTAGGTCTAGGGACGATTGTGGAAGAGGTGGGCATGTGAGATTATAAAAGCCAGTTTTGAGGGATAGGATTAGTTCAGATCCTTCAAATCAAGGAATGCTACACAGAATGCCTAAACAGCTAGTAAAAGAAAGGACTTTGCCTCCTGGGTTATTACCTGGCACCTTTTCACCAATCTCAACCATAAAGTATTTTCTGCTTCTCATAGAGTTTAAAAGAAAATTACTACTGAGAGGATATAAAGATACCTCATGGCAAAGCCTCCTGGTATGTATAATACACCTAGTTATGAGAATTATGCAGCTACATATATATTAACAGATTTTTTTTTTTAAATCAGCCACTTTAGGACAAAGTTCTAAAAGATCACAGAAAGCATTGTGGCACAAAGAAGGTCTCCAAATTCATTAGCTTAAAAGGTTTTAACAATGCTTATGTTTTTTATAGCTAATTACTGTAAGTCTATAAATAAAACCAAGATTACAGTAGCTCAATATATAGAAATTAAAGACAGACAAGTCAACTTTCAAGCTCACCATTGGCTTTATATTTGCTGGCTTTTGTATTACTTTACAAATTTTAAGGGTTAATTAATGCCTGTCCATGTCCATTCCTGCCTGGCCTAGAACATTGAAATTGGCTATAAATCTTTTGTCTCTAAGTCGTTTGGTCATAGGCGTTCCACCAAGGAACGGGGTGGACTCAGGGTAGGCAGCCATGCCACCTTGGCAACACTACGGGACAAAATAAAAGTGTGATAGCCATTGCTGCCTCTTGCAAATCTTGGCCAGAAGGGGGAGAATGTAAACCAAAAATAAAATTCTAACCACCCCCTCCACCCACCCCCACCATTTGAATGCAATCCTCCTCTTGGCCAAGGGCATTCCAAAATTAACCTGAAAAACTAGTTCAGGCCATGATGGGAAGCAGAAGTAGGACATGCTTCATTATACACTTATCCCTTTTGAAATTCAGGTCCCACTGACCAGCATTTACATCAACACAGAACTTCAGACTGATAGACTCTTTAAGTCTTACAAGAAATGTTTACAATCTATCCTGTCTGAATCCTGTAACCTGAAGGCTTCATCTACATGACAAAACCCTGGTCTCCACAACCTTTTATCATAACCCAGGCATTCCTTTCTATTGAGTCCAGGCATTAGATAATAACTCCTTCACCCAATTGTCAATCAGATAATTGTTGAATCCACTTTTGACTTGTAAGACCTCACTTCCAGTTGTCTGACCTTTCCGGACAGAACCAACGTACATCATAAATGTACTAATTGATGTCTTATGTCTACCTAAAATGTATAAAACCAAACTTTAGCCTGACAATTTTGGGCACATTTTCTGAGGATCTCCTGAGAGCTGTGTCACAAGCCACTGGTCACACATATTTGGCTCAGAATAAATCTCTTCAAATATTTTACACAGTTTGACTCTTTTGGTTGACCTACGTATCAAAACTAATGGCAATCCAACACTAGTTATAATTAAGATCCTTATTACCTTCTTGGGTAATCTAGTTTTGACCTATTAACCAGATACTGTTTAAACAATTTTAAGAAAAGTATTTGCCTCATTAAAATTACTTAATTATTTATAAATAATGACTGAAATGGCATACTTCAAGAGAGAAAATAATTGAGAAAAATAATTTTTGAGTCAAGGGGTGAAACCCCTATATATTTTGTGCTATGAGTGACTAACTTCCTTTACACAAATTTGTTATAATATTCATCAGTTACAATAATGTAGCTGGAATATGAAACTCGACCAAAAGGTTCAAAAATTACAAATCTAGATAAAACATACAACCTTATTTTATTACACTACTTTTAAAGAACATAACTAATAACAAACATATATAACTCATTTCAATGAGCTGCAGCATATCTCTTTATGTTTGAATTGTTTCCATGATATGGACCAGGAAACAAAGACATGTACAAAGGTGATAATTGTGCACAAATTATAAACTTGATGTTTTTCTTCACCTTTACTCTCTACCAACTAGCTCCAGGTTTCTAAATTAACTAGAGCTCATATTTTTTTATTCTGGTAATAGTTTTTAAAAATTTTATTCAATTTTATTAACTTTTTTGTTGTTGTTTGTTCATATCTGTGTAAGCAAGGTTTACATTTGTTCTGGGCTAAAGAGCATTATTCAAAGATGTGAAAATTGGTTTCATGGCAGTCCTCCTATTAAACAACATGAAATACCAGGTTTAGTCTCTAAACAGGCATGCAACAGACAAAAAAAAGATAGTAATTTGATTCTTAGTTAGATGGTGCATAACTAGGAAAGCACCCATATGCCTTTAAAGAAAAGAAGGAGTTTGTCAACCTTATCATGAAGTAATTAGTGATCACATATAAATCATCATAGACCTGAGATTCTTTAAAACTGAAATAACTTCAATCAATCTTAGGTTAAATATGAGAAGAAGGCATTTGTCTTTATATTTTAGCCATAATAGCTATTGAAAACATATGACATTTTTTAAGAGAATACTTCTTTTTAGTATAAAAAAACTTATACTTTTAACTCAAAACTATACAATATAAATATATTTGTTATAAGAAGTGGCATCTTCAGCATTCTATTATAATGGCAAGACTGCAATTACATTTGCATCAAACTTATAACTGCAGAGAACGTTGCCCACTATTTTATACCACACAACAGTATTCTTAGCCAGATTACATCTATCTATCTATCTATCTATCTATCTATCTATCTATCTATCATCTATCTAGCTAGCTATCTATCTATAGAACTAATGGGAAGGTTTTACCATGTTTGGATGAACCAAAACATTTTATGACAAGAGTTTGAAAAATTACCATTATCTACAACTCTTCAACTTGTTTTGTAGGTGTGCTATTTCCTTGTGTTTGAAAAAACTTTTGCATATACTCATTATTTTTTATTATTATTATTATTATTATTATTATTGTTTTCAGATGAAGTCTCACTCTGCCACCAGGCTCGAGTGCAGTGGCACGATCTCGGCTCACTGCAACCTCCACCTCCTGGGTTCAAGCAATTCTCCTGCCTCAGCCTCCTGAGAAGCTGGGACTACAGGCGCGTGCTACCATGCCCAGCTAATTTTTTTATTTCTAGTAGAGGCGGGGTTTCGCCATGTTATCCAGGATGGTCTTGATCTGTTGTTCTTATGATCCGCCTGCCTCAGCCTCCCAAAGTGGTGGGATTACAGGTGTGAGCCACTGTGCTCGGCCACATATATTCATTATTTTACCCAAACATATTTTTCTCCATTATAACTTTATGTGTGAGAACACTTTATGTACAAGATATTCAAAAGCCCCACAATTTGAAGATACATATTTTACAAATCATACAATAGAGTAAGAATGCTTTATCCATAAAGAAAAGATGAATCCAACTGAAGTGGGATATACATAAATGACATTAACCTATCATCTGGTTTAGCTTTACTGAATCTACGCTTGTTTTAGAAGATGTAAGAAGAGAGAGTTCTGAATCAGTGGCACATTCTAGGAAATTGTTCTCTATCAGGCAAAGTGACTTTCAAGGACGTATATTAATACAAACTTAAAGAAGTCAACAAAAATGCATCTTTTTTTTTGGCCTAAAGAATTCACTTCTTCTATGGTTATCACACAACTTTCTGCATCAGAGCTCTTTCTACATGTCAACGTTTCAATGAAAATAAAATTATCATCAGGCTTCACTGATTTTGATGTGGAATGCCTGTCTGAAAAATCCATCACACCTTTTGAAGAGTGATGAACCTTCTTAAGACTTTTCTTCCTCCTTCAACTTTTCCAATAAACTTGCATTATATTGCTTTTTATGTGCAAATATGTATTTATTTACTTTCAAATTGGTGTACATTACCTACAAAAATTAGTTGTAATGATGTAGTTGATAATCTTTGTCTGTGAAAATTGTTTGGGTGTCTAGGATTGTCATAGAATGCAACATAATTTTTCTCTTCAAAAATATTATTTTTTTCATCTAAGGGTTTTTCATTTTGTGTCAGCATTTCTGGGAATGAATTAAAGTCATTCAGTGAAAGAGAGTTATGAACATCAATCAGCAATAAGTGTCCTACAAGTGAAACCAGTATTTAAATATGATTATTTTGTTCAATAGGGAGTAGTGAACCGTGTCTGAATGCAAAGATCAAGGGTCAGGAACTACAGAAAAAAGAGGAAGGAAAAGAAAGGAAAACAAGTGAGGTAAGCAGAATGATGCCAAAATTCCCAGGTACAAATATGGAAAGGTAAGTGGTGTGTGCCCCAGCACAGATCCATGCCAGAAGCATCATAACCTCAATGAAATTCAGAGGCTAAGTGTTTTTAACCTTTTAATGTAGTAACTGCTCAGTGTGATGGAGGAAAATGGAGGGATTATGTTCTGAGGACCAGGGTTTAATTTGCAACTCTATAATTTGTTAGAGTAGCCGAAACAAGCTGGCCCTAGAAGCTCACCTGGGCTGACCTAAACTGTCATACTTTCCAAAGTGATGACAGTCTGCATGATCAAACCCTCTGAGCTATACTACTTTATAGAAACCTAATTTTTGATGGCTCTAGCTTGTATGTTGTGGTTATATTTACTTCCCTCTCCAAACACACACACACACACACACACACACACACACACACACACACACTTATAAAAACTGCATTTAAATTTTTTTTATTGTTCAAGATGATCCAAATTAAGAATTTTTATGATTCTTCTGCCTTTTGCCTGGTGTTATGACTGGGAATAAATGTTGCACTATCATACACTATCTCTCATTACCAGCCTCATAAACCTTGTATAAATAGAAGCACTATAATTTTCATGAATAAAATACAAATTATATACATATTTATGCATATATGAATACACATATTTAAATGCATAGTCCAAATAACACTAACGAGAGGCTACTCAGAAACCTTCTTTGTCCTTGCTCTTCACTGCTCTCTTTTTCTATTGATAATATTTTCAGTATTCCAAGCTTTTCTGAGAAATATTTATATTTGGGGGTTCTCTCAACCTTGTATAAACCCTTTCCTTGATACTTAGGCATCACCTGATATATTTAGATAATTTACTTCCATTTTACACAGCTGAATGACTGATGGCACACCAGGAAAGTTAGTCTTATATTCTCCCTCTTATTTTCATTTCCCTTACCCTCCAGCATATTTTACAAATTATTTTTTATCTAATTCATTTTTATTTTATTTAATAGCATTACTTTCAGCTTCCATTGAAGTATCTCATTCTTTTTGCCATAATTCAAAACAAGTCCCCTCTGTCTTGGGCAGTTCATTCTCTGCTTATACTTGATTGAATAAGCAAAACATAATTCTTAAAAGAGAGCAGGTAATGTTCACACTGGCACAAGAATGTATACTCTAATTTTTCACTGGGAGAAGGTATATAATAAAAAGCACCATTTCAGTCCCTCACACATATGTGTCACCGAGACATCAAGTCTAAAACTTGTGAAGCTTTTATTCACAAGTGTAACTGTTTGTCCTCTCACCAAGTATTTTTGTTTAAGAAAAGTGTGTTGCAGTTACTGCATTGCAGACTGGTGAATCAACTGTGAAAAAGAGAGATAGTAGAGGAGGCTGTTAAATTAGTAGGAAGACAGATTGTGAAATACTTTATATAGTTTCCCAAAATGTTCATATTCTCAAAAATCAATATAGAGACATCACCAAATAAGTAAAAAATTATCACTAGCAGATATTTTCAGAAACACATCTCTTACTAAAAGGTAGGATGGATGACTAGAGAGTGGGAGAATTAGATACTGAAATTAGTCCAAGCGAAAACTGATGAACACTTGGTTTTGGACATTGACAGCGACTTAGTGAAGAAGGAACAGATCTGATAAATATGTTAACATGTAGATAATCACAGGGCTTCCAGGAGTTTGGGGCTGATCTAGGGAAAACATATGACATGGAAAACACAAAGTTTACTGAGAAAAGCCTTGAGATGTTTGCATGTGGGGAAGTCTCTCAGAGTAGGAGCCTGTTCAGAGACTGGAGGCCTGGAGGGTAGCTCTACCATACACAGAAGGGTAAGGGAACTGCAGGGGAGAGGGCGACCGAAGAGGGGGCGCCTTCCATGTCTGGGTGATGTCCCTCATCCCTTGGCAGTGTGGCGCAGTCTCTGGGTCTCTGGTCATTTACTAGAGTAAAACATACCAGCGGTAGAAAAATACAGGGAATGGAAATCATTATAAAATCTCCAAATTATATTTAAATATTTCTGCTAAATCAAAATACTTTGGTCACTTTCTCATGTAAAACAAAGGATAGCCCTTATCATGTAAAATGTAGTATAGAAACATTCAACAAATGATGCATAAGCAAACATAAGATATAAATAAAAGCTAAATTTTTGGTAAAGGACGATCCAGTCATTCAAACCCCCCCATACCACACGACATGGAGAAAATTTCATTTCATCAAATTTCTGCAGTAATAAACAACTGGCAATATTGTAAAAAGTTGTTGGGCAAAGATCTAAGTGAAAACAAGACCTGTGTGGAAAGTGGAACAAAAATTTCTCTTTTGTTTAGAGTGCATTTTCTTGTTTCCAATGGTCTCTCAAGTCTTGGGGAGCAGAAGAAAAAAATCTAAGACCTCCCTAAGATGGGAAATCTAAAATGGAGTTGCAAGATAAAATACATGATAGCCAATTAAACTTGAATTTCAGATAAATAACAACTTTTTTTGTATAAGTATGCTCCATTCAGTTTTGGGGATGTATTTATACTAAAGAAAGCATTTATCAGAAATTTAACGTTAACTCAGTAACCTGTATTTTTGTTTGCAATATAAACCCTCCCCCGAAAGAAAGAAAACGTCTCAACATAAAGGTGGAGAGTCATAAGTGCTACATCCTCAATGTAAATGTGACCACATGTAAAATAGTGGACGACCTTCTCTTACTTTCAAATGATTATACAGAAATTTACCTTGACACTGAACATA
This sequence comes from Homo sapiens, assembly GCF_000001405.40. NCBI lineage: Eukaryota > Metazoa > Chordata > Mammalia > Primates > Hominidae > Homo > Homo sapiens. Next base: position 66,880,799 of record NC_000018.10, on the reverse strand, counting down.
ACACAGGGAAGGGAAAAAAAATCCCTGATACATTGCAATTATAATGCTGTCCTTGTTTAGAACTGTAGCCTAAATTAACATTACCTGGAGAGACTGGGTTTATATCCTATAAAACTATATCACATGTTCTTTGTGCACACAGCATTATTTATCATGTGATAAATGAGGAAACAACTTACCAGTCTTATCATGAAAAAAATAAAGTATATTTGTTTAAGTGAATATTACACAGAAGTGAACCACAGCTATGGATGTAATCTTGTATGAATTTCAGAACACAAATTTGCACAAAAGAAGCAAGTTAAATATTGGTTGCATAGTTTTGATTCCACTCTTTAAAAACTCATAAACATAAGTTAAAAATTCATAAATTAAAAATATGTCATTTAGGGATACACTCATAAGTAATACAATTACAAGATATCCCAAGGAAGTGACTAGCATAAAAGTAAAGAGAAGAGATGGAAAGGGCAGATGAGGGCTTGTTAGATACTGACAAGGTTATAGTTCTTATACTTAACCAGAATGCTGGGATGCTGGTGTGACACAGGTCTTACTTCTACCTATTATTCAATCTACCTACCTACCTACACACCTACCTACCTACCTAATACTCTTCTGTGTGTTGGCTGACTAAACAGAAATTGCTTTTATATGAAATTCTGAACCTATAACAGTAGAAGTTTTATGTGATTCAACCTAATATATATTATATATAAAATATTATATATTATAAATTATATAAAATATATATTATATAAATTATATAATATATAAGTTTATATATATAAATATTTCATATATAAAATAATATATAAAATATTATATATATAAAATAATACATATACATATATATTATATATATAAAACCTCCTGTACAATCCATTCACTATTGAAATAAAGTGGTTGTAGAGTAATCACCATTCTTGCCTTTGCAGATAGAAAGCTTCTATTCTGGCACTAATAGAATAAATTCAATACAGAAATTTCATTTTAAATGGGTTGAATTTATATAAAATATTAGAATTTTACACAAGTTTCTCTGTAGTGAAAAGTATCTGATACAAGTTTGGTAATTTAAAAGGATTTGTGGCAATCCTGCGCTCATTTCATACAGTTTTTGTTTTAGTGAAATGTTTGATTTATAACTATTAGGCTTATACATTTTAAGTATACAAAGTCTATCATTAAAATAGCCCAAAGCCTTTTCCTAAAAAAGTGACCTGAAGAGATATTAAAATCTGGTGTATGGGACATTGCTAATTTATCAAACTTTATTCATGCTCCTCAATTCCACACAATCTTGTGTTCTCATACATTGTAATTGGTTTAGTATTATAATATGATTTTCTACATAATTATAGGGTCACTAAATTCATTTTTTAAGTTATTAAAATTATTGTTAAATGAGTGATTCATGGCATCTGTCACCTTTATAATTATTTCAATGATATAGTTACAAATATCTAAACTATAAAAATTGCATAATTGTTATGTTCATCATTCATTACTATTAACTTCTTAGCATTCTACACATTTCATGAGAGAAAGGTGTAATTTTTATTTCTACAAGAAAAGGAACTCATTACAAAAATCAGTATTCATATCTCAATTAAAAGTAATTTTTCTGGAATGAATAGCTTAGCTATTCCAATTACAGACATGACTTTTTTTGCAATAGAAATTTAAGCATCCTGTTTAAATCAAAGGAACAGTATCTTCCTTTCACAGAATATTTAGAATCCTTAGGCTTTGTTTAAAAATTGCAACTATAAGAGGATAACTTGTACATGCCAAGTAAATCATATGAACAAAAATATTGTTTAAAAAAGAGGTATTAGATAATCCAGAATTTATAAAAGCATCTAGTATTGGTTAATATGCGACATGGAAATTAGAACAAAATTGAATTTCAAATAATTTCCAACATATTAAAAAGTTTTAATTTACCAAAATTAAGAACTAATAAGTTGTTGAAAAAGCAATACCTGTGGTGAATTTTGCAAAGAAACTCCATAAACAAAAATTATTTACAGGTCAAGGCTCTAAAGGATTGACAAAAGAAAAAGTGCTTGCCAGAAGCTAAATAATGATTTTTACAATTACATTTTAAGACAGAGCAGAAAAATAGCTTTTCTAAGCTGTTTTTAGATTTCTTCATATCATGTCATAGCTTAAAACTCATCCAGCAGATGATTATATACTGCAGCAGCTTCTCAGAGTAAAGATTGCTAATGGTCATTGATTGGGCTGCCCAGTCACAAAGGTGAACTGTTCATTTCTCATGTCTCTACCTTTTATTTTTAAAACACTATGGTATCTAATTACAAAACAAATGTACACTGAGAATAACAATGCTGTGTAGATATTTCCAATTTTCATTAAATTGTCCCTGAACTGGTAATGTCATGAATGCTAAAACTACTAAAATATTTGTTGTGTTTGGGTTTAGAATTTCAAACTGGTGGGGATTTTATGTTTGTAAGATTGCCTTCAGCAATCCACAAAAAATATTAATGTATAGTGATTAATTTCCTATTATAAGGGTAAGTATTTTCAATTTTGTAAATGGAATTCAAGAGTCATTTTAAAAATTATACGAGTTACATATTTAACATGTTTGCCTTTCCCTATTCTACAGAAAATTATTCATGTGATTTATAGCTGTAAATACCATCTTATCAATGTTTTCATGCTTAATAGTCACATTAATGAAAAGACTTATTTTCTACATGACCTGAACATTAATTACATAGTGAATACTATGGGGAAATATGCATATTAATAGACATTTAATTGATTACTGAAAGACTGTTCTACTATCTTAAAAGTGCTCACAAAATGTACAGAATTAAAAGGCTGTCAGTGACTAACATAACACAATTAAGAAATTTTTATAAGAAATTTAGTTGTACCTATATTAAGATAACGAATACCAGCTGAAAACTACCTGAAGCATGTAGAAAGTCTCTGAAAAAAGTATTTGCAAAATCAAATAAATAAGAGAGAGAAACATGAGAAAAACTAGTTTTCTATAAATTAACAGAGTGAAGTATTTATGGTTTTTAGATACTTTTGAAGAGATGTGTCTTCATAAGAACACTGTTAAAAATGAAGTACAGTTGTCATCACACATAAGCACTTATTTCTTCTTTGCCTTCTTTTCTTTTCTTTTCCTTCTCTTCCCTTCCTTCCTTCCTTCTCTTTCTCTCCCCTTCCTTCCTTCCTTCTCTTTCTTTTCATTCTTTAGCTCCTCCCTCCCTACTTCTACGCCTCCCTTCCTCCTTCCCTCCCTCCCTCCCTCCCTTCCTCCCTTCCTTCCTTCCTTCCTTCATTTTTTTGTGTCAATACTGTCAAAGACTCTCTTCTAAATTTTCCATAATAACTTCTACTCGCCAGGTTTGGTATGTAGTTTCAATCTTGCAATTCACTGAAATGTTATATATAATAAATGTTTAAAAGATATGTAGAAACACCCTAGCTACTATTACTGTAACAATTTTTCACCAAACATGTGAAGTTACTTAGCCATATTTGTAAATAATAAAAGTGAATTCCAGTAAGAATACTGATTGTTTAAATACTCATTTCAATGTGTACTGGTTTCCATTGTTGCTCTACCAAATTACAACAAACTTAATGGCTTAAAAATATAAATTTGTTATTTTATCGTTCTGGAAGATAAAAAATTAACATGAGTTTTATTGTGTTAAAAATCGCAATCTCATCAGTGCTGTATTTCATTCTCCATGTTCACGGAAGAATGTATTTTCTTGCCTTTTCCAACTTCTAGATGCTGATCACTTTCCTTGACTTGTGATTCCTTTCCTCTGTCTTTAAAGCCAGTCATTTTCACGCCACCATCTCTCTGTCCTTGGGTGGCAGACAGCAACCTTCACTCTGTGTCCTAAAATGGCCTCTCCATGGTGTGTGTGCTCAGAGAGAGAGGTCTCTCTCTTTCCTCTTTTTGTAGAACCACCAGCCTTATTAGATTGGGACCCCACCCCATGACCTTATTTAACCTTAATTATCCTAAAAGCCCCATTTCCAAATAAAGTTACATTGGAAGAAAGGGCTTCAATATATAAATTTTAGGGAGACAGGTTTCAGTCCATAACACAATGTTAACTTTCCTGCTACCTTAATTTCCTTTAGCCATGAAACCTAACATAATTACAGGTTCTGGGGATTAAGACGTAGACATTTTTGGAATGGTCATGATTTGGCCTTACTACACGATGAAATATTTAGCTAAAATGAATTTTCATATTTTCCACTACTCTACTAACTAAAGTGATCCCCCTGATATATATATATATATATTTTGTTTTGTTTTGTTTTAATTAATGTATCCCTGGTCAGAGTAAACAAAAGTGGTACTCTGATATAGAAAATAATTGGCTAAAAGTAGAAACAAATACTAGATTATAGAGATGGTTTTCACTGGGCATAAATCAAATAATAAAATCAAAATATTTTTAACAGTCACATCTATTTATCAAAATCTGAACCTTCAAACTGATGAATTTTATGTTGGTCTATTAAACAGTGCACATTCTCTAAAATATATACCGTATGTAAAAACACACTACTTTGTCAAGTAATTTTTGCACATTTTTAAAAACACCTAAGCCTCATACTGACAAAAATTAGGGATTGCCATATATGAGTTAATGATACAGTCATAATTTTACCTAATACCATTTTATTACAATAATTATCCAAAAGGAATAAAAATGGATTAAAAATATACATTTGTTATTTTACTTAAGAATATAATATGTTGGCCGGGCGCGGTGGCTCACGCCTGTAATCCCAGCACTTTGGGAGGCCGAGGCGGGCGGATCACGAGGTCAGGAGATCGAGACCATCCCGGCTAAAATGGTGAAACCCCGTCTCTACTAAAAATACAAAAAATTAGCCGGGCGTAGTGGCGGGCGCCTGTAGTCCCAGCTACTTGGGAGGCTGAGGCGGGAGAATGGCGTGAACCCGGGAGGCGGAGCTTGCAGTGAGCCGAGATCCCGCCACTGCACTCCAGCCTGGGCGACAGAGCGAGACTCCGTCTCAAAAAAAAAAAAAAAAAAAAAAAAAAGAATATAATATGTTATTAAGACCAATGACTCTTAAATTTTAGGAGAAAGCATGGTTAGTATAATAAAGTTATTTTTGTAATATATATATTTACTATATCACATAACAAGTAGATTAAGGTGCAGTTGCAGAGTTGATTAGTCCACATCTCAGCATCATCATCAAAGACCCAGACCTCATGCTGTTTATTTGTACATCCACTCTAAGCACCTTGGTGGAAGCTTGTATCCCAGGATGGCTACAGCAGCTTAGGCATGGCCTCCTCATGAAACAACACCCAGAGTCCATTTCTCAAATGTTTTTGTTCATATTATGTTAGACTATTTAACATTTACCCCGTAAAAGTAAAGATGGGGCCAACCTTCCCCAATACACAAGTAAGAACATGTAAACCTGAACACAGCCATGGTTGTGTCACCATGAAAAAAAAAAAAAGGCGAAGCTTTGTTGACATAGCCAGTGCCTAGAACAAACACGAGATAATTGGAAACAACATCAAAGATCATTTTGTCCTATCCTGGTATTTTAATTTCAGTAGGTATTTTATATCTGTGTATGTTTTGAGTTCTTACTTTTATAACATTTCTAAGTTTTATTAAAGTTAATGAATTATTGGGATCAAATGACTTGTATAGCACAGTGCTTTTCTCAAGAAAAAGCTTATTGTGCAGACTAGCAGAATTGAAACAGGAGCATATTGATTTTTGCATTTGTAACATTAAGTTCATACTCTTCAAAACAAATAGACTATTGGCTAAACATCCTCATTATTTTGATACCATTTTGACTAAGGCTGTATCCTTACATATGCTTATGTATATACTTACATATATGCTTAATTTATATAAACATTATACACATATGTGTATATGTACATGTATATATATGTGCTTATGTATATGCTTAATGTATGTAAATGCTGTGTAGTCATTCAGGAAAATGAAAATAACAAAAATTTAAATATTCTTAATTGTTTTCTAAGTAAAGTATCATATCAAATATAGAAAATATTAAATCAGCTGTAATATAACTTTGAATACTAGCCTCTGTTAGCACTTTCAAATTCAGCACAGTCATTAGATCTTGTGTAAGATTTAGAGGCTGGGGTAGCTTTAGAGTGAACAGGACAGAATGGACACAGAGGCCTGCCCTGCATAAAGTTTCCAGGTTAGGCCACAGGAGAGTCCTCACACAGCCTCCCACAGTCACTTACACTACACTGTGGAATTAGAATCATACAAAGTCAGAAACATATTTTAGTCTAATTGTAAGAAGTTAAATGAAAACAAAATGTTAATTAATTGAATAAACACATTAATTCAATGAACTACAGTATGATTTTAATGGAAATGAAACAATGTATTCTTCTAAAGCGTGTATCCATTAATCATATAATTATCTACAACATTCTGTGAGGTACTTATCCTTGAAGGAAACTGAGGTTTTAGGGAACGTGCCCGATGTTGCGCTTAATTTTGAGAGCTTAGATGTGATCCCAAGTGATTTGGAAACTGACCTTGAACAATATTTGCTCATCTGTCCTCTCAGTTTCTTCTCAGAACATGTTTGCAATAATTTCTGGAATGTTTGAGTACCTAGCATCAGAAGTAAATATAATTATTAGCTACTGTCATCTGTAAGAGAGATAGCTGGCAGATTGTGTTTGCAAAGATGTGGGAGTCATGGGCAGGCTTGCGGAAAAACAGCTGACAGAGGAATTAGAAAAACAAAATCCATGTCAATGATTGAAAAATATGATTTAGGTAGTATCCATCCACTTCAGAATTACCAAAGATACTTACTAAAAATCCACAACACTGAACTATACCCTGGACTACTGAATTTATATGGAAATCTCTCACTTTTATTAAAAAAAGAGCTCCTCCAGCTGATTGAAACCTCCACAATATTTGAGGATTGCTTTTATATTTACTTTGCTGGTTTATCTATGCCTAGTTTTATGACCAAATTCTAAAAAATGTGGCATCAGCTCTACTTCACCTGGGAGCTGTATGATTTGAAACAAAATTACCTACATCAGTTTAGGGAAAAAGAAATAGTCCAGACACCATTGCTACCCCAGGTTACTACTGTTACTAGCTTTTCCTCACTAAGGCCAATATTCCAGCGCTCACTGCCCATTCTCTTCATTTTCTAAGCCCCAATCAGATTATTGGAAAGAAAGAAAGGCTGGGGGCAAGATGAAATATAAGGGCTGGCATTACATATTTCTAGTAGATCCATCTTCAAGTCTAAGGTAAGGGAAAAAAAATCTGAGAAACTTGAACAGGCCTTATAAAAAGAAGGGATGTGTTTATGAAATACTGAAGACAATGTAACTTTTAATTACATTGGATTTTGTTGCAACCTGTACCTGATTGGTTTTTGCTGCTGTGGCCATTTTTTTATTTTAGAGATGGGATCTCACATGTTGCTCAGGCTAGAGTGTTGTGGCCATTCATAGGAGACATCAAAGCACCTCAAACTCCTGACCTCAAGCGATACACCCGCCTCAGCCTCCTGAGTAACTGGGAATACAGGTGTGGATTAATGAGTTTTTTTTTTTTCAGGTGCCATTAAACTGGACAACATACCTACGAAATTACACATCAAAGCATTTCAAAAATAATATATAATTCAAATAAATTAAAGTCATATTGAACTAGTAGCCATAGATGTTTAAGTAGTCATGAGGGCCAATATAGTGCCATGCTTAGGTCTATAATGTATGTTTTGAATAAAGGATTTATTTGAAATATTTGCTGAGGGCCTTTTTAATGTGTAAATTTCATACAATACAAACTTGTGATTTTAGTTATTGTTTAATAATTGAATAATCCTTCTGATTTCCTGAACACTTTTTAGGACAGCATAATAAAAAATAAATTTTCATGGTAATTATTTTTGAACTATAATAGGTAAGACAAAGATGACATTATCAGAAGATAATTATCCTTCTGACATAATCAGATGATAGTATGAGTAGAAATAGAAGAGCTAGATAAACACTTTCTAAAAAGTTCAGATATCAAATCCTGGCTCAAGTTCACAATACTCATGTGATTTTTTTTGTTCCTCTGAGTCCTTCTCTACTTTCTTGCATTAGACTACATGACCTCAAAGTTCACATTCACTATCATTCTGTGATTCAAAATCGCTATGCTAAAAAGTATGTATATAGTGATTATAGTATACAGAATATATTTATTATTTAATCACTAGATGGCAGTAAATGTGCAACTGTGAGGTGCCTCAAATCTGTTCTGCATACTCAAGGAGGGCTCAAAATGCATGCAAGACAATCACTGTTTGACAGCTTCCTTTCAAAGGTTAGCTGGAAGGAGAATATATCCTATCATAAGAAATCACTACACAGTATAAGGAAAATAAAATGTCATAGCTCAATAATGTAGTAGGAAATATCTTCAAATAGTAATTTAAAATACTTTATCTGAGGTAAACAGTATTGGTGTCTTCCCATTTAAAACTGCGGTGAAGAAAGAAAGAAAGAAAAAACCATAGATCAGAACTTGCAAAAAGTGATGAAAAGGCATATATCTTGCCCACATGAGACATAGGTTTCTGCTTCACACATAGTAAATGATTTTTTTTAAAGTAGATAGCAGAAACTACCAAGAATGCTAAATCCATTTACCAAGTAAAATTGAATTAACACATTGAAAGTAATGGTACAAGGGATCCCATTCCATTACTTTTAATGTGATCATGTCTGTGTATTCCACAGCAATACATTCTTCAGAAATAGAACAAGCTTCCCAGTATATCCACATAATGAATGAGAAAAGGAAATGAGAGTTCTGTCAAGTGAATATCTAATTCCATTTCTTATAAATTCTTCTTGTCAGCAGCCACTTATCACTTAAACCACAGCAATGTAGTCATGATACTTTTGTCCCTCTGTCCATCTAAAGTACATCTGGTGGAAGCGTGATAATTTAATTGTCATTATTGGAAGATTTCAAAAGTGGAATAAATTTTAAAAGCATTTTTAACTATGTGTGTGTGTGTGTGTGTGTATATATATATATATACACATATATATACATATATATATACACACATATATATACATATATACATATATATACATACATATACATATAAATATACATATATACATATATACATATATATACACATATATATATAATGTGTATTTTATACACACACATATATCTTCTGTGACCAAGGTTTGATAATGTTGGTTAAGCATTATCTACAGAGTTAGTTTTTAGACAGTAAACTGCATTTTTCACAACAATTTTGTGTTTGTCTGCAATTTATAGCAAGCAATAAGTTATGTAAGAAAAATGTCACAGTGACATAGAGTCCACTAAGCATATTCAGCTAAAGGACACTGTTGACTTTTGCTGGGTCATGTAAGTTTTAGCATTATAAAAAAGACTTTAGATTTGCTAATTTTGAACCTTAATTAAATATTTGTGTTTGTTCTATTTGCAATTAATTGTATAGGAGAGGAAAAAATTTGTACAGGAGAAGAACAAATCATTCACAAAAATGTCAAAATGATTAACAAATTTTTTTTTTCTAATTAAAAGCAAATAATCTTCCATGTAATTTACCTACCATGGTCTCAGTAGGTTTGAAGGGCATTTTTCAGGCACTATTTCAATGACTCAGTGAGCTTTTTCAACATGCCCTGCCACATTCCCCTAAACATTATCAAAACTTGGTGGATAGAAAAATAGAAAAGAAAAACAAAGAGACTAGTTAACCATGTGGTGAAGATCACCGGCTTTAACATTTAGGCTATACTTAAGTAGTAGTCTATTTTATAAAAATCACTTTATCTCTGTGAGCCTGAATTAAATTTTTGTCTATAAATATGTCCCACAATGATTGTTATGAGATCTAAATGAGGTACTATTTATAAAATGCATTTACAGTACCTAAAACACAGTAACACTAAATAATTAAATCAAGTAATCCAACCACTGCTTCTAAACAGTTTATTCCCTGATTGGAATAGCTAGTGAAAGGTATTTTTTGTACATTATATTGAGTGTCACCAGTAATGGTTATGGAGATAACTTGGAAATACTGTTCTGGGACTCAGACTGTGCCCAGTGAATAAGCAGAATTAATTCTCTGGGGACAGAAACTCGGGATTTTTAATGACCAATAATAAACTAGGCATGAATTTAGCCTGAGGATCAGGATTGTTTAATCTGATTAACCCAGAATCTATTCATTTCCCATGTATTTATCTCGAAGTATTGATTGCTTAAACTAGACCTTTTGATAAATTTTACATATATTAGCTCATTTAATCCTCACAACAACAATATCCATTTTGAGTTGTTATTCTTACTATATCAATTTGCAAGAAAAGAATACAGAGACTAATAACATTTAAGTTATTTGAAACAAGTTATTCTAAAGGTAATTCCATGACAATGACAATTCTGTGAGTTTTTATAATTAAATAATAATGTATTAAATACCAGGAATAGTTATATACCTAGATATATGAGGAAAGGTGTTTTGTTTGTTTGTTTGTTTTGGTAGAGTAAGGAAAAGCTTCCTGGAAGAGGTGATTTATGGCCAAAGATTCAAAAATTAAGTGACAAACCCTGGTGAAGACATTGGGGCATGAGATATAGTGGAAGGTAATAACTTACGAACAAAAAGACAAGAACAAAAAAAAGAATGCTAAAAACAAAGTAAGCCTAAATGAATAAGGTTTGGACAGCAAAGCTGGAACTAGAGAGCGATTGGTAGGAGACTGGGAAAGTAAGGGGACAGATAATGAAGTGTCCTTCAAACACCTTCAGGTGCCATCACTGAGAAGTTAACCGAAAGGTTTTGGATCAACATGGATAAAAGTTTCAGAGAATATATTTGAGACAGAAACACTGTTATGAGGAGGAAAGACATTTCTGGCATGTTGCTAGAGTTCAGATAAACGATCATGAAGTTATAAACTAATACAGAAAAGTAGAAATGGTACAGCAGGTGAAATTTGAGAAATACAATTTAAAAGGAAGAAGGCATAGTCACATATTTAAAGTAGGGATTTAAAGCATGCATATTACCATCAAGCAAGCTAAAGAACAACGTTCACAAAGGTGATAAGACTTCAAATATGAGGTATTTAAGGTATTTGAGGAAAATTCAGTCAAGTTTGTACATTATAATTTGAGTATATATTTCTGAAACCTGAAAACCTGGAGAGAAATCTGAGTTGATATCATACACTTAGAAATCTTCAATGTTCAAGTGATATCAGAAATTGATATTGCTTGAATTTATTGAATGAAAAAATGAAGAGTATCTTAGGGATCAAAATCAGTAGGGTTTTGAAACGCCCTTTTACCAAAGTAGGAAAAAAAAACCATTAAGATGTTCATAACATGAGTTCAAAATTGCAAAAAATAAAAAAAAAATTTGAGAACAGCTTAAGAAGAGATGGAGAGAGCAGAGCTTGCATAGGATTCAGGAAACACAAATAAGGGAGAATAAGTCTGTAACATGGACGTTCAAATATTTTTTGGCCATGGTAGGAAATATTATTTCATGAAGAACTTGAGTTCTATTCAGCATTCTTTATTTTCTAGTATCTGGGAAAACCTAAGTTATTAATTTGCTACATGTATCAATTCAGAAGACTGGAATGGCTACATCCTTGTGTGTTCAGTTACTTATTACCTTTTCTGACTTGATTAGTATAGACTTCTAAATGAGAGGAAAAACAATTGCCTTTCGAGGCCATGTTTTATTAGGATTGTGTATCCAAAACTAGAATGTCTGTTTAAAGACATAGAAGGCTGAACATCATATCCCTGCATAGAGAATCCCTTACTGATAAGATGCAGTTCCACAAATATTAGGAGTGTTGTTTCATAGATTTTATTAAATCATTTTGGAAGTTACAATTTCACAGTGTTGAGGATTTCTGGTTCCCCAGGGAGGACTTCATGCTATATCTTTTTTTTTTTATTTCTACCATTTTTATTTGAAGTTCAAGATGAAATACTTTAATGTTTCTATCAATCATATTTGAAGACTTTTAGATAATGCTATCCAGTTGAACCAACCTTAAATCACAAGGAAATTTTAAAAGTCTTAATGTATTATCCAAACCTAATTTTGATTCCTTGTTTTCTTTCTGAAATTAAGACAATTTTAGAAAGTATTTTTAAATGGATCATTATTTTTCCTACATTTAATATGTAATTGTGATTTTTTCTAATGTATTAAAATAATAACTGGAAATAAATGAAAATAAGGTTTTATTGTGTTTAAACTCCATTCTCTTTATCAAAGTAAGATAATAAAAAGGCTTGATTTTCATTTATTATAAATATATGGTACAACTGCAGAAAATTATTTCTAAAATTAAATTCTATATACATTTATTGGTAAGGAGTCACATAACAGAACTCTTGGCATTTGTTATGACTAAATCTTAATTTATAATAAGAAAAGGAGGACATATTATTAAATACTTAAATTCAATTACTAACAGCCACAACAAATATTCTTACATATATCACTTTTATTCTTCTTAACTACCTTGTGAAGTAAGTAACATTAACTCAGTTTCATATGTTGGAAAACTAAAGCATGGGATTTAAATAACTTTAACCTACAAATGAATAATCTGTAAATCAGAACTCAGCCTACCTCTGTCTGAGTCCATCTAATCTGATTACACACAGTTAAGACAGGTCCAGTTTCCTAGGTAAATTACAATGATGTAACCAATGAAAATCAAGATATTTTAGCGATGTCAACTATGGTAATGAGCTCTTGGATTTAAAAATCCACGTGTTTGTGTCTAGCTCTAACCACAAATATGTGAACATGAGTAAAAATGAAATGTTTATTGGTGCCTGTGGCATTCTGATTTCCTGTGTCTGTAGCTGAGGTGTTAAGTTGGAGTGGGAACCGTAGGGCCTCAGGCCAAACAGACAAGTAAGGCTCAGGATTTACGTAAAACATAGACATTCAGGTTATGAGACTAGCAGAGAACATCTCAACCAGCAGTAGCTATGCATTTGTAGCAATATTGTCACCTAGACGTCTACATAGGGAATTTAAATACTCACTTATTTGAATGAGCTGAAGAACGCCTAGATAATAAAGAACAGCTTCTGTGCAGAGGGTATTTTTTCGCAGCTCTTAAAAATAGCAAAAGCTAGAATCCCTACAAGTCAGGAAAATCCTAGCTTCCAAAAGATCACCAAGATCAGAGCCAAACTTTAATGAGTTCAAGGGTCATAGTAATTCAAGTCATAGAGAATATGAAGCTCATGAAGAGATTATTGGTGATCAATGAGCCAACTGATCAGCAAGTGCTCAGCCATGGCATGTCCCAGAGACTGAAGAAAAAAGGCATGGACTTCTGTGTTCCACCATCATTGTACTTTTTTCCCCTCTTCAAAATAATACCACTTTGCCTTTGGTACCTTTGATTTGCTGCCTCATCTGTCCAGAACCTCTTCCTTCAGATTCAACATGACTTGGCCCACATTTGGCCTTCAATCTCTGCTCAGTATTTTATTAATGAGGCTTTTCAAAATTTTCATATGCATATTTCTCCTGATCCCATCATGTACTATGTTAAGCTGTATTTTTTCCATGTTATTTATAAAAATTAATACATATGTATGCATGTATTTCTTTATTAGCTCTTTTGACTGCATCCCCCAAACTGGACTCTAAATTCCAAGAGGGTGATCTTTGTGTGAATTTTGATGATTTCTGTATCCCTAGACCCTAGAGTAAGCTCAGGCATGGCGGGCTGCAGGTCCGAGCCCTGCCCTGCGGGGAGGCAGCTAAGGCCCGGCGAGAAATCGAGCACTGCAGCTGCTGGCCCAGGTGCTAAGCCCCTCAATGCCCCGGGCTTGCGGGCCGGCCCGCCGCCGCCGCTCCGAGTGCCGGCCCGCCGAGCCCACGCCCACCCGGAACTCGCGCTGGCCCGCAAGCGCGGCACGCAGCCCCGGTTCCCGCCCGCGCCTCTCCCTCCACACCTCCCCGGAAGCTGAGGGAGCAGCTCCGGCCTTGGCCAGCCCAGAAAGGGGCTCCCACAGTGCAGCGGCGGGCTGAAGGGCCCCTCAAGCGCGACCGAGTGGGCGCCAAGGCCGAGGAGGCGCCGAGAGCGAGCCAGGGCTGTGAGGGCTGCCAGCATGCTGTCACCTCTCAGTAGTGAATACGTTTCACAAGAGCTGATAGTTTTATAATTGGGAGTTCCCCTGCACAAGCTGTCTTACCTGCCGCCATGTAAGATGGGACCTTGTTCCTCGTTCGCCTTTCTCCACAGTTGTGAAGCTTCCTCAGCTGTGTGGAACTGTGAGTCAATTACATCTCTTTCCTTTATAAGTTACCCAGTCTTGGATATGTGTTTATTAGCAGTGTGAAAACAGACTAATACTCATGTCAGAGTTACATTTTCTGATGTTTATCCATTGATATCTAGTTAATATTAAATTTTATAAAGGTCCCCTTAGGAAACAGAGAAGAGTAAAATGTTTACTAGGATATTGCTTTCTTCATAAAATCTTAGCTACCCTGTAAGTTTGGTAGACCCACAGTATGTGAGGAAGATAATTCCTTCCAGGCAGAAGGAGTGAAGAAACTTAAAGTTCATCTGGGCATACTCGTTAAAATACTGAACTTAATGAAAGATTTGAAAGTCAAATTTTTGAGCACATGTTTAGAAATAAACATATGATTTAATTCTAAGTGGGGATTATGCCATTTAGAAGAGAGGCATTCCCTACATTGTTTGTTTTTTCGTTGTATCATTCTTTACTCTTCCCAGGGATTATCATCTATGTAAAAGGTACAGGTGTTCTACTAACAATTACATGGGAAGAGAGAGTGAATGAACTACTTTTTTAAATTAAAGGAGTAAGAGGACTCAACAGAGGGAGCTAAGTTATTTGTACAAATTCTTGTTATATGATGCAGAAAATAGCAGTTTCATAAAACAGTATAGTGCCTATAAATGTATGTGCTGTTAAATAGAAAAGACATCTGGGAAGTCTTCAGAAAAAAAGGGAAATTCAACCTGGACACAAAGAGTACAGGACTTTCAAACTTACAAACATACAACATTTAGAAAGAGCCACTCTTGTGCCTCTCAAAAGTTAGAATACAGAGTAATAGTTTAGGGAGAAAAAAAAAACACACAGAGTTCCAGCTGTTAATCCCAGTGATTAAGGATGTTAATAGGGGTGAAGAAAGTTAGGTTAGCATTAATAACATGAAAAATCTAAAATTACCAAAGGTAACAGAAACCCACCCAAATATCAAGATCGGGGTAAATGGAAGAAGGGAGAAGAAAAATTGAAAAATGCACTTAAGGTTAGATTTATAGCTATACTAAAGGGCAAAAAAATCATTTTTTAATAAATATATGTTTGTTGATTTTAAATCTCATGTAACACATTATTTGAAGATCTCTGGCAAGCCATTTCTTTAATTTTGCTTCTTTTCATATGCTTTATATTAATTAGTCACTCTACATATAAAAATTTAAAAAATCCCAAATAGCAAAAGAAAAAACATAAGCAACCCCAAGTGATATGTGACTGATGGGGCAATGGAGATGATGTATCATTTGTCAATTAGGGCCAGGAAGACTTCCACTGTAGCCTTGAAAATAAATGTAAAGAGTCTTTCTCCTGGGTAGCCCACAGAACAAT
This sequence comes from Homo sapiens, assembly GCF_000001405.40. Classification (NCBI taxonomy): domain Eukaryota; kingdom Metazoa; phylum Chordata; class Mammalia; order Primates; family Hominidae; genus Homo; species Homo sapiens. Next base: position 66,865,014 of record NC_000018.10, on the reverse strand, counting down.
CTGCAAAATTTTCTCTAATCCTTTCATTATGCTAATATCATCATTATGCTTCCTTTGGTGACAAGGAAGTTTAATAACAATTATGTGAACAGCAGTGTAAACTTTGTAAGACTTAAAATAAAATTTCTGTGGTAAACATTAAAGAGTTGGCTAATAGATATAGGATGAACGCTTTTGTACTTGAGATTGTTTGAAAGGCCAAATGTATTTCACGTCTATATTAGGCTACAAACATACTCTACTCCAGTGGCTCTCAAACATTAGAATACAGAGCAATAGTTTAGAGAGCTCAACAATAACAGATTTCCAGGTGCTATTTTCAGGGATAAGAATTTCAGTAGATGTGAAGAAAGTTTAGGAATTAAAAAAAAATACTTCATGTAATTTTTAGCAGTTGTTCATATACTTTTTGAGAAATGGTTGGTAATCAATTACATAAATTTGAAAATGATTATATAAAGTATCAGTATATTATTTTTATAAGGAGAGATTTACTTTATCAGTCAAAAGTATAAAGAGCAAAGCTTAGAAATCTGATATATTTTGCCTTTATTTTAAATAAAATTGTATTTAATCATATTAACATATCTCAATAAAGACAAAGAAAAAAGTATACTCTGTGCAGCTAAAGAAACCATGAGTTAGATAAAAACGTGTACACCTCATTGCTGAGGGGTTAAGATGTAGCATACATTTCTAGTATGATGACTAACATATATGTCTTTAATGGATAACTATTTTAAGAGATGACAATGCCATTAAGAGAATCCAACTAATTCTTCTTACTTCGATTGTATATTTTCCCAAACACTATCTTATGGTTAACTTCCATGTAGATGTTTCCATATAGAGTCCATGAACTACTTTTGGGGGAGTATAATTTTCATAATAAATTGGTAAGTTGGCATTTTGATGTCCATGTTAGTCTTTTGTGAATACCATTAGAGTGAGCTAAGCTGATAAACCAGGTCAACAAAACATGCAATAACACATTTCGTTTTCTGTTCCTGCAAATCTCAGGAGTTTTGTGGTCCTAGAAGGCAAGAAACTTGTAAGTTGAATGGTAGCTACATTCTCCAGCTCATATTGCTAATGCAATTTTTAAGAACTTCAATAAATCTTCTTGTAGATTATTTCTAAAATGCTTATTTTCCTACTGTTTGACTGGTATCAGTGCTTCCTAAATGTAAAAGTAAGGCCTCTTTTCTCTTGAAATCAGATTGAATGCTTGAAAACTAGTTTCAAATAACCTGATTCATTTACAGATTGCCGTACTTACCCTAATCCTAGTAACAATGTGGAATTGTTCCTTTATCTCTAAAACTGTCCAGTGCACTTTCTTCAGTGAAGTTTAAGTTGCTTAAAGGGACCTCAAGACTTAGTATTACACTTTAAACTATTTTTTTTTTTTTTTTTGGTAAATGATAGCATTCATCATGGTAGCAAATAGCAGCTCCAGTACTAAAACTGAAGGACAGAGAAATTACCTAATCCTGATTCCCAACATCACTGTTGCTTGGTCAGACCTGGTTGGATACTAGTATACAAAGCGGATTAACCTATGACTGCAGACTTTCTCAGCGATGTCTACTCACTGCGTCTGTGACAGGGACAAGGTGCCACTTTCCACACTTGTCTTGGTGTTTCATCTCAAGGTCCATTTGGTTGAGGATTGCTGACGCAATAAATGAGTGGAAGGATAAGGCTGTGTCAGTCAAATCTCTAGTAACATTTTAATGTGAGATTTTGCCCTTGGATGAATGGCCTTTATCAAAAACAAGGGACAGACAAATGTAATTCAACATGCAGTCCTTACAATTCTCAGAGTGAAAAAAGTGAAGAGACCGAGCCTTCATATACAGTGAAAATGCACTGATTATCATTGTACAACTGAGACATTTCAAGATGACATAGCTCTTGAAACATGAGTTCAGTTGAAAGGATTTGTTCCATTAATTCTTAGACAGTTAACATTTCATATAGATAAAAAAGGTAATTAGCACCAGAATTGTCTTCAATCCCATGAGAAGTTTTTGGCCTTAATACTGCCTAAAGCTGTGCTACACAAAGGTTACTGTTATTTATTGCCATGCCTTCTATCCTTAATAGGAGTCTCTTCAATAAAAATTACCAGAAAGACTTTTCTGCTGCTTTCTTTAACATCTCAAAATCAATGACTTGAAATAAGTCCATCTGTTAAAGGCTAAAATGTCTTTTTCACAGATATACTTTTGTCCAAGATATAAATTGCCTTTTTTTTTTTTTTGAGAGAGAATAGTGGTGAATAATGATTTCATTTTAAGGGAAAGAAGTGTTTCAGGACTAAGGATAAGATAATTATGGTGAGTTTAATCCATTTGGAGTATAATAGTATATATTATATGATTGAAAGAGAATTTAAATTCTTAATATGCTACAAGTTGCATGACAAAAAATAATAAATATTTAGTAACACATTCAATCTCATTTGTATGCTGAAAGCCTACAAATATCCCCAAAGTAAATTCAAATTAAAATAAAATATTAAGTAATTATATCTCTGTCTTCTCACTTATATTGAAATATTTGAAGATAGAAGCTTGTTTGCCACTACCTCTCTAGCTAAGTAATGAATAATTTGATTCATTAACTTTATAAATTTTTGTACCTACCATCTGCTACTCTAAGCAGATGCTGCATCAAAATAATAATAATAATAATAGTTTTTAACTTCCATAAGTTTTTGATGGTGTATATACACAAAAGTAAAAATTTAAGAGTAAGAAACAAATAATACTGTGTGTAATAACAAACCACAGTGAAAAAGTAATGATCAATTTTATTATAAATATTAAACTTTTGCATTATTTTCTTCAACAACTTTATGTAATTTTAATATTTTGTTTTTTTTTTTGTAACATCAGAAGCAATAGTAATTATGCTCCTTAAAGCATTTAATTTTATTATTTCTGTTTTTTAAGTTAAAATTACATTCAAATATTGAAAGCTTTGAATTATCTCACTTTTCAAAACTTCTTCCCTTTCTATCCATTTCTTACATGAAAAAAATCAAAATAAGGAAATTTTGAAAGATACTTCTAATGTATAAAATGAGACTTTTTTGTTTCTTTGCATACTTAGATTAGTTCTTATATAAAAATTGGTAAGTACATCTCTTTGTATATTAAAGCAAATTAATAAATCATAATATCCTGCTTCTCAGTTTTTTATCTATTTGTAAAACACATATAAAAATCATATAATTCTGTTTACTAATGCAAACATTAAGCTATTTTCTACCTTTTTCTGATAAATCATCACGGTATAATGACATAAATAATTTCCTAAATATCACTTTCATTTGTAACTTCTGAAGAGAGTCAACATTTATATTTGAATTACATGTCCCTTTGCTCTTATTTTTCTAACCAAAAAGAAACACAGCTGTTACATTCTTCCTTCTTTATAAAGCCCCTTTTCTGAAATAAAGTTATCTAGAAGCAGCAAAGATCTTTTCCCAGACAGATTGTAACTTCTCACCAATCCCCACTAGCATAGAAAAGGTAACATCTGCATTTAAATTACTTATTTATTCAACTCATTTATATAAAAGTGTACTAAACCTAAAATTCAGTTCTGGAACACTGCTCTGAACCTAGAGGACATCCCATTTCATATAGTTTCTCCAACAACTCATCTCTAGAAACTGTCAAACTAATAATCTGTACAGTGTTGTATTGCAGCATCATTCAAATGTAGCATTTTGGAAAGCCTAAGAAAATAGACCGTAAAGTAGGCCTTTGCAAAATGGAAAAAAAAAGAAATCCTATTACTATTTGAGACTCTCTGCCATCCTTTCAAAACATCTTTGTTAAACTAGTTCCCTGTGGCTCCAGTGATCGTTTTATACCATCTGTTCATTAAAAAGGGTACTATTCATTAACATTTTCTAACCTCTAACCACTTTGAAACTATTTCAAAATATATTTTTCACATTTTAAAGTATATCCAATCACTCTTATTAATACAGTTGGGCAGCCCCTGTAAGAAACAAATAAATATTCATTTATAAAAATAACACTAGTAATTTCCAGTTTTGTTATATTAGGCAAATATTGGGATGCTACTAGGTACACAGAACTCTGCTATGGTATGAGAGATACAAAAACAAATAAGATTTGGATCTTTATTAAAGAATGCAACCATAAAAAAGGATGAGTTCATGTCCTTTGTAGGGACGTGGATGAAGCTGGAAACCATCATTCTCAGCAAACTATCGCAAGGACAAAAAAACAAGCACCGCATGTTCTCACTCATAGGTGGTAATTGAACAATGAGAACACTTGGACACAAGAAGGGGAACATCACACACCAGGGCCTGTCGTGAGGTGGGGGGAGGGGGGAGGGATAGCATTAGGAGATATACTTAATGTAAATGACGAGTTAATGGGTGCAGCACACCAACATGGCACATGTATACATATGTAACAAACCTGCACCTTGTGCACATGCACCCTAGAACTTAAAGTATAACAACAACAACAAAAAAAAGTGTAGCAAAAAAAAAAAAAAAAAAAGAAATCTGGAAAGAATAGATTATTAAGAGTCAGCATTATAACTACCAGGAAAGCAGTGTCCTTACTTATTACTGGATAATAAGAAGTTACTGCAATGTTCAAGAGAAAAAGTGGCTTTTTTACACAGGGAATGAAAGAAAACAACAGAGGACAGAGCATTTCAGTTGATGTGGAATCATAAGTATTTTAATAGATTATAAAAAACATATCTCAGTTTTTAAATATAACAGTGGTATGAAAATGGGTAAGATGAGTTTAGAAAGGAAGAGTCATATCTTTTTATTATTATAGTTATTATTACACTTTAAGTTCTGAGATACATGTGCGGAATGTGCAGGTTTGTTACATAGGTATACATATGGCATGGTGGTTTGCTGTACCCATCAACCTGTCGCCTACATTAGGTATTTCTCCTAATGCTATCCCTCCCCTAGACCCCCACCCACTGACAGGCCCTGGTGTGTGATGTTCCCCTCCCTGTGCCCATGTGTTCTCATTGTTGTGTGTGTAGACAGATCATACTTTGAGAACAACGTTTTGAAAAAGCTTAACCTGTTTACCTGTATGTTCCTTCACTCTTGAAAGTCAATATATTTAGAATTGTAATTTATTTTATTTCACCTAAACTTAGAGTTTTATATCTCATAATCATCGTTTAGTCTTCCTTTCCCATTCACTTGTTCTTTCCAAGTTATTACAGTCTTGTTATTATCTTTCTTTTTACTTTGTTGTTTGGTTTTTATTTTTATTTTCTAGGATTCATAATTTTTATTTGACTGTCCATAACAGAAGAGTTAATGAGTATTACTACTGATTTAAAAATGTAAATAAACATAAATTAACATCTGTTTAAAAATCTACTTCATTTCTGTGAGGTTAAAGGATCCTTCTGATACCAGATTATATTCAGATATATCCATTGCCCTTTTAACTTCATTAATTTTATTTTATTTTGGTAAGAATATTTAATGTGAGATTTATTCTCTTAATGAAATTTTAAGTATATAGTTGGGTATTTTGATAGATACAATATAGCATATCTTGAGAACTTACCTTTCTCAATTAAAACTTTGTGTTTGTTGATTAGCAATTCCCCACTTCCCTCTTTCCCTAGACCCAGGCAAACACAATTTTACTCTTTGATTCTGTGAACTTGCCTATATTCGATACCACATGTTAGTGGAGTCATCCAGTATTTATCTTTCTATAACTGGCTCATCCCACTGAGAATAATGTCCTCAAGGTTCATGCATGCTGCTGCATAGTACAGGATATCTTTTTACAGGCTGAATAATATTGTGTTGTATGTTTATAGCACAGTTTCTGTAACCATCAAATCTCTATGGACATTTAGGTTGTTTCCAAATCCTGGCTTTCTGGATAGTATTGATATGAGCAAGGGAATGCTAATATCTATTTAAGATTCTGGTTTTAATTCTTTTGGACAAATACTTAGAAGTACGATTTCTGGATCATATGGAAGTTTTAGTTTTAATTTTTGAGGAATTTCCAAATTGTTTTCCATAAATCCTACAGATTTTACATTCCCACCAACAGTATCCAGAGTTTTGAATTTCTTTACATCTTCACCTACACTTGTCCTTTTTGAGTTTTTTAATAATAGCCATTCTGAGAGGTCTGAGATGATAGATTATTGTGGTTTTGATTTTCATATACCTGATGATTAGTGACATTGGGGATGTTTTCACTTACCTGATGGCCTGTAAAAATAAAAAAAAGACACAAACAAATAGAAATATATCTTGCATTCATGGATAGGAAGAATTAATATCATTAAAAATGTCCATACTACCCAAAGTGATCTATATATATAATGTAATCCCTATCAAAAACATAATGACATTTATTTTTTCAAAAATAGAAAAAAATTATAAAACTCCTATGGAACCACAAAAGACCAGAAATAACCATATCAATTTTGAGAAAGAAGAACGAAGCTGGAGGCATCATACTTCCTGATTTTCAAATATATTACAAAGAAACAGTACTCAAAACAGGATGGTGTTGGTATAAACTCAGATATATAGACCAGAGGAAGAGAATAGAGAATCTAGAAATATTTCCACAAATACAGTCAACTGATCTTAGAAGAAGATACCAAAAATATTAAATTCAGAAAGGATAGTCTTTTCAACAATTACAATTGGGAGAATTGGATATCCACATGCAAAATAATGCAGTTAATTCATATCTTACATGTTACACAGTTCATTTTTCTTTAAAAAGTCTCTAAAATATGTACTTCTTTCCTTGCTTTAAAAAATTCCAGTGCAATCACTCTAATTCATATCTTCAGCAGTTTTAAATATTACTATCTTTTTTTTCTATTCCCACAAAAATATATCTTACTTGAAGTTACCATGTGAATCTTCCAAAAAGAAAAGTGTGTGCTAGGCTGAGTGGAAGGCAGTATGGCCTGGTGATTGATCTGGGTGTCAGGGAAAACAACCTAGCTCCAAGTTCATGTACTGCAAAAATAACCTAGATAATTAACCCCTTTTACTGTAGTTTCATGTTTATAAGCAGAAAGATGATTGCTTACTTTTGCGTAAGTCAACTACCAGCATTAAAATATTACCATACCAAATGTCCTTCTTACTCATTGGTATGCCTCATATTCAGTTATTTTTCAGTATAGCAACATTTAACTACCCTAGAATGGAAGTTCCTGCACCCTTGCCTCCTTTATGTTAGTTTTATATCTCTGCCATAACAAACTTAATGGTATAAAGCAACACAAAATTATCATCTTACAGTTCTGTAGGTTAGAAATCTTATACTCATCTTACTGGACTAAAATCAAGATGATGGTAAGATGCATGTCTCTCTAGAGAATAATATGTTCTTTGATCATTCAGATGATTGGCAGAATTCAGTTCCTTGAAGTGGGACGACTGATATCTCCATTTCTTTCCTGTCAGCTGCTGGCCATTTCAAGCCCAAATCAGTGAGGAGAAATATACTCTCTTCCTGAAGGTACAGAGTGAAGGGAGGAGACAATTTCTAAGCATTTACATATTTTATTATACCGTTTGAAATATTCAGCAAGGTAATGAATATTAAAGGTTAGTACTTTACCTGTAGTATAGTTGGCCTTTGATTGGTGTCTTTTTTTTTTTTTTTTTTTTTTGAGACGGAGTCTCACTCTTATTGTCCAGGCTGGAGTGCAATGGCTCGATCTTGGCTCACTGCAACTTCCGCCTCCCAGATTCAGTTCTGCCTCAGCCTTTTGAGTAGCTGGGACTACAGGTGCACACCACCACGCCCACCTAATTTTTTTTTTTTTTTGTATTTTTAGCAGAGATGGGGGTTTCACCATGTTGGCCAAGCTGATCTCGAACTTCTGACCTCAGGTGATCCACCCGGCTTGGCCTCCCAAAGTGCTGGGATTACAGGCGTGAGCCACCGCGCCCAGCCATCTTTTGTCTCTTAAAGCCTTCTATTAGTTGGATGAGGCCCATGAACATTACGAAGGGCAATTTGCTTCACTCAAAATCTGCTGACTTCAATGTTAATCTCATCTAAAATTATATCCACAGCAACATATAGACTAACGTTTGGCCAAATATCTGGGATCCATCGCCCAGCTAACTTGACACATAAAATTACCCATCTCATTTGCCTATTTTTATTTTTTAACTCAGTATTTACATGGAGTTTTAAAAAGTAATATGCAGAGATCCTGTGTACCATTAACCTAATTTTCCCTAAGGGTGGCCTCTTATAAAGTTGTAATACAGTATGACCACTAGGAAGTTGACATTAATCCAGTCAAAATGCAGAATACTTTCCATCACAACAAGGATGCGTCATGTTGCATTTTAATGGACACAAATACTTCCCTTCCATTCCCAGCTCTTCCTAATCCCTGGTAACAATTCCTACATTCTACCTTTCTATAATTTTATCATTTCAAAAGTGGTAAGGAAATGGAATTATTCATTATGTAATCTCTTGGGAATTGAATCTTTTTTCAGTCGGCATAATTCTGTCACCAATCATCCAGGTTACTGTGTGTATAAATACTTTTTTTTTTTTTCTTAATCCTGAGTACAAGCGTTTGTGTGAATGTAAGTTTTCCTCTCTAAGGAGTGCAGTTGATGCATCGTCTGGTATTTGCATGCTTAGTTTTTTAAGAAAGTGCCAAACTTTTTTCCAGAGTTTCTGATCTTGTTATATTTCCACCAACAATGTGATAGTAACCCACTGGCTCCATATCTTTCCCAGCCTTTGTTGTTGCCACATTTTATTTTTAGTGAACCATTTCAACATACGTGCTATAATATCTCATTGTGGTTTTAATTCTGAATTTCCCTAATGGCTAATGATGTTCTTATTTAATATTTGTATACACACTTGATTGAAATGTCTATTCATGTCTTTCATGCATATTATCATTGTTTTGTGTGTTCGTTGGTTGGTAATGTTGAGTTTTGATAGTTCTTTATATTTCTAGATAAGAGTCCTTATTCACATGTGAGGTTTAAAAATATTTTCTTTATTCAGTAAGTAGTGTTTTCAATTGCTTAATAGGATCTTCAAAACACAGAGTTTTTAATTTTGATGAAGTGCAGTTTATTCATTTTTCTTATTATGGATGGTAATTTAGTATCATGGCTCAAAATGATTTGTCTAGTCCAAATGCAAGTGATGTGTTTCTACATTTTCTAAAACTTTGTTTTAATCTTTTTAAATTTTAATTTAATTTTATTTTACTTTAAGTTCTGGAATACATGTGAAGAACGTGCGGGTTTCTTACATAGGTAAACATGTGCCATGGTGGTTTGCTGCACCTATCAACCCATCATCCAGGTTTTAAGCCCCACGTGCATTAGGTATTTGTCCTAATGCTCTCCCTCCCCTTGCCCCCGACCCCCTGACAGGCTCTGGTGTGTGATGTTCCACTCCTTGTGTCCATGTGTTCTCATTGTTCAACTCCTACTTACGAGTGAGAACATGTGGTGTTTGATTTTCTTTTCCTGTGTGAGTTTGCTGAGAATGATGGCTTCCAGCTTCATCCATGTCACTGCAAAGGACATGAACTCATTCCTTTTGATGGCTGCATAGTACTCCATGGTGAATATGTGCCACATTTTCTTTATCCAGTCTATCACTGATGGGCATTTGGGTTGGTTCCAAGTGTTTGTTTTTGTAAATAGTGCTGCGATAAACATACATGTGCATGTGTCTTTATAGTAGAATAATTTATAATCTTTTAGATACATACCTAGTAATGGGATTGCTGGGTCACATGGTATTTCTTTTTCTAGATCCTTGAGGAATCATCACACTGTCTTCCACAATGGTTGAACTAATTTACGCTCCCACCAACAGTGTAAAAGTGTTTCTATTTCTCCACAACCTTGCCAGCATCTGTTGTTTCCTGACTCTTTAATAATTGCCATTCTGACCTGCATGAGATGGTATCTCATTGTGGTTTTGATTTTCATTTCTGTAATGACCAATGATGATGAGCTTTTTTTCATATGTTTGTTGGCTGCATAAATGTCTTCTTTTGAGATGTGTCTGTTCATATCCTTTGCCCACTTTTGATGGGATTTTTTTTTTTATTGTAAATTTGTTTAAATTCCATGTAGATTCTGGATATTACACCTTCGTCAGATGGGTAGATTGCAAAAATTTTCCCATCTTGTTTAATGCCAAAATATGATCTAACTATATAATAATGCAACTATATATATATAATTAGGTAGACTGATTTCTCTCACTTTATTATTTTTCAAAATGGTTTTAGCTATTCTAGTTTCTTTGCTATTCTCCATAAATATTAAAACAATTCTTTCTATATCTGTACCAAATTTACTGGGATCATGATAGGAATTGCATAAAATCTATATATTGATTTGGAAATAATAGAGATTTCTATTGTGTTCAGTATTTCAATCTAGGAACCATATGGGGAATTCCTTCAATCTAGGAATTATATGTATTTCCATTTACTTAGAGCTTATGTGATATTTTTTCTGCATGGTTGTACAGTTTTAAGTATACAAGTCTTACATATGTTGTATTAGATTTATAGAAAAATCTGTTTGTAGATTTATTGGTGTTCTCACTATAGACAATTATGTCGTCTCCAAATACGGTCATTTCTTTTTATCTCTTCACTTATTTCTGCCTTTTATTCTTTGTTTCTTGCCTTATCAGACTTGTTAAATTTCCAGAAAAGAAAATTGAAAGTAAGTGGTGGGAGCAGAAATCTTTGTTTCTAATATTAGTGGAAAATATTCAGTCCTCATCACTAAGTATAATGTTAGCTGTGTTGTTTTTTATAGATTTTCTTTATTAAGTTTAGGTGTGCCTTTTATTCTTAGTTTTCTGTGTGTTTTTATTATGAATGAGTGTTGGATTGTGTCAAATGCTTATCTGCATGAATCGACAAAATCATATGTTTTTTTATTCTTTATCTTTTCATATAATGTTTTACATTGATTGATTTTTAAATATTGAGCTAGCTTTGAATTCCGTAAATAAATCCTAAAGAGTCATTACATATATATTTTTGTATATTGCTGAATTCTATTGGGTAATATTTTGTTAAGTATTTTTGCATTTTGTATTCAAGAGGTAATACTGGTCTGTAATTTTTGTTTTCTGTACTATTTTTGTACCATTTTCTTATCAGGGTCATTCTAACTTTATAAAGCATTCCCTTTCTATATCCTAAAATATATTTTTTAGAACTGATGTTAATTTTTCTTTCAACAAAACAGTAGATCACTACAGTTAAACCATCTGGATTTAGAGGTATATTTTTGTATGAATTTGTAAATTATGAAATCATTCCCTTAGTAATTACAGGAAAGTTTAAATTATCTGTTTAATATAGATTTGATAGTGTATTTTTGGACAAAAGTGGCACATTTTATATAAGTTGTCAAACTTGTGTTTGTAGATCTGTTTTAAGAAATCTAAGATATGGTCTATCTTGGTATATATTCTATGAGCATTTAAAAATAATATATATTCTGCTCTTCTTAGGTAGAGTGTTCTATAAATATTGATTAAATCCAGTTAGTTAATGGTGGTGTTGATTTTTTCTATATGTGGTACCTGAATAAAAAGTAGAATATAATAAATTTCATGTAGATTATTTTTGGATTTTTATGCATATAATCATATAGTCTTGTTATTTTATTTTACTTATTCCTTTCCCTCCTTATAACTTTTTTCTTAACTTATTAGCACTGAATATCAATTCCCATACAATATTGTATAATACTGAAGAGAAGTTATAAAAGCTTATACGTTTGTCTCATTCGTAATCTCATGTGTAAAGCTGTCAAAAACCCCTCACAAAATATGCAATTGCCGTTTTTTGTGATTATTTTTATTAATTTACAAAATGTTTCTTTTATTCTAACTTGCTCTGAGGTTTTGGCATAGATGATAAATTTTATCACATGAATGTGCTGTATCTAACAGCATCATAAGATACAAGGGGAAATGTCTCTTTTTCATAGGCTAGAACATTTTTTGTTACAATGGTGTTTTTGTTCTTAAATATGGAATAATTAATCATAAGCCTTTGTTTTGTTTTTATTGCATTTTGTTTAAAGAAAGAGTTTTAGTATAAAGATTTAACTTCTTTCATATAAATAAATAATATGCAGATTTTCTATGTCCTTATTTTTGTTATATTATGGTTTTTCCTTATTTTAATATTTACTCAGCATTTCAAATTTATTGGCACATTTTTAATTATATTTTTGTGTTAACTTTTAATGTCAGAAAGACCTGCAATGATCCTCATTTTTCCTAATATTGGAAATCTGTGTTTTCTCTAGTTTATCAGCCTTAGAATGGGATTTGACAATTTATTCTTTTGAAATAAGTATTACTTGTTGATTGTATATATATGTGTATATATGCATTATTTTTAATTAATATCTTATCAATTGTATCACTTTAGTTTTGCTTCATTGCTTTATTTGTAAAAACCTCATTCTAAAAATACTTTATTAATTTTTAATATTTCTTCATATCTAACATGTTCATATATTGCTATTCACTTTGCTTCAAACAATCCCCTTATGCTTTGAGTTCACTAAGCTTCTTAAATATGTGAGTTAGAATAGTTCAACATTGGGAAAAATTGTCAGCTAATTTGTTTTACAAATAGCCTCTTCTCTATCTGTACTCTTCTTCTGGAACATCAATCATATGCATTTGAAAGATGTGTCACCTTGTTCTGATTTCTTTTTTTTTCTTCTTATCATTCTTCTTATTACACAGCGATGCAACAATTTGGATGTTTTTACTGATGGCTTTACTAATCCTGTCACTATATTCAAGGCATTCATTTTTCTCATTCTTTAGCGTTTTATGACTACTATAGTTATTATTTACATTATCACTTTTATTATAATAATAGATCCCAATTTTTTGTTATACTTAGTTTTTTTCATCTATTTTGTTCATATTCTTCTATATTTTCTTTTATATATAAATATTTATTGAAATTTATTTTCTAACTCCAATATATTTATTATCTTTGAGTATCCATTTATTGTCTCCCATCCTCTAAATTATAATTCATATTGTCTTGCCTCCTTTAATCAACATTGTATTTACTGCAAGCCAAATACTATGCAAATAAAGCATGGCAGAAAATGATAGCATTACCTTATTCCAAGGAAGCTTTTCTTTTTCCTTGTTAGCAAGAGAGTCTTAGGTGCTTATTGCTTCAATCTAATGTGAAATTGATTGGGGATGGGGTTCCAGATTTAGGGAGATTTAACCTACCTTTGTTTCAACTTTTATCCAAAGGCCTTGAATAAACGTTTTGCAGGTCTCAGTCTCCTCAGGAAGATCTAGCTTTGCCAGTAAAAGATTCCCATCCAGACTTTCCAATGGTGAGCCTTAGACATATGTGAAATCTCACTAACGTCTTGTGGACATTACAGCATGGATGATTCAAACATGTTTTGTAGAAGATGTTTAAAATTATACATTATGAATGTTTAAAAGCATGCATTTTAAAGACCTTACTCGGTCTTTTTGAATCAAATCTTCCCTAGAATGTCTTTGCTTTCTTAAGACCAAAACCTTGAAGGGAGTTTTCCTTTGTATCCTACCTTGAGTTAATCAGCTAATACTCTTTAAAGCAAAGAAACCAAGTTATTAGTCCATTGAACTTTCTGATTTGTTATATTGGTCCCACCCAACTGGCAACGTATTTACATGTTTCTCTTCCCCAACAGAGGCTCCATGACTAGACAATTCTAATTTCAAAATTGAGCCAAAATCAGCAAATTCCCTCATGAGAGAAAAATGGTTGGAAATTGTCACCTTCTTAAAAATTCCAACACTGACTGGGATTATATTTCATAAGCTTTATTGTTTTTATAGCTCTTAGAGACCATATACTATGACATTTGGAATTTATCTGTATTTTTCTGCTTATAATAAGTGACATACTGTTCTTCAGAAACAACTGCATTTTAAGTAAAAATGAACATTTATTTATTATAATTACTTAATTGCTTCTTACACTGGAATTTAAATTTCACAAGTTAAGGAACTTTACTTATTTGATATACCACTGTATTAACAGGAATTAAACCATTACCCAATATAAAATTAGCACTCAATAATTATTTATTAAGTATATTAGTAAATTAGCACGAAAGTAAGGGTTCCTCAGTGCAGCTCCTTCCAGCCATCCCCCTCCAACATAGTCTTTCAACCAATTCACCCATTTTACATCTGATTGCTTGGATATTTTCAGAGAAAGCTGCACTCTCTTGAGTTGCCATCTTGTATTCTTATTTGTGGTGTTTTTTTTCCATCAATGGAAGGTAAGCTCCGTCACAGCATGGATGATTCAAACATGTTTTGTAAAAGATGTTTAAAATTATACATTATGAATGTTTAAAAGCATACATTTTCAAGGTATATTATACTTGATAATGAGCAGGCATATGAGGATGCACATTTTGATTTTTGCAACAACATTCTAACATAGAATGTTCTTATCATTGAGGAGAATATATAAGTATAAAATGTAAATAACTTTGCATCTCACAAATGTCTATAAAAAAGCATGAATTTTTAAAATGGTTTAATGAAGTTCCTTTTCAATAAATTCAGTGATACCATTGTATCTTTATAATTTGTATTGATTATTAAATAATATTTTATTTCATACAAAGACAGTAATTGAAGAAATTCCAATTAAATATTTTCTTGAAATAGCTAAGCAATGGGTACCAAGCAGAATGCTGAGGTCCAGTACTGAGGTTTCACAACTCGGTATGTGTTAGAACCTGCTTTAGGAGACCATCCACAAGAGCTTTCTGTCCTTCTACACACCTTGGTTCCTATGCCTGAATGACAAGGTCTTCAGTATTCTTTAATCCAGAACACAGGAGTGGCGAGTATCACACAAAGAGTGGCACAGTTCTAAAGATCATTTTATGCTGCTGTAAATTTAAAACTAACTGTATAGAAATAGACTCATCATTGACGCTTGTACCTAGTTGTCTTCCTGGCAAAGATCATTTTGTCTTACTCCTTGCTATAAAATGCAGATTCCCTAAGCTTCAGTTCCTCAGCTGTGAAACTGCCACTCCTTGTTTATCACCCATCTAGATTCTTCACATTTCCTCCAATAACAGGGAAATCAAGTATCAATAGGACAATGCTCCCACTGCCTGCTAGACCTTGAGTAATACCATTCTTTATCTTCAACATAGGAACCTCTTGTCTTTTACCAGCATCCATGGAATTGTGGCAAACTAACTTATTACAACTTATGGTTATTTTTGTGAGTGTTCTACCACTTCTAGCATTACTCTACATCGCCAAATTTAGGTAAGTAAGGTAACATCCCAAAAGAGGGTCATATAGGTAACACGTGGTTGTAAAATAATTTTGAAAAATCAATTTACTTTCTTTCACAGAATAGTATCTAGGAGACTGAAGCAACTGCTGGACTGAGAGTGAAGAAACCAGAATTCTTCCCTGGTCTGCCAATAATTAACTATTAGACATTGAGTAGGAGGAAATGTGATTAACATTCATTGAGCATTTACTATGTGTATGTCATCCTGCCAAATTAATGTATTCATTTAATATGCATACATTCTATCCAAATGAAAGTTGTAGAAACTGAGGCAGAGACTGTTAAGTGTTTGTCCTGAGGTTGTAAAACTAATTGGCGTATTCAAGTTTTGAACCCAGGAAATTTCCAGTTGCAGAATGATACTCTTAACCAATGCTTTCTGTATGATGCAAAGATTATGAATGTTGGATACAGACATACCTGTGTTAATATCTGGGTCTACCACTATTCTCTTTGTGGCCCTAGGCAAATTACTTAAACTTCTTAGCCTTATTTTTAACAATATTAGAATATTGTACCTACTTTGAAGGATGTTTATGTGAATTAAACCTGATGATTGAGATGGTATCTCTTTGCACAGTACTTGACATATTATTGTCTTTCAGTAAATATTAATGTCTTTCCCTCACTAAGTGCTTCTAAAATACGTATGTGGCTTCAAATATTTTATGTTTAACCTTGTAGTTCTTGCTTCAAAGTGTTAAGTTTATGTTCTCATTTTGTGTAACAGCTTTTTCAAAATTATTTTGCATTTCAAGAACTCATTTTTTTTCCCAGTACCTTGTTCAGTGATAAAAGTGAAAGAGCCTTATATTACCACATTCTGTGCTATTTGAAATAGATCTCCAAGCAGAGGATTAAATGAAAATTCCCCTACTCTCAGATGTACCTAAAAGAAGTAGTAGATGTGGTCATATAATTTAATGTTTGAAAAATTACACTTTCCACAATAATTTACTTAGGAGATAAACTAATTCTTAGAAGATAGGAATTACAACTCTTCATTACTGATGATTATAAATTTTAACTATTTTATAACAGATATATAAAATCTTGACTTCATAATGCTTTTTCCATCAGTTAACAATGTGTTATAAAAGAAGCTATAATGCTTTGAGGAAAATACTGAATAGTTCATAAAATCTACGCAGCTTGAATTAGTCTCATAATCTCCTTGCAGTTAGGGAACAAAGTAGTTTATGTTATTGCATGTATTATTACTGATTTTGATCATTTAATTATCAGTTAAGTTTAATCCAAATATTAACTTTGAAAGTTCATACATATTTTAGAACAAATATAAACAATAAAACACCTTGGGGAATGGTTTATTATATTGATACAATTAAACTGCAGGCTGCCAATTAAGAACACATGTATTATTGTGAATTCCTATGCTTAAAGACAGAAAAGAAATTACATAATTCAAATAAAATTGCTTAACTGAAAATTGGAAGAAAAAATCTTTAGAACCATAGTTTAGAAGGAAACAACATGAATGAACTGTATTACTCTATGGAAGGAATACAGTCCTACATAATCACAGGATGAAAAATTCAATTGAATAATTATTAAATAATGAAATTCTCTACTTTAAAAATCTGGACTAAAATTTTAGGTGATGATGAGATTTAAATTTGAGATACTAAGTATAAAGTTGTAAAGTTATTTTATATAAATCAGAAGCATATTTCAGATAGAGATCTCTTTCTCATCAGTCAGGCTGGTTTTATAGAAGTTAAGGAAGAATGTAATAGCAGATTTCAAGGCACACTGTGAGAAAATGAATGGCTTTATTTCCTTTGTTTATAACAATCTTCCAAATGTCAAGCTCTTCTTCTCACCACATGGCACCTAATCTAAAATTGATCACATAATCGGAAGTAAAACACTCCTCACCAAATTTGAAAGAATTGAAATAATAAGTCTCTCTGACCACGGCACAATCAAATTCAAAATCAAGACTAAGAAATTCACTCAAAACTATACAATTACATGGAAGTCGTAATTGCCCCTGAGTGACTTTTTGGTAAATCATAAGGCAGAAATCAAATTCTTTGAAACTAATAAAAACAAAAATACACTGTATCACCATCTCTGGGTACACAGCTAAGGCAGTATTAAGAGAGAAATTTATAGCACTAAATGTCCACATCATAAAGTTAGAACAATGTCATTAGCAACCTAACATCACAACTAAATAATTAGAGAAGCAAGAGCAAACAAATCCCAAAGCTAGCAGAAGACAAGAACTAACCAAAAGTAGAGCTGAACTGAAGAAGATAGCGATACAAAAAAACCATTAAAAGATCAACAAATTCAGGAGCTGGTTTATTGAAAAAATTAATAAAATAGATAGATTGATAGCTAGACTAAGAAGAAAAAAGAGAAGATTCAACTAAACACAGAAACGACAAGGGAGATATTACTACTGACCCCACAGAAATACAAACAACTGTCAGGGAATACTACGAGCACCTCTATGCACATAAACCAGAAAATCTAGAAGAAATGGATATGTTCTTGGACATATACACCCTCCCAAGACTGAACCAGGAAGAAGTTGAATCCCTGAACAGATTGATAACTAGTTCTGAATTGAGGCAATAATAACCTAACAACAACAATAAAAGAACAGATGGATTCACAGCTGAATTCTACCAAATATACAAAGAAGAGCTGGTACTGCACCTCCTGAAACTTCCAAAAATTGAGGAGGAGGGACTCCTTCCTAACTCTTTTTATAAGGCCAGCATCATCCTGATGCCAAAATTTGGTTCCAAGGTTGTTATTATTATTGTCTGTCAGATCTTCTGGTCAGTAAACAATTCACTAAGCAGTTTCCTCATCCTGACTATCAAGACCATTTCCCTCCATAAAAATGTGTATTATGAAAAACTGTGAATCAATTTCAAATCTGAGCGGAATATAGTTTGTGGAAGTAAGAAGGATATCTGTTGACCCTATAAGAGCAAGATGAATTCTAAAATCAAAAACAAGAGCAAACAGCAAACTTATGGTGAAGCTTGGGTGGAAGAATAGTGAAATCTTTGATTTCACTTTATGAAAAGTTCATGGAGATAATGCCCCAAAGAAATCAAATGTTTTCAAGTAGAAAACTCATTCTAAGAAGGGATGAGCTAAGGTTAAGGATAAAGCCTGCAGCGGCAGACTATCTCACATTAACTAGCAAGGAAAAAAAATTCATCTTCTTTATGCCCTCCTTAAAGAAGACCAATGATTAACAAAAGAAACAATCACTACCACCACAGACATCTCAGTTTCACCAGCAGTGCAGTGGCTCATGCCCATAATCCCAGCACTTTGGGAGGCCGAGGTGGGTGGATCATGAGGTCAAGAGAACTAGACCGTCCTGGCCAACTTAGTGAAACCCTGTCTCTACTAAAAAATACCAAAAGTAGCTGGATGTGGTGGCACACACCTTTAGTCCCAGCTACTCGGGAGGCTGAGGCAGGAGAATTATTTGAACCCAGGAAGCAGGGAGGTGGAGGTTGCAGTGAGCCAAGATCATGCCACTGCACCTCCAGCCTGGCAACAGAGTGAGACTCTGTCTTAAAAAAAAAAAAAAACAAACAAAAAAAACTAATTGAAAAATTAAAGTTAAGTAATTTCCACTCAATGTGTGCCAAAAACTATTGTGCTCATATCAGCTTCAGATAACAGCAGAAGTTTCAAGGAAAATTTTAAACAAGCGGGGTCAAGACCCCTGAAGCATTTCTTTAAAGAATTGTAACAGCAGGTACAACGTGATTTTACCAGTACAATCCAGAAAACAAAGCACAGCTGCAGCAGTGGATATCAAGAGCCATCAAGAGCCACATGTGGTCCAGGCAAAGCAAAAGCAGACCAGTCTAAAGCATAAGTCATGGCAAGTTTCAAGATGCTCAAGGCATTTTGCTTGGTGACATTCTGGAGTGCCAAAGAATGACAACTGCTTATTATGATAGTGTTTTTAGAAATTTTGTCAAAGCTTTAGCAGAAAATTGCCTGGAAAAGCTTTACCAAAGAGTTATTCTAAACCACAACAATACTCTTGCGCATTCCTCTCATCAAATAAGGGCAAGTTTACAAGAATTTCAATAATAAATTATTAGGCCTCCATCTTAGGGTCCTATTTGGCTTCTTTCGACTAGTTTGTGTTTACTAATCTTAAAAACTGTAAAACACATATATCTTTCATCCATTAATAATGTAAAAATGGCAGCACTGATATGGTAAATTTCCAGGAACCTCAGTTCCTTAGGGGTGGACCAAATTGCTTGTATCATCATTTGCAATATTGTCCTGGACTTGATGGAGCTTATATTTTAAAGTTCATATTTATTTATTGTTTTAAAAAATTCAACTTTATTTCAGACTCAGGATGTACATGGGCAAGTTTGTTAAATTGTGTGATGCTAAGGTTTGGAATTTGAATGCTGTTGTATTCCAGGTATACCCAGGTAATGAGTATATACTCAATAGCTATTCAATAATGCCCCCTGCTTCCTTCTTCCCTATAGCAGTCCCCAGGTGTCTGTTGTTCCCATCCTTATACCCATGAGTACCCTCCCACTTAGAAGTGAAAATGTGCAGTATTTGAGTTTTTGTTCCTGCGTTAATTCACTTGAGATAATGGCTTCCAGCAGCATTCATGTTTGTTATTTTTTTAGGGCTGCATAGTATTCCATGGCGTATGTGGTCCTCAAATTTTCTTTATGCAATCCACCATTTATGGGCACTTGGGTTAATTTCATGTCTTTGCTCTTGGGAATAGTTCTACAATGAACATATGAGTATAAGTGTCTTTTTAGTAGAAAAATTAATTTTATTTTTATACACAACAAGTAAGGGATTGTTGGGTTGAATAGTAGTTCTGCTTTAAGTTATTTGAGAAATAACCAAACTGCTTTCCAAAGTGGCTGAACTAATTTACATACCAACCACCAGTGTATAAGCATTCTCTTTTCTCCACACCCCTAGCAGTATCTAAGTTTTTGGCTTTTTAATTGTGGCTATTCTGACTGTGTGAAATGGTATTTCATTGTGGTTTTAATATGCATTTATTTAATGATTAGTGATGTTGAGCATTTTTTCATGTTTTTGGCTGTTTGTGTGTCTTCTTTTCAGAATTGTCTGTTTGTGTCTTTTGCCTACTTTTTAATGAGGTTATTTATTTATGTTTGCTTGTTGAACTGCTTAAGTTCCTTATAGATTTTGGATACTAGACCTTTGTCAGATGCATAGTTTGTGAACATTTTCTCTCATTTAGTAGGTTATTTGTTTACTCTAATGATGGTTTATTTTGTTTTGCTGAAGCTTTTTAGTTTAATTAGGTCTCACTTGTCATTTTTTGTTTTTGTTGCAATTGCTTTTGTGGACTCTGTAATAAATTCTTTTCCAAAGCTAATGTCCAGAATGGTGTTTCCTAGTTTCTTTCCAGGATTCTGATAGTTTGAGTTCTTATATTTAAAGCTTTAATCCATCTTGAGTTAATTTTCGTATATGGTGAAGGGTAAAGGTCCAGTTTCATTCCTCTACAGCTATCCCAGCACCATTTTTTGAACAGAGAGTCTTTTCCCCATTGGTTATTTTTGTTAGCTTTGTCAAAGATCAGATGGTTGTAAGTGTGTGGCTTTATTCCTGGGTTTTCTACTGTGTTCCATTGATCTATATGTTTGTTTCCTACCAGTACCATGTTGTTGGTTACTGTAGCCTTATATTATAGTAGAGCAATTTGATGCCTCTAGCTTTGTTCTTTTTAACTTAGTATTGCTTTGTATATTCTAACTCTTTTGTGTTCCATATGAATTTAGAATAATTTTTTTTTTCTAATTCTGTTAATAAGGATATTGGCACCTTGTTAGGAATAGCATTGAATCTGTAAATTACTTTGGGCACTATGGCCACTTTAATTATAGTTATTATTTCATTTGCAAGCTTGAATATTTTTCAATTTGTGTGAACTTTAATTTCTTTCAGCAATGTTTTGTAGTTTTTCTTGCAGAAATATTTCACCTCCTTGGCGAGATGTATTCCTAGGTATTTCTTTTGTGGCTAGTGTAAATGGAATTATGTTCTGAATTTGGCTCTTGGCTAGAATGTTATTGGGGTATAGAAATGTTACTAATTTTTATACATTGATTGTGTATTCTGAAATTTTATTGAAATCATTTATCAGTTCCAGGAGCCTCTTGGTTCAATCTTCAGGGTTTTCTAGATATAGATTCATATTATCAGTGAAGACAGGTAGCTTGACTTTTTCTTTTCTTATTTGAATGGACTTTACTTCTTTCTCTTGCCTGTTTGCTCTGGCAAGGACTTCCGGTACTATGTTGAATAGGTGCGATGAGAGTGAGCATCCTTGTCGTGTTCAGTTCGCAAGGGAAATGATTCTAGTGTTTGCCCATTCTGTATGATGTTGTCTGTGGATGTGTCATTGATAGCTCTCATATAAAGTTAGTTCCTTTGATGCCTAATTTGTTGAGGGATTTTATCATGAAGGCATGTTTTATGTTGTTAATGGAGTTTTTTCTGTCTATTGAAATGATCATATGATTTTTGCTTTTAATTCTGTTTATGTGGTGAATAACACTTGTTGATTTACGTATTTTCTCTTATTCTGTAGGTTTGGAGTATGTTCTGTGTACAGATAAAAAGAATGTATATTCTGTGGTTGATGGGCAGAGTATTCTGTAGATGACTATCAAGTCCAGTTAGTCTAGTGTTGAATTTAAGTCCAGAATTTCTTTGTTAGTTTTCTGCCTTGATGATTTGTCTAACACTGTCAGTTGATTTGCATATGTTGAACAAGCTTGCATCCCTGGAATAAAGCCAACTAGATTGTGGTAAATTAACTTTTTGATGTGCTGCTGGACTTGGTTTGCGAGTATTTTATTGAGGATTTTTGTGTCTGTGTTCATCAGGGATATTGGCCTCTAGTTGTTTTTTTTTTGTTGTTGTTGTTTTTTAAATTCATTGTGTCTTTGGTAGGTTTTGGTATGGGGTGATACTGGCTTCATAGAATGAGTTATAGAGGAGTCCCTTCTTAATTTTTTTGGGGGATAGTTTTAGTAGAATTGGTTCCAGCTCTCTTTTATATGTCCAATAGAATTTGGCTGTAAATCCATCTGGTCCAAAGCTTTTATGTGGGGTTAATGGGATTTTTATTACTGATTAAATTTTTCAACTTTTTATGGGTCTATTCAGGGTTTCAATTTCTTCCTGTTTCAATTTTGGGAGGTTGTGTGTGTCTAGGAATTCACCCATTTCCTCTAGATTTTTCTAGTTTGCAGGCATAGAAGTGTTTATAATAGACTCTGAGCATCATTTGTGATTCTGTAGGATCAATTTTAATGTCACATTAGTCATTTCTGATTATGCTTATTTGGATTTTTCTTCTTTGTTAATCTAGCTAGCAGTCTATTGATCTTGCTTACTCGTTAAAAGAAACAACTTTTGATCTCTTTGTATGGCTTTTTGGATCTCAGTTCTGTTCAGTTCTGCTCTGATTTTAGTTATCCATTTTCTTCTGTTAGCTTTGAGGTTAGTTTGTTCTTGTTTTTATAGTTCCTCCAGGTGTGATGTTAAATGGTTCATTTGAGTTTTTCCCAACTTCTTGAGGTAGAAATTTGGTGCTGTAAATTACTCTTACTGTTGCTTTTGCTGTAGCCCAGTGATGCTTGTTTGTTGTGCCTCTGTCTTTATTAATGTCAACTTTTGTGTGTGTGTGTGTTTGTTTGTTTTTACTTTATGCCTTAATTTTATTGTTTATTGAAAAGTCATTCAGGAGCAAGTTGTTTAATTTCCATGTAACTGCGTGGTTTGGGGAAATCTTGTTATTGATTTCTATTTTTATTCCACTATCATCCTAAAGTAAGGTTGACATAATTTTGACTTTTAAAAATTTATTGAAACTTGGTTTATGATTAAGCATGTGGGCAATCTTGGAGTATGTTCTGTGTACAGATAAGAAGAATGTGTATTCTGCGGTTGATGGGTGGAGTGTTCTGTAGATGTCTATTAAGTCCAACTGATCTAGTGTTGAATTTAAGTCCAGAATATTTTCGTTAGTTTTCTGCCTTAATCATCTGTCTAACACTGTCAGTGGAGTAATGAAGTCCTCCACTATTACTTTATGTATAAGTCTTTACATAGTTCTATAAGTAACTTTTATGAATCTGGGTGCTTTATTGTTGGGTACATATATATAGGGGAGTTAAGTCTTCTTGTATTGAACTCTTTATCATCACATTATGCCCTTCTTTGTCCTTTTTTTACCATCCTTGGTTTAAAGTTTGCTTTATCTGATAGAAAAATAGTGATCTCTGCTCCTTTTTGTTTTACATTTGCTTGATAGATCTTTCTCCAATTCTTTACATTGAACTGATGGATGCTACTACATATGAAATGGGTGTCTTGAAGATAAAAGATAGGTGGGTTTTAGTTTTTTATATGACTTACAACTCCATGCCTTTTAAGTGGAGCATTTAGTTGTTTACATTCATAGATAATGTTGATATGTGTGGTTTTGACCCTATTAGCTGGTTAGCTGGTTGCTTTGTAGTTTCTACTGTGTAGCTCTCTATAGGGTCTTTGGGCTATGCATTTAAGTGTGTTTTTGTGGTAGCAGGAATCTTTCTTTTGTTTCCATGTTTAGAACTGCGTTAAATATCTCTTGTAAGGCTGACCTAGTGGTAACAAATTTCCTTAGCACTTGCTTGCCTGGAAAAGATTTTATTTCCTCTTTGTTCATGAGGATTAGTTTCATGGGATATGAAATTATTGGTTGAAATTTATTTTCTTTAATAATGCTGAAAAAAGCCCCCCAATCTCTCCTGGCTATTAAGGTTTCTGCTGAGAAGTCTGTTGTTAGCTTGGAATGCTTCCCCTTGTACGTGATCTGACCTTTTACTCTAGGTGTTAAGATTTTATATTTAGCATTGACACTGAACAGTCTGGTGACTGTATGCCTTGGTGATGCTCTTTTTGTACAGTTGATAGCAAGTGGTCTCTGAATTTCTTGTACCTAGTGTCAATGTCTCTAGCAAGATTAGGAAAATTTTCTTTATTCCCTCAAATATAAACTTTTTAGGATGTTTACTCTTCCTCCTCTCTTAGGAATGCCTATAATTCATAGGTTTGGTGGCTTGACATAATCTCATATTTCTTGAAGACTGTTCATTTTTTCAAATTCCCTTTTTCTTCATTTTTCTTCTGACTGGGTTAGTTTGAAAGACCAGTCTTCCTGCCCTAAAATTTGTTCTTTGTTTGGCCTAGTCTTTTTTTTTTTTTGAGACAAAGTCTCGCTGTCCTCCAGGTTAGAGTGCAGTGGTGCGATCTCGGCTCACTGCAGGCTCCGGCCCCTGGGGTTCACACCATTCTCCTGCCTCAGCCTCCCGAGTAGCTGGGACTACAGGCGCCCGCCACCTCACCCGGCTAATTTTTTGTATTTTTAGTAGAGACGGGGTTTCACCGTGTTAGCCAGGATGGTCTCGATCTCCTGACCTCGTGATCCGCCCGCCTTGGCCTCCCAAAGTGCTGGGATTACAGGTGTGAGCCACCGCCCCAGGCCTGGCCTAGTCTTTTGATAAAGCTTTCAATTGTATTCTGAAATTCCTTAAGTGAGTTTTTTTCTTTCCAGAAACTTTGATTAATTTTTTTAAAAGATGTTTATTACTTCCTTCTTTTACTCGATCAATTTAGAAGTTTATTTGTGTTGATTTTCAACCTTGTCTTGGATCTGGTTGAATTTCCTTGAAGATCATGCTTTAAATTTTTATCTGTCAATTCTGAGTTTGCATTTTTGTTAGCAACCATTAGTGGAAAGCTAGAGTAATCTTCGGCGGTGTCACTACGTTCAGATTTTCATAGTGCCAGAATTCCTGTGCTGGTTCCTTCTCATCTGGAGACACGGGCACTTCTAATTTTTGTAATTATCTTCATGCAGGTGTGATTTGTTTTTCTTTTTATTTGTTTCCCTATAATTTTAACTTTTTTTTCTCCTTTCTATTCCCTCCCACTCAGGGAGTGTAGCTGAAGAGAATGCTGGATAGGGTCTTTTGGTTTTGCTTCTGTAGCCCTGTGTACTTTTTTCAGTAGGTTTTATATTGAACTGTGAGGTTTGACCTAAAACCCCATAGATGGTGCATATAGGTAAAAGCCAGCTGAGGCCAATATGGCTGATCACATACTTGATTCTTATTTACCAGAAGAAAATCTCTGTTGCCTCAGGTAATAAGTTGATCCATTGAGTGCACAGTGGTCTGAGTTCCTGCTCAGCCCCAGCAGGGTAGGGGGCACCATGAGTAGGGCCAGACTGAGCAGGCTCACCTATGAGTCCCCCAAGGGCAGGCACAAGCACCAGCATCAATGGAGAATCCAGTGAGTAGCCACCAAGCTCCCAGAGATGTGCCTAGGCATGGAGCTGGGAGACCTCCTGTGCCCCAAGTTCTCTGCTTGAAGATTGGGAGTGGCCCAAACTCCTAATCCAAGAGAATGGGTGCTCCAGATGCCTGGAGCTCTGTCTGAGCATACAGCGTAGAGGGCCCTGCTGTGCCACAATCTCTGCACAGAAAGCGTGAGGTGGCTCAGGGTGCTAATGAAGGGGTGCTCTGACTCTCTGGAGATCTGTCTTGGCATATAATAGAGAGGGCCCCACTTTTCCACAGTCTCTACAGAGGGTGGATAGGCTAGCTCAGGCTGCTGCTTCAGGTGAGCAGGTGCTCCAAATGCCTGGAGACATGCTTGGGCATGGAGCAGAGAGGACTCTGCCACACCACAATCTCAGGGAAGCAGGATGAGGCACACTTTGATGACACATGCAGACTGGTTCTAGCTTGATAAACTGGCCCTGGCTGCAAGTCTTGTCACTCAGGAGAAACTGTAGCTATAGCAGCTCTCCTCATTCCCGAGCCCTGTGGGAAGGGAAAGCAAAATTCTGGCACCTACTGCTCAGGCACTTTCAACAGTTCTGGCTGTGGAGGCCCCTGTTTCACTCCAGAGCAAGTGCTGCAATCTTTGGCTCGAGACTAAAATGTCTATGTGGCCATGCTGCTGCGTCACCACAGAGTGACTGAGCTTGTATACACCCAGATTGAAATGGTATCCTGTTGTCACTCTTGGGTCTGGGAAACTGCCTGCAGCTTTTTCCAGTGTCTCTCCTTCTCCATACGGTGAAGCCTTTCTCCATGTTAGCTCCAGGCTTGGAAGAAACAAGTGTTCTCCTTCAGGTGGCTTGCATCCCCAGTAGAAAGGTGAGTCACAGAGAGTGGTTCTCCGCCTCTCACATACTGCACATACTGGGGCATCACTCATTTTTGTCAGTTGGACATCGTCACAGGGGTTGTTTGTCCATGTTCTCCTCCCCAGGATCTGGGGTGTCCTTGACGATTAGAGTGGATTCTCATTTTTCTTCTTGAATTAAGGCTTACAGAATTGATCTTGCATGATATATTACTATTTTAAAGTGGCCGAGGCTTGCTGAAATCTTTGAGTCGTCCATCTTGAAAAACAACCACATTTTTAAATTTTTCTTTTAATTCAGTTTTCCCACAAATTTTTTGAAGTTCCCTGTATTATATTTTATTTGCCTTTCTCATGGAATCACGGGTTTCATGATTCCTAGGATCCTTGAGATAATTAGTGGCATCCCAAGCTCCAGCCTTTCATCTATACAAGCCTGTTGACTACCACAGTTCACGAAAGAGTTTCCCTTACTACCAGGGTGTCTGTGTTTGTGTGCATGTGTGTGTGTGTGCGTTTGTGTGTGTGTGCATTCTAGCTCTCCTCTGCTTCCTCTTTTTAAAATTTTCTTCATTTTGCCCAGCTAGAAAATAATTTATCTAGCATAAATTAAAAAGAGATTTTGAGAGGATGTTATGCTCTTCATTTTTCCCCATTTCAAATTTATCCTAACAACCAGATGGTCACTGTTGAACACAAAATTAAAACGAGGCACTTTTTTTTTCATCTTTATTTTTTTCTCAGACTCTCCCTGGTTTTACCCTTTCTTGTAGCAGTTAATGGAAGGCTATTTTTCCAATGGTGGAGACAAAAATAACACATAAATTAGCATTTTTAAATATGATGTTGTCAAAAATCAGGACTTTACATTTCATCCTTCTATATGCAGTTTTTGTATTTTTAAAATTTATTCTGCTGATTTCTCGTTATATCACTAAATTTCATCAAGGGTTTTTAATAAAATCTATTTTGGCTGTCACTTACGACAGTTCACATTGATACCTAGAAGTTCTCGAGAGGATGCTTTTGCATTTTCTCTGCTAATTAGCCAATGCACATTTTGGGGGAAGGAGTAGGCTTCTTAGGACAACTCTTGATAAATTATTTCTTAGGTAAGCATTTCTTACATATTAGAAATGAAAATACATTTTTGGTCTCATTAAATAATTCATAATTTACTCACATGGATAGATTTGGTAATTTAATGTTACAGATGCCCATGTAATACCCACTCCTGACCCATTTAGTTTTTGCTCCATTTTTATGACTCTGGCAGTGACTGTGCCTTTAGGGAGGAAACTCTGTTTATTGAAAAATAATATCATGCAGTGAAAAAAGCACTAAGGTCTAATTAAAAAAAAAAGCTGAGTGTTCAGAGATCATCATTAAAGAACTTATGCATGTAACCAAAAACCACCTGTACCCCAAAAGCTATTGAAATAAAAATAAAAAAGAAAAGAAAAATACACCGTTTGTTAGTCCTTGTTCTAATATGTCACCACAGTATCATACTAGTACATGCCATATGTATGATACTGGTAAATATCTAGTGACATTGATACATATCCTGATACTTATGGAAGAAAAATATATACAGCTACATATAACATATGATAGCAACTATATTTAGAGATGCATGATATATACATATATATGACATTACACTTTAAGAACACCTATAGGGGTAAAATTATAAAGGTAGTATAACAATGGGTTTATCTTGTTTTTATAATATGAAAGATTTTTTTTAAGTTTCTAAAAATAGAAAAATTATAGCTAATAAGGAAAAGTGAGACACTAATGTTCAAACATTACAAGTTTTAAAAATTAACAAAAGTATATGGCATTACAGGTGAAAAATAAGTAACAAAATTACCAGAAGTTTAATAAAATAAATTAGAAAATATTTGTTTTTGCTCAAAGTAGCAGATTTAAATTGAAGAAAAATACTAATTTGTGTTTATGTGAGGATTAGTGCATAGTGTTTTGTTTTTATTGTATTTTGTTGCATTTATGTTTTATTAAAACAAAACATACAAGACATTTACACCATTTTTAAAAATGTGTATTATTATTGGTTATTTTGTTTTTTTTTTCTAAATAGAAGCATTGACAGTGTTTAAATTAATTACACAGGACCTGCCAATAAATCATTGTTATCCCAAAGAACGTGTTTGAGAGTACAGGATCAGGATAAAAAGGCAGAGAACAGGCCGTGAAGGGATGAGTTGAGAAGTTGACGTAGTCTGGATAAAATAGAACATAGTACAATTCAGTGTTAGAAGACAACCTCTTTTCTAACAGGTGTGGCTGCAATAACTGCACCTTCAGCAGCAGTTTTTTATCACCTCAGTATAATGTTTGCCATAAAAATTTTACATTTTTTATATGTCTTATTAAGTAAACTTATTAAGATATGATGCCTATTAAAATTGTATCATTATCACTTTCCTCCATTTTGACTGCTATATACATACTATCAAGCTTTGTAAAGAATTAGAAAAGGAATAATTTAAATTCTAAATATCTGTAGAGATTTTTGAAAAAACAGATCATTTTAATGGTACAAATATGAAAATGATGATATAAACCTCCAGCTCCCTTAAAACAGGGATTCTGGTGTATTTTTTTTTTTTCAGTATTTAAGTACATTAACTTAAAGTAACATACAATAACATAGTACCTGGCTATCACTTCATTTCTTTTAAAGACAAATATTTTATTATTATTTGAGTTTATCCAAATATGACATTAAGAATTTTCATAAAGCACTCTTAAACTGAATCAATTGGCCTTTTATATATAAACATTTAATTTCTTCCACTAACATTATTGACTGAATCTATTGGACACTTTATTGTCACTTTGTTTATGAACGTACAAAATGTCTGCATTTCATTACTTTCATTTTACCATTAATTTATATTAAACATAGTCACCTGGTTATTAAGAAGGCACTTAGTCCGCAGCTCATAGCTGTCACTAATCAAAAGGGAGAAAAAACAAAAAACAACATAGTTGTGCCCATAAATATTGGGGTTGAACCCAATTTAAATTAATTATGGAGTCATTGTGAAATGTACAATAGCATAAGAAAATTGTTTTAATGAAAATGTATTTTTTTCCTATTTACTTGTAAGTCATTGAAATAACATTCATTAGGGATTAATTTTTAAAAGACTATATCTTCCTTGGTTGCCCATCTTATAGACTGTATTTTATGTTCTCAAAATTGAAGTTAGTACTATTGGATCTTAAATTCACCTGGCAATATTTTTGAAACAATGATGTTAGCACCTAATCAAATTATTCTTTATTCAAGTTCACTTTAGAAAAACATTCCAGGTTGTGTTAGTATTATAGAGAAGAAAAAACCAATTTTGAGAACTTACCATGTGCAAGATTCTATGCTGGGTATCTGTCATACCAAAAAAAGAATCCTGTGAACTCGATATTGTCATACCCATATGGCAGACCAAAACAGTTTCTGGGAGGATAATAACCTTATTGTGGTGGAGCTGATAAAACAGCTAGTTTCCTGATCTGCATGCTCCTGTTCTTTTCATGAAACTTGCTGCCTCACATGTGTATTGTAATTTATTCCTTTAATTAATCCTCGTGTAGATTTTCATTTCATGACTACACACTAAGACACAGACACCTAAGACATATATACTTATTTTCTAAGGATTTTCAATGCCTTTATGTATTCCAAAATTATTTATAAGAGAATCTTGGGAATATCCACAAACAACTAAGCAAAAGCAACTCAAAATTTATAAGATGAAATTTGTAGAGAAAAAAATAAGTTCTTCATAAAGATTATTACAAATAAATAAATAATACTTTCCTTACTGAGACAGAGGTGGTGATGGAAAAATATGAGATTTGAGGCTAAAGTTCCTATCTCCATCATGTAATAGGTAAAGATGACATTAACTTCCAGAATTGCATCAAAAGTAGAAAAAAAGTTAAAATAGCATAAAAATTGCAAGTTGCCACATACATGTTATTTGTGTTCAGAGGTCTATACATTTTTTACAATATATCTAAAATTTTTAAAATACTGAGTTAGAACTGAAACATTTTAAAATTATAGTATTTCACTCAGTGTTGCATCACAATTTGGCTAAACATTTTACAATTTAATTTTAAATTTAATTCAATTTTAAATTGTAAGATGTTCAGATTTTTTGTAATATTTCCAAAATATTAAATCTTATCTTTTTGTACCAACTGTGAATGGTGTCCTTGAAGGAAATTAATTGGTTATAAATATTTGAACAAAGCCAGGTAAACCTCAGGTTTAATTTGCATTTAATCATCCAGGCCCTCCAAAATCTATGGTCATTACACGGTGATAAGCTAAATATGAGTGTAACTAATTGTTAGAAATCTCTTACTTAAGAAGGCTTAGTTCAAACAGCTGCAAACATAAACGTCATTGTGTCCAGTGGGGTGATATTAATAAATGTGAAGTGCAAGCAGATTAAAGGCCAAGACACAGATGTGTGGAAGAGAAGGCAGTGTCTGAAAGCATGAGATAGAGATAGAGAAATGTGCTCAGTATGTCCAAGCAACTGATTTCCATGCAGTGCAAGAATGCAAATGGTATGCTATACAAGAGTGGCAGTAAAATGTCAGGAAGACGAGATCAGTTGCGTTGATGTCAACATCTGCCCTCATTAATGAGATCTAGATATCTATGATTAGAAAAATTGTTAAGAAAATATTTTGTACTAGATATGGTTTAAATATGCACACACAGACACACACACACACCACATGCAACAAGCACGCACCTCATACACCACACATACACAGAAGACTCACATTGCATAGAAGCTACATGGCATTTAAAGAAGAGTCCTTCACTTCTATATAGAGATAATAGAATAAGACAAATTAAATGCATGTTGCATTATCACAGCCTGATGAAATGTTTCATTTTTGTAGATTCTGACTGTAAGATATTTATTTTTATAGATACATGGTAGTTGTACATATTTATGGAGTACATGTGACGTTTTGACGCATGCATGCAATATGCAATACTAAATTCAACATAATTAGTATAAGAATCACCTCAAAGGTTTACCATTTTGTAATATTTGTAACATTTCAAGTATTTTCTACCTATTTTAAATATACAATAAATTCTTGTTAACTGAAGTTGCCCTACTGTGCTATCAAACACTAGAATCTATTCCTTCCCTCTAACTGTATTTTTGTACTCATTCACCAAACTCTCTTCGTCTTCCTCAACCCTTTTCCTTTGCCAGTCTCTGGTAACCACCTTTCTACTTACTACCTCCATGAGTTCAACCTTCTTAACTGCCACATATGAGTAAGAACATGCAATATTTGTCTTTCTGTGCCTGATATATTTCACTGAACATGATGTCCTGCAGTTCTACCTATATTGTTGTAAATTACAGGATTTAATTATTTTTATGGCTAAATAATATTGCAGTGTGTCTAAATACCACACTTTATCCAGTCATCCTTTGATAGATGCTTAGGTTTATTTCCTATCTTCGGTATTATAAATAATGCTGAAATAAACAGGGAAATACAGATACATTTTAGTATATTGATTTTTTCTTTTGGATATATATGGTAATGTTAGTTTTAGTTTTTTGAGAAATACCATACTTGTTTTCATAGGTGCAGTACTAATTTACAATCCCACCAACAGCGTACAAGCATTTTCCTTTCTCAGCATTTTTGCCAATATCTGTTATTTTCTCTTTTTTATAATAGCTGTTTTACCAGGTATGAAATGATATCTAATTATGGTTTTGATTTGTATTTTCCTGATGATTAGTGATGCTGTACTTTTTTTTTTAATATACCTGTTAGTCATTTGTATGTCTTCTTTTGAATAACGTCCATTCAGATTTTTATTGTTGATTTTTATCAGATTATTTGTTTTTTGTTTTTGAGTTATTTATACATATTATGTCTATTAACCTATTGTCAGATGGGTAGTTTGCAAATATTTTTCCCATTTTTTAGGTTGTCCCTTTGTTGATTATTTCCTTTGCTGTGCAGAAGCTTTTTAGTTTCATACAATCCCATTTTTTACTTTTGTTGTGGTTGCCTATGCTTTTAATATCTTACATAAAAAAAACTTTGCCCAGACAAATGTTCTCGAGTGTTGACTCAGTGTATTCTTCTATTAGTTTCAGGTCTTACATTTAAGTTTTTTATCTATTTTAATTTGATTTTTATATGTGATAAGAGATAGGGGTCTAACTTCATTCTTTTCATATGGTTATCCGGTTTTCCCAGCACCATTTTATTGAAGAGATCAGTGTTATCCTAATACCAAAATCAGATAAAGACACAAATACAAACAAACAAAAATAAGGGTCAATATCTCTGATGAACATAGATTCAAAAATCCTTAGCAAAATACTAGCAAACTGAATTCATCAACACATTACAAAAATAATTTCACCATGATCAAATAGCATTCATCCCAGGGCACAAGGATGATTCAACAGATGCAAGTCAATAAATGTGATACAGAATCAAGGACAAAAAATATCTGATCATTTCGTTAGATGCCAATATGATTTGGAACTGTGGTGACCCAAATCTTATGTCGAATTATAATCCCCATGTTGGAGGTGGGGCCAGGTGGGAGGTGATTGGATCATGGAGGTGGTTTCTGATGGTTTAGCACCATCCTTCTAGTCCTGTTTTTGTGATAGAGTTCCCATTAGATGTGGTTGTTTAAAAGTATATAGCACCACCCCCTCCTTACTACTCTGACCCTGTGAACTGCCAGCTTCCCCTTTGCCTTCCGCCATGGTTGGAAGTTTCTTGAGGCCTCCCCAGAAGCCAAGCAGATGCCAGTATTATGCTACCCATTTAGCCTGTGGAACTGTGAGCCAATTAAACCTCTTTTCTTTATGAATTTCCCAGTCTCAGGTATTTCTTTATAGCAGTGCAAGAACTAACTAATATAGAAAATTGGTATTGAGGCGTGGGGCATTTCTATAAAGATACCTGAAAATGTGGAAGCAGCTTTGGAACTGGGTAATGGACAGAGGTTGGAAGAGTGTGGAGGGCTCAGAAGAGGGCAAGAAGATGAAGGAAAGTTTGGAACTTCCTAGAGACTGCTTGAATTGTGATGAAAAGGCTGATAGTGATATGGACAGTGAAGTCCAGGCTGAAGAGGTCTCAGATGGAAATGAGGAACTTATTGGGACCTGGAGTAAAAGTCACTTTTGCTATGTTTTAGCAAAGAGCTTGACTGAATTGTACCCTACTCTAGGGATCTGTGGAACTTTGAACTTGAGAATGATGTCTTAGGGTATCTGGCAAAAAAAAAAAAAAAAAAAAATTATAAGCAGCAAACTGTTCAAGATATGGCCTGGCCGCCCCTAAAAGCCTATTCTCATATGTGTGAATAAACAAATGGCTTAAAACTGGAGTTATATTTCAAAAGGAAGCAAAGTGTAAAAGTTCAAAAAATTTGTAGCCTGGTCATGTGGTAAAAAAGAAAACCTCATTTTCCAGGGAGGAATTAAAGCAGGCTGCAGAAATTCGCACTAGTAAAAAGGAGGCAAGTAATGATTACAAAGACAATGGGAAAAAGGCCTCCAAGGCATTTCAGACACATTCACACCAGCCCCTCCCATCAAAGGCCTCAAGTTCTAGGAGGGAAGAATGCTTTTGTGGGCAGGGTCCAAGGCTGTGCTGCTCTGTGCAGCCTTGGGACACTGTTCCTAGCATCCCAGATGCTCCAGCTCCAGCCGTGAACAAAAGGGGACCAAGTACAGCTCCAGCTGCTACTTCAGAAGGTACAAGCCATAAGCCTTGGTGGCTTCCATGTAGTGTTAAGCCTGTGGGTTCACAGAATGGAAGAGTTGAGGCTTGGGAGCCTCCACCTAGATTACAGAGGACATATGAAAAAGCCTGGATGTACAAGCAGAAGCCTGGTGCAGGGGTGGAGCCTTCATGGAGAACCTCTGCTAGGGTATTGTGGAGGGGAAATGTAAGGTTGAAGCCCCCACATAGAGGTCCCACTGGAGTACTGCCTATTTGAGCTGTGAGAAGAGGGCCACCATCCTCCAGAACCCAGAATGATAGATCCATGAACAGCTTGCACCCTGTACCTTGCAAAACTGCAAGCACCCAACGCCAGCCTATGAGAGCAGCCACAGTGGCAGAGCTGCTCAAGGGTTTGACTACTGCTCCCCAACACCAGTTTGCCCTCAATGTGAGACATGGAGTTAAAGGAGATTATTTTGGAGATTTAAGGTTTAATAATTGCCCTGCTGGATTTTGGACTTGCATGAGGCCTGTACTCATTCACCAAACTTTGTTTTGGCTGATTTCTCCATTTTGGAATGGAAGCATTTACCCAATGCCTGTACTCCCATTGTATCGTGGGAGTAACTATCTTGTTTTTTATTTTACAGGTTAATTGACAAGAAAGACTAGGCTTGTCTCTCATTAGACTGGAGTTTGGACTTTTAAGTTAATGTTGGAAAGAGTTAAGACTTTGGGTGACTGTTGAAAAGGCATAGCTTTATTTTGAAATGTAAGAAATACATGAGATTTGGGAGGGGCCAGGGGAGAATGATATAATTTGTATCTTAGTTCTTACCCAAATCTCATATAGAACTAGAATTCCCAGTGTTGGAGATGGGGCCTGGTGGGAGGTGGTTTGGTCATGGGGATGATTTCTAATGAATTAGCACCATCTTACTAGTGCTGGTTCTGTGAGTTCTCATGAGTTCTGGTCATCTAAAATTGTGTAGCAACTACCCCTGCTCTTTACCTTGCTATCCCGTTCATGTGATGTGCCAGCTCCCCCTTTGCCTTCTGCCATGATTGAAAGTTCCTGAGGCCTCCCCAGAAGCTGAGCAGATGCCAACATTATGCTTCCTGTATAGACTATGTATCTGTGAGCCAATTAAAACTTTTTTCTTTGTAAATTACTCAGTCTCTTGTCTTTATTTATAGCAGTATTATAGCTGAGTAAGACAGATGCTGAAAAGCATTCAATAAATTTTAACATCCTTGCATGATAAAACCCTGAACAAAATGAGTATAGAAAGAAAATACCTCAAAACAATAAATCTTATGTATGACAAACCAACAGCTATCATCATGCTGAATGACGACAATTGAAACCCTTTCTTCTAAGATCAGGAACAAGATAAAGATGCCTACTTTCACCCCTTTTATCCAACATACCACTGAAAGTCCTAGCCAGAGCAATTAAACAAGATAAAGAACTAAAAAACATCCAAATTGGAAATGAAGAATTCAAATTTTTCTTGTTTGCAGATGACATAATCTTATATTTGGAAAATTCTAATGACTCCACCAAAAAACCGGTAGAATAGGTAAATGGACTTAGTAATAGTTCAGGGTAAAAAATCAACATGCAAAAATCAGTAGCATTTCTATATCTAAGGAGTGAACAATATGAACATATAAATCAAGAAAGTGAATTCATTTTAATAGCTATAAATCAAGAAAATACCCAAGAATAAATCTAATCAAAGAAGAGAAAGATCTCTATGAGAAAAACTATAAAATGCTCGTAAAGTAAGTTGAAGAAAACACCAAAAAAGTGGAAACATATCTCATTTTTATGGATTGGAAGAAATAATGTTAAAATCCATATTACCCAAAGCAATGCACAGATTCAATGCAATCCTTATCAAAATAACAATGACTTTCTTCACAGAAACAGAGAAAAACATTCTAACATTTGTATGGAATCACCAAAACCCAGAATAATCAAAACAATCCTGAGCAAAAAGAAGATAGTTGGAGATATCACACTCCCTGACTTCAAAATATACTACAAAGCTATAGTAACCAAAACAGCTTGGGACTGACATAAAAACAGATACACAGACTGGTGGAACAGAATAGAAAATCCAGAAGTAAATTCTCACATTTACGGTCAACTGAATTTTGACAAAGGCATTAAAAGCATACCATGGAGAAAGGACAGTCTCTTTAATAAATAGGGATATGTATTTTTTTTCTAAACTTCACCATACTAAAGTATTTAAACTCATGATTTTGTAAAATGTATATTATACACATTAGGAGCTTTACAATATAGAATATTCTAAAGTAAAACTTATTATTGATTTAATATGAAAAGTAGGTCTCTGGGAATAATATTTAAAGAATCATAATAGTGAAGCATCATCTTAACTTAAACCTGACAAGACATTGGCCTCCACATCAATACAGTAATAAGATGAGTCTTTTGCATGGCTTTTGAGAGATTACATGCATTTTGCATGTGAAGGAATATAATTAATTTGTGGTCAGAGAGTAAACTGTGACTAGTTGTGAAGAAAGATGACCACAAACTTTTTGCCACTCTTCACTTAGACTATTAGAATCAAATTCTACTCCCCTTGAAAATGGCTGACTTTAGTGCTTGCTTGAGCAATAGAATATGGTAGAGGTAATAGATGGAATTTATAAGGCTAAGTTACAAAAAGACTTTTAGCTTTCACCAAGCCTCTTGGAGCACTCATCACTAAAACAGAGCTATCATTCCAACGAGGAAAAAAAACAGCCCAAACAGCTAGGTGGAAATTTCCAGAAAAAAGGGAAATTAATCTTTCCAGCTGAGGTATCATTCAGCAGCCAACATCAATGTACTAGCTCTATGTCTGAGCCATATTGACAGCCAAGTAGAACTACCTCCAGTGTTGTCATATAGAATAAAAATTGCCATCTGAGCCCTTTCCAAATTTTGGGATTGTGAGGAGAATAAATGGATTAATGCTGTTATAAGCCACAATTTTGCCAAACACATTATATAATCAGAAGTTACTTAGCATGCCACGTTCATATTGAAATATGCATGTATTCCTACATGACAGAGTCACATGTCCCAAGCATCCACTTAATTTTTTCCTAATCTTGATGATGAAAATTATCAAAATTATCCAGATACAATGGCCCATTACAGATATCTTCATATTCCTATTTAGAATCCAGGAAACTCTGAAAGCTCCTCAGGCCTATCTGTTTAGATTCTCAGCTCAGTCACTGCTGACGCACAGCATATGGATCTCTTTATGCCCCGGCAGTCTTTCTAGAGGACATCTTAAGGAGCTGGACAACAATTCCTCTTTTCTAGGATTCCCAAACATTAATGGGCAGTTCATTGTATTTTTATTGTCTCCTCCCAGACTCAGGGATTAAGAACTTCACATTCACATTTTAATTCAGGTATGCTCCCTCCCATTCTCATCAACTGTGTAAAATGTAATCCTCTTTTAGGATGGTGTTTCTTTCCTTACATCATCATGCATTATCCCTCTTTCTACTTTTTGAATTCATTTGTATGCTTTTTCAAAATCCCTAGCTCAGAGGATTAATAGAAATTATTTTTCATAAACTTAGATATTGACTTGAAACCCAGTTTTAAGAGTAATTTTTTTTCTTTGAAAGGGCCGCCTTTATAACTCAGCATGAAGATATAGATTCTTTGTCTTCAAACATATCATTTTTCTCTAGATAGAGTGCATAGAAAATCTTGTCCGCTAAATCTATAGTGAGAGTAGTGACATGAGTATAAGTGAGGTCAAAGCAGATCAACCTAATTTTTTCAACTCAAAATAGTTTTATTAATGATTAAAATAATAACAAGCTATAATAACAGAGCCTGCCTCTGTGGATAAATTTAAAATAGAAAGGTTTGCATTTTTAACTTGAAAAGACTATATTTTATTTAATGATAACCTAATTCTCAAATTACTGGGAATATTTAGAGCCTCAAAAATGTTTTATCTTTTTAATTCTTGCCCTCACCCTCAAATGTCACTAGCTTTGTTGTACAAGTACAATTACAGGAAATTGCTCTAGCAGAAGGATTTTGGCAACCACAGTAAAAACCGATCAATAGTACATCAGGCTCATAGTGGTGTAAACCTTAAT
This sequence comes from Homo sapiens, assembly GCF_000001405.40. Lineage (NCBI taxonomy): Eukaryota > Metazoa > Chordata > Mammalia > Primates > Hominidae > Homo > Homo sapiens. The sequence goes on along the minus strand of NC_000018.10, from coordinate 66,826,386 downwards.
GGAGAGAGTGAACACATTTGTTATAAAGGCTTCTCACCAGGATATTGGCAATTATACAAAATATTTAAACTTCATTTGTCACATGAGTGGCAAAGGGGATCTTCATGAGAGATAAAAGAAATAGATTTTTAAGTTTCAGAACCTAAGTACATCAAATTTCCTGAATAATACTTTGTCAAAATAAACTACTTCCGTAGTCTTTATATTCTATATTATATCCTCTTTCTGTATTTTTTAAAAACTCTGCCTTAGTTGGTAAGGACATTGAAATTCTTCTGTAATTTTGGAACATTTGGCAAGTCATGGCAGTGTTTCCAGAGTTTTTCCAGAGATAACAACTAACCAAGAAAAGTAAGATGAAGGTCTCCATGAAAATGAAAGTGCGCCTATAGAGACAGCATTTTTTTAAAAAAATTATATTAGTTTCCCCAATATATCTCTTTGCTGGACTTATAACTAATCCTTATATTTTCTTTATCTCCATTAGGATATATTATTCTCGATACTAATATAACTATTTGTTAATTTAAAAACTTGGCATTTTGGTATCAATTGCCAATTGGCTTGTATCTTAAAATAAATTTGTCTCTAAAAAAAGAAGCTTTAATATACAAGATGCATCTGTGTTTTGGTGAATTTTTTCTTCTTGATAACCCCTGCTTATTATCAGAGAAAGATATATACCGTATGTGAATGTTTTGTTCTAATAATCAGATGTTAGATATGTAGAACTCATTTTCTTTCAGAAATAGTATTATCTATGTATTTTTGAATGTCTCTATGTTGTTAGTGTTTTACAGACAGCACTCAGTGTTGCTAACACAGAAATGATTCATAGGCGCTGAATAACACCAAGTCCTTAAGCCAAAGTACAGACAGTGGGCCCGAACAGATTAAGTTAACTCACTAGAAATAGAAAAATGTTTCTATAAAAGTACTTTTAATACTTATTTACAAATCTAAAGCCAATATGATACTGATGAAGGCTTTCTTTATTTTATTTTATTTATTTTATTTTTTGAGTTGGAGTCTCACTCTGTTGCCCGGCTGGAGTGCAGTGGTGTGATCTTGGCTCACTACAACCTCTGCCTCCAGGGTTCAAGCAATTCTCCTGCCTCAGCCTCCCAGATAGCTGGGACTGCAGGTGTGCATTACCACATGTGGCTAATTTTTGTATTTTTAGTAGAGACAGTGTTTCACCATGTTGGCCAGGCAGGTCTCAAACTCCTGATCTCAAGTTATCCACCTGCCTTGGGTCCCGAAGTGCTGAGATTATAGGTGTGAGCCACTGTGACCTGCCAAAGTCTTTCTTCTAAAATGAAAATTTAAAAATGGAATTTCCATTACTACTGTTTTGAAATTCTGACAATTTCAACAAATTAGGAAGACATAATATTTTTATATTTAAGAATACTTAGGGAGAACCTGCTATGTATCAGAATTTATTCTAGGTACTAGAAATGCAGTTGTAAATGATGAAGACAATGAATCTGCCCTTCTTACATTGTAATTGAAGAAACAACCCTAACAACAGATTTGGGGAATAATTATCTCCCTAAAAGGTGATATGTCAACTGAGCAGTTAATGATTGTTGAGAATCCATATGAATATTTCAAAAATTACATTCCAATATAAAATGAACATCTTGTTTGTATAAAGGCCCTGATTTGGGAATAAGCTTGGAAGGTTGAAGGATAGATAGAAATGAAACGTGGGTTGGAACATGATGATAAAGGATTCAGGAGGACATTAGTGTAGGAAGAGTGAAACGTGTAAGGTCTTGTAGGCCATGGTAAATAAACAGTTTGTATTTGCATCTAAGTATAGATAACAACCAGCAAAAGATTCTTTAAAATCTCCTTATAAAAGGTAAAACATTTAAGGGAGAATTCATTGCAAAAATATGAGGCTTCAGAAAATAGCAGAATAAAAGGCAATTAATCTGCTATCTACAACTTGTACATATCTGTTAAATGATTAAGGGAGAAAATGATAATTTCAGTCAAAATACCAATAATAATACCAGACTTCTTATGATATGGGAAAAAACAGGACTGCATTATTGCAAGGGTAAGATACTCACGACATCATTCACCATATAGTTTTGTGCTCAAACCCATGGAAAGAATTAAAGGCAAAAATGTTAAGACCTCATGGTGGACATAGTAACCATAAACAATCATAAACAAATAAATAACCCCCAGCTAGAACTGAAGAAATTTCAATAATTTACTTGTACAATTGGGTTAATTATAATAGACTGCTTTACAATATCATATTATGTTTCTTAGACTCAGGTAGTAGGAGCTTTTTTTTCTTGCTTTCTTTTGTTTTTTGGTAAATGATAGAAACCTGTTTGTAACATCTAAGAAAACATTTCTAAGTTCACAAAGACTTGTGATTGAAATTATAGCTCATCCAAATGGTTTGAATTTTTTCGCAGTGTTACTGGTTTTGGGGTGCCTCCTTATGAAAATATGGGTGCAGTGGCCAAAAATTTAGATCATAACACTCAATTCTCTTGGAATATTGAAAAGCTTTATCGAGAAGAACGGGTATGAACAAGCCTAGAGTACGAAAATGACAATAAATACATAACTCCTTAATAAATAACTCCACAGACATTGCCTAGACATTGTCAAATATCCACAAACATCAAGTCTGTCCAGGACAACATGACCTTAGCAAAAAAAGTAAATAGGTATCAGTGACCAATGCTGGAGAGATAGAGATATGTGGCTTTTCCGACAGAGAATTCAGATTAGCTGTTTTGAGGAAGCTCAATAAAAACCAAGGTAACACAGAATTCAGAATTATATCAGATAAGTTTAACAAAGAGATTGATAGAATTTAAAAGAATACAGCAGAAATTCTGGAAGAAGAAAATTCAATTGACATGCAGAAAAATGCATCGGAGTCTCTCAGCAACAGAATTGATCAAGCAGAAGAAAGAATTTATGAGTTTCAAGACAGGTTATTTGGAAATATAGTCAGGAAAGTCGAAAGAAAAAATAAAAATAATGAAGCTAACCTATATAATCTAGAAAATAGTCTCAAAAGAGCAAATCTAAAAATTATTGGCCTTAAGGAAGGGCTAGAGAGAGAGGGTGGGATAGAAAGTTTATTCAAAGGACTAATAACAGAGAACTTCCCAAACCTACGGGAAAAATACCAGTACTCAAGTACAAGGTTATATTTAACCAGGCATATTTAACCCAAATAAGACTACCTCAAGCTTTAAGACACTAATAATCAAACTCCCAAAAGTCAAGGATAAAGAAAGGATCCTAAAAGCAGCAACTTAAAAAAAAAGGTAACACATAATGAGCTTCTATATGTCTGGCAGCATATTTTTCAGTAGAAACCTTACAGGCCAGGAGAGAGTGGCATGATATAATTAAAGTGCTGAAGGAAAACTCATTCATCCTAGAATATTGTATGCCGTGAAAATATCCTTCAGACATGAAAGATAAATAAAGACTTTCCCAGACAAACAAAAAGGGATTTCAATACCATGAGACTTGTCCTACAATAAATGGTAAAGGGAGTTCTTTATTTTGAAATAAAAGAATGTTAATGAGCAATAAGAAATCATCTGAAGGTATAAAAATTTACTGGCAACAATAAGTACACAGACAAATGCAGAACAATCTAACAATGTAATTGTGGTGTGTGAAGTACCCATGTCTTCAGTAGAAAGAGTAAATATGAACCTGTCAAAAATTAACTACAACAACTTTACAAGACATAGATAGTATAATAAGATACAAATGGAGAAAACAGTTACAAAGTGGCAGAGGGGGTGATGAATTTACAATATAATGTTTTGATAGTTTTATTATTTTTCTCTCTTTGCCTGTTTGGTTTTGCAATCAGAATTATCATAAGTTTAAAATAGTGGTTTATAAAATGTTATCTGCCAGCGTCATGGTAACATCACACCAAAAATCCGAAAACAGATACAGAAAAAAAAATAAAGATAGAAATGAAAACATATTACCTCACTTTCACAAAAAGGAAGAACAGAAGGAAGAAAAGAACACCATAAAACAATGAGAAAACATATTTTATTGGGAGTAATGTCTTTACTTATCAATAATAACATTAAATGTAAAGGGACTAAATCCTCCAATCAAAAGAGTAGCTAAATGGATAAAAATAAAGAAGATCCAACAATCGGTTGCTACAATAAACACACTTTACCTATAAAGACACACATACACAGAAAATAAAGAGACGAATAAAAGATATCTTATGCAAATGGAAACAAAAAAGAACAAGATAGCTATACTTATATTTAAAAAATAGATTTTATGTCAAAAATTGTAAAAAGAGACAAACAAGTTCATTATATAATGATAAAAAGATGAATTCGGCAACAGGATATAACCATTGTAAATACATACGTATCCAACACTGCAGTACCCAGATTTATGCAGAAAATGTTATTAGAAATAAAGACAGAGAGACCTTATTACAATAATACTTGGAGTATTCAACATCCCACTATCAGCACTGGACAGATCATCCAGACAGAAAATCAGCAACAAAACATTGGATCTAATCTGCATTATAGATCAAATGAACCTAAAGGATATTTACAGAATATTTCACCCAACAGCTACAGAATACACATTTTTTCTCCTCAGCACATGGATCATTCTCAAAGATAGATCATATGTGAGGTCAAAAAATAAGTCTTAAAAATCTAAAAAACATTGAAACCATATTAAGTGTCTCCTCTGATCACAACAAGATAAAACTAAGAATAAATAACAAGAGCAAACTTGGAAACTATGCAAACATATGGAAATTAAACAATATGCTCCTGAATGAAAGGAGGCCAATGAATACATTAAAAAGAATATTAAAAATTCCTTGAAACAAATGAAAATGGAAACACAACATACAAAAACCTATGGGACATGCAAAATCTGTAAATCAGTGCAAGGGACAAGTTTATTGCAATAAGTACATACATCAAAAATGTAGCAAAATATCAAATTAACAACCTAACCATGCATCTCTAAGAACTTGAAAAGCAAGAGCAAACCAAACCCAACATTAGTAGAATTAAAAATAATAATAAAGCTCAGAGCAGAAATAAATGAAATTGAAAAACAATACAAAAGATCAATGAATGAAAAGTTGTTTTTTTGAGAAGATAACTAAAATTGACAAACTTTTAGCCAGACTAAGAAAAAAAAGAGAGTAACCTAAATAAATAAATTCACAGATGAAAAAGGAGATATTACAACTAATACTGCAGAAATTTAAAGTGTCATTAGATATTACTGTGAGCAGCAACATACCAATAAACTAGAACTCCTAAAAGAAGGGTGTGGTGAGTGGGCAGAAATGTGAGGATGCTAATGAGTCCAAAAACATAGTTACAAAGAATGAATAAGACCTGGTATTTTATAGCACAACTGGGTGAGTACAGTCAGTAATAATTTATTGTACATTTAAAAATAACCAAAAAGTATAATTGAAATGATTGTAACACAAAGAAATGATAAATGTTTGAGATAATGGATAGCCCGTTTACCCTGATGTGTTCATTACACATTGCATGCCTGTATCAAAATATCTAATTTATCCCAAGTATACACTGACTATGTACTTGTAAAAATCAAAATAAGTATAAAAAGGACATGGATTACACATAAAAACCTAAACATTATTTTGTCTTTTTTAAAGACATACAAATTAAAACCAGGATGAAGTAACACTACACACCTATTAGAGTGGCTAATACTTGATAAAACTGCAGATGTCAGCCAGGATTTGGAGAAATGGGAACTCTCTTTCAACAATATGGATGAATCTTAAATGCATTTTGATAAGTGAAAGAAACTAGACCCAGAAAGCTACACGTTGCATGATTCCATTCATATAATATTCTAGGAAAGGCATATAATATGTACAGAAAGCAGGTAAGTGGTAGGCCGAGGTCAGAGGTTGAGGGTGTTCTTGACTACAGAGTAGATGCAAAGAGGAACATTTAGGATTAAGGAACTGACATGTATGGTATTGGGGTGAATACATGACTCCTTGACTCCTTGTGTTTATCAAAACACACAGAACTGCACAGCACGAGGAGATAATTTTAATGTATGTAGCCAATGAAAACAGATCATGAAACAAACTATTCAAAATAAATAAACAAAAGTAGCCATGGACCAGGATGCCAGAGGATCTCAGGATGGAATGCAGACTACAACAAAAGAATTGAACTGTAACACATTGTACTTGTAGTGTAGCAGCATGGAAGGGGTGTGAGAGTAATAGAAGCTGACATCAGTAGCTTTAGAAAATGGTGTTTGCAAATTTCAATGTAAAAGACTAAATGAACTATGCATAAACACTTTAGTTGGTAAATTTATTTTTCATAGGTGCAAGGGTTACAAATTCTGGAACTACTTTTCATATGTACTGGGGCTGAATAAATAAGTAAATAGATGATGGATGGTGGACTACAGACTTTTCACTGCTAGGAAGGAAAGTTCCAGATAAGCAAGAAAGCCAGGCCATAAAGAATACCATATGTAGGATGAGAGTTGAAGATATCAGTATAACCTTACAAACACACACATGCATGCACACACACACACACACACACACATATGCTTTACATACATGGGTAAATAAACAATTATAAATATGTACATATAAAAATGGATTGGTATTACATACATATAACAAACATCTAGTTGTTTCTATTGAGAGCACCTAGATGAAATGAACTCCAAAAGCAAATAGCACTCACAATGCTCAGATATTGATTTCTAAATACCAGTTTCCAATAAAAGGAACCAGTTCTCCTCAGAGCAATAATTGATGCTAGGGTTGGGTGAGGAAAACACAAGATGAGCCTGGAGCATCTTGTAGAAACAAGAAGGAAGTGCTCAGAAGTAAGAGGATAGAGTCAGATCAATGGGACACAGAAATCAGCTGAAAAGTCCCCAGTGGCCAAATCTGGAACAATTTTTGCAACAAAATATAATAAGCGTAGTACTAGATTATAATCCAAAGTGTAAAAACACAATTATTAATTATTAAATGAATTATGTATACTGAACTGATATACATAAATTATCAAATGCATGTGGGAAGATACAAATTTTGTGGAAGAACCCCAATGAAGACATATAAATACTCCCATTTCAGCAGATACAGCTAGTTGTCTCCACCCAGCCTGGGAGCTGTATTTATTAAAGACCAAAGAGAAAGTGAGTACCTTTCCAATGGTGAAACCTGTATCCCACTATCATAAACAAGTGACCAAGTTTAAAGTCATCACTGATGCCATGTGACTATTATGAACCCCTAATATGATGCGAAGAAAAGGGCACATCACTTCTGTGGTATTCCTTGCAGAGACCTGTAACCCAGTCTGATTATGAGTTAGGAATCCGGAGAAATTCAAACTGAATGAAATTGGGAGACATTCTACAAAATACTTCTGAAGTACTTATCAAAATTGTTAAACTAATAACAATGAAGAAAAACTGAGAAACCAGAATAGGCTAAGTAGACATAATCACTATATGCAATGCAGTATCCTGGATTGGATCCCACAATAGAAAAATTATGTTTGTGGAAAAACTGGCCAAATCTGAACAAAGTCTAGAGTTAACAATGTGGGCTTCTTAGATTAAGAAAAAAAACATGTTTTTGTCATATAAGATGCCATTAGGAGAAACTAAAACTTTGTGAGGTGTACTAAAAATATTTGTATTACATTTGCAACATTTCTGTAAATTTAAAATTATTCCAAAATAAAATTTGATTAGTAAACAACAAAGAACATATATTTCAGCACTTTATTTATAAAACCATCTTCGAACAGTGCATGTTTTCTATTGATATTGGCATGATAAGATACATCATAGTTTAATGACAATATGCAAGATTTAAAATCTAAATTGCATAATGGGGAATGCATCATTAGATATGGGAACTCAAATTCAATATATTATTACAGAAGAAAGGGGCTGAGTTTTCCGTTACAAATCTTAGAAGTTAAAAAAGTGACATATTTGTTTTCAATTTTGAACTTGAAAATATATTTGCGTTATTGTACATATTATCAGTCTGGGACATGTTTGGGTAAAATAAAATGTTACTATAATGTTTATATCTTTCCATTTACCTAGTGAAATTGTGGTATGGCTATTGTAAAACTAATCTAGGCTCACTGAGAACTATAATGGAGTTTTTTGTTTTGTTTATTAGAAGCAGGGTGGCAGAGGAGAGATTGTGGGGATTCTTGGATAATATTTGAAGCACTTTTGCAACATTGGATAAGTCACTGTGGTTTGTTTATTGAACTGACAGTGAAAGCAGACAACATTAGCAGACCAGAGACTCAAAGCAGCCAAGAATAGGAGGCAACTGAATGGAATTGATACTAGACACTGGGGCTACCAATATGGGTAAATTTTTGTTTTATTTGGTATCAAAGTAGCATTAGAGCTGATTCCGTAAAGATAAAGGTGAAAGAGATGATCACTCTACCTGAGAAGGCCGGAAGAAATGGGAACAGGAGCAATTATCTATTCCATTTAGAGAAGAAAGAAAGGATGACTGGAGCTGAGGTAATTTTGGTGCAATAATTAAATAAATTTTGTTCTTATAATTTTTTCTTCAAAGGATAAAGTAGGAAATGAGATCATTTACTGAGAATTGAGTGGTTAGGAGATTATGAGCTTGGGAAGGTAACCTTTTGTGAACATAACTTTTGTGCCACTAACAGGATAAAATTAAATTTTAGCCTAGTAAAATGGCCACAGTTAGAAGGGATAATTCTCAATCTTGGTTTTAAGTGAGAAATGCAGGATGTGAGGGTAATTTCTTACAGGCCTGCTGACATTGCACCTTAGGAATCTCAGTTTTGCATTTTTCCTTGTTGTCTGTTTGTTGTTTGTTTTCTGTCATTGTAAATCCCTTCATTAATAGGCAAAGTTTGTATCTATGGAGTTCTCATCCAATGTAATGGGTAATAGACTGTGGAAACCAAACACCAAAGTGACAGCTAGAATCGCCATACAAACAACCACTCCATGATCTTTTAATTTTCAAAGGCTTAGCCAAGCACTTCTGTAGCACAAATCAGCGATAAAAATGGTCAAGATTGATGGCCTTAATTAGGAAAGTTATACAAAGGTCCTTGGAGCAATGAAGAATGCCAGAGTGTTTTTCAAGTAAAGCAAAGGGGTATCTTCAAATCAAATTTTATTTAACTCATCATTTAAGAAGTTTACCCTGGACTAACACCTTCAGAATTAAAAATCAAAAAAGAGCACCTTTATAAATTTTGAGACACTTAACAAATACTATAAATAGTTTTATGGGCTATCCTTGATATTTTATTGTATATAAGATGCTTATGAGACAGTACAAAAATGTCTAATACTGAACTGTCAGTAATATTTGAATTTGAATAGCTCAAATTGTGACCATCTTAATCAATGTTCTACAAAGTGTTGTGCATACAACCGTGTAACCATGTCGAGACACAAATCCATGAATTGCAGCAGAGAAAGAAGTTACTATAAATTATTGTGTGTGTGTAACCTACAAATATAATATGTAGTATGTAGGATAGTATATATTAACATATGTAATATATAATGTATGTAATATATAATATATAGATTCCATCTTCTACCAGCATTCGGCCCTTATTTATCATCATGTGGCAACAACTCACAAATGTGAGGGGTACTGAGAAATAATGGAAATTTTACTTGCAGAAAGGGTGAGCACAAGCTTCCAGGGGTAATTTTTGTGTTTTTAGATGTATTTTAATTAATTATTTCTAATTAAGTAGAATATTATATAGTTTCCATTAAGTTAAATGTAATGAAATGGATGAGTAATACCAAAAACAATACTTGCTAAGAATCTGTGGATTTAAAAAAGTATTAAAAGTATAAATGAGAGTAACTGTCAGAGCTAACGTGACTTCTGCTTCCACTACAAGTTCTTTCTCAAAACAATGAGTAAAACATCTCTGGCTAGAAATCAGCAGAGAAGACTTCAAAATTATCCCATTATGATGAATCTCTCTCAACTAGCAATCTATCTAATGATATTGTTTATTTCTTCCACATTTTATTATTTTCAAATGTCTACATTGTACATTTAATAAATTTCATATTGTGCAACTATTCACATATGTATTTTACAAATATTTATTGGAAGTGTGTGATCATAGAGTGTATGATATTAAAAGTTGGAGCACACTAAGTCTGGAATGAAGTTTGATTAATATAGAAATATAATATGAAAATAAATGTAAACCTGATGTTATTTTCCATAATAATGCCAATAAAAAACCTTCCTGCTTATCTATTTCCACAGAGAAAAATACAAAATGTAGTGCCTTAAAAACATTAACCATTTTATTTTATGTGATGGTTTAGTGGGCCAGGAATGGGCAAGGCTTTTCCTTTTTGTGATGCTGGAAATCATCTTTTCTATTAGTCCAGCAAGTCACATAGGCCAATCCAGATTCACAGGGAAGAATGGTATCAAGTATTCGTAGTGATCCTTCATCTGCCACAGCCATATTTTAGAAAATAAAATGACTTGGCAAGAAATAGGTATATATCATGTTTATCAGAGTACTATGTTTAAAACTGGCAGTTTTTTAAAAACAAATTATTTGATGAGAAGGACCTTCAAAAATAGTGTAACAGTCTTATAATGGTAAAGTCAAAAATATTTCAAAAAATTTTAAGATGAGAGAAAAATATTCTTAATGTATTATGAAAATATTACTAACCCAATTTTGCAAAACAGAAACCCACACACATATATACAAACATATACACACATATTAGAGGAAGTAATCAACACATGAACAAATATCTCTCTCTATAGGAATAGCATTAAATTGTGTTTTAAATTTCTATTCGTCATCTCTGTTTTATGAATTGTCTAGTATATATTATATATTATAAATTGTCTAATACATCTTTAAAAATTTTTTTTAAATCTGTAAAACCCTTTATCAATTATTAATTATATTTTAATTTTTGAATACATAACAATACAACAAATCTCATTATAATTAGTTACACCAACCAATTAGTAAGATATTTGGCAAATTTTTGCATCTATAACTTTTAATTATTGGTTTGCAGAAATATTCAGTGTTTTAAATGAAATCCTATACATTGTTTAATGTTCCTCTATACATTTTCAAAAAACTAGACATTTTATATAAATATAATCCTATTATTAAATTTAACAAAACTGTAAATTATTTATTGATACTATTTAATCTGCCATCTGTAATCAAACTTCCCTGATTTCCTTAAAATTATATTTTATGCTTTGTTATTCATGTCTGTACCTAAAAATGATTTTAAGTCATTTATAATCTACAGTATGGAATTTATAAGGTTCTTGAAACTCTAGTTTTATATCTTTTGTCACTTTTGTAAAATTCATGGTAATTCTTCAAATGTGGCACCTTCCTCATTTTCCTTACCCTCTTCATCTTGAATACCTGTAACAAATGTACATAACACTTGCACTATCCATTTCTCTCTCTTTTGTGTTCATTTATCCTTTTGTCTTTTTGTGCTTCAATCAGAATTTTTGTTGGTCAATCTTTCAAGTTCATGAATCCTTTGTTCTGCTGTGTCTAAGCTACTGTTAAACTCAAATATTGATTTCTTAATTTTATTACCAGTATTTCTACTGTACTTGTTTTTATGCATTTCTGGTATCTTTTAATATTCCCTTAAACATAATAATCATATTTGTTCTAAAGTCCATGTATAATAACTGTAATATATTACTTTGGTTTTACATTTTTTTCTATTATTTTCCTAGTATTCAGGCATTAGCCCTCTATTATGTCCATAGTGCTTTATCCAATGACAGACCTTATGGATGAAAATCTGCCAAAACTCAGGCTAATATTATCTCTATCCAAAAAGAGCTAGTTTCTTCTGCTGCATAAATGGCAGACAGACAGGTCATCTTTATTCTGACCTCATCTTAGAAATCATATAACATCATTTTCATAGTTCTCTTTTTGTAATAGGTGAATCTGAATCCCAACCAATTGCGAGTGTGGGGGACATGGATCTAAACTCTCCATGGGAGAAGTAACAAAATCACATTGTTTAAGAAAAGCACTGGGAATGATTGTTATTGTTGAGGTTGTCTTTAAAACAAAAAAAAAATCTACACATTTGCCTTCTACCCCACAACAAGTCTTGTATAGGGTGTAACATGTTTCCTATTATTGAAGGCATATTTGTGTACTTATTCACAGGGTACACATACAAACACATGCAGACAAATAAATGCCCAATTCATATATACATCACACACACACACACACACACACACACACACACACACACACACACACAGATAAATCTAGATTCCCAATGAGCTGTCCAGTTATGCTTTGTCCAAGTCAGTGGATTCTTCGAGAGTTATTTCATTTTGCTTCGCTTTTAAATTAGCATGTCCATAGTTACGTGTGTGAATCTAGACTTCCTAATTCCTGTCCAGCCTCTCATCCCAACTAAGTTTGCTTTCTTAGTAACCTATGACAAAAAACTTTCGGGGAAAGAAAGCTTATATTTTATTACTTTAAGAGGATCAGTCAAAGTTAAAAAAAATGAGTCCATTTTTTTCTATTCTACTCACACTACTAAAAGATTTACGTACACAATTCTAGCAATGGTTAGTGGCTATTCAAAAATATGGATATATCTATTTTCCACACAATATTTTAGTTTCTCTTATGTTACAATAATTCCAACATCTTTCTACCTTCAGTTTATATTTACATGTATTCAGTGATCACCATAGACATTTTATTATAGCTACCATTTTGTTACTTGGAGTTTTTCCACAAGATTTTTCTTTTTTTATTATTTTGTTCAAGAAAAGACCAGGGCATACTCTTTCTTGAGTTTCTATATGGTGGGAAAACACTTTTTAAATTAATATTAAAAATATTTTCCCAATATTCACTTTCTATATCCATGACTATTTTTAGCTGACTGGCTATTTTCAGTTTATTCTCTTTTCCTTTGTATGTTTAATAAGATTTTCACCAATTTAATCATTTATTTTCATTTTGCTATTTATTTTTGTCCTATAACTTTCCTCATTATTTGATAACTTCTTTTTTTCTACCCTATGGCTCCATGGTAGCTTCTTAATGGTTATCATGCATCCCTGAAAGGAGCTCTTCTTTCTCTGAATCACTTATTATTGGAGAATATTGGGAGAAGTTGGGAAAGTGAATTGGAATGGAAGACCGCTTGCACTTTCTTCCCTTGTCCTTTGCGCGCTCATCCTGCGCCGTAGCTTTGGCTGTCCAAAGGACTAGCTGGTGAATTGTGTGGATAGAAGTGAAAGTGAATATGGCGTGGATACTCAGTCTGAGATTTTGGGTGTCTTCTGCAGCTGCCCAAAAGTAGCAGTTGCAAAGTTGATTGCTACCCATTTTTTCTACTCCATTTTGTTACAGATGTTTTAAGTTGAATTCTTTGAAAAGCAGATCCTGGGGCCAGTATATGGGTGAATTTAGTTCATTTGGCAGATTCTTTCAGGAATAATCTTTAGGGGATCACATATGTGAGACTAGAATAAAAAGAGACCACTATAAAATATATGGTCAACAGATTACTGCTGCAGAGAAACAGTGTAGAAAATACCTCAGAGTTACCTCAACAGTGGGAGATGGCAGTCAAGATAGTTCCACATGGAATCCCTTGTTTCACTCCCATTCTTAGGGAGCATAAACGCTCTGGAATTTCTTGCTTGTCCCATGCATCCTGGATAAATACCCACTCCTACTCACAGTTGGTAGCCATGGGATCTGGAGATGCCAAATACTAAGGGGGGAAATGGTGAGATATTGATGGCATCTGCTCTAAGTAATATCCACAATCTTGTCTTTTTTTCTGTATGTTATTTTGTTGGACCTCTTATCCTTTGCCTTTAACCTTAGAAAATAAATCATCATTCTCATATTGCACCTTCAGAACTTGTGGTTCTAGATAAGGTAGCATTAGTTCACCCTATAAGGATGTTTACCTGTTCTAGAAGACTATTTAGCAATGGCTGAAAATTTAATAGACTTTCAAGGAAATTGAAGTTATTTTGCTTTCTGTTAAATAAAAGATGAAATGTTAATCCTATTTAAAAATACATTTGGCATTCATCACAAATGCCACAATACAGAAAGGACATTCCCCTTTTAAGGATTGTTTTCCATGTCTTGTAAATGGAATACTTTGAAGCAGTTAAGAAACATAATTGCTGGTAAAAAAAAAAAAAAGTTTCTGAAAAGGATTTGGATACTCTATTCAAGGCAGGCTAACCTAATTAAATTGATAATTCAGATCAAAGAGCAGTCTGGAGCTAATGTCATGTTTTCTAAATGCACCTGCCTAGTTACAGTTGTCATACTGAGTTTTATATATGACTGTATACGATAGTGTTCAGTGTTCAGTCATGATTCTTTTCTAGTTAGTGGTTTATACATTTTCTTTTCAGAAAAGTTCAGAGGAAAATCATTTGCTCCAACAATGTTTCTGGATATTTAGGACATCGGATTCTTAAAACAGCTGTATACCAAGCAATGGTATACAACAGGTGCACTTATGTGACTTTGAATATTTGAAGTCTTATAAGATTTATTCTCATAAACCTGAGTATACTAGCATAGGTTGGTTAAGGATAGCAATTTTCCACATTGCTTAAATTTCTGAGTAATTTCTTCTTTTTTATCTTGAGTCTCATAAAACATATATGACACTAGCTGACCTAATCCTTCAACAAATTACAGAAAAAAAGACTTTATAGTAATGATTAACATATACCAAGTACTTTATATTTTCTGAGTTCTGAATTTGGTATGTATGACAATTTATTCAATTCCAATTAAAATCCTAGTAATTATGGACTAATTTATTATTCCCAATACCTAGATGAAGAAACTGAAGCACAGAAATATTACACAACTAAGAAATGCCAGAGTTACAAGTCCAACTTGGCTATTCTGTCCCAGAGTATGCCCTAACCACCATGATGCCCTGTCTCCAATGACATCAAAGTAGCAAGAAGCCTTGTTCTATATTTAAGCACTGGAGGCAAGTAGTCTGATTTTCAGAACAAATAGGAGACTTCTTTCACCTTCCTTTATTTTTGTGGTAACGTTGGCAATATTTTTCAGATTTATGGAGAAGATTATGTTTGAATTCATCATCCAATTTCATAAAGTTTATCAAATTTATTATTTTAATACAATATTTTTTGAAGAAGAAAGGACACATCAGATCTGAGAATTAGGAGAGTAATTAGTTACTGCTAATTGATGACCATTTGTTCACCTTCAGTATATCTTTAATATGTTGAGTATATTTTGAGCGTAAACATTCCTATGAGATAGATTATGTCACCAACCTGACCCTGTAAAGTTGGAATAAAATATCTAAGAGTGCAGAAATATGTGATTTATCTTTAGACTATTAAAACTGTTTATGCTAGGTTCATGAAATAAATAAGGGAAATTCAGTAGGATGTTCTGTGTTAAAGTGTGTGTTTCTGTATCTGTGACATCCAATATGGTAGCCGCTAGCTATTTTGAGCACTTGTGAGTACTTGTGAGTACTGAAACTAAGGGCCCAAATTTCTTAAATTTTAGAGATTGCTCTTAAAACAAGAGGTGTGCTTTATTGATATTTAAGTGATTAGATAACTTATTCACCCACAATTTATCAACAATATTTATAGAATTCCAAAGGTCCAAAATTACAGTGAAAAATGACTAGAGATCAAAAAATGTCTAATTAATATCAAATTATAACGTTAAACTTCACCTGTTATGTCTTATCAGCAATATGTTTATAATATGATGTATGAGGAGAAAATCAAGCATTAGCGTGTGCTACAATCCTATGTGTTTTAAGAAAGGAAGAGAGGAAGAAATACAGGATGGAGGAAGGAAGACAGAGAAATTTGACATCCTTGGTTAATTTGTACAGCCAGCATATTATTATAATTTACTATTATGTGTAAGCGATTACAATAAATTTAGTAGCTTAAAGTAACACCCATTTATTGTCTCATAAACTTTGTTTTCAAGAAAACAAAAAGTTGTATCTATGACAATTAACTTTTTGATTTCAAGAAGACTAAGAGTTTGTGAGACAATAAATGGGTGCTATTTCTTGGGGACTGCCCTCAGCTCCAAGAGGCATTTCACAGTATGCGAGTTTATTTCTTCCAAGTGAGCACAAAAGCACTTCCTTGACTTCTGTCAGCATGAGCCAAGGGCAGTGTGGCTGTGGAGCCAAGAGTTCCTAAAGCCAGGATAGGTGACATCGCTAATGAGGACCTAGTACTTGATGGACAGCCTTTTGTGGGCTGAAAACATTCAAGCTTTGCTTAAAGGATTCAAAGGTGGCCATTGTGACTTTTGAAAACAAAAGTTAGAGTCAAAGCCGACCAGTGGTGTGTAACTGCCCTGTCCTTCTGCATCTGCCTCTTATCCTTGTCCGTCCCTCTATCCCTACCTTACCTACTTTAACAACAACCACTACCACCACAACAGCAACAAAGTGTATTAGTTGTGAGATTGAAGTCTCCCTATCCCAAAGCAGGACCAAAGACCATATGCACCCATCAAAGTACTCTGGGGATTTTCAAAAGTAGGAGAGACACGAATTGCCCTGGCCTTGTTGGATGTGTATCCAAGTCACCATCCTACCAAGTCCCATGTACATAAATCCCTGGAAGGAAAATTATTTTTAAAATTGAATCTAGTTTCCCAAATATTTAACTCTCCTGAAACATACGCTATATGTGGCATATATCTAGATAGTCGCTCTTTCTGCAAGATTTTATTATGATCTACCTGATTTCACCAGAAGAGACCCAGATTGATAACCTAATATCTAACTTTTTTTTTTTGGGGTCATAAATTTCGGGTTGTCAGTTTTTACCAGTATATTAAATTCCTGAGGGTCAGTTTTACAAATCCTTATGCAATTCATTATAGCAAATCTTTATGTCTTTGCCCAATAAAGAAAAATTAGTCAGACATATTGTAAAAGCATGTTATCTACAGATGTACAGTAAAATACATATTTTCATTTTCAAAGTGATATAAAAATGAGAACATAAATTTGCACTAAAGTTTCACTATTGCTATTCCTGTGTATTTACCAAAACAATTCAAACAACAAAGAAAATTACCAGAAAGAGCTCGTTTTTATTTTGGTACAACTACATGCAATATTGTGCATTACACCTTCTACTCACTGTAATGTTTTTCATGCAAACTTCAGAGCTTTAAATTGATAATAATTAAAACTTTTCTTATTGCAAGATTTAGAAACAATTTTAAAAGCATTCTAAGAGTGGTTTAAGAGAACCGTTTGCTTTCTGGCAGTGACAATACCATAATGTTTTCATAGTATATAGTACTTTCCATAATGATCGTGTAAGAATGTGGAAAACAACTTTGCTTTGTTGTTATGTATAATCAAAGCTGACACATTTTACTTCTGCATTACTCTGCTATAATTGTCTTTCTGGATATATCAACTCTTAAATGTAAACAGGATTTTTTGAGCGAAAGAGACACTCAGCAAATTATTCTATTTCAATATGTTATCAAACATCCTGATTTTATATTTTTTGAATTGTCTGTAGGATTTAAATTTAGTCCTTGACTCAGAATAAGTTGTTGTAGTTGATATTTTTGTTTATTTATTTATTTACTTTGAGATGGAGTCTTGCTCTGTTACCGAGGCTGGAGTACAGTGGTATGATCACAGCTCACTGTACCCTCAAACACCGGGGCTCAAGCAATCTTCCCACCTCAGCCTCCCAAGTATCTGGAACTACAGGCACAAGCCACCACACTCATTCAGCTACATTAAAAAAAAAAACAAAAAACTATTTTTTTGTAGAGATGGATCTTGCTTTATTGCTCAGGCTGATCTCAAACACTTAGCCTCAAGCAATGCCTCTGCCTCCAAAAGTGTGCTGAGATTGTAGCTTTGAGCCAATGCACTCGGCCAGAATAAGATTTTAATAGATGTTTTTGAAATGTAAAGTATTTCAGACAAATTTTAAAACATTTAATGAAGTTTTAAATTATTCGATATATTTATATGACTATAATAAAACCATTAAATTTAGTTTTTTTAACTTTTTACTATGAGATGATTTCAGATTTAAAAGAAAACTGCAAAAAATAGTATGAACAATTTACATACATTACTCATCTAGATTCTACGAATGTTTCCTATTTACTCACATTTGCCTTTTCATGATCTATTGTTACATATGACTATATATTAATCTATCATTTATTTACATATATACACACATATATTTGCATATGCGCGTATATTTATTTATATAACAGTTTACACACCTATAAATATTTTTGGAAACTTTTAAGAGTAAGTTACCAAGTATAAAGTATAATGTCCCTTGGCTTGAGCTTTTTAGGTTGTATTTACCTAAAACAAAGTAATTTTCTCATATAACCACAGTGTAATCATCAGACCTTTAGTCTGGAATAATCTTTGTTCTTTCATTACCTGAGTATTTTTAAGAGTAGAAGTCATTTACTTTGTGGAATACAAAATAAGAATGCATTAATAGATTAAAAATGAAAATCATCAAATTGGAAGCTGAAATGAAACTATTTGAAAATTTACCACACATTTGGAAAACAATGAGAAGGTCAAGAATGTCAACAATGAGAATTCTAGCAAAGAAGAAAATTCTCGTACTTACAGTTAATTATATTAATTATTAATTAATATTACTATTAATAGTAATAATTAATTATTATACTATTAATTATTGATATAATAAACTATGAGTATGTTAAATATTTTTGGATAATCCTGTTTCTACCAAAACCTAGCTTCTAAAACATGGGACAGATTATACTCAGAAATTAACAATTTTATAAGCTTGAATTTATTTATCTCATTAAATAAATGACCACAGTAAATATTCCTGGGTTAAAGATTAAGCAAATGTTTCTAACCAAACATTGCTTAAATTTAAGCACAACATCTTTTGGTTGACAGCGTTCTGTTGTTACTGCATGAGAAAGTTTGATCACTGGAATAGTACATTTATAAACTATTTCAAGGAAAAACAACCAATAGATTGAGGGTATTTACATGATTTCTTTCATACCACATAATATAAGGTTACATTTTGGGGATTTTGTAGACTTTTATGTATTTTTCTTAGTTGTCATACTTTCTTGAAATAATATTTAAGACTCTTTGGGATAAAAATAAATATAAATATCAGACTAAAAATGCCTAATTTTCCTTTTTTCTCAAAAAACATGCACTATTCCTAGTGGCCATTCTGTGTTCACTAGGAATAGTTCATGTTTTTTAGAAGCTCCTAGACCTTCCATTTCATCTCATCATTGTATTAGTCCATTCTCACACTGCTATAAAGAACTGCCCAAGACTGTGTAATTTATAAAGAAAAGAAGTTTAATTGGCTTGCACTTCCATGTAGCTGGAGAGGCCTCTGGAAACTTACAATCATGGCAGAAGGGGAAACAGGTGTGGCTTAAATGGTGACAGGCAAAAGAGAGAAGAAAGCCTGCATACGGGGAACTGTCAAACATAAACAAAACCAGCAGCTCTCCTGAGACCTCACTCAATGTCATGAGAGCAGCATGGGGGAAACTGCCTCCATAATCCAACCAGCTCCCACCAGGTCTTACCTTTGACATGTGGGGATTATAAGGATTACAATTCGAGACAAGATTTGGGTAGGTACACAGAGCCAAACTGTATCAGTCATGAAAACTTGTTTTTAGGGTATAACAATAATATCACAGGCTAAAGCTTTATCCTGTACATATTTATTTTAAGAAGAAAAATACAAAATTGCAAAAATTTTTAATTATCTGTTAAAACATATTTATCTTTATACAGCACAATAATAACTATGAGATAATGTGTCTTTGACATGACACATATCTGTTGTGGAAAATGATAGAAATGTTAGAAAACACTGTACAAGGCAATTTACATTATTTGTTCATGTGATATTATTTTAAGCCACAGGAACAATTACATTTAAAACCATTGGTATGTTTTTTTCAGGCTGGGAAAATGCATTAAAAAGCTCTGCTTAGTCATGTCTAAAAAAATACATGTCTAACAAAGCTGGCAATTCTTATTTAAGAGCATCATTAGCATAAGTTGAGATTTAAAAGAAATTTATCATTATTTACTCATCTGTTAATAAATTAGCTAGTGACAAGGAAAGTAAAGAAATACACATTTTTTTTCATGGCATACAATTCAGGCTATCCGGAACCTTAAGGAATTAAACAAAATGATCTACTAACCTAACATAGTAACTGAAAGGAGACTTACAAAAAAGCTCCAAAGAATCTTACAATTAACATCATTTAATCTAATGGAAACATTTGTTTGTCAATTATTAATTAGTTTTAAGTGTGTGTGTTTGTGCACATGTGTGTGTATGTGTGTGTAATTTTATAGAAGGTAGTTAGCAAAACATAATGAAAATTGTCATGTCTTTTTGAATTTATGACTATTAAAACACTAAGAGAAAAATATTTAAGTTTTTGTGCCTCTGCTTCCTCAACTGTAAAATGGGGATTATAGTAAATGATCTTTATAATCTTCTTTTTCATGTCATTTTTTGAAATTTCTAAAATTATATCAATATGATTATTCTAAATAAAATTAATTCCTTGCAAGTATTGGTGATTTTTTTTCTTTTGTGCTAAAACTTTTAAAAATTAATTCATTTATTGATCTATTCATTTATCAGATACAATTGTGGTACATATTTCTATCCTAAACACTATATTCTTCCATGTGGATACGGATGAAAGACAATCTTTCTTCAAGGGGCTAATAAAAGGAGAGAATTATATGTGGAAAATATGTTTAAGTATTGAAGTTGAAATAAGCGTGCAGTTGGATAGAACAGGCCAGAAAAGCACATAAACTAGGATAGAGTTAAGGAAGGCCTCCTAGAGGACTTCTTAAAATAAAAGATTAAAAGCAGCTAGACAAGATGGTTTTCATTTTATTTTAATATACTATTTTTATTAAATGCAATAAAATCTAGAAATCTACATTAATCTAAACTGAATTAGACCTTGAGTAGCATTGTCTTAGATTAAAAAATAAAATGCCTGCCCCCAAAATCAAAACAAACTGCATTTTTCTTATCTTCTTTTAAATAAAAAAGTCATTAATCTCAAATTAATTTAAAAAGTCAATATTGATATTTTATTCCGTGTAACATCCCACTTATCTTCTGAAAAAAGGATATTTACTATGTGGCCTCTCTTTACTAAAATGTTCATTCAATAAGCTTCAAATACAAATGTATCAGAAGTAATATTATTTAACTTTATTTTTATGCCATTTTTTACTTTAAGTATCTTGTCCTGCTCATATACATTGATTAAATACACTACTTTCTGATCTGCTAATGATCGATATACAAAATGCTAAGAGTGTTTCAAACATTTAAAAGGATTGAGTTAAGAAAATTGAACTACACTTGAGATCCAAGTTCTTTCTCAGACATTAGGGTGATGAGATGGCTCATCACCCTACATTCTGCCAGGATGATATATGACCATACAAAGTGGTAGAAGCTGGCACTTACCCATGTCTTTAAATCTTCGCAATTTGTCAACTTTAGGGCTGGATGTACTTGAATATATATATATATATATATATATATATATATATATATATATATATGTATCTGTGTGTGTGCCTATGTGTGTGTATATCTTATAATTCCTGGGAAGTTGCACTGATACTATTTCAACTTTGCTGAGTAATTTATCTCTGGCTTAATATAATATAATATAATATATATAATATAATATAATATATATAATATAATATAATATATATAATATAATATAATATATATAATATAATATAATATATATAATATAATATAATATATATAATATAATATAATATATATAATATAATATATATAATATAATATAATATATAATATAATATATATAATATAATATAATATATAATATAACAATTTATTAATTAATTATATGTTAATATAATAACATGGTTTCTTTGGTCAATAAATACCTAAAGGCCAGAAAGTGTAACCAATCTTTCCTTATAATAGATCCCCAAATTCTTGACTGAATAATATTTCCCAAACCATTTTTTTGCTTCTTTCTTGTCCACTCACTGATTCACTTAATGAACACTTATTAAGAAGTTTGTATATACCGCGTTCTTCAGTCAGTTTACTAAAAGGTTAGAAATTATGCTCTGTGGCTGTTTTGAGCAAGAATATTAACCTCCATAAACCTTGTTTAATGCCATATGGATGGTCCTATCTCCACAATTTGATCATGAGATCCTCCAAAAAATGTAAACTCAATAACATTATAGTGAACGTGATTACTAACCTTTATAATATGATTAAGGAAAATATCAATACCTGTTTTACATTTTGAAATAGTGTCATCTCCCCCAGTGTGATGACACTTATAATTTTCTTTGTTCATTATCAGTTGGTTCTTCAGATTCCTGTTCTAGTCAGTCAGAATTGGACAAAGGTCTTGAGGGTTTGAAGATTCTTCTGCATCTTATTTTGTCATTGCAGTTCTATGTAACCATAAGAAGCTCAGCTGCTTTCTCTTATAGAGATTTTCATCCACTCGTCCTAGATTGGCTTTGCTTGGCGGAGTCCCTAGGCATTGCTAAAGGTCTTCAATTCACTCGAAGGAGTTACTGGCATTTTGGGATTTTATACCCTCTAGTTCTTGTTTCTTCTGCATGTTTCACATGCCTTAAAAACACAGGCTTCCAGGACTGTGCAAATATAATAAATTATGTTCAAAGTATAGCCTTATGTATGTCTGGTTTTGTTTAACCTCGTGCATTGTTTGTTAGATGTATTAACATGATTTTCAAATTGATTTTCTCACATTCCTTACTTGCATTTTGGTCTTTTCGCCTTGAAAACCTTTTCATTTTTTCTTGAATTTTTTCTTTGAAAATGTCTTTTAGCAATGAGGCACTGGTAGAAAATTCAAGTTTTTCATCTGAAAATATCATTAACTTAGTATTATGCCAGAAAGATAGCTTTGCAGAATATAAAATTTAAGTTGATAATACTATTCTCTTGGGGATTGTGAGATTTTGATTCCTCTGTATTGTGGTACCCATTCTTGCCTTTGTGAAATGAAAATAGAATCTTGGGACCCCAAACTCACTATGCCAAAGGGAATGTTAAGCTTGGGAACTGAGTCACGCAAAATCTACTTTTCTTTTGTTCCCAAACAGATAGCTGTAATTTCACATGCTTACTTTGTCTTATGGAAAATGTAGATCAGCGGAGCTCCAGAGGAATACATAATCAACTTTTCCCCTCACTCTTTTTGCACTTTTAAAATGTGCATTCGGTAAGCACTAATCAAAACCTCACAAGAACCTTCCTTTCTTTTTATTTTTCTATCACCCTCCTGGGCGTTTTTTTCTCCTTTAAATATTGGAAGTCCTCAAAACCCTCTTTGGAGAAAGCACAGGTCACAGATTCTACTGCAACTTGTGTTTTGTTTTCTTTTGTTTTGTTTTCCCTAGGTGCATTCTCAACCCTGGCAAAATAAACCTCTCAATCGCTTGAGATCTGTCTCAGACACTTTGGTTTACACATTTGAGAAATCAGCGGTTTATATGACTGTGAGTCCTTTGATTATAAACACTGTTTTCCTTCTGAATGTATGTCTGTTATTCAGTCTAACAGACTGAATGTGCATAAGTATGGACTTCATTTTATTTATCCTACTCTATATACATTGTGCTTAATAGTTGACGGAATCTGATCTCAATCAATGTAGGGAAATGTACAGCTTATGATTCTTTATGTATAACCTCTCTTCTGTATATACGATTCTTATTTTCTGGCACTATAATTAGAAATATATTTGAATCAACCTTTCTATCTTACATAACTTAAATGTTTTCATATTATCTAGCCATTTGTTTATCTTTGCTACAGTATATAACTGCTTTAGTTCTATTCATTAATTCTCTTTCTTGCTGTGACTAATCTGTTGGTTAATCTATCCATTAATTTTTTTCTATGGCATTTATTTTATTTTCCATATAAATTTTAAAAGTCACTTTTGATGGATTTTATGTCTTTTTATTTTGGTTTGTTTTGTTTTAGTGTGAGTATTTAACACAAGAGCCATTCTTTTAACAAATGTTTGAGTGCATAATACAGTATTGTTAACTCCAGAATGAAGTTGCATAGTAGCAGAGCTCTAAAATTATCTTGATTAACTGGAACTTTATACCTGTTTAGTATAAACAGGTATAAACTCCACTTTTCCTTCCTTCCAGTTCCCGGCAATCAGCATAAAATGTTTACTTTATTTGCAATCTTTTTGGTATTTCAAGATCCATCAAGGTTTTTTTTTGAGGAAATACAGATATTTATGATAGCCTTAGTAGTATTCATTTTTTAATTTGTAATTTATTTCATTTCTTTAAGTATATATTTTTTTCTATTATTAGTATATTTTCCAATTTTATGAATACTTTCATGAATATACATTTTATTAGGTATTTGGCTAACTCCTACATGGTCAGTAAGTAAATCTGGGGGAATTTATATATGATTGTGCCTAATGTACGAGAATGTCTTGAGTCTAATCTGGAGATTCTTTCATCCAGGGAAGGTTTCTTTTTTCTACTGTTTGACAAGAGAGGAGGGAAGGGAGAGAGCTTGCTATTAATCTGGGACCTTTCAATCTCCTTTGGATGTTTTATCCTTTGAAGTCTTAGATTCAGCTCCCCAACAATGCCAAAGCAACAGCAACATCTTCCTGTTGCATACTTACACTGGCATTCATCTACTGAGCTTTATCCACTTTCCTCACTGTTTGTTGTATACACTCCAGCTCAGATCATTTTTCTTTTCACCTATCTGTTTGTTTAAGTTATTGAGATATTAAAAATATTTTGCAAGGTATTGACTGTATTGTATCAGGAATAGAGTTGAATTGCAGTGGAAGGGTCCCTGAGATTACTAGTTTTCTACAAAGTGTAAAGTGAAAAATTTCAGGAATTTCTGCCTATGCCCAGTCTGTTATGGTATTAGTCTTTCTTTCCATTCTGTGCCTACATTTTTCTTTGAAATATTTGGTTTTCTTTATTTGCCTTTTTTCCACCTAAATCATAAGTAAGGAAAGCATGACCCATGAACCATATTCAGCATATTTATGTACATGAATACAGCCACAATCGTACTTATCCATATTGTCTATGGTTGGTTTTGCATTACAATAGTAGACTTGAGTAGCTCCATTGGGAACCATAAGGCCACATAGTTTGAAATATTCACTTTCTTGGCTGTGTTAGTTTACTAGGGCTTTTATAACAAAGTACCACAGACCAGGTAAGTTAAACAACAGAAACTTATGTCTTACAGTTCTGAATTTGAGAAATCCAAGACTCCTGGGGTCTGCAGGATTGGTTTCTTCTGAGGCTTCAGAAGAAAGCTTGTAGATGGTGATCTCCCTGCTGCTTCACATGTTTTTTTCCTATACCTCTCCATGTTTTAATTACCTTTTTTCATAAAGACACAAGTTGTACTAGATTATGGTCCACCCTAATGAACTTACTTTTAACTTAATTATCACTTTAAGATTCTAGCCCCAATTCCCATCACATTCTGAGGTAGTAGGAATTAGGGCTTCAACTTATAAATTATGTGGGTGCATAATTCAGCGCCTAACACTGCCTCTTTGCAGAAAAAGTTTGCTGATGAGTGCTGCAAACAATTACATAATCAACCAAGATGGCTTTTGTAAGATAGTTTTCTATAAAGAAAATTTATAAAATAAGAGTTTTATAAATATAGAAAATGAACAGAGTCTGCAAAATTGAGACATAGAAGACATAGAAGAAAATACTCATTTGGGGGTTTCAGTTCTTTTTAACATTTTTGACCTGTAATCCTTATGTCAAACATTTTTCTAGAAATGGAGATTCCCAAGTAAAACAAATAGCAGGAAAAATGTATGCATAATTGATACAAGTTATATCAAAGGAAACCTTAAAAGCACATCACATATTTCAAATTTTAAATTTTAATATTTTATAAATTTATCAACTGTAGGTGATTATCATGTTATTTCAAATTTTATTTCACAACTAGGAAAATATTTTCAGTCATAATGTGGGAGACATTTAAGATATTTATTAAATATAATAATGTATATAAATATATACTTAGATACATATTTATATAAATATGTAAATATAATAATGTATATAAATATAATAATGTATTATAACATTCATTAATTAATTGAATAACTCATATTTTGACCAAAATGTAAGAATCTTTAGTCAATATATAAATAATTTAAATTTAGTTTATTTAATTCATTTAATTTAATATCAAGATTTCCAGAAAGTATAACATTTAGATAGACATAACTTTCCAATTAGAAGTTTTGGCAATTTTATTAAATAAAGTGGAAAACAGAACTATTAATTAATGTATAAATACAAAATTATTTATTTTCTGTAAAAAACTACAATGGGAACTATTTATAAAAAGTCAATAGGATAGTTCTAAGAAAAATATAAAAAAACCTAAGCCACAATTTATATAAATAGTTGAACATAATTTGACATTTATATATTAGTATCTGATGAAGTAATGATTTATTCATAGAGAATGAGAAAACCTCGGAAGTTTCATTCTGATAAAGATAATGTTCAGAAGGATGATAGCAATGAATTTTGCATCTTTTTCTCCTGACACATATTCTCCTCCAGAATGCTGTTAATACTGAGTCTTTCTTTACCATTGAAACATAGCATGTAGAATAGGAGAGGAATTTGTTATCAAGTAAACCAATGGGCTGCAGGGTTATAATGTAAATATAATCTTCTTGGTTTAAAAAAAATTATGGGAAGTTTTTTTTTTTCAATTTGTTAATGAAAAGAAGATACACCGCAATATAGTTAATATAAATTTTCCAAAGTATTAGGTCGTGATTGAGAATTATTATTATTATTATTTTAGTTTACTTTAGATATGTAACACCATGGCAATTATCTTTTCACATAAGTACAATATAAAAAGGCATGGATGTCTCCAGGAATTCATTATCCTTGCATTCCTTTTTGTCTTAATTTTCTTCATTCATAGCTTATCTTATTTATAATATAAATGTTGATAATGAAACGAACCAGTTATATTCTTGGAATAAGAATCATGCATAGTATACTGCATTACATAATTTTAAAATGAGCTCTTACTGAATATTATAATAGTACAATGTGTGTGTTAATTGACTAACCTCAATCCTCAATATTAAAGATTAAACTATTTAAATAATTTGTAACAAGTAATATTTGTATGTTCTTATCAATATTCTATCAATTGAATTTTCTTTCACCCTTTACAAAAAATTTCTGCTACATCTGCTTTATTCTCTGGAAGCAAATTATTTTTATATAATAGAGAATAACATGGAAAGAATGCTTAGAGATTTCTAGGTCTCCTATACTGCAAAAACTTTTTGAGTGTTGTGTGGGACTTCAAGAAAGGTTGAAAAAAGAGCACAAATTCTTTCCTCAAAAAGTGGTAGAATAAATTGTCAAAGCAATCACTCCGGAACTCTGGACACGAATTAGATGTCTTATGCTATATACAGAGAAGTCTTTATTAGAAAAGTCTGTGAGACATAGGAGCCTATGGCATTTTGGTTGGGAGATGCCCCTATTTCAATTCCCTTCTTAGTTCGATTGCAGTAATTCTTACCGGGCAGGGCAGACTGATTTGATGTGGAGTCAGAGAACAGAAACAGCAAACCCAGAGGTACCACTTGCATAACAAATGGAGCGTCCAGAAAGACTGCTAAATATTTGAGAAAGTCAATATGGAACTAGCCTGAGATGGTGATATGTGTTGGGGCAAGCAAATACTGGAAGGAAATATAGAAATGTAAAAGGAACACTTGGTTAGAATAGTCATAGAGGACCTTTATGAGATTTCATATATCTCTGGTGTTCTGGAAGGCAGCTTGCTTGTGCAAATTCTGAGCAGGCTCAGGAGAAAGCACGGGGGATCACAGCTACCTACTAACCCCTCCCCCAGAAACATGAGGCCTCAATTAGGCAGAAAGTAAAAGTTGCAGCATGCTTGTTGATACAGTTTGGCTCTGTGTTCCCACCCAAATCTCACCTTGAATTATAATAATCCCCACATGTCAAGGACAGGACCAGGTGGAGATAATTGAATCATGGGGGCAGTTTCCCCCATGTTGTTCTTGTAATAGTGAGTGTGTTCTCACGAGATCTGATGGTTTTATAAGGTGCTTCCCCCTTTGCTGGGCGCTCAATCTCTCTCTTGCCACCCTGTGAAGAGGTGTCTTCTGCTCTGATTGTAAGTTTCCTGAGGCTTCCTCAGCCATGTGGAACTGTGAGTCAATGAAACCTCTTTTTTAATAAATTGTCCAGTCTCTGGTATTCCTTCATAGCAGCGTGAGAATGGGCCAGTACACTTGCAATCTTCCTGAACTTTGAAATGTGGCCTCTGGGCCATACAAAGATCAAAATTGCAAAGAATTAATTATTATTGGCTTGAGATGTTTAAGCAAATCTCTGCAACAATTTTCCCTGGGGTTCACATTTGACTTAAAGAAAAGTTGAGGACACTTGAGACTTTATTATAAAAGCATAGCTAAGTTTTTCAATGTTTTAATGTAAATTCCAAAATCATTTAGAGAGAAATAGACACAGAATGTTAATTTTTACCAACATGAATCAAGAGAGTGTTCATAGATGTGTATCTATATGTCTATATCGATATCATCTATCAATATTATTTTCTGAAATTGTTAAAATCATCTATCAGATACAAAAGGAAAATTCTGGACCAAAATCAATGGTCCAGTGATGAGACCCTGCTTGATGACAGGGTCTCATCAATCCATATCCACTAGTGAAGCTCAACTTATGTTATACTAATGCAATAGGAAATATAAATAGGACTAAAAATCAAACATGTAGTTGTTGGGGAAACTTAAGAAAGTTCTATAAAAATAGCAATATGCTATTTTATTTACTTATTACTTTATTGCATCTTCTGCACTTTAAAATATAATGAATCAAATATAATCTTATAGTGTTTATTATATTATGATTTGCCATATATTCTTTTGTCGGCCTTTCATTTATTGAAGGGAAATAGCTATTTTATTTCCTTCAAAAAACGGTAGTAATTCTGTCAAGTTTTCATGGGATCAGAAACCATGGAATATAGGAACAAATTGAAGGATTAATCAGCGTGATTATTTAAAATGTATCCTATAAATTATCTCTCTCAAGTTCAAAGTTCCACAGATCTCCAGGGCATAAATTCAACTTTCTTATTACTGATCATATTTGTCATAAAACTTCAGAAAACATGTTAAGAAAATATGTCTGCTGATGTAAGATGTCTCCTAGCATTAGAAATCATTAATAACAAATAGCTTATGCATAACTCTTCATTTATATTCTTTTAGAATTAGGCTTCTCTCTCATCCTTCTTCACATACAAATTTTGTTTATTCAATGCCTTTAAAGCATTAAAGGAAAGATCATGCCTAGTTTGCATTTTAGTACATTTAATTAGAAATAAAAATACTTGCATTCAATTTAGTGTCTTCCATCTCTATTCCTATAACTGCAAATGAATCTTTAGCATTTGAGAAGATTAAATTCTTATCGTAAAACAGGCAGACTCTTACCTGCTAATCACTCTTATGAATGTAAGGTATTAATTTCCTGAGACAATGAGTGAATGATACTTTCATTTTATAAATTTTAGGGAGTTTTTAAAATAGAAGATGTTTTAATTTTATAGAAATTAAGGCTACATTGTTCCTATTAAAATAAGTATTATACCTTATAATGTTTGAATGCTCATTCTCTGAGAAGACTGTGAAAATGTTTTCTGTAATTTCTCTAACTTCATTCACTCAATTAAATATGTACTGAAATCACTCACATTTGCCCATAGGTACCAAGGATGGAACAAAGTAGTTTCTAAGGAGCACACAACTAAGTGGATAACTCGGGAAGCTTAACTCTACAGACCACACTCTTTAGATACCTAAATATTTACCACCTGACACGTAATGTTAGAGATAAAAGTATCAAGGCAGGAGTAAACAATATGTAATTATTCTTATCAAGAGATTAATTTTAAGCCCGTGTTTAGGTTTCACAAAGAAGCTAAAGTAAAATTTGAATGTGTCTGTTTTACCTATGAAATATTTTTCTATTAATCTATATGCAAAAACTTCCGCACAAATGTTCACAGCAGCTTTACTGGCAAAACAAAAAATATTGGAAATAAGAATCTAAGTGTCAAAAAATTGATGAATGGTTAAACAAATTGTGGCACATCCGTACCATGGAATTCTATTCAGCCATTAAAAGGTGCAAAATATTAATACACATGCAACTTTGATAGGTCTCAAGAGAATTATGCTGCATTAAAAAACAAGTTTCAGACAGCTACATACTGTTTGATTCAGTTTATATAACATTTATTTATTTTTAATGTTTATTTTTAATCGACACATTGGAATTTTACATATTTATGGGATGCAATTTGATGTTTTGATACATATGTATCTTGCATGATGATCAAATCAGGATAATATTCTTGAAAAGACAATATTATAGAGGTAGAAACCAGATTAGTGGTTGCCAGACTTTAGAAACAGGGTAAGGCAAGATTGTGACTTGCCACTGAGTGGTAGTTGTAGAAAACTTTGTGATGAAACTTTTCTGTATCTGAACTATAACAGCGTTCAAATGAATCTATGAATGTGCTGAAAATGCACAGAACTTAATAGACACACACAGACAAATGAATGCATGCAAAACAAGCGAAATGTGAATAATATCAGTGGATTACATCATTAAATTTCTTGGTGGTTACACATCTAGAATGTATTGCTTATACTTCATACAATCTCTCTAGTAGTTTAGATAGAAAAAACAATTTGCCAGCGACTGATGATTTATATTTTAGAATTGTTAGCTAAATTCTTGGGCCCCAGAAGTATTGTGAGACATGCCAGAGGTAATGATCTAGGCAAATTGAAAAGTATGATACTGATTAGGCAAATAAGGAAAGATATCACTGCTCTGCATGAGTCATTACCAAACCATTTGATAATGTTCGCAGGCATTATCCACTGACAGACTTTTATCAATGGGTAATTAGAGGAATATAAATAAAGGAACAAACAGAGCTCATAATTGGACCAATGCAATGACAACTTCCTTTCAGACAAAACTCAGACATGATCACAATTTATGAAATTGGAAATATAGGTATATATATATTTAATAATGAAGATATCTTTATGAAAATGCTACAAAGACTTTAAAAACTCGATACAATTGTGGAGCTTCAGGAATTAAAATAAAAACTCTTCTTGTCTACTAACCCTTTCAGGTATGCCCTTAGGTTCTATTTTGTTCTTCACGGCTCTTCTGTATAACCTGGCTGTATCATTACATCTACAGCCCTAGGGCAGTAATAGACATAAGCTCCTCCCTCAGTCCTTCAGTCAATTAGCTGAAAAATAGAAGACATATGGACCAAAGTATAGGAAGAAGTACCATATGGAATTAATTACTCATTCAAGTTTCTAAAAAAAACAAATCTCTTTATTTAAATATTTATTTGATACGTTAAACTGAGTATTGCTAGTAAGCAATATTCCTGGAATATCTTTCAGATACCATCTAACATCAGCTAACCTGATGATCAGAAATTTACTTTCTTAAATGCGTTGTTGCTCTGTACACTTTTGTCATTGCAGTTAAGTATATTTGGGAACATAACTTATTATAATTATAACCTACTTCTTTTGCTGCTTCCAATGTGGACAAAATAAGGATTGGAATGAGTACTGTATCTTTTTAAAAATTCAAATGGCCAGATATTACAACAACACATAGGACATAAAGATCATAAATGTGCATATGCCTATTATAATCCTCAATATACTTGAGACAAATATTGATGAAATTAAAGTAACAAACAATTCGACCATAATACTAGAATATTTTCATACTTTCAGTAATTAAGAAACACAAAAATAGTAAGAAATTAGATGATCCAAAGAACATACTGAACTATTTTAAATTAATGTTTAGTTCTAGAACACTGTCTGATAAGAGCAGAAACACATTCTTCATGATATATGTACATCTTTCACCAAGATAGGCCATGTACTGCGCCATAAAATGTCTTAATATATGTCAAATAATTAAAATACTTTATTCTTTGTTCATAACATAATGATATTAAAAATAAAAAATAAATATCCAGACAATTTAAAATTACTGAGAAATGATATATCCTTCTGAATAATTTATAGAAAAAAGATATTGTTAAAGAAATCAGAAAATATTTGAACTGAAAAGTAATAAGAATGCAACATATCTCAACTTGCTGGATGCATATAAGGTAGTACTTACAGATAATTTGTAGTTTTAGATACAATATTTTTAAAAAGCTCTAAAATCAATGAACAGTGGCTCACTTTAAAAAGGTAGAAAAAGAAAGAACAAAGTAAATCCAAATTAAGCAAAAGGAAGGGTAGAATTAAAAAAAAAAGAAGACCAGAAGAAAATGAAATAAAACACATCAAAAAAGAAAGAATATTAACAAAGCTAAAAACAAGATATTTGAAATACTTAAAAAGAAAGGCAAAGACAAATTTAAAAAGAATGAAAATAAGGAAGAATAAGATGAGAGAGAACAATGCCAAGAATAAATAAGGGTAATAACTAGAGATCCTGTAATATTAAAAAAAAAACCATGATATATAACTTTTAGTCAATGATTTTATAAAGATAGATGGAATTGATAAAATTTTCAAAAGATACAAATTGATAAAGTACACTCAATTAGAATAGCCCTATATTTATTAAGACATCTAAATTAATAGACAAATGTCTCCTCAGAAAGAAAATTCCAGTCTCAATGTGCTTTCTGGTGAATTTCTGAGAATTATGAAGAAATAACACCTACTATTTTCAAACTATTTGAATCAATAGAAAAAAATTAGATAAAGAAAGAGAAGGGAAGACATCACACCTAATTTAATAAGGCCAGCAATATCCTAACAGCAAAGCCAGAAAATAAGAATATTACAGATAAATATGCCCTGTTAACACAGGAGTAAAAAGTAGTGACAAAATTCTACATAATAAAATCGAGGACTATATAAAATATATTATAACCAAGCATATTTCAGTATTATGAGTTAAATTGTACTACCACCAACAGATAAATTGAAATTCTAATCCCCAGTACTTCATTCAGAATGTGACCTTATTTGGAAACAATCTTTACATATGTAATCAAGTTAACACAAAGTTGTTAGGATCAGCCTTGATCCAATATGTCTTGTGTCCTTATGGGAGGAGGCAATTTGGACACAGAAACACACACTTAGGGAAAATGTCATATGAAAATGAAGGCAAGTATCGGGATAATATGTCTTACCTAGTCAGGAAATTCCAAAGACAGCTGACTAATCACCAGAAGCTAGGAAAGGCATGGAACAGATTCTTCCTCAAAGCCCTAGAATGAGCTAATCCTGTTGACACCTGGGTCTGAGACTTCTGGCCTCCAGGACGGAAAACAGTATGTTTTCTGTTGTGTAAGCCATCCAGCCTGTGGTATGTTATGACAGCAGCTCTTGCAAATGAATACATCCAAGATTGCAAGGTTAGTGTAACATTCAAAAATTTGTCGAGGTAATTTATCATGTTAACACAAAAATAAAGAAAAATTATATATCATTATTTCAAAATTCAGAAAAAGCACTTGACAAAATTAAACATTCATTTATAATACACATTCTGAGGAATCTAGGAAGGAAAATAATTTCCTAAATATGCTTCTTGTATTAGCAATGATTCCCAAACTGAGCATAACATATATTATTGTGAAAATATAGGAAAGCAAAGAAAAAAACGTGGCACACAAACTATTGAAGACAATTTCACATTGTTAATAAAAATTTCAAATGTATTACCTCTTTACTGATAATCTACTTCTAGGATATTGTACCAATATATACCTGCATGTGTACAAAGTAATGTGCGTACAAAGTGGGTTTTTTTTTCTTTTTTTTTTTTTTTGGTATAAAAGAGACTAGAAAAACTTCAAATGTCTGTATATCATGACGTGATAAATGAAGCATGATATGTCAACATAATAAATATCACAAATTAACTCATGACTTTTATGCAATCATAACATTAAAATGAAAAACTTTCTGTGTTCTGTTTAAACTCTGCACTATAATTTGACATGAAACAATCTGTAGGCTTGTGAATGCAAGAACCAAGTTGCAGAACTGTGACTATATTATAAAAATATTTGTGTAACAAAATGGAAATACCATGAGTAGATACTCAATTTTTCTTTGGCTGTAATGCCTTTTTCAAAAGAAACACTGGAATAATTACAAGGTGTCTTCTGTATGGAGGGTCAGGACAATGTTGGGTTGTTCAGAATAAACAGCCCTGAGCAAGTGGTATTCAAGCTAGGGCCTAAAGACTTTATAGAAGCTAGCCAGTGGATGAAAGCAAAAATAATTTTTCTAAGATAAGGCTACAGAATTTGCACGAGGGTGTGGAACAAAGAACTGGATACTAACGGAAGCCCAGTATCGGTCATGCATGGTGGCTCATGCCTGTCATCCCAGCACTTTGGGAGGCTGAGGAGGGCTGATCACCTGAGGTCAGGAGTTTGAGACCAGCCTGGACAACATGGCAAAACCCTGTATCTACTAAAAATACAAAAATTAGCTGAGCATGTTGGCAGGTGCCTGTAATTCCAGCTACTTGGGAGGCTGAGGCAGAAGAATCACTTGAACCCGGAAAGTGGAGGTTGCAGTGAGCTGAGATGGCACCACTGCATTCCAGTCTGGGTGAAAGAGCGAGACTCTCTGTCTTAAATACATAAATAAATAAATAAAAATAACAACAACAACAACAACAACAAAAAAGCCCAATATGGCAGATACTTAGAGATCTAGAGGAATAATTGGGCAAGATGTGGCTGGGAATCATGTCTCCCTTAAGTTTTGAAACATTATAATCAGCTTTGGTATATACATAATTGCCTTGCACAGTAATATAATTTCTTTCCCCTGATATATATTGTAAATGTCTTGATGACTTTTATTGTATGTCTTTACATTATAAAACATGCTATTTTTATATACATATACATAAAAAAGATCACTACAATTAAGCAAATTAACCTATCCATCACCTTTCGTTGTTATTTTTTAATCTTTATGATTTTTATCAAGCTTTTAAAAATTTAAAAAATAGCAAGTGAGAAGGCATTGAAACTTTCTGAAACCAGGTAGGAACCTTTGGTCTCCATGGATACAACTAAAGTAGCTTATCAATTTTATGAGAAAAGAAACATAAATCTTTGTTTTTAAAGAATGCTCAAACTGTCAGAGACCTGTGAGTTCATCTGGATCAGTGAAATCATTTATAAGTAAAGATATTAAGACAAAGGGAGGTAGTGATTTGCTCAAAGTTTCAGCTTCAGAACAGAAACTACAGAATGGAAACAAAAGCATAATATTTCTAATAATAATCTGCTATTTGTCTGGGAATCTTTCTAATTTCAAGAAAATGGTTGGAAATTTTATAAAATACATGGTCAGAAAAGATATCATCACCGTGGAAGGTACAAACAGTATTTTTCCAAAAAATAAAAAAAAAAGGTTGAGGTGATGAATACTCCATTTACCCTGATGTAATTATTACACATCGTATACCTACATCAATTATTGTAGGTACCCCATAAACATATACATGTACTATGTACCCAAAACATTAACAATTTTAAAAATATTTAAAAATCAGCTATTATAAATAAAATGGAAATCAAATGTCTTTGTTTTTAGATGGAGCTTTATTCTCTAGCAAAGCCAAATTGCATCACCAAAGAATATGTGACCAGACAACCATATTTTTTCCTCAGCCATTGACAATTGAGAGTCATCATTTTTCTTCCATTAATAGGTTTTATAAGAATCAAAATGGAAAACAGAGATATATTTTTCATTAGTATGAAGTGTAAAATATACACAAATTTATAACAAATCAATAGAAGTCATCAGACTTTTAGAAAATACTGGATTCTTAATAGATAAAATAAGCTTTTTGATATTTAAAATTTAACTGGATGAAATATAAACTAATTCATTTATTTTAAGGGCTACGAGAGAAAAAAAACAACAATAAGACAAAAACTGAGTATATTCAGAATTGGTTGGTAAAGCCTTTGTTTTAAAGAGTATTTTAAGGTCCTAAAATGCTTAAAAATAATTTTTAAGTTTCTTAAAAATACCTGTGGTTTGGAAGTTTTACTGGAATGTAATAGACATTTATACTTCTATATCTATGCAATGTTTGAACATAATAATGCAGATCTCACTAATTTTTTGAGATGCTAAGAAAGTTGTATAAGTAATTATAATGTGTGACAGTTGCCTTACTTTTAAGAGAAACCATCTAAATATATTCCCAGTGTTCCAAAGAACACACAATTATCGGAATTATGAAAGTTTTATCTTTAAAATCTTTTCAGTGAATCTAATCTTTTCCATTTTTCCCATATTTTATAAGTAAATGGGCATAAAAACACATTCATGATTCCTCTCCATTAAAGTTTTACACAAATAAGATGTCTTTATGAAACTTGAAATTATAGTCTTTATATCAATTAGAAAATCCTTTGTTACATACATTCATTATGAAATGAAACCATTATATTTTAATATCACAAATGAAAGGTAATGCCTTCCATAAAATGTAGCTGTGAAGTATACCAAAAAATACTTTCCACCTATGTAGCTAAATATACACAATGAATTATAACTAATTCAGATTAACATCAAAGGAAGCATTCAAATATATTGTAAAATCTAAATTACATGCAATTTTTTTCCTAAAATGAAATCTTAAGATTGTAACCACTGAAACAATTCTGACCTTTTGACATGTTTTAATGACTTAGGAAAACATTTCTTTAATTACCATATCAAAGCTCAGTGCTACACCACAGAAAATTTATTTACTGTAGGGTTGTTGTAGATTTGTGTGTGTGTATATGTGTGTGTTTGTAGGTGTAGCTGAGTTTGTTCTTAGAGTTTTTTTGTTGTTGTTGTTGACAGAGTCTTTCTGTGTCACCCAGGCTGGAGTGCAGTGATGCCATCTCGGCTTACTTCAACCTCCACTGCCTGGGTTCAAGTAATTCTCCCACTGAGGCTCCTGAGTAGCTGGGATTGCAGGCACGCACCACCATGCCTGGCTAATTATTTTGTATTTTTAGTAGAGACAGGGTTACGCCATGTTGACCAGGCTGAATACCTGATCCGCCCATCTCTTCCTCCCAAAGTGCTGGGATTATGGGTGTGAGCCACCGCGCTGGGCCCCAAAATAAACTTTTATCATCCTGAATATGCACTTGGTTTACCTCTCCTTTAGCTGGAATAATGCAAATAGTGCCTCAGTTAACTACTTGACTGAATGAAGACAAATATAGATTTGTACTGTCAAAGATAAAACAGCCAGATCTTAGAGTGGTAAAAACAGATTTTATTCAAATATTACTGACAGTAGAATAAAGAGCTGAGATCCACTTCAATTTGTACAAAGGAAAATTGGGTATTTTAAAAGGGGAATGAGGAAGGAGGGAGTGAGGGGCTCAGTAGAGTGAGAGAAGTGAAAAAATATGAAGTGTTGGTTAGTGTCAGTGTGATCATGCCAGCTGAGTGTGTTAGCTGGCAGCTATCTAAGTTAGAATTCTATCTTCCACAGACACCAGGAGACAGGATCTATCCTCTCTAAGGATTACATTTCAAAGAAATGGCTCTCAGGTCCTTGAGAGACACATCTGAGTTGTAAGAGACACATATTCACAATTGTAGGCCCTTTTTGTAAATGCACTGAGAAAGGGCAGTTGGCCCTGTCTCAGGTGTGGCTGGAACAGTCAATTCTGTCAGCCTTGTTCTTCTTCAGGCAGGCATTTTAATGCGGTCCTGGGATCATCCTAGGGACATGGCCCTATGCTGCTAGAAGCCATGTTAGCGGTTGATCAAGTCTCTTAGGGGAGGGGTTTGGATGGGGTTATGAGCTGGGAGTTCTGCAGCTCTCATTATGAATACATCAGTGAAAACTTTATTAGAGGTGTATCTACTTTCATTGGAAAACTATTAAAGTCCTGAAATATAAGTTATAGGTAAACTGTGATTTATATGTATGTTTATTATAATCACGTAGTTATTATAATACAGTTGCATTATCAAAACTAAAACAAATGAAATTCAGAATAACTCCCAAAATTAATGTGAGAAGACAAGGTGTATACACAGGTCATGTTTTGCTAAGATCTTGAGCAGGCAACCTAGTGAGAATACAATCTCTGCTACGTTTATATCCAGTCTGATCTTGAAATAATTATTATCTTTAAATTTTAATCTTATTTTGTAATAAGCTAATATTTATCATCTGAAAGTGGATTCATAAAGAAATTCACCCCATGGATTTATTGTGAAGAAGCTCTAACATAATGCATTCAGAGTGGTTATCACAATGCCAGGAAAATAGTAAATCATCAATTGGTAGTTACTAAGAACTAGGAAAATGTCATTGCAAGAAATGCAATTTTTTAAAAAATTAGGCTGGGCACTTTGGCTCATGTCTGTAATCCCAGCACTTTGGGAGACCAAGGCAGGAGGATCACTTGAAGCCAGGAGTTCAAGATCAGCCTGGACAACAATGTGAGACACTTCCTCTACAAAAAAATTAAAAACTAGCCAGCATGGAGATGTGCACCTGTAGTCCCAGCTACTAAGAAGGCAGAGGTGGGAGGAAGGCTTGGAGGCTTGAATCTAGGAGCTACTGCACTCCAGCTTGGGTGACAGAGTGAGAACCCATCTCTAAAAAAAAAAAAAAAAAAAAAAAAAAAGAAGAAGAAGGAGGAGAAAAAGAAAAAATACTGTGAATAATAGCACCGGAGCATATGTAAAAAATACATTTGGCCAGGTGCGGTGGCTCACACCTATAATCCCAGCACTTTGGAAGGCAGAGGAGGGCAGATCACTTGAGGTCAGGAGTTCAAGACCAGCCTGGCCAACATATTGAAACCCTGTCTCTACTAAAAATACAAATCAGCGGGGCATGCGCCTGTAGTTCCAGCAACTCAGGAGGCTGAGGCAGGAGAGTCACTTGAACCCAGGAGGCAGAGGTTGCAGTGAGCTATGATCATACTACTGCACTCCAACCTGGGCAAGATAGTGAGACCCTGTCTCACACACACACACATACATGCACACATACACACACACATGCACACACAAACATTCAAACTGTCCTATTGTCCAGTTATAATTAGCCATATCTATATGCTAAATCTGAAGATAAAATATAAATCACAATACTTCCTCATTTTAGAGTTTTTTCATTATGCTATAAAAGTAAAAAGAAAGTATCATTAAGACAAAACAAATAAGATGTTTGGTGGGAGAATAAGTGTAAGAGAAAATATGAAAATCATAGCCAAAACTGTTTACATTATCATTAGACCCCAACAAATGACAACTCAAAAAAAGAGATACAAAAACATGACAAATTTATAATACATAGATAGTAGGGGGAAGAGGAGAGAAGAGATAATGGCAAAATGATATAGAAAAAAAGTTAGGTACAATAGTAATGAAGACCCTATTAATAAAAGATCAGGCTATCATGAGGAAAAATTTTTGACATATGCTCCCAAGATGGAATTTGGAATGAAGTTTTCCACATATTTTGTAATATAAAATCTATTCAAATTCATATTATGTGTATATTCATAAAAATAAAACAAATCATGAAAGTATTAGCCAATGTAATCACCCACATAACAGCATGGGATAAGAAGCAGCTTCCATGTCTTGATTAAAGCATACTTTTATCTCTCATATGCGTTTTGTTTGTCTTTTTGCTAAACAAAAGATGAATGTTGCTTTTGGCAGAAAATATTTACAATATCTGCCAAAATTACTCTTGGTAGATGGCAATTCAAGTAGTAAATATCTTTTTTATGGATAATTAGTTGATTGAATGTCTGTATGAATTAAAGTCTTTTAATATTCATGGCTAATTTATATCTATGAATATTTTATTAATTTCTGTGTTTTGTGAAATAATGATGTTACAATAACACAGAACACAAACACTTGCCATTAATAAACTGTAAATAATAAGTCAGTGACAATTCTGTGATAAAGTATCACCCAGTGCTTCCTTGACAGAGCATTATACAATGCAAAATACTAACTCCGTGACTCAGGTATAGAAATATATAATTTATTAT
The DNA here is from genome assembly GCF_000001405.40 of Homo sapiens. Taxonomy (NCBI): domain Eukaryota; kingdom Metazoa; phylum Chordata; class Mammalia; order Primates; family Hominidae; genus Homo; species Homo sapiens. Next base: position 66,785,858 of record NC_000018.10, on the reverse strand, counting down.
TTTTCTAAGAAATTTAAAAATCTAGCTATAGAGATGCCTTTATTATTTTCAATACTTTATAGAATCATTTGATTAAATGAAGTCAAGTTTACATTTTGGTAGCAGAACTGTTATCCACAGAATGGGTCCATCACCTGCCTTAGACAGATACTCACATTTTGGGGGTAGACTTTGATTTATTGGTCTCTCATATTGTTCTGCTTAGGGAAATATTTGTTATTGGACTTACGTCAGTGTATTGCAATTCTTTGTTTACTTCTGTTTTCTTTTTCACTAATCTGTAAGTGTTTAACGGCAGAGGCAATATGTGATGTTTTGGTTTTATTTATTTTCGGGCTCTAATACAATAAAAGCTTTCTATGAATTAACAAATAATTGCTTGGAAATTAAAAACCTTCACCAAAGAACAAGAGAAAGAAATTAAAATTTAATTCTAAATACCTAAGCGTGGGATGCTGAATCATCATCATAATTATCTGATTCTTTTCTAGAGTCCAGCAAAAGAATGGTTTGTGTGCTAGGGCTTACTTGTCAGATTCTTGCATCTCTTATATCTGATTACAGCAACAGCTTGTCTGCATACAACTTTGGCAATATTTTCACTAGTGCCCAAATGTGAATCAGCCACAGGAGAAATCCAGGCAGGTGCATGCACCTGCCCCCCATGGAGACAGAGCCTCTAGTCATTCCAGCTGAAACAGTCGAAAACCAATTTAGGAAAAATTTGAGCTGAAAACGACAGCTCCAGTAGAAAACTGCCTCTGTAAATGTCACCATTCTGACTCATGTCAGTATCTACAGCAGGAATACCTCTGTAACAGAAAGCCTGAATCAAAAATCCTAAAACAGACTAACCATTTAAATTAATATATTTTTAGTGGTTGCACCAATTTCCAGATCTCACTCAACCTATAAAAGTTACAACTTTTCAATACCTCTTCCCACATTTCTCCAATTTGACTTCTCTTATAAGGGTGATCTCACACCATTACCATAAAGCAATGATCTGCTCTCCAGACAGTCAACCTGAAAGAGAAATCAGGCGTGATAGACAAAGAGTAGCCTTAATTTCAATATTTGTGTCTCATATTTTGTAAAAAAGAATAGGACCTTTTTTGAGATCTGTAAATAATTATTTATTATTAGAAATATTGTTATTACAAATATATTGATGAGTAGAGTATAATATGAATATTATAATTTTAGAAACAGAATTCTAAAATATCTCTGCTTGAGCCCCTGCTCCCTCACATGTTAGTGTGTACACAAATGCAGCACAAATATATTTGCACTTCAGTCTCCTTTTATTAGCCTATTTACCAAAGCATCTATGCTATAAATAATATATTTATCAATATGAAATAGTTATTATTATTATTATTATTATTATTATTTTGAGACGGAATCTCGCTCTGTTGCCAAGGTTGAGTGCAGTGGTGCGATCTCTGCTTACTACAACCTCTGCCTCCCCGGTTCAAGCAATTCTCCTGCCTCAACCACCCAAGTAGCTGGGATTATAGGTGCATGCCACCATGCTTGGCTTATTTTTTTATTTTTAGTAGAGATGGGATTTCACCATATTGGCCAGGCTGGTCTCAAACTCCTGACCTCAGGCCCACCATGGGCTCCCAAAGTGCTGGGATTACAGGCATGAGTCACCGTGCCAGGCCTGAAATACTTATTTTAAATCCAGCATTTATTTAGTAGCTGAGGCAGACAGAAAGATATAAAGGAATGGTATGTTTTCCATGAACTGACAGTCTTTATCAGTTCAAAGCCCAACTGCAGTCAAAATCTCTGACAAAGTTTAAGTTTATGAATTGGTTATCATTCACTCTCTGGTTTAGAATTATTTAAATTTTTTATAAATTTTATTTTATCAAATATGTTACACTATTTCTAAGGGGGTTACACATAGCTGAGGATAGAGGCATTTTTCCATTACTTTATTGACAGTCACTGAAATGCCTATTTGTTGTACAAATGCTACCTAGCATCACCTTTTTAAAGATTCTTTGCTTAGTCTTGTAACACTTTGCATAGCTGAAGGAAAAAAAATGTTGACATACACTTGGAGTTTAAATTTTTATGCAGGGTTGAAACAAGGCAAAGTTAAAATGTTCTATGTAGATATTTAAATTACCTACAATCTTTGCAATGTTAGAACTGTCTTTACTTGAATTCAGTGTTAACATGATCAACTCTAAGCAAGTTAAACACCAAAGCTGAAAGAAATTGCTCACTAATTTTAAATTACACAGGTAATGTGTAGATTCTTAAGAACAATTTGTTAAATATTATTTTATAAGCAGGTTTCCCCTTGTGTAATTAAGCCTTATGGAGTCCAAATCAATAATTAATACATGTTTTCATAGGAGTCTTGAATGATGGATAATATTTTATGCGAGTTAGAAAAATTGTCTACCTATTTTGGAAGCCAGAGAAAATATTTTGTAGCCTTAATTACATGAAGAGCTGAGGCTTTGGGTTATGCATGCTTCCTGATCATTTCATCCTGGAATTTTAACTATTTGCATTTGCTTCTAGTCATATTCTGCTGTCTATTGTATCAAGGAACTTTATAGTCAGGTGGCTATAAAATGACTTTGTACTGGTTTAGGTCCAGATTTTCATTTATCGCCAACTTAGTCTTGGTGGTATCTCTTAATCTTTGTCCCATGTAGACCCAAGAAATCCAAATCAACTTGTTCCCTTTTTTATAACAAAGCTTAATTAAACATTTTAAATTATTCTCATTTTCTGCCATCTCGTTCTCAGAGTACAAAATCTTTATAAAAATGTAAGTCTGATTTGCTTTTTCCCTTCTATTTGTTATAATACAAATCCATTCAAATGTTGGTATTTCAAAGTGCAAAATTCTCCTTAAATTCTACTTTGTAAATTACTAGAGCTAGAGAATTTCTTTCTTTGGACAGAAATAAAAGATTATTCTCCATATCAAGGGCTATTTGAGATGTCTTCAATTTCTCAAAAATCTTTATATATATTTCTCTTTATCAAGTACCTCTCTGTAAAGCTGCAACTATATTTTAAAAGATTCCAGCAGATCTCTTGCTCACTAAAGTGTTTATTGAAAGCCTCAGATCAAGGCAACCTCAAATTACCTACACAAGTATTTTTAGCACCAAAAATTATGCCCCACCATTAATTTTATCCCATCCTCCTGAGGAAAAGACTCTGGTAATATCTTTGATCTTTACTTTCAGATACAACATGAAAATCAGAGTCAAATTCTTCTAAGGCAGCAGCTCAGCACTCTGGAGCTAGGCCAATGTCCTATTGATAATATTGGTCAGTTTATTTTAATAGTATATTCACAATATGCTTAAAATTCTCTATACTTGTAAGTTACAGAAAAATAAGCACTTTCTGTGTATATTTCTTTCTTTTTAATTTTATTTATTCATTTTTATTTTTATTTTTTTGGACATAGAGCCTCACTCTGTCACCAAGCTAGAGTGTAATGGTGCAGTCTTGGCTCACTGCAACCTCAGCCTTCCGAGTTCAGGCGATTCTTATGCCTCAGCCTACCAAGTAGCTGGGATTACAGGTTTGTGCCACCACACCTGGCTAATTTTTGTATTTGTAGTAAAGACAGTGTTTCTCCATGGTTAACCAGGCTGGTCTTGAACTCCTGGCCTCAAGTGATGTGCCTGCCTTGGCCTCCCAAAGTGTGGGGATTATAGGTGTGAGCCACCACATCTGGCCCTGTGTATATTTCTACTGTGTACATGTGAGTATATGTAGGTGTACATACATGGTTATGTTTTTATGTACTTGAAAAGTAACCTCTCAATGATACTACTTACTCCTAGGATTACTTTATTTTGAGATTATTTTAGGAACAAGAATATCTAATTATTGTTATCCTCTAAATGCTTAACACTTATATTTAGTTTCCTTTGGTGGTTGATTATAGATACCTAGAAAAAAGGAGAATGCTACACTTTTAAATGTTTTTCTTCCTTTCTTCTGTCAATTGTGTCAAAGACATTTTTCTTACGTAATAACAGTTTCAATATGCCAACATAAATTTCAATGACTACTTTAACAACTTTCAATGTTTTGTTCAGTTCTGATTGTTTCAATAAGATTGATTTAGTTAATGTATCTTTTGTTATTGCTTTTTATTGTTAGCTATTTATTTGAAAATAAAATGCACTGTAGGAAATTGATTTCAATTTCAAGGGAAAAAGGTAACTGAGAGACAGGCAAACTAAGAAAAAGAAAACTGAATTAAAAGTACACATTGAAGACAAAGCTCAAGTCTTCAAACTCCTATTCGTAATTCATTATTTTCATAACCCTACACCCCTTTAATGATTCTGAGTAACAATCTGTGAATTATGCCTGAAACTTGGTTCAAATTCCTTTTACATTTGTAACATATTTTACAACTAGAAGACTCAGTTAAACATATTTAACCAATAATCTATATAACAATGGACATTGACCATTAAATTATTCTTAGATAAAATCTGGATCTGATTTTATATTAATCAGAGATCCAGTAAAGCCAGAAATTTTAAAAATTTGATTAAATATTGCTATTTATTAATAAGGAATAAGAACAAGTGAAAATAAAATATTAAGAAGAGAGAGAGAGACATTTTACATTCCAAAGAGTCCGAATTTCAATAAAGGTGAGTAAAGTGTAATGTAGCAAAGAATTCTTCACAAACCTTTTAGTATTCAAATTATGGCATGCATGCTGCATGGTGTAATTTTACAAGCCCACAAAATAGTAACATTAATGGCCCAGCATCTTTAAAAATCAAAAGCTTGAAAAATGATTCACTTGCCATGCATATTGAATATTAATAACATCAAGTAGTTGAGTTTATTAACCTTTTACATTAATGGTCAGAAATGAAACATGCTGAGAACAATTGCATGACAGAAGGGGAAAATGTTTCTGACGACTATTGGGTTTCATTTGACAGTTAATAAAACCACCAAGTACATATTATGTTATATTATCTGAGAGCTGGATTCCATATGACAAGTCATTATTATTAAAGGCAAATGGAGGGTATTTTCAAATACACCCCGGAGTGAGTTAGACTAAAATATGATAGTACACTCTTGAATGTCAAGGACATTTTGTGCAGTGTGTAATGGAAAACTACATGTAATGTGCAATTTGGGAACTATTTCATGTTCCTCTGAAGACCTCAAAGCATCACACTGAATATTTTATTGAAAGATGTCACACTCTGCTATAGGTTCAAGTTCATAACAAGTATTTATAGACAATCATCATTTAAATGGCAGAGATAATATGTCAAAGCTAAGTTCATTATAGTTAGCATATGAATAAGTGTATAATGTCTTACCCTTTCTATTTTTCCCTTCATTTTCTATTATTTAAAAATAGTCAAGTTTTACATCATCCATAAGTCATTGCTGTTAGAAAATTAGCGCCATAAATGACTGGGTGATTTTTCTCAATAACATAGTAAGTGGTAAGCTATGGTTTTGACTAATTATGCCTTCCTAAATGTCAGTTACATTCATTAGAACATGTGAAGACCATTGGCAGTGGGACAATTTTGTTTTAAGAATGCTAAACTTTTAAAGTATGCAAATATTGGTAATAGCAGAAATAAGTGCTTTGCTATGATGAAGAAATTCGAGAAGTTTGACTAGAGAAAATTTACTGTTCAGTATGAAAATTGTATTATGTAGTAAAAGCTAAGAATTTGGAATCATAGCATCCAAATTAGGGTGAAGTTTAATACTTAAAGGCTAACTGCCATTTAATATGAGATCTACTCTAAGTAAACAGCTTAACCCCTCTAAACCTCAGTTTTAACTCCCATTATTCTTAATCACGCCCATGTGACAAGGTTGTGTCCAGAATTACATATATGGGAGAATCTTTATAAACTATGATAAAGTTATAAAATGAAACACGTAGTGATTAATAGTTACAATATAAAGAGTAACATAAAGGTGATCATTAGTTCCCTGAAAATGTGGGTCAGGAATTGTGAGAAATGAGAAGGAAGAATAAAGGACAGAAAGGAATTTGGGAGGATGATGTACATCTTCATTATTATTTTGACTGTGGTTATGGTTTTGAGGGGTGTATACTTATGCCAAAATTTCTTATATCCCAATAAACATATTTTAAAATACTAGGACTACTATCAGTGTGAAAAAAAAAAGTAGATGCATTTCACAAATATGCTATTGGACAAAATAAAGTAGTATCAAAATAATATGCAATATACTTTGATTCATGTATAGCTTAGAAACAGGCAAAAATTATATAGACTTAGAAGTCAGGATAATTGATATTGTTAGGGAAGAGTAGTGATTGGTTAAGAACAAATGGATAGTGGAGTGATGAAAATACTCCATGTCCTAACCTGGGCTGCAGTTAGATGAGTTATGTTTCTGATAACTTATTAAATGATACATTATAATTTGTGCACATTGCTTTAGGTATGTTTTACTCCAATAAAAAGATTATTTAAGAAAGCAATAATTCATGGGCTAAAATGGTTACCTCAGCTGGAGTTCCTTGATCATTTGTTGCATACTAATTGAAATAAGTAATTTACCTGGATAAGTAAAGATCTTGTTCTCCATAAGAACATACCTAAGAGTTCTAGTTCTAGAGTTCTACTAAGCCCCTTACTAATAAAAGTCTTAGTGATCACCAAGGAGCAAATTTTAAAACAAAAAAAAAAGGATGTTACCTAGTAAATATTTTATTCTAGCTTCTCCAGAGGAGCAGAACCAATAAGGTATCAATAATAATGATATAAAATAATAGATCGCTTCTCTGCCTTTCGGCTGAGGTCAAGTGTAAAATAATAGGTAGATTATAGACAGATAGACATAGATAATAAATACTTGTCTAGCACAGTTATACAGGCTGAGATGTCCCAAGATCTCTAGCTGGCAAGATGGAGACTCAGGAGAGCTGATGATGTCATTCCAGTCCAAGTCTGAATCTAGAAGGCCAGAGAAGAGTAATGTCTCAGGTTTTACTTAAAAATAAGCAGTTAAGCTTTACATAATCCGTTAATCACTCCCATTAGAAAATTAGTCATAAGCAATTGGGTGATTTTTCACCCAGTCAGGCAGAGGGAGCAAATTCTCTTACTCGGCCTTCAGGACTTCTGGCCTTCAGGACTGCCATCACATCCTGATGAGCAGTCTGCTTTACTTAGTCTACTAAGTCAGATGTGAATCTCTTCCAGAAACACCCTCACAGACTTACCCAGAATAATGTTAAACCAAACATCTGGACACCTGATATAGGCCCATTGGAATATTGAGGCCACTGCCAGATGAGTTGACACATAAAATTAACCATCACAGAACGTAAGGGTAAAAGGTCAGAGGAATGTGACATTCTGTATTGAGAATGGTAGACAAGGCCGTTCGGGGATAGAGAAAATATATAAAATAAACAAAACTGAATCAAAGTTACAAGTATATGCTTTAGTATTTCCAGTTGTGAATTTCAAAGACATTTGATCTTTTTAAATCTCTCTCTTGGAACCATATCAATGTCATCACCCAGATCTGCCCATACCATTTTAATTCTTGCCTAATTGCCTCTGATTTTATTTCTGCTAACAACACCTTGATTCAATTTGCCGTCACCCATTAACTGGACCATGTGTGTGTGCATCTGACCTAGTTTTCCTGTGTGACTCTTGCTGCTGCAATGCATTTTCTAAAAATCAGGCACATAGATTTCCTTAAAACATATACTCAGTTTGTCAATTAAAATGACTGGGGAAGATTTTCCATTTGCCTTAGAATAAAGTTTCATGGGACTAAAATTACCTGCAGTGCTCTGCATGAACTAGTTGGTCTCTAGCTTCCTCTCAGGCTCTGTATTGCATGAATAACTTGCTCTATCCATTACAATATTAACCTCCTCTTTGTTTGGGGAATTCTGCAAATTAATCCTTCCTTTAGAACATTCACACATCTGTGCTCTTTCCATGGCACACTTTTTCCCAAGCTGACTCCTATGCATTATTACATCATTATAGGTTTGTATTAAATGTTACTTTTTTGAAGACACTATCTCTGTCAACCTTTTTGCAAGGAAATTTATAGCTCATAGTTGTCTTCATCAGTATGGGTTAGCACTGTTCATCAAGTATTCATTAGCCCCAATTATTGCTTGTCTCTATATCCATTGACAGTGTCTTTGTATGCATTTGTAGCCAATTTGGGCAGCTAGAAATAGGTGAAAAAAAAAGTTACCTATCCTATCTATCATCTCCTCTTCTTGTACTAAACTACCACTAACTGTAATCACAAATATAATATTGCATTATTAATATGAATATTTTGATATGACACAATGGTCATGAATAAAATGTTGATTTCCCACTTTTATTGTGTAATATTTGAAAAAATATATAAATATTTTACCCTTCACCAAAATGTGTTTATTAACCTAGAGCTATGAACTATAATACTTTCTAGTAAATTTTCTGATGAAATAAAATCGAAGTGGGAGAAATAACTAAACAATGATACCAAATACCCATTTTGAGTCTGTCATTATTTTTTGTGTGTCTAATGGAGCTATACATTGAACTTACTTCTATGGAGCTGCTTCCTCACTTCCACTGCTCTGGAAAAGAGTAGGGAGTGGATGTTCATTGACATATAAAACTTCCATGATTTAATCTGCACACACTGCAACCCCAGAGCATTCCTTAAGTCTTGACACAAAACTGTGCACACAATTGGGAATGCCTAGTAGAAACTGTGAATTGGAAACATAAGCTTTTTTTTTTTTTTTTTAAAGGATATTTGAAGACAATAGTGGAATGGCATGGTTTGGCTGTGTCCCCACTCAAATCCAACTTGAATTGTATCTCCCAGAATTCCCACGTGTTGTGGGAGGGACCCAAGGGGGAGGTAATTGAATCAAGGCGGCTGGTCTTTCCCGTGCTATTCTCTTGATAGTGAATAGGTCTCACAAGATCTGATGGGTTTATCATCGGGGGCTTCCGCTTTGGCTTCTTCCTCATTTTCTCTTGTCGCTGCCATGTAAGCAGTGCCTTTCACCTCCTGTCATGATTCTGAGGCCTCCCCAGCCATGTGAAACTGTAAGTCCAATTAAACCTCTTTTTCTTCCCAGTCTCAGGTATGACTTTATTAGCAGCTTGAAAATGGACTAATACATGGATATAGGAATAACTGGTTTTCTGGGACAGTGATTCAATATGAAAGAGAAAAATTACTATTTAGATAAGGCAAGGCAATGTAGAAATCGTATATCTATCTATGCATACATACACATACATGTATATGTATTTGTGTGTGTATATGTACACACATAAATACACACATATATGTGTGTATATATATGTGTGTATATATTTTATATATATATATATATATATATATATATATATACACAGAGAGAGAGAGTGAAAGAGAGAGATGTGTGTGTACATGTATGTGATGCTTAAATTAAGTGTGAACTTTACTGAATTAGGAATACCCAAAAAGCTGTATTATTGCATAATTTCAGTGCATCTCTGTGAGGAGTTTATGGAGGAGATTGGCATTTGAATCAGAGAAGTGAGTAGAAAGATATGCCCTCATCCAGTGTTGGCAGGCACTATCCAATCAGCTGAGGGTTTGGGTAGAACAAAAAAGCAGAAGGCAAATTCCTCCCTCTCCCATTTTTTCCTGCCCTTGAATTGAACATTAGAACTCCAGGTCATCAGCCTTTGGCCTTAGACAGAGGGTTATACCACTGGCTGTCCTGCTTCTGAGGCCTTCAGACTTGCACTGTTCCAACCTGTAAGCTTCCCTGTTTCTCTGGCTTGCAGATGGTATATTGTGAGACACCCTGAGCCTCCAAAATAATACAGCCAATCCCTATGATCAATTTCCTCTCATATTTCTCTCTCTATATATTCTATTTGTTCTGTTTTTTGGGGGGAACTCTGACACAATGTACACATAGAGCGAAACTCATTCTGATACGAATAATAGGTCTTTATTGTGGGAGGTACTTGAGTGAGAAAGATCAGTTGCCCTTAATCTTTTATTTCATTTGTTACCAAGATAATACATGGAAAATGTAAATAGAACTGAGATTAATTGTCCTTACTTTTTTATTTCCTTTGTTACCAAGATAATACATGGAAAAGGTAAAGAATGTACTTCAGTTTGTAATAACAAGATACAAATTATTAACCCTAAAAATGGGACAAATAATGATGATAATCTATGTCAGAGAATAGGAATAATCAATGAAGTGAAACTTGTGAGATCTAAGAGTACAAGTTGCATTGTTTCCCCAATTCAGAAGGAGGAAAGTCATTGGTTTAGTTATTAAAAAGTTCAGTCAATTAGACAACAACAGTCTTCTATAATATTTATCTCAGTGTGGTACAGAAGGAACGTAGGTTTTTGATTTCACTATGCTGGCGTATTTTTATATATTGCTGTTACAAGTAATCTATTTTGTGACATTTCACAAAACTAATAAGTTGTAACTTTAAATTCATTGTTTCTCATTCTTGAGTTACAAGTTCTTTTAATTTGTTTATGAAAATTGATGGATCTAAATGGAATTTTGATGGTAAAGCCTCAGGTTATAAAATGCTTCATTTACATATCACACAGAATAGCACTTTCAATTTTTGCATTATTCTAATATGTAACTGAGTTTATAACAATATTATTTTTTCCTGCAATGAAAGTAGCACAGTACATTGATTAGCATGATTGCAGATTGATTAGATTTCATTCTACATTGATGAGTCAAAGGAGACAGGCAAAGGAAACTCTGCTGACTCTGAATTTATGAAATGGCAAGTGAAACACTCTCTGTTAACCAAGCAGCATTTAAAGTTATTTCCTATTCCCCGAGAATTTATTCTAAGCTCTGCATCACAAATACCATAGGAGAATAAACATTGAGTGAAATAAAGCAATGAAACTTGCATATTAAAGTAGAGTAATTATTTTCAGGAAGGGTCCCCAAAGAAAACACCTAACGAGAAAAATATTCCCAAAGAAACAAATGATATTTACCTCAAGGAGAAATAAACAAAATGTCAGTTTTACCATGAAATATCCACAAACAGCAATACTATAATTGATATTTTGATGATATAATGAGTATAGTACTACTCTAGTTTATATTTATTTATTCAATATCAACATTTTTAATACTAACTTAAGCCAGGCACTGTGTCAGACTCTGAGGATACAGTGGAGAGCAAGATTAGTTGTCTGGAACAGTTTGTCATAATCCTATGTGACTTAATCTCTGCACAACCATTGATAATTTTGGCACCTCTTTTTCTGATGCACTTTCTCTCCTTTGTTTTCAAGGTAACTATAGTATCTTGGTTTTCTTTCTAATAAAACTTACTTTTATTTTACTTTGGCAGTGAAAAATTTCCTTTTGACTCAGAATAGTTCTCAACAGTCATAGATAGAAGAATAGATTCTAATCTATGTCCTGGGTTCAAATTTACTCTCTATATTTTACTCAGTTATATGTCTTCATGCATTTAAAAAAATAGTATTTTGTCCACAAAACACTGATTTTTATTTTTTTCTAGTTCTGTAATTGACACCAGTAACTTTTTTTCATTTACTTTTAAAACTTTAAAGTTAAATGTTGAGTTTTTTTAGCCCTTTATTACTTGCTTACAAGTAATGACTATGCATGGTAAATACTATCTAATTTCTGTGCTCATGGACTGTATTCTCAGAAGGACTTAAATATCCTTGCTTCAGTATATAACACAATAAAATATTAGTACTTCATTATACACATTTTATCTTCCCACTTCAATCCAGTCATCTTAACTCTTCACTTTTAAAGCCCAGCTTTAGTCATGTCACTTCTATATACTTCCAAAATATATTTGCAAAAATAAAACCATAAATTGTGCTCCACCATCTGCTGAAATAAATGGTTTTCATTATAGCATTTAAGACCATCCATAACATAATCACCTTTTTTTTTTTTTTTTTGGAAACTACATTCTTAAGAACAGTGAAGGGACTGAAATTTTACCCTGATTTTATATAGCAAGATAGCCTTCCAGTTTCATGGATGCTGGGGAAAACAAAGATGACTACTGGTTTTACCCCCCGCCCCTCCCACCACAAAAAAAAGAAAGAAAAAAGAGGAAAAACTCTTATGATTCAAGACACAGCAGGCATCATGAGCTTCATGCTCCCATAAATTTCCCTTGCCCTCAAAGTCCAGGGGCAGTGTGGAGAAGCCCAGTTGGATGTTGTACACACAAGAGACTTGTGTCATAGCTGAAAAAGTGAGAGCTTAGGAAACCTTAAAGTTTTAAAGTGTTCTTAGTATATCTATCCAACCTTTGCCTCAGAGTAAGACAAAGGCTTCAATATTGCAGCCAGAAAACAAATCCATCCTCTGTTCCCCAGAGGCAGACAATATCTCCATCTTCCCAGGCTGTCTGCTATACAAATCCTCAAAGAGACAGTCAAAAATATACACAATCATAAGGCATACAGAAATGCAAAGGACCCAGTTATAATTGTCTCATAATATACATCTTCTACTCCATTGTAACCCCTCACTGAACTCTAATTTCATATTATCAGATAGGTTTGGTAAGACAGGGATTAAATGTGTTGACCAGTAAAGGGGTATATTTTTGGCCTGACAAACATAGTAGCTTGTGTTTTGTATTCTCCCACCTTAAGTGCCTGTTATACTTTTCTATTTTCTTTAACAAAACAAAAAAAATTCTATTAAATTTAGTTTAAAATTGGAAACAGATGACACACTTACATTATGTTTTATTTGATTACAAAAATGTGGCAGGGATCAAGGAAAGAACAAGTTATAATGCAGAAGCCCCATGCTGCCAGCCCCGTTGCTGTTATCGCCATAAAAAAATGATGTGAGGATTTATTCTGGACAGAGAGACAAGCAGATCCTTAAGAAGAGCAGTGACCTTTAGTAAAGTGAGCATAGCTGGCTTGAGGAAATTACTACAGCAGGGGAAAATAAAATAAATACCCAATCCTCATGATTTACTCCCCCTTCCTATGTCCAGCTTTGGATCCCTGTAAGCCAGTTCTTTTTTTTTGAGATGGAGTCTCACTCTGTCGCCCAGGCTGGAGTGCAGTGGCGCAATCTCGGCTCACTGAAACCTCCGCCTCCCGGGTTCACACCATTCTCCTGCCTCAGCCTCTCGAGTAGCTGGGACTAGAGGCTCCCGCCACCAAGCCCAGCTAATTTTTTAGTATTTTTAGTAAAGACTGGGTTTCACCGTGTTAGCCAGGATGGTCTCAATCTCTCGACCTCATGATCTGCCTGCTTCGGCCTCCCAAAGTGCTAGGATTACAGGAGTGAGCCACCGTGCCCGGCCCCTGTGAGCCAGTTCTAACCATAATGTAGAGAACATGGAAGATTGTTGATGTAAACCATATAGGTCAACCTCTCAATAAATCTACAAGTGGTATCACTGGTTTAACATTGCAAGCAATTCATATCCAAAATATCTTTCTGTAACCATCCAGAAGACCAGCTCATATACTTAGAGAATGGTGAAATATTGATAGTTCAGCTGTTCACAGTAGCAATAGACCAGCACCGTCAAGAAGACCATTTTTGAGCATGTTCGTAGCCATTCATAGTCTGTTTCTCCGCTGCCATGGGCATTTTGTAAGTAGGCCCATTATGCAAGTTAGGGTAATTTGTCTAAGCTGCTGACTTAACTCACAGACAAGACCATTCTTTCCCCTGATTATTGTGAACCTCCATTGCTGTTAATGCCTTCTAGTTAAGTATTTATATAAAATCTATTTTTTTCTTATTCTATGTTGTTCTAAATAGTCAATTCACATACTATCCCCAGATCTCCCAATCACCTATTTTCCAGATCCCTGAATTCCCTGTCAATCATTAGTCATTCCCTACTAGTTTGATCTTTGACTTAGATGAGGTCCAGAGATATACTGGTCAAAATTATGTTTATTGGGAGGGTATTCCCACATCCTTGTCTTTCCAGGTTATTCCTCAATAAAATGAAATTCATCACTACGTATCTCAGACCCTTACTAACATACAGTGCAGATCTGTCTGTGACGCAGGTCGGTTTTCACTTTTCTGTTCGCTTGGTGTTGGTACTCAAAATAAGGTTGTCGATATGAATAAAAAATTGAAGTAATAAGTCTCCTAAACTTGCTGATGCAATTTTTGGGAACCTTACGGATCTAGTCAAGCCTTGCCATTTATGTAACACTTTTACATATTACAATTACATTTAGCTGGGCGTGGTGGCGGGCGCCTGTAGTCCCTGCTATTCAGGAGGCTGAGGCAGGAGAATGGCGTGAACCCGGGAGGCGGAGGTTTCAGTGAGCTGAGATTGCGTCACTGCACCCCAGCCTGGACGACAGAGTGAGACTCCGTCTCAAAAAAAAAAAAAAAAAAAAAACTGGCTTACAGGGATCCAAACACAGAGTCTTGCTCTGTCTAAAAAAAGCAAGGGTTTCTCTCTTTGTGTTAGCTGAGACAGAGATAGGGAAGCAGGGGCTATTCTAGATTAGACAATGTCAAGAAGTTGGAGCAATTTATGGTCGTGTATCCTAATATCTATCAAGAAAGCAAGGGAATTGAAGTAGAGCTAAATATTTACTCAGAAGAGGGGCACATTCAGTCATGTGTGTGTAATCAGTGTAGCCTGTCTCTATCCTGTTTTGACTCTTGAGTACATTCTGATGGGACTATCAAGTCTTGATATTCAAAAGGCTTACTTTCACTTTGCCTGGTGTCCAGCAGGGATTACTTTCACCTCTTTAATTAAAAACCTAATTTTTGTCCCGGCGTGGTGGCTCAATGCCTGTAATCCCAGCACTTTGGGAGGCCGAGGCGGGCGGATCACGAGGTCAGGAGATCGAGACCATCCTGGCTAACACGGTGAAACCGCGTCTCTACTAAAAATACAAAAAAGTAGTCGGGCGAGGTGTTGGGCGCCTGTAGTCTCAGCTACTCGGGAGGCTGAGGCAGGAGAATGGTGTGAACCCGGGAGGTGGAGGTTGCAGTGAGCTGAGATCACACCACTGCACTCCAGCCTGGGCAACAGCGAGACTCCGTCTCAAAAAAAAAAAAAAAAACCCTAATTTTTGAAATAAAATAGTGAAGGTATTAGAAAAGAAGTGATTAACTCAGGGTCCTACAGCTATAGTTGACAATGTCAGTATAGGCTCTAGAGTTCTAATTCTATACTCTCTTTGCTGTCACATTCTATGCCCGCATGTTTCTGGGATTTGTATTACACTTACCTGCTTAAACCAATTGATACCTATTTTGACAAGGTCAAATTGTCCAGGTACTTCCAGTAGGTAAGACTGTATAATTACAACTTAAAAATAATATGAAAATTTCCTGATTCCTTGGGTGTAACTCTTACCTTTGTCACATTTATTGCAATGTTATGCCGGTATGTTTTCAGGACATAATACCTAACATAGAAAGAAAAAAAAAGAGATGCATATTCTATTTTTCTCCTAGATATCTCCAAAATCCTGATCGGTATAATGATCCTGGGTGGTTGACAGCTTGTTTAATCTGAGCAGTTTCTGTTCAGAAATACACTGTGAAGGATTTTCTGTCTTCTCTGTGGATAAGATCAACCAGAACTGGGATAAATTGAGCAGCTTTGTAGTGAAAGAGCCATATCTTGGTACTGAAAAATGCTCTGTCTTTTCTGGCTTACTTTAGATAGCTTTTCTCACAGAAAATTGAAAGCAAATAAAGTATCTTTTCAAATACTGAATAATTCAATCTATACTCTATAATAATACCTAATAATTGCATCTATACTCTAATATATACTTATTAATACTTTTGAAACATATGAAATATAGTTTTACTAGATATATAAAATTTAATACTATAGTTTAAAAAATATATGAAATATTTCACATGGCCAGCAAAACAAACTGGAACAATTTCTTGCCCATTTCTTGTTAATACTTATATCTTGGAGATTAGCACAATAAATTAATTATGTAATACAGGGTGTTATATATTTTTGCACTTTTCTCCTTAGAATGTGCAACCCCCGTAACAAGGTTCACTTGATTCTTCCCTTCAAAGGATTCGATTTAGCCTTTCTGTTCTTAACTCTCCCTTAGCCACTACATCCAGCCAGCTGTGAATTGCTGGCAATCTGTCCTGAATATTTTATTGATGTGTGCATTTTCCTAAGCATACATCTCATTGAGGCAATTCTCCTTACTAATTCAGCCTCTTGACTTTCTCTCTGCTGCACTTTCATGTGAAGCCACCCTTCTTACACTTTCTAAAGCAATGCATCTAAAATCTGAATTTATTCATGTCATTCCCTCCCTTTAAAATGTCAGCATCACCCTACTCCCTTTACATTAAAACCTAAGATTACCTAGACTAAAGTCTAAAATTAACACGTGCTCTTTATGCCAGGGAGCGTTATTATCTCTAAGACTTAGTCCCCACCACGTACCCATTCTTTCTTTTTGTACTCCATATTCTAAGGATATAAAACTACTTTACCATGTTCTGAGTACCTCTTATACCTCTGTATCTTTGCTCACCATTATTCTTCCTCCTGGAAAATTCTCTTTTTAAATTTTTTTTCCATTTTTTTGTTGGCCAACTTCTAAGACTGAAAGTTAATGCATTCATAACGTCGCCCTGACATGTTTCGTTGGCATGTCTGTTTCTTCCATATGGCGTGCTGGATTTATTTATTTATTCATTTATATCATCTCTGGGAGAAGCACAGGGTCCACACAAGAATAGGTACACAGATATTTGCTGTATTTTACTGAAAACAACCATTTTCATAGCATATTTTGCGTATTTCTGTATGCATGCTTATCATTTTTACTATTATTAATATGCTTAAATTTATATGTTTCATAATGGAGTTCATCCCTTTTTTTAAGCCACAAACAATTTCCTAGCTTTTCAGTGCAATGCCTTCACATAGCATGCATTCAGTGAATACGTTATATAAACTATTGAGGAAAATATTAATAACACCAGAATTATAGAAATAATGTGTAATAATATAATGGAAGGTGAAATTAACTGCTTTAAGAATTCAGAGTCAGAAAACAGCTAACACCAGCGCTACAAAAAGGCATTTTTTTTGTTTGGTTCTGTTTTGTTTTATGTATGGTTTTTCTGTTTTGCTTCTGGTTTGTTTGTCTGCTGCCCCCATGACCTTTTTTTAAACAAAAGTAGTGGAGATGCTCAGGAATCGAGCTATTTGGACTGAAAAATGAACTTAATTCTTATGGACCTCAGTATATTCATGGGTTGAGTGACAAAGCTGAAAGAGATATTGCCTTAAATTAAGTCCCTTGCCCCTCTGACCTTCTGTATGTCTTTGCTCTGCGTTACATTACGATTAATAGCTTCGGTCACTGTAAAGAGGATCACTTTCTCTGGTGAGATAAAGGGGAATGGGAGACAGCTAAGAACTCTGTACAAATATTTAGAAAAAGTAAGAGAGAAAAGAGAGACATCTATTCATCCAGGTTTATTTACAAATATTGTAATTAATGATCAAATTCTTCATGTTTTACTTATTTTTGAAATTTATTATTTTAATTGACCAGTAAATATTGTATGTATTTACCATGTACAGGCTGTTGTTTTGAAATATGTATACATTATGAAATGACTAAATTGAGCTAATTAACATATTTATAATCTCACTTGCTTATGTTTGTGGTAAAAATATGTCAATCTGTGAGGGCTAAGGGAATGAAGCTCCTTAGCTTTGACTGTATTGGCATTAATGATAGACTAGTCAAAAATATAAAAAAATATTTTTAAAACATCCTACGTATTCTTTTTAGCAATTTTCAAGATTATAATCATTGTTATTAACTATAGTCATCATGTTGGACGATAGCTTTCTTGAACATATTTGTCCCAACATTTTCCCAGTCTCCTCCCTCCACAAGCCCCTGGTAATGAGCATTCTACTATCTACTTCTATCAGTTCAAATTTTGTTTTTTTTGAGACAGAGTCTTACTCTTGTCGCCCAGGTTGGAGTGCGGTGGTGCGATCTCGGCTCACTGCAACCTCCACCTCCCGGGTTCAAGTGATTCTTCTGCCTCTGCCACCCAAGTAGCTGCGACTACAGGTGCGTGCCACCACACCCGGCTATTTTTTGTATTTTTAGTAGAGATGGGGTTTCACCATATTGGCCAGGCTGGTCTTGAACTCCTGACCTCATGATCTGCCCGCCTCGACCTCCCAAAGTGCTGGGATTACAGGCGTGAGCCACCGCAGTTCAAATTTTTTACACTTTGCATTGAAGTGAAATCATGCAGTATTTGTCTTTCTGTGTCTACTTTGTTTGACTTAACATAATGTCTTTCCAGTTTATCCACATTGTTGCAAATGAGATGATTTTCTTCTGTTTTATGAATGAATAGCATTCCATTGTGCAAATATACTATATCTTCTTTATCCATTTAACTGTTGATGAACATTAAAGTTGATTTCATATCTTGGCTATTGTGAATAATGCTCTTTGAACATGGAAGTGCAGATATCTCTAACATACTGATTTCATCTCCTTTGGATATATACCCAGCAATGGGATTGCTGAATCATGCAATAGTTATATTTTTTATTTTTTGTTTTCAAAAAATTTTCATTATGGCTGTACTAATTTACCTTCCCACCAACAATTTCACCCTTAACTTCTTAACAATGATAAACTTCAGGGACTTCTTCCACCTAAACTGATGAGGAAATCTCTTTCAAATGGCTGATCCTAAAATATTCTGGTGAACATTTTTCCTATACAAAAGAAACTACCTGAAATTTTCATCAGACTGAAGACAAAAATGTCTTCCCCAAATCTTGGTATGAGGGCTAAGGGAGCATGCTCTTTAGGTTTGACTGTATTGGCATTAATGATAGACTAATCAAAAATATAAAAATATATTTTAAAAAAGTCCTACATATTCTTTTAAATATTTTTAGCTTGCTTCATATAGTTCCCTAAGAGTTCTGTAAATAAAGATGGTGTTTATCTGCCTGTTATAAATATATAACTTAAGGGTATAGGCCACAGTTTTGCCAGACTGAGTGTACTAGAAATGCTGAAGACTGTCATTTACTCATCAGTTGATTATTTTCAGGTTACAGTGTTCTCTTGGGTTTCTTTTATCTAACAGAAAGGAAAACAGATGTATTTCATGTTATTTATTTCATTGTCAAGACCCATGGCTCCTCAGTATAGAATGAAGAGTGGAAGTGAAGCTTCTCACCAGAGTTAATTTAGGATGGTACAATGGAAGGAGAATAAGAACGTGCCTCAAAAGCCTGCAGAAATTATTGTGACATCAGGTTATATTTTTATCTCCAGTTATAGACTAATAAATACATCTGAACTCAGTGGTGTACTCATTGCAGGGAAATAATATTTCACACCGACAAATAGTTACTTCTGTTTGTGGTAAGGGCACATCAGCCTATTATTTTAGATTTATTTTATTTCAAAGAAGAAACAGAAAAACCTATTTTTAATATGCTTCCTTAGAAGAATTTTTGTGTTTCTTTCTTTTTTTTTTTTTCAAACAAATTATCTAGGCCAGGGTGTAGTGGTTCATGCCTGTAATCCCAGCACTTTAGGAGGCCGAGGTGGGAGGACTGTTTGCAGCTAGGAGTTCAAGAGCAGCCTGGACAACATATCAAGAGCTCAGCTCTACCAAAAATAAAAATAAATAAAATTAGCCTGTGTGGCAGTGTACACCTATAGTCCTAGCTACTCAGGAGGCTGAGGTGGAAGGTATTTGATGATACAGTGTATTCCAGCGTGGGCAAAAGATCTAGACCCTGTCTCAACAACAGAAAAACAAAACAAAACAAAACAAAAAACCTGAGATAAAAATCTGCCTAAACTATATCAAAATTTCATTAAGACCATACATAAAATCAAGTCGATTATATTTCATCACATTTTTGTTGATTTCATAGGTTGTCTTTTGTGACAGGGTGGTAGGAAAGAGGATTATTCAAGAAAGTAACTTTGCAAAGTGACACTTTCTAAACTTGTATTCCAGTGTCCCTCACTACATTTTTTATTCTCGGTTTTACTGATTACTTCTAGCTTTCTGCCATATCTATTAAATACATGTTATTCTTTTAGAAGAGCACTTTGAAAAGAGTTCTGATAATGGGAAATGCATTTTTTATTGTAATTACTGTATTTTATTCATTACACTTTACATTCATATATTGCAAATATACATTAAAAAGTTATTAAGGTAGTTTTAGATATTTAGGCATTGAATATTACTAAGGTTGTAAAATAAGCTTACTAAGGGATACACTTTTTTTTTTTTTTTTTGAGACGGAGTCTTACTCTGTTGCCCAGGCTGGAGTGCAGTGGCATGATCTTGGCTCACTGCAAGCTCCGCCTCCCGGGTTCACGCCATTCTCCTGCCTCAGCCTCCCAAGTAGCTGGTACTACAGGCGCCCACCACCACGCCCGGCTAATTTTTTGTATTTTTTAGTAGAGATAGGGTTTCACCATGTTAGCCAGGATGGTCTTGATCTCCTGACCTCGTGATCCACCTGCCTCGGCCTCTGGAAGTGCTGGGATTACAGGCGTGAGCCACCACGCCCAGCTGGGATACAGTATGTTTTTATCTACTTTTTCAAAAGTTCAGATAGAATTATTTGTTCTACTCTTAAATAAGTATTATAAGCTAAGCAATCCCTGAAAAGTAAAAGAAAATTGCATTTCAAAAGTGGACATATGGTTTATCTAATAAATAGTACAAAATAGAGTTTTGATGTCCATCATTACTTGCTTTAACTTATTCCAAGAAGGCTAACTATTAATTAATATATATAATTCTGGGTGAACCAGTGTACTATATTACAAGCTTTTCTTTTTACAATTATATCTTGACATCAACTTTAATTGATAGTATTGTTCTTGCATTTTTCCTATTGTTTAAAAATAGACTGTAATTTGAATACACTACATACTACAGTCAGTATCTCCAAGTGATTTAGGATTTCCAGTATATAATTTTTTTTAAGTACCAGAATAATATGGACTGAGAAAGAACTTGTCAAATATTATCTTGCATGCTTCTCAGCTGCCTGTCTTCATATAAACAGAAATGGAGACCTTTCTCATCCTTATGTTCTTGTTATCTAATTTTGCTTAACAAATCATTCCAAAATGTAGTGTGTTACAACAACGAACATGTTACTATATCTCATGGTTTTTTGCTTTTTAAAATCGGAAATTGTGAGCATGTCTCAGGCGGCCATTTTTTGGCTGCATGTGTCATTAACTGAGGTCACTTGTTGCAATTGATTTGGCTGTTGGACTGTCACAGAGAGGCCAGTTTGGCTCCCCTCACACCCCATGTGCTTTGGCAGGGAATGCTAGAAGGCAAAGCACAGCTTGGACTGTTGGTCTGAGTTCTTACGCATGGCCTCTTCAATACAGTGGTCTCAGGATAGTTGGCCTTCTTTTGTGGAAGTTTTTGAACTTTGAGCTAGCAGTCCCAGAGACAGTACATGGAAGATGCCAGATCTTTAAAGCCTGGTCCAGGAAACTGACAGTGTCACATCTATAGTGTTTCTTTTGTAAATTAGTAGCAGAAACAGCCAGATCCATAGAGATAAAAATTAAACTCTACCTCTCAATGGGAGAAGTAGCAAAAATATTTTGGCCATTTTAATATGCTGGAGTCTGCCCGCTGGCTACAAATTATTTATATTCCTTCCAAATGCAAAATAAACTCAGTTGCTCCAAGGCCCCTCCACAAAGTCTTATTCCATCACATCTTTTGTTCGAAGTTCAGGATCTTGTTATCTAAATCAGTTCTATGTGCAGATATGCCTCTTTGTGTTCAGACCTTCAAGTGTTCTTCAACTGAAACTATTTTAATAAATAAAAATAAAGGGTTAGTTTGGAAGCTTTTGACTTGTTAAGCTCTGAAAATACAACATATATACTCTCTTCTAAGTAACCATTTCAGTATAGCATTGGCAAAAATTTTAGAATAGTAATATGGATAACATTTTCAGATAGGCACAAGATTACCTCTGTATGTTTTCTTAGGTTCAGTTTCTTAAATACAGTTTCTCTTGAACCGAGACCTGCAAAGTGTAGAGATACATAATATCTTCTCCAACCCCCATACATCTACTAAATAAAAATGAGACACCTGTAGGAAAACATAATAGATATTTCCATTCAGAAAGGGAAAAATAAAAGACATATAGTCATTAATGGTTCATAGAAATTTTGAAAATTACCAGGCACATGGTGCCAGGTTCTTGAATAGGTCCCAGTACTGCTGCCTGGAAAATACTCTCTGTGGTTTATGCCTCTTTTCTCCAGGCTCTTGGTTTCACTGTCTGACTTGGATTTAAAGCTGAGTAGTTTTCTCTGCCTCCATTCTATTTGTACAATTTTGAGAGTACAAAGTCATTTTTTTCATTATACAGCCTCAGTCTTTTTCATTCAAATAGTATCATTTACTTTAAAATTTTATTATATTTCTGTGAATAGAATGATCATTTAATTCATTAGATAAAAGTCACACTCATATTTCGTTTAAATCTAGACTCTTTTATACATTGTGCTGAGAATCATTTTACTGGGGTAACATCACACTTGAAATTTATAGAAGCCTTTTTGTCTATTTAAAATGGGTCTGGTAAGCACGTACCTAATATTCTTAGAAACCCAACTAGATTTTCCCTTAAATGTTCTTTGAAGTCACAATATGGTTTCTTCAAGTCACACTGTTGAGATCTTAAACTTTAGTCAGTGCTTTATTGTGAATGCTCTGGTCTTGATCTCTGTCTTGTCTCTTACTTGAAAGATTTGTTAAAGAAGAAACTGGGGATCAGAAAAGTTTTAATTTGATCCCGGTAATTCCTGGATCCTTTATATTTCTTCCAAATTCTGCTTAAAACTGAATAATTATTTTATTTTGGACAATTTTTTAACCAAACCTTCTCATGTATGCCTAAAATAACTCCAGTCACCTATCATTTAAAGATGAGATACATTATGAGAAATGTATCATTAGGCAATTTTGTTGTTGTCTGAACATCAGAGGTTGTACTGACACAAACTCAGAAGTTACACCCTACTGCACATGTAGGCTATATGATATAGTCTATCACTCAGAGTCTACAAACTTGTGTGGCACATGACTATACTGATTACTGCAGGCAATTGTAACACAATGGTAAGTTTTTGTGTATCTAAACGTACCTAAATATAGAAAAGGTACAGTAAAAATGTGGTATAAAGAAAAAAAATAGGACACATATATAGTGCACTTACCATGAATGGAGCTTGCAGGGCAGAATTTGCTCTGAGTGAGTCAGCGAGTGAGTGTAGAGCAAATGCGGTGGCCCAGGGCATTACCGTCCACTCTACTGTAGACTTTATAAACACCGTACCCTTAGGCTACACTCAATTTATTTTTAAAAATTATTTCTTCAATAATAAAGTCACCTTATCTTACTGTAGCATTTTTTCTTTATAAATTTTTAATTTTTTTAACTTTTGCCTCTTGTAATAACACTTAGCTTAAAACACAAACACATTGTACAGGTGTACAAAAATATTTTCTTTCTTTTTTGTATTTTTAGTAGAGACGGGGTTTCACCGTGTTAGCCAGGATGGTCTCTATCTCCTGACCTTGTGATCCACCCGCCTTGGCCTCTCAAACTGCTGGGATTACAGGCGTGAGCCACCGTGCCAGGCCTCTTTCCTTATATCTTTATTCCATAAGCTATTTTTAATTTTGGAATTTTTTTTACTTAAAATTTTTTTTTTTGGTTAAAAACTAAGTCACAGACAGATTAGCCTTGGCTTTCACAATGTCAGGGTCATCAATAACACTGTCTTCCACCTCCATATCTTGTCCCATTAGAAGACCCTTAGGGCTACTCTCATACATGGAGCTGTCATCTCCAATAATGATGTCTTCTGGATACCTGCTGAAGGACCTGCCTGAGGCTGTTTTCCAGTTAGCTTTTTTAATTAAGTGGAAACACTATACTCTAAAATAACAGTGACAAGTATAGTACAGCAAACACATAAACCAGCAACATAGCCGTTTATTAGCATTATCAAGTGTTCTGTGCTATGCATAATTGTATATGTTATACTGTTACATGTCTGGCAATGCAACAAGTTTGTTTACACCAGCAGCACCACAAATACATGAGCCATGCATTGTGCTATGACTTTTAGATGGCTACAAAGTCACTAGGGAATAGGAAATTTTCAGCTGCATTATCATCGCAAGGGGCCATGGTATATATGGTCTCTTGTTGACCAAAATGTTGTTATGGAACCCGTGACTGTATTTAGCATTTTCAACATTCTCTGTGACAGGCTTCTTAGCAAAATTCAACCAGGATATTAAGTGTATTGTCTATTATATGTGTGACCAAAGATAACTGTGTTACCAAACCTTCTGCCCATTTTCTAATAACAATATCATCTCTGTCTTTTCAGCTCTCACCAAGAATTCCCTGAGGCTTTGCAGCTTTTAGGGCCGGGCTCTTGTAGGCTATTCTAGCTTCTGTTTGTCATCTAGTCCCAAAGCCAATGTCGTGTATTTTAATTTTAGTTACAATGGCACCACAATTGCAGGTAAATTGTTTTAGATTAGTTACACAGACTATTTCAAAACGAGGAAAAAACAAAACAAAACAGTCATTTCATTACATTTTATGAATCTATTTGTCAATGACTCAGATCGTGTGTGGCATTAGTTCCGTACATGGGATGGTTTGGAGGCATGTAGAGGGCTTTGCACACACATCTGGCACATTTGCAGAGCACCTACAGGCTGGGCTCAACTTGATCTCTCACTAGAATGCCTACCGGCGGCCTCCCCAGCATGGTGTTCTCATTGTAGTGACAAGTCTTATATAGGGTGTGGCTTCCCCTAGAGCCAGTGTGGCATGAAACAGGACTAGATGCTATATATATACATATATATGTATATATATTTATAATATGATGTATTTATTATATATTAATAAATATATGAATATTATACATTTATATATGTTATATATTGTATATAATAAATATGTATTTATAATATTATAAATATATATACATATATATATATAAAAATCCTGGGAACTCGTATTAGCATAGCATTACTTCCGTGTTATCAGATCAATTACAAGCAGTTTCTAGAGTTCACCAGTTATTCAAGGGGCAGATATTAGATTCCACCTCACAATGAAAGAAAAAATGAATGTTCAGTCATCTTTAATCAATGAATACCTACCAATGTTGGTAACAAATTTTAATTTTTGATAGTTCTCTATCGTAGAATGACCACACATATTTTAATTGTCTTTTGTTTGTATCCCCTCTTAGATTGCAAGTTTTGTGAAACTAAGACTGTATCTATGTACTTAAGCACCACATCTCTAGGGACAAGTGGAGTATTAGGTTGAGTTATTATATATTTAATGAGTGGATAAATGAATGAATGCATTTGACTTTACCAGAAATAATTTGAATAATTATCTTTAATTGGTTATAAGGTTTATTTCATTCATTATTTTTTTAAAGATGCAACTGGATTTTGGAAGAAATACCCACATATGCAAGGTTCACAAATCAGAAATGCAGTTTTCTTTAAGCACAGGTACAAGAAAAGAGAGTATGTAAAAATCATTTATTTTTGTTTTTTAACTAGTTTTTGTAACTCTTATACAAATAATATCTTCTAAAAACAGATCTTATTAAAGAAAACAAATGAATCTTTGCCTTGTCTCCTCCACAATTTCTTTATAAGATGGACCAACTTCATTAATCTGTTTGAATGGAAAGCTATGGCGCTTGTTCTGAAACTTTGCTTTCAAATTAACCATAGTATTTTTACTGAGACCATGTGTTATGTATTTATGTGACTTTTGGCAGAAACTGATAGAGACTGTAGAAGGTCATGCTACATAAAAATAGAAAACAAAACAAACAAAAACCTGGGATTACACTATTTTTTGAACTCCAGGATATGTAAACTACAAGCGATGGCAGGTTTATGCCAGTAAGGGGGTATAATATGCATCTTGAGGTTAGAAGTTCTGCATTTGTATATGGCTAGAAGCACAGTTATGCAAGTAATTCAAGTCTCAATTATTTTCTTGATAACGCATGAATCCAGTTGGAAGATGCATAAAAGCTTCCCCCCAATCATAGACACTGCTGTGTGCTCTTCTCTCTAACAGAAAACAGTGAAGGAAGTCAAAAGCTAAAAGGCAGTGAAGTTGAATTTTATAAATGCTAATTAGCATCATCTGTACCATAAAAGTTATGCATTTTGGAGTTTAAAGGTTACTATAATCTAATAATATGGAGGGCAAAATTAGGACCTGTTTAAAACAGTTAGGTATGCAAATTGCGGCTACTGCCGTGAGCTCTGAACAGATGTTTGAAAATTTAGCTGAGTGTGTTTATTCATTCTAAATATGTTTACATAATGTGTTGTATGCTATTTTCTCAAGCACATTTGCATGGAAATGTATGTATAGGCCTGATTCTGCCATCTTTAATCATGCAAAACTGCCACTGGCTTCTGGTGGAATTATGCGCATGTCAGTTGTGGCAGAATCAGGCCCATGGAGAAGGTCTCGCAATTGCTGGAGCAAATGAACCTATTGCCAGTGCATGTTCAGTTACATAGTAATGCTTGTGGGCAAAGATTGGTAAGAACTTCATAGGTCTGGAAAGGGAATGTATAGAAGGTGCCCTGTATTACTCAAAGAAATGTAGGCGTTAATTAATTTACATGAGTTCTTTCAGTGACTTAAGGCTATGCTATTTTTCCTGTATCTATATCTATTTCTAATGCTAATTTTCCCTTGCTCTTCTCCTGTTTCATACACTCCACACACATACCTCCCACATATCTTTATTAATGACTAGAGTAGTACAAGAATCACTGATTAGGAGGTGAGGAAAATACTTAGATGGTTCTCTCCTTCATTTTTTATATAGCAAAGAAATCAGGGGTGATTTTCTTTGTTTTTTTGTTTTTCCAAATTTCAACAGAGTTTTAGTCTCTTAGGTTAAATTTTTTCTAGGTCTCCATAAGCATTTTTTGATGATTATAGATAATCTGTCCTGTTCAGTAATAATTGTTGTCAGATTTTTTTTATTTTGAAGCATTTGATGGCTTAATAAAAAAGTTAGTTACTACCTGCTATTTGCTAGACATTTTTTCTAGATTTCAAGAATACACTGGTGAATGAAACAGTCAAAATATTGGCTGCCCTTACGAAGTTTCCAATCTTGTTAAGAAGAATAAACAGACCTTAAGTAAATTAACATTACAGTTTATTATATAAATTTCAAAAGAAATGCAGATCACCTTGAAAAAAAATTATAGGGAAGACTTCATTTGGATTGAGGCATTAGTGTAATCTTTGAGTATGTGACCTTTCATCTGAAACCTGAAGGAAAGCAATTAGATGTAGACAGAGAATAGGTTCAATCTTCAAGGCAGACAGAATGGCAAATGTAAAAGCTCTGAGGTGAGATAATGCTTGGAGAGTTTAAGTAGCTAAGAAAGCAAATGTCAGTGGTATATTTACCGGAATGGCTGAATTTTTGACCACAGAATGGTAGGCGGGAGTCTGACCAAGACAGGGTCTTAACAATCCTATTTCTGAGTCAGCATTTTACCCAAAGATGTTGGAAAACCACTAACAACCTTCTAAGTAGAAAAAAATGACAAAATTTTACGTTCATTTGAAAAAGATATAAATGACTACTCTGCTAAAAATTACCTGAAGCTCTATTGTAGAAGGAGAAAAACCATTCTGACAGATATTTGTATAATTACGATGGTTTAAGCCAGTATACTGAAAATAGTCAGAAAAGTAAATTAATTTTAGAGGAATACTGAAGAAAATGTGAGAAGAATACAGTCATGAAATGAAAGCTAGGATAAAGAATTTAAAAGAAATGACAATGGTAGCCAATATACAGATTTCAGTAACTTGTTAAATACAGACCTCATTGAGTTGGGACAAACAGATGAAAACTTCAAACTTAACCACTGAGAAACGTGTGCTGTCATATCCAAGCAAATATATTAAAGAGAAGCCAGGTGTGAAAGTCTAGACTGTGGAAGGAATGTTGAGTTGGGAATGTGAGTTTTAGAGCCATGGGTATGGGGATAGTGACTGAAAATAAAAGAGAGACAAGCATGGTGGCTAACACCTTTAATCCCAGCTACTTGGGAGGCTGTGGCATGAGTATCCCTTGAACCCAGGAGGTGGAGGTTGCCTTGAGCCGAGATTGCACCACTACTGTCCAGCCTGGGCGAGAGAGCGAGACTCTATCTCACAAGAAAAGAAAATCCCCTGAAGGGAAAGAGTAGAAAAGAATAGAGGGCTCAGCATTGACTCTGGAAAACTTTAAAACTCTAACTGAAGAAATGTTTTTTCTGTTCATAGAAAAATTAAAACTATTAGGTTGGTGCAAAACTAACTGCAGTTTTGCCATTTTTTACTTGGGTGGTTTGTGCAGCCATAGCAAAATACCTGAGATTGGTAATTTATAAGTAATAGACATTTATTTCTCAAAGTTCTAGAGGCTGAGGAGTCTAAGATCAAGGCACCAGAAGGTTCAGCGTCTAGTGAAGGCCAGGTCTCTGCTTCCAGGATGCTACTTTGAATGCTGTGCCCCTTCATGGTACAAGGGATCAAAGAACAGAAGGGCCTGGCTACTTTCCTTCTGCCATTTTATAAAATAACTAATCCCATTCATGTTATGAATCTGGGGACAGTTCAACAGTAGCACCATTGTAAATCCCATTAGCCCTATTCTTTATAATCTGTACCTACTGTTTATCATCAGAGTATGCTTGTTAAATTTGGCTTTCACTTGAATTACTACATATGTTTTTAGAATTTTAAAGTCCATTTCTTTTCCAAAATATTAGACAATGTAAATGTCCTCTGTATTCTATTTCCCGATATTTTATCATAATAAGGCTACTGTTGGATCTCTGTGGTACCATTTTATTCATTCCTCTAACCTGCCCTTTCCAGTAAGCATTTTGTGTTGGTGTATTTGTTTTAGTCACCTTTCTCTCTATCATATTTCACTTGTCCATTCACATTGTTTTCTCCCTCTTCATTTGAAACCTAAATTCTCAGAAGGTAAACTCATACTTCTTTAAAATCTTTTTAACATGCTTTTGGTACAACTTCTTAGTAATAATCCACATGAGACCACTTAGTATTTTTTTATTAAGATTTGTGCTAAGAAACAGAAATACAGATAAAAGTATATGTGAATAATAGAAGATAGAAACAGAAAAAAGTGAATAATAATTTAAAAAATATTTCCATAAAATTAAATAGAAACAAGGGTAGTGTGGTAATATATGCACCTTAGATGGAATTTAAAACTTGCAACATAGGACATACATTTTGTCTTTTTTTGAAGATACAAAAAAAATGAGACCTAATGACAAGAAATGAATTACTAAGAATTATAGGCATAAAGGCTGAAAAAATGTTCACCTCCCATCATGATTACCTTTAGGAAATAACATACTTGTGCCAACACACACAAAAAATATATTTTTAGTTAGCTGGATTTAAAATTATACTTTTCTATCAACATTGACCAAGAATCTATAAGTTTATTCAGAAATGAACCACAATCTCTACAATTACTCACTTAAAAATTTTTAGGATGGTATAGTTTTAGGTGATCTTTATTTAGAAGTTAATGTTTACCAAGATAAAGAGGTTCCCATATACACCTGCTTTGATTTAAAAGTTGCTATTGAATTTTATCACAATTTCTTCCCTGCATTATTTGAAATAATCATACATTTTTTTCTTCCTATTTCCTCAGAGATTGTATACTCATGTCCTACCTCCAACCATGAAAAAAAGAATGATTTTATTTTCTGTATAAAACAAACTACCTATTAGATCACAGTAGAACCAAGTACAGAAATTCCTCGGGTTACAATAGGGTTATCTCCTAATAAACATACCATAAGTTGAAAACTTCGTAAGTTGAAAATGCATTGGATACACAAAACTTATAAATATCACAGCTTAACCTAGCCTACCTTAGTAAATGTGCTCAGAGCACTTACATTAGCCAACACTTAGGCAAAATTATCTAACACAAAACCTATTTCATAATAAAATATTGAATATATAATATAATTTATTAAATACTGTAATAAATATAAAAGGCAGAATGGTTGTATTGGTATTCTAACTATGTTTTCTTTTGAACAAGACAGTATGCAGCAGGGTAGTATATATACCTGCATACACGGACACACACGTGCGCACACACACACACATTTTTGTGAGTACATCCGCTCATCAGCTGTTTGTGCAGCTTGGACAGATGCCACCCTTATTATGGATCCTTGCAGCCAAGGTTCATTGTCTCAAAACTTATGTAACCCTCCTTATTTTTCCTCAGAAACCTTTGCCTTCCTTTATCTCTCTGAATAGGCCCAGCATTTACTATGGCACATGTATTCCCATTGCAGTGCCCATTCCTAAATAACTATCATTTTTTTATAGAACCTTACTCTCTGTCATTTAGGTTGACATCTACATATCCGTAAGTTCTCATTGTCTAAATTTTTAAAAAAGAAAATTGCCATTCCACAAAGTTTCTAAGTGAGTAATGTTATATGATGGTTCTTCAAATATTTAGAGGGACATAATTTACTAAAATTTATTTTTCCTGAATAAGAAGCTATTCCCACTGCTTTTAAAATATACTGAATTTAAGATGTTTATAAATATTTTCATTGCCAGTGGCCTCTGTACACATATTTTATTATTTTACTCTGTTGGATGAGGCCCTGGAATCTACAATTCTTAATCAGAAAACCAAGCAATATTAGTTATCCAGGAACTACTTCTAAAAATGTACGTTTGTTGATTGTTTTTAAATGTCAAAATCAACCTGGATATTTAAAAGAATAAAAGCCTTTTAAAATTCCATTAATGGCTTTGAGGTGATTATTAAAGAAATGAGTTTTATAGATTTGGGGAAATATGAAGCCATTCTAAGTATAAGTAGTAGAAATTCTGAGATGGGTAACAAGTACAAAACTTCAAATATTCTGACATATAAATTTTCTACCAAACTGTATAATATTGGTTAAAATTAGCAAGAATGAAAGATCCCTGACATGTTTCTCGGCAACTCATATGTGACTTGAGATTAAATGGAATTACTCAGCTGTGGGGAATGAAGCCTGAGGGAAAACACTTTCTGAAGTATAGTAGCAAATGAGATAGTATAGGCAAACATTTAACTCTCCTATGTTGGGAAAAGAGGGACTCTAAACTCAGGAGACTGCCAGGTGAGATAACATCATTCAAAACTGGGTCAGTTTTCATCTACTATTTTATTCAATGGGCATGTAATCCACAGGAAACTTGAGAAAGAGTACTTGAACTTGATGCCATCTCAATTTATTTTACTTGCAACTATTACCTGTGCTATGAAAGTCTAATTTTACTGTTTGATTCCATTGTTTAAAAATCACACTTCATATTGTTTCCATGTGAAAATCAACAACTTCAGATAAACAAGAAACGAAGGCAAGAAAACTTGGTTGTATTTCACCTATTAATACAGTGTGGGCCCATCTCTAATACTGTGAGTCAGAAGAACTGAAAAGAAGTTACAGGTGGGAACTCTGATACAGTGGAGTAAATCGTTCAGCAAATCCTCTTTCTTAAAACAACTATATCAATGTTCTTAAAATTGACCAAGAGCATATGAAAACTTAAAAGCATTTATTCAGGAAAAACACTTAAATGTGAGTAACTGCTTTTTTATTACTGTGTAACAAATTATTCTGCTTATTAGCTGAAAACAAAATGCCCTTATTCTCTTGCCATTTCTGTGGCTCAGCCATCCAGGCCCAGCTTAGCAGGCTCCAGTGCTCAATGTCAGACAAGGCTGCAGCAATGTGCTGGCCAGGCTGCATTCTCATCTGAAGGCTTATTTGGAGAATAGTCCAATTCCAAGTTGATTCAAGTTGTTGGAAAAACCATTTTATTTGTGGTTTGTGACAGCATCTTTTATTTTTATTTTTTTTTCTTGGATGTAAGCTGGAATCTTCAATCAGGTCCTAGATAATGTTGAAAATTCCTAGAGGCTACCCATAGCTCTTTGCCATTTAAGCTTTTTCATCAGGGCTGCTGACTTCCTTAAGCTACTACAAAGGGTGTTTGACCTCAGGGGTAGCCCAATCCCTCTTTTGAGAGTGTTCACCTAATTAGGACAGACACATTCAGGATAATCTCCCTTTTGATTAACTCAAATATGACTGATTTGGGACCTTTATTACATCTACACAATCTCTTCAATCTGACCATATACTGTTATCTAGAAGCAAGTAATTTGTTCTGACCACCATCAAATGAGGAAATCACATATGTTGTGAACACCAGAAATCCAGAACCATGGGCCATTATAACATTCTGACTACCATGCTGTGTTAGAAAAATGAAGAATCTGTCGAGTTTCTGCATAGGGCTCTCTTTTACCCTACTTTTCCCACTTAAATCCTGGTCAGCATGGTAGTTCTCCAAGGTTAGGGCAGGCCATGAAAAATGATCAGCTTTGCCAACAGATGGGTGTTACTTTACTTAAAGTATAGCGTAGAAAACCCCTTGCCCATAGTAGGCATTGACAATAGGAGTAAAAATCTTGGTCATGCAAATAAATAAATAAGAAAAGAAATAAACAGTCATTCAAAGAACTCGAGTTTATAGTAGCCTTGGTTGAGTAAGCAGTAATTTAGCTGACTGGACAAAAATTTATCAGGAGGTGACAGGGAATGAGTCAGCTACTTGGTGCTGTGATGAACTCATTGCATACACCTGTCCCGCTGAAAACTGCATGCACATGCCTGGAGAACATGTTGTCTGGGGACACAGCCCAGACTGACTGTGAGACTGTGCCCACATGCAGGGAAAGTGAGAGGGGACAGCAGAAAGGAAAAGCTAAGACAACTGAACACCATTTGGTCTTTGAATATGCTACCCTAAACTCAAATGCATCAGCCACAAAGATAGAAGAATTACCAGCTCAGATGTCTGAGTACAGCTTCTGACCACAAAGCTATGCAGACACAAGAGTGGTCTTCAAGAGGTCATGATTTAAATTAATAATAAGAATTTTTTTAAAAAAAATTTAACTGAGGCACACAAAATCATATGCCGAGATAAGCATACATTTTATAGGTTTTGTCCAGGCATGTTACTAAGTAAACAAGCAACCAAACAAACACACAGCAAAATAACAATAATTAAGAAGGAAAAAAAA
Organism: Homo sapiens; assembly: GCF_000001405.40. Classification (NCBI taxonomy): domain Eukaryota; kingdom Metazoa; phylum Chordata; class Mammalia; order Primates; family Hominidae; genus Homo; species Homo sapiens. Next base: position 66,752,459 of record NC_000018.10, on the reverse strand, counting down.
TGAATCCAGATACACAATCATATAGTATTTAAAATGTCCAGTTTTCTACCAAAAATTACATTCTAACAAAAAACATGAAGATGAAAATATTATGGTAAAATAATATCAAGAATTGATCCATATAAATAAAAACTTCAAATACAAAATTTTTATATTTATAATTGAAAAGTGAAAACCAGAAATGGTTTTATGACAGAAAGAATGCACATACAGGGGTGATAAATCATATGTATGTCTCTCTATGTAACCATACATACATACACCAGGTATTGCTAAAACAGCATGCATAGTATGATTAGAATAATAGAAGATAAGAGAATGTATAGGAAGAACATTAAATAAAACAGCCATATATGAGATTAAGGCATTGTTCTGCTGTGGGCTGTTGATATCCAAAGGACAACCAAAGTAAAAATTAAAAAAAAAAATCATGTTAATGAGAAAAGGTAAGTTTATTAGATTTACCACACTATGGAAGAAAACTACCTTCATAGAGTCTTCTAGTATCTCCAAATGTGGAAATTATGGAAAGGTTATTTTATAGTTTAAGAGCCTATGGTGGGTGATTTTAAGGTAGGTCTTGCAAACCAAGGGATTAACTGGGATTGGACACTGTTTATAACATATTATTTTTAGATTGAGGCAAGTCTTTAAAGTAAATCTTAATTAAGCAAGGGGTTCTAGTTCAATCAGAGTCTTATCTTCTAGGAAGTAGTTCGTAGAGCAAGACTGTTATACTTTAATCCCTGGACTTAAACATATGAACATAAAATTATGCCTGGTCTCAGTATTGTTTGAGAGAGAAATAGAAAATGAAGTTGGTTACTCACTATTGAGTATGGAATATTCAATATATACATATGAAGGAGCTAATAGGCATTATTAAATCATTTTGGCCAACAGAAATTACATATTCCATTGAAAGAATCATTGAACATTCAAAAATATACATTTTAATATTGTTCAGAATGAAAATACCTATACATTCAAAAAATTCTGTGGATATTATTGTACTAACATGGGAAGTTGAATAATAATGTATATATTGATTTATACAGCACTTTAAAAGAGGCCAGGCGCGGTGGCTCATACCTGTAATCCCAGCACTTTGGGAGGCGGAGGCGGGCGGATAACCTGAGGTCAGGAGTTCGAGACCAGCCTGACCAACATGGAGAAACCCCGTCTCTACTAAAAATACAAAATTAGCTGGGCATGGTGGCTCATGCCTGTAATCCCAGCTACTTGGGAGAATCAGGAGCTGAGTCAGGAGAATCGCTTGAACTCGGGAGGTGGAGATTGTGGTGAGCTGAGATTGCACCATTGCACTGCAGCCTGGGCAAGAGTGAAACTCCACCTCAAAAAAAAAAAAAAAAAAGATGAAACCTCTCTCCTGGTGACTATTTTAATATACAATTCCTACTGAATATATAACTCTTAATCCAAGAGGAAGCTGACATTAAAATAAAAATATAGAGAGAGTGGAAAACAGAACAAGCACTACAAATGAAAACCTGTGAGCTTTGAAAAAAATGGTTTTCCAAGGAATATGTATGTCCTTAAATTAATATGTTGGAAAGCAAATTCAAAACATTTTCTTCTTTTACCTCTGTTCTTCTTGGAAAGAGTACGCAATGTTATATGTGGAAAAATTAATATGAGAGATTTGTATTAAATTATTTTAATAATAGTAAAGAGTTTAAGATAACTTCAGAAGAATTTTAAAACATGTATATTCTTGTATCTATCCATTTATCCCTGTGTGTGTATTTTTTCCAGTAGCAGTGATTTTAGCCTATTCAGTGCTTGTATATAATATAAATAAGTTCAAAACAATGCAGTAGAGAGATTCTATAAAGCACTTAAAGAAGTCTTTTGGCTAAATGAGGTTCTTGGCATCCTGTTATGCTCAGAAGAAATGCTAGTTGTTTGGTAAACCTTTTAATATAAGGGAGAACATATGGTTACATCACAAGCAATAATATTTGAGCACATCTCTAAAATGTTTTTCATATAAACATTGCATTAAGAATGGTGTTTAATATTATTTTTATCATTCAAACAATTAAACTAATCACTTCTAATAACACCAGTACACTATATTTGATTTTAACTAAGCAGCAAGTGTACTCCTGAGTTCTTTTATGAAACTGTAATTCTATCCCCAAAAGTAGGAGGCTGAAGGATAAGTCAACTACCATGGTTAAGAAAAAAAAAATTCCTCATTAAGTTGTACAGACAAATTATTAACATGCTTTTGTGGCGTGAAATTAGATGATGATGTGGTATAATTGAGACTGTCGACATCTCCTATAAATATAGCAATAGAAGATAGAATACGGATAGTTTCATTACATACTGAACCTTTGGACACATGCATGTCCAAATACATATCTACTATATGCTCATTATAGTCTAGAGTGGCTTTGATCCAAGGTTCACAATCTAACAGTTATCCCCAGGTCTCTTACCTCCCAAAGATCAAATGGAGTTGAACACTGGTAAGCAGATAGTTCAGTTGAAAACTGCAACAGATCATAAAGTCACAAGATAGTGCTGAGTCAAATAGATTCAATCCAATTTATTCCTGTTCTTTTGTGTGAAGAGCTTATAGGAAATGACTTAAACCATTCTTTACCCTTGGCAGCTGCTAAACTCCATGTGGCTTAAATGAGAGATATTCATGTTGGTTTCATTTTCTCTCAGCTATTTCATGGAACACCTACATTCTTTCTTTGCTGTCATAGTTTGTGAAAAAACATTAATGGTTAGGAAAAATGCTTACCATTGCACATTTTTTGGGAATTTAACAAGGAGCACAGAAAAGCACAGAAATAGAAGAAAACAAAATGTGTTGAATATTAGTAAAAAATGGAACAGGAAATTAAAAATGGTGAAATGACAGTGTATAAAAATGTGCAAGGTAAAGAGGGATATAAAAGAAGGAAGAAGAATGCACACTATTTGTTTGTGCTTTGTATCTGTAACATCATACAGATAATACAAGTAAATAAAATTAACAGTTCCAAGATTAAACTTGCTTCTCAAAATGGTCAACATTCTGAAATCTAGTATCTTCTCCTTCAGAAATTCCTTTCCCCTCATTTTCTTTTCATTTTCATAAGGTGAAGTTTTCAAAAATAAAATAAACTGTTAATTTTGGGATTTCCTAAGTGTGGTCTGGCCTGAAGATGGCATTGTTGGAATACATCAACTCTTTGGATCCCGATAAAATGTTCAGCATACCAGCTCTTCAGTGAGGTGGGAGCGTTTTGTTCTGGGCCTTCTAGGATTCATCTGTGGTACCTAACCTCCAAGCTTTTCAGAACAAACTTTCAGCAGCAGGAGAACATTGTTACTTTTCTTTACCCTGTATTTGGAGTGGAGTGGCATGCCACAGATCAGAGATTCCCTATAGTTGGATTTGTATTAACTAAGAATCTTGTGACACATAAGGTTTTCAAATTTTATTGTGATAAAAATATTAGCAATCACCAATTTCATGTTTTAAAGAAAAAATTCTTTTTTGGAAAATCAATCACTTAAGTAAACTTTTTAAAATTTTTAATTTTTATTATATTTATTTATTTATTTATTTATTTATTTATTTATTTAGGGACAGTCTTGCTCTGTTGCCCAGGCTGGAATGCAGTGGCACGATCTCAGCTCACTGCAACCTCCACCTCCTGGGTTCAAGTGATTCGCCTGGCTCAGCCTCCCGAGTAGCTGGGACTACAGGCGCGTGCCACCACGCCTGGCTAATTTTTGTATTTTTAGTAGAGACAGGGTTTCACCTTATTGGTCAGGCTGGTCTTGAACGCCTGACCTCGTGATCCTCCTGCCCTGGGCTCCCAAAGTGCTGGGATTACAGGCGTGAGTCACCGTGCCCGGCCTTTAATTTTTAATTTTAGTTTTTGTGAGTACATAGAGGGCGTATATATTTATGGGGTACATGAGCTGTTTTGACACACACACGCAATGTGTAATAATGACATCTTATAAAATGGGGTACCCATTCCCTAGAGCATTTATCCTTTGAGTTACAGAGAATCCAATTATTCTCTGCTAGATATTTTTTAATGACCAATTAAATTATTAAACTGTTTTTTAAATACATGCAAACATTAGGACTGATAAACTTACAAATTTAAAATTAAAGACAGTTTTTCAAATTGAATGACACTTGTATTGGTGTTAGTGTTGCCAGTTGAAATATGAGACTCCAGTTAAATTTGAATTTCAATTTAATACTTGGGACACAGTTATTCTAAAAAAAAAAAACCTGTTGATGATAATTTGAAATTCAAATTTATCTGGACACGAACCTTTACTTTTATTTGCTAAATCTGGCAACTCTAACTGGAGCGTAATTTAGTGGTGTACCTACTAAGCTTTATTTGCAGGTAAGCGTTTTGAAATGATGATCACATAACACAAAGTAGAAACTGACATACTAGCAACCCACACTGTGACATGACTGACATTTTTCTTAAGATTCCCAGGTACCTAATTTTCTCAAACTTGTGTTTTTAAAGAAAATTTAAAGTTGGTTTTGATATGATTATAAAAATAGTACTTTCAAAAACAATGAACTGAAAAATGACTAAAAATAAGAATTGAGTAATGTGTCCAAATACAAAACAATTAAATGTGTATATATTCAAATTTGTTTGTGAGAATAAATGTAGGTAATTGTGAAATGAACTGTGAAAACGGATGATGAAGGTTGACTTGCCATGCCAGAATTAATCTTATACTGACTTATAGAAAGAATAGAATCCAGAAACAGATCCATGCAATATAACTCTATGGTGAATTTTTTTTAAGGTGAAGAAATGTCAGAGTTGGGCCTGGCGTGGTGGTTCATGTTTGTAATCCCAGCACTTTGGAAGGGCAAGGTGAGAGAATAGCTTGTGTCCAGAAGTTTGAGGCCAGCTTGTGTAACATAGTAAGACCTCATCTCTAAAACAGTTTAAAAAATTAGCCAGGGGTGTGGTGTGGCATGTGCCTATGTTCCCACAAGTTACTCAGGAGGCTGAAGTGGGAGGATTGCTTGAGCCCAAGAAATCAAGCCTGCAGTTAGATATGACCATGCTACTGCACTCCAGCCTGGGCTACAGAGGAAGATGAGGTCAGAAAAAAAAAAAAAGCCTTATTAATTAATGGCTTATAATGAATTGAATATCTATTCTAAAATGACAGTAAGCATACACACAACTTAGAGTTTATTTCTTTATAAAAAATAAGTTTCATGAAACGAATATTACACTTTCAAACAGTAAAATAATGTGTTGAATGTGGAATTGAAATCAGCTGAGGAATACAGGATTAATCGTCATTTTAAATTCTTACTGATTATTAATTTTATAACTTTTGTGTGACATAAAAATAATATACACAGGGTTTTTCAAAATTAATAAAACTTTTAAAAGTCAAAGGTAATGAAATAACAGTAAAAAAGAAATAGGAAAATAAATTTGTAACATATGCATTATATCCTTAATGACATAAATGTAAAAAAAAAATCAGCTGTGTTTCAGGATAACATTTGTAACTTTTAAATATACTGAAAGAGCCTACAGGAAAAAAAAGTACTCTAATAAGTTGTTAACTAGAAAATTATACAACTTATTTTGAAGAGGAATCTGACAATAAAGATAAACTATTTAAACATATATGCTAAATAACAATTAGATAATGTACTAACATATATAAAAAATCCATTGCAGGGATTTCATACTAAAGAACAATTTAGATTTTTCTAAATGTGGAATAGATATTTTATTAACTCTAATAAATAATTTGTAATATCTCTGCATAATGGCGTAGTAAGCAGACTGTATAAAAATGAAAGAGAACTAAATGTATTGACTTCAAAAACAAATAGTAACCTATTGCATTGTGAAAGAAGTAGATACAGCATTATATGTATGGCATGATCCCATTTATTAAAAAGATTACACAATATAATCAGACACTGATATACATAATGAGAGAAATAAAGTATCATATATACCAAACTCAGGTTGTTCCAGTGGGTTTGGTAATGTGCAGACCTCCCAGACAATATAACATGTGAAAGATGCACATAAAATGATGTTAAAAGTGAATTTGTGCCATTTCCCAATGCCTTTCAAGGTCCTCAAATCAGTGCCTGATCTTTGGTGATTAATGCCTTTGGAGAGGGAAGAGCAAAAAAATCAAATACTTGTAGCCTCTTATAATTTCAGACTGGTTGTGGGGTCAATTCATTTCTTCAAAATCTTTCTATCACTCATTAATTTCTTTCCTTTCTGCACCAAAATTACATATTTCTATTACTTATTGTTGCATCATTATTCTTATAGAATCCCTTATAGAATCCCTGGTTATGGCCTTTTACTAGGATATATTTTCATTATTTTCTTCAAACGCTAAAAAAAATAGATTTGACTAGAGCTTTCTTTTGCCTTGGTGTAGTATTTTCCAATGTGTACCCCTCCTCTGTCATTTATTTTCTATTTTGTCTATGTGGGTGCCTGTGTGTGCCTTTGTCATTCTTCAGCCCTTCTTTCTGATAGTTAATGGTTAAGGAGACTTCAGGGATCTTGCTCAAGAAAGAAGTCACTGGTTTTGCTCCGACCAGTGAAAACTTTGTGTTCTTGTCTCTCACAGAGATCTGATGCTGCAGGCATCCCATCCAGGGGCTGATTTCCTAACGTCAGCAGCTGTTGAGCACATGAACTAATTTCCAGCATTAGGGGCTTATACTGTTTCCTTAAAATTGTGAACCCCATCTGTCTTCCACTCCATTTGATGTTTGCAATGCGAAAAAGGTTTCAGGCACATCTTTTTGTACCACATTACAATCCAAACTCTTCATGCAGTGATCATAAAGTACATCTATAAATGCTTACCCTCGGAGTCAGATGTTAAATTCTTCAAATAAATACCAAATGATTGTGCACACGGTCCCAGCATTTCTATTTGAGGTAGAAGCTAAAACACACGCACAACTTTTACATTTCCTTCCATTTACATAAAAGAAATAGTACAGAAAACATACAAATACTCTTGATTTGTTAGGCATCTGATATAGGTGAGAATCTGTCAGTATAAATTGAGTGATAGTTCTAATAATTTCTATTTATTCCAAAAATTATCTTGTACGCATTACTGGTCTATGAATAATTTTTAGCAATAGAAATGCATAATTACATTCATCATGAGATGAGCAAAGGAAGATGCCAGAAAGTATCTTCCCATTTATTTATTCTCCATATTTCCAACCTTATGAAAAGTTGACTTGCTGTGGAAAAATTAAATGAGTTTCTTATGAATGAAACTCATGCTGCCTTGATTGGCAGTCTGTGTTTCATTCTTTTCCATTTGCAGCAGTGAAATTCCTGGAATATGCAAAAGTAACTCTATAACTCGCTAATTCATTTGTTCACGAATTTATTCATTCAATAAATGTAAATTGGCATTTTTGCTACGTGCCAATGTTTTAAAGACTGGAAAAGCATTAGGGATCAAAAGAGACAGAGCACAGATCTTAAATTCTAGTGAGATGAAACAAATAAACAACTAATAATATAAAAAGTTTATTAGCTATGGATAAACAACAACAACAAAACAGAAAATAATATAAAATGAGGTGTTACATTTTTGTTGCTTTGACCAGAAAAAGCTTCCGTGAAAACATATTTGACTAAATTACAGAAGAAAGTGAGGCTACATATAATGTTAAATTGCGTTCTAAGAAGATGAACATCCAATACAAAGACCCTAGGACAGTGATTCTTAACTGTTTTGATCCCCAGGAGACACTTATCAGTGTCTGGATATATTTTTGGTTCTCACAAATTGAGACAGGGCTTGCTACTGGTATCTAATGAGTAGAGGTTAGGAGTGCACAATACAGTCCCCTACAGCAAAAATTTACCCAGCTCAAAGGATCAGCAGTGTCAATCCTGAAAAAGCCTGCCCTAAAGTGTTAATGTACCTGTCCTTTTCAGATATAACAAGGAGACAGGTGGTGTTAGATCAGAGTGAGAGGAGGAAGGGCAGTCTTAGAGTATGAGCATCTGAGCTCAGAGAGCTAACACTGCACGGAAACAGAGCAGGTCATGATGGGCCCTAAAGTTTGCCAACACGACTGTCCTTTCCTCTGTGAGAGAAGGGAAAACACAAAAGGATTTCCAGCAAAGCAGTGACATGAGCTCCATATGGCTTAATAAGATCACTGTAGTAAGAATATTGGGTTGTGATAAGAACATTGAATGACAAGGAAATTTTCAGGAGCATGGTTCAGAGTTTATGACAATAATTCGGGCAAAATATGATTTTTCACTTGGACTCATGATATAGCAGCAGGGGAGGTGAGAGGTGGTCAAATTCTGAATGTACTTTGAAGATGAAAAAAATAAGATTGCCCACCATATTGAATGTGGAGAGAGGAAGAGACTGAGAGACAGGAGAGAAAAGAAAATAACAGCAAAAGTAGAGTTTCCAGTAATGGAGATCGGGACGTCCTGACTGTTGGGAGCTTAGTTCCACTGTGTTAGGTTTGAAATAAACTCTGTTTTTGTATGCAACATAAATTTGAATTTCTATGATCACTCCCTGTGTTTCACAAGATTGTAAAACATGTAAGAAAGCAATGGGGGATTTGAGGTGACGTTTAGGTGTCTAATTTGTATGTTATAAATGCAACAGTTGAGAAAATTGGAGATATTCAAATGGTGGAATTAGAAGCCATAGGAATGTGGGCATAGAGGCTTCTAGATTTGGTGGCCTGCTATTTGGAAATGGTACTATAATTATTCAGGGATGTCCCGTAAGACAGACATAAGAACAATGAGAAGAGCTTAGAAGATGGCAGATTCTGCCAAAAAATAATAAAAAAAATCGAAGGATAGATTTTCTGCACCACTAGAGAAGTCAGCTAGTGAGCTTTTCATTTGCTAGCAGTAGTGCATGCTGAAAGTGAATGATTGTCTTTGGGGATTATTTACTAACATTTCTTGTGTTGGAAGATATGTGAGGCTCTCTAACATTCTGTCCACCTTAAGTGAGTATGAAGTATAAAATACCTTTGGCGTCATTCACTGTGAGCAAGTCATAAATGCACCCACTCAGGTTATTGGCTGCCAGTAAATATAAAAAATACACCAAATTATTTTCAACAATATCTTGCTACAATGAGATCTACTAGACGTTGGTATGAGTTCTAGTTTTGTTTAATGATTCAGGCTCATTAAACTCATTAAACTACCTTTTCTTGATTTTGAGGGAGAAAAAAACAGACCACTTTTCAAAAATATTCACAAAAGTATGATAATTTTCACTCAACTATAATAACTGCTGCAATTTTTTCCCAGGTGCCATCGTTAAAGAAGGTTATGCCTTCTAGTCTCAGAACTGTCTGATGAAATCCATTTGGTTATTTTTCTCCAGTCAGCACTATTTAACAATTTTGTTCAAAGATATATATGAGCTGGAGGGCATTGTATCCTTTGTTCTCCATTTTAAAATGTGCAAATGTGGGATGCTGGTTTCTATTTTTGCAATTATTAACTTTTTCTTGAATGAGAAAGATGATTACAGCCGAATTCTGTAATGCTTGTCAGTTAGGAATTTAAGAATGCCTGAAGCAATCTGAAACTACTTGAGCTGCTTTGGGCTATTTTAGAAAATTATTTGAGACATTATTTTTGCATTCCAGAGGGGTATGACCCCTTTCCTTAATGGCTGCATCTTAAGTTCTTAAGTGAGTACTTTGGTATGGAGTATGGAAGAATATTTTTAAAAATGGATACTTAATAATTTTCATCATTCTGATTTTCTTTCAGTTATAAGAGTTTGTCGTAAAATGGATATAGATTCAAAAAGTTGCTTCCACTGTTTTCAGGATGATCATCATTACATTATTTCCTGAACATCTTGCCTTGCGCCTAGTTTTTCCTTCTTTAAAATCAGGACTATTGCTGGCTGATAAGGAAAGTCTTCAGGCATTTTTATCAGCTTACACTTTGGCAATACAGACGGATGTGACAGGTAAAATAGACACCACCCTAAATGCTGATTCTCCTTGCACAATTAGTTTATCATTTTGACACACAAATCAACCCAAAAGGAAGAAAAAATATTTTGTGATGGTGCCAGCTCTTTTTTTTTTTTTTGACAGCACATACCATCATTGTTGTCAAACTGAATGGAAACATAGACACAAACCAGTTTTATATTTTTTTGGTTTATTTGGTACAGTCAGAATAATTGCTGTTATACAGCAATGCATACTTATGTCCTATTCCAATATTGGATTTCTTACAATATATAAGAAGCACTAATATGAATAATAATTCTGCAATTATGAGTTAAATCCCTTTTCTTCCAATATGAAATTCCAAAGGAAAAAAAGGTGTGTTAAGATTGGGTTATCCAACACATCCACTAAATACAGATACTTTTTAGATATGTTGACTTGAACAAGTTATTTTACCTTTCCGTACTTCAGTTTTCTAATCTGTAATGTTAGTAATAACAATACAATCCTTATGTCACTCACAGGGGAGAAGCACACAAGAACCATAAGTGAAAATGCTTAAAAACCAAACACATGTTTATGAATGTAAGCTCATTTGACATTGTCATTATATGAATCTATATTGCATGTCTTTCTTATAGATGATGGGCACAACTTCTCTAAGAATTACAGTCTCGCTCACTGGGACATTTACTGGGCCTGGCTTCGTTGTGCGTAAACTAGTTTATAAGGGGACTTAGAAAAATAAATAAACCCAAGAAGACACAGTATTATACCTAATGGCTAATGTGTACTAAAGGAAAGAGCAGTTAGACAACTCACTTTACTACTTGAATAGGATTGGAGGGAAAAGTTGTGTATGTGTGTGTGTGTGTGTGTGTGTGTGTGTGTGTGTTTATAAGGGCTGTGTTTGTTGTATTTGTAGCTTAGTGTGTATTGAGAGTAAGAATTTGGATCACTTGTTACCAGTATATGTGAACAAGAATTGGTGGCAACAAACAGGGGCTTGGCTGGGGTGATAGGAGGAAAGTGAGTTGTTCACGTGCAAGTTTGGGTCTTTATGTGAAATTTCAATATTTTGTTTATCATGCATTTCATCAAATGAACTTTGATTTTTCAATAGTGCATTGAAATTAACATGACTTATGTTTACAATTGAGATTGTTGGTGCCTGCTTAAGTTTTGCACGTTAGGCTCATGGCTCTCTTGCCTCACCTGCCTCACTTTAGACTCTATGCTGACATGGCAGTGAAGATGGAGAAAGGATTTCAAACTTGGTTTGTTATTTTTAATGTGTATAAGGTATTCAGCCTCTTAGCATTTTTTCCATACTTAGATAAAATACAAGGAATTTGTTTCAAACATTTTTGGGTAATAGGCCATCATTTCTCTGAATGTACCTCCATTTAAAGATAGAGTCAAAGCCAGCTTATTTGTTGTTCTTGTTGCTATTGTGTTTTCCTTGATTGTAAGGAGTTGCATAAGATATACAAAAAACGCTAGCTCAGAAACCAGAGATAACAAAATGTGGTCCTTACCTTTAAGTTGCATGAAATCTTTTGGTAGATAAAAGTTAATTGTGTTTTCTTTCAAAAGAAGAAGAAGAAGAAGAAAAAAAGACAAGCAAGCAAGACAGAATTTCTTTCCACAATAAAAGTACTAGATTGTATGATACAAAAAAGTAACGTAAAAATTTGGATGTGGAAGTTAGAAAATTGCTGTTTTTCAGGCATTCAGAGAATGAGCAAAGAACTACAATGTAGAAGGGATGCCAGAGATAAAAAGAGTGGAGTGAAATATATATATGTATGAAAGAGAAATAATAACAATAAATATTTCAAATTTTTATGAACAGCTCAAAAACCTAATGACCTGAAGTTAAAGTGCTAAAATTTGAAAAATAAATACATAAATAAATAAATGAAAAAAGAATTAAATTCATGGATGTCATCATTACATTGTTGTTTTTTGTATTACAATTGGACGAAGACCCAGAGAGAAGCCCTAGAGGCCAACATGATGGAATGAGAAGTGGCAAAACAGAGATAAGCATGAACCTTTCCTCCTCTTTTAACCCAAAGACAGATATCATTTATTTTAATTATCACTGAAACAGCAATCCATGTGAAATTTCCTTTTTAAAAGTCTCTTCTATATCTTTTTTTTTAATTATACTTTAAGTTCTAGGGTACATGTGCACAACGTGCAGGTTTGTTACATATGTATACATGTGCCATGTTGGTGTGCTGCACCCATTAACTTGTCATTTACATTAGGTATATCTCCTAATGCCATCCCTCCCCCCTCCCACCTCCCCCCGACCCCACGACAGGCCCCAGTGTGTGATGTTCCCCTTCCTGTGTCCAAGTATTCTAATTGTGCAATTCCCACCTATGAGTGAGAACATGTGGTGTTTGGTTGTCTGTCCTTGCAATAGTTTGCTCAGAATGATGGTTTCCAGCTTCATCCATGTCCCTTCAAAGGACATGAACTCATCTTTTTGTATGGCTGCATAGTATTCCATAGTGTATATGTGCCACCTTTTCTTAATCCAGTCTATCATTGATGGATATTTGGGTTGGTTCCAAGTCTTTGCTATTGTGAATAGTGCCGCAATAAACATACATGTGCATGTGTCTTTATAGCAGCATGATTTATAATCCTTTGGGTATATACCCAGTAATGGGTTGGCTGGGTCAAATGGTATTTCTAGTTCTAGATCCTTGAGGAATCGCCACACCGTCTTCCACAATGGTTGAACTAGTTTATACTCCCACCAACAGTGTAAAAGTGTTCCTATTTCTCCACATCCTCTCCAGCACCTGTTATTTCCTGACTTTTAATGATCGCCATTCTAACTGGTGTGAGATGGTATCTCATTGTGGTTTTGATTTGATTTCTCTGATGACCAGTGATGATGAGCATTTTTTCATTGTGTCTGTTCGCCACATAAATGTTTTCTTTTGAGAAGTGTCTGTTCATATCCTTTGCCCACTTTGTGATGAGGTTGTTTGTTTTTTTCTTGTAAATTGGTTTGAGTTCTTTGTAGATTCTGGATATTAACCCTTTGTCAGATAAGTCCAATATCATACTGAATTGGCAAAAACTGGAAGCATTCCCTTTGAAAACTGGCACAAGACAGGGATGCCCTCTCTCACCACTCCTATTCAATATAGTGTTGGAAGTTCTGGCCAGGGCAATCAGGCAGGAGAAAGAAATAAAGGGTATTCAATTAGGAAAAGAGGAAGTCAAATTGTCCCTGTTTGCAGATGAAATGATTGTATATTTAGAAAACTCATCAACTCAGTCCAAAATCTCCTTAAGCTGATAAGTAACTTCAGCAAAGTCTCAGGATACAAAATCAATGTGCAAAAATCACAAGCATTCTTATACACCAATAACAGACAAATGGAGAGCCAAATCATGAGTGAACTCTCATTCACAATTGCTTCAAAGAGAATAAAATACCTAGGAATCCAACTTACAAGGGATGTGAAGGACCTCTTCAAGGAGAACTACAAAACACTGCTCAACGAAATAAAAGAGGACACAAACAAACGGAAGAACATTCCATGCTCATGGGTAGGAAGAATCAATATCGTGAAAATGGCCATACTGCCCAAGGTAATTTACAGATTCAATGCCGTCCCCATCAAGCTACCAATGACTTTCTTCACAGAATTGGAAAAAACTACTTTAAAGTTCATATGGAACCAAAAAAGAGCCTGCATTGCCAAGACAATCCTAAGCCAAAAGAACAAAGCTGGAGGCATCATGCTACCTGACTTCAAACTATACTACATGGCTACAGTAACCAAAACAGCATGGTACTGGTACCAAAACAGAGATATAGACCAATGGAACAGAACAGAGCCCTCAGAAATAATAGCACACATCTACAACCATCTGCTCTTTGACAAACCTGACAAAAACAAGAAATGGGGAAAGGACTCCCCATTTAATAAATGGTGCTGGGAAAACTGGCTAGCCATATGTAGAAAGCTGAAACTGGATCCCTTCCTTACACCTTATACAAAAGTTAATTCAAGATGGATTAAAGACTTAAATGTTAGACCTAAAACCATAAAAACCAAGAAAACCTAGGCAATACCATTCAGGACATAGGCATAGGCAAGGACTTCATGTCTAAAACACCAAAAGCAATGGCAACAAAAGCCAACATTGACAAATGGGATCTAATTAAACTCAAGAGCTTCTGCACAGCAAAAGAAACTACCATCAGAGCGAACAGGCAACCTACAGAATGGGAGAACATTTTTGAGACGGAGTTTTACTCTCGTTGCCCAGGCTGAAGTCCAATGGCGTGATCTTGGCTCACTGCAACATCTGCCTCCCGGGTTCAAGTGATTTTCCTGCCTCAACTTCCTAAATAGCTGGGATTACAAGTGCCCGCCACCACACCCAGCTAAGCTTTGTATTTTTAGTAGAGATGGGGGTTCACCATGTTGGCCAGGCTGGTCTCAAACACCTGACCTCAGGCATCCCAAAGTGCTGGGATTACAGGTGTGAGCCACCACATCTGGCCCTCTTCTAAATCTTTATAAAAGCTATTTCTTTTAAGAAATTTAGTGTTACCTTAAAATATTTTCAAGCTTTATTTTAAAATTTGAATCATACTATTTTTATTTATTTTGAAATATGAAATACTCGAAAGGGATCACAAATAAAATATTTTGTTGGCCGGGCGTGGTGGCTCACGCCTGTAATCCCAGCACTTTGGGAGGCCGAGGCAGGCAGATCACAAGGTCAGGAGATCGAGACCATCCTGGCTAATATGGTGAAACCCTGTCTCTACTAAAAATACAAAAAATTTGCCAGGCGTGGTGGCGGGCACCTGTAGTCCCAGCTACTCGGTAGGCTGAGGCAGGAGAATGGCATGAACCCGGGAGGCGGAGCTTGCAGTGAGCCGAGATCGCGCCACTGCACTCCAGCCTGGACGACTGAGTTGAGACTGCGTCTCAAAAACAAAAAAAAAATTTTGTTTAGTTTAAGTCACGTGTCCAACAATAGTACTAGTTGAGAAATGATAATGTTGCATCCTGACAAGTCATATTCCATCTGTCTCATTCTATGAGTTTTATAAAATGTTGAGATATTGAATTTGTGCCAAGACATTCTAGATAGCACTAATTTCTTTAAGTTCTGAAACTAGGCTCTTAAGAGTTTAAAGTCTCAAAGATAAATATTAAAGTTAAAACAAAAACCGGCCAGACACGGTGGCTCACACCTGTAATCCCAGCACTTTGGGAGGCTGAGGGGGCGAATCACGAGGTCAGGAGCTTGAGACCATCCTGGCTAACAAAGTGAAACCCGGTCTCTACTAAAACTACAAACAAATTAGCCGGGTATGGTGGTGGGCACCTGTACTCCCAGCTACTCTGGAGGCTGAGGCGGGAGAATGGCGTGAACCCGGGAGGCGGAGCTTGCAGTGAGCAGAGATCGCGCCACTGTACTCCAGCCTGGGCAACAGAGAGAGACTCCATCTCAAAAAGAAAAAAAAAACAAAAAAAACAATTGTGCACAGATTATCTTTTGATTACCTATGATTTGTTCTTGTTTAAAATACTGATATAATAACTGAAGAATACAGAGAAAGGCTAGGTCGAAAGAGTTTATTAAAGTCTTTCATTTAAAGTGTAATACACATTTCAAGAAGCGTGTTTGTTGTGTTCCTTTGTGGATGCTCAAGGCTGCGTTATGTTATATGAACACGAGAAGTTTTGTAAGTCTCCAGCTCATCCCAAGATTCTTCCTGTAGTTTCATTTTGGGCATCCCATTATTTGCCTGCAAACAGCCTGCTCCTGTACTGGAATCACTGACACAAACAACACGTGAATTATCATCCTCTTATTAAAAGGGGAGGTTTAAAAATGCTCTCTAGTTGATTTCTTGAGGTCCTAAAGGAAAGAAGGGGAGAAGAAAGAGAGTAGAAAGAAGGTGGGATAAATAAGGAACAGTAGGAAGAGAAACAGAGATTTAAAAAAAGTAGAATAAGTCAGAGAAAGACGAGCATGGGATGGAGAAAGAACCCGCTGAAAAATCGTTCCCTAAGCCTCTTGGATGCTTCATAAGTCACTCTAGAGTCATGTGGAATTTTAGCAAAGAGGAAGTCACTAAAATTTCCTCTCAATGAAAAGAAGGAAGAGAAAAATAACGGAAGGAAGGAAGGGTGGGAGAGAGAGAAAGAAAGGAAAGAAAGGGAAAGAAAGAGAAAAAGAAAGAGAAAGAGAGAAAGGAAGGAGGGAAGGAAGGGAGAAAGAAAGGAAAAAAGGAAAAAAGAAAGAGAACAAAAGAAAGAAAAAGAAGGAAGGAAGGAAAGAAGGAGAGAAAAAGAGAAAGAAAGAAAAGAGAGAGAGAGAAAGGAGGAGGAAGGAAAAGAAAAGAGTGGGATGGGGGAAGGAAATTTTCCTTCAGATACTAGTCAAGATTAAATTTAGAAATTTTAAAGTAGTTGATTTAAATAATTCTGAAGTGGAAGCTGCTACGTGCATGCTTCACGCTCGGGAAGGGAAATTAAAACGAGTAGTAGAGTTTGAGCAATTCTGAATACAAGTTCCTGTCATTATTGACACCTGAGGTTGAAGGTTGGAGTGAAAGGAGCACCTGGTTTCAGTTCAGTTTCCTATGGAATCTTATATACTTATTTATGAGGCATTTGATTACAGTCCAGGTGATAGCTGAAAGCTATTCATACTTATCAAGTTGTTTACAATTGTTCTTTCCTTTTAGCCTCAAAAAGGTTAGAATAGTATTTCCATTTTTATGGAGGGAGAAACTCAGGTTTAAGTAGGTTAAATAACTTGCGGTCTCAGAATTAGAAAGTTTATCACTCCAGTCTTTAAGTTTAAACCTTTCTGACCTCAAAGACAGCATGTTTTGAATTGTTTGGCAATGTTGCATAGTTATGTGGTATTTTCATTTCTATTTCCCCTGGTCCTTTTTCACTTTTTCATTAACTGACTTTATTCTGCAGTAGGTGAATTCGTGGACCACTTCCTTCTCTTTGAAATGCTCATTTACCATAATTGACTTAACATCATTCTCTCCTCTTAACTCCCACATCCTCAGCCTCCTGCCAATGTATTATTTTGTAAGTCATTATTCTTTTGTTCATGTTTTCTTTTTCTTTCTTCATACACTATTATTTGGTTGATCACCTGTTCCATCCTTTAGTGCATATAGTAGTGCAATTATGGCTTCTTTACAGAGACTCCTGATTCTCTAATGACAGTCCACTTTACCTCTCCTAAGTTCCATGTATCCATCAGTATGCCAAAGTTCTCAAATTGTCTCCACTGGCGTCTGAAATGTAAACCTCAAGCTGACATATTCTTCACTACAATCTTTTTGCTGTAAGTATATTCCTTCTAAAATATTGATGTATTTTAGCTCACATGACCAAATGTAGCAACTTGGGCATTATTACTCCTGACTCTTTCATCCTAACAATTTCTTTGGTGAGTCAGTTCCTTTGTAAACTTAAAATAAATGCTGGTTTTAAGAGGCACAGTTCAGATAACCTATCCTAATTCCTGTGAGGGCCAACGGGAACATGTCCCAAGTGTAATACTTGACCTACATCAGCACAATCAGATGAAGGATACTTTTTTTTCTTTGAAAGTTTCTTTTTCAAACAAAAAAGAAACCCAGACTAGGACTTAAAAAGCAGTCTTAGTAAAAGCTGGAATACTCAGTAACTCAGGAGAACATGAATCTCACCTCCGGTTTTCTTAGGCTGGATACTTAGCTTCTGATGCATCCTCTGTGCAGCCTCATGACTAACATTTGACATTCATGCAAGAAAGGAAAATGCCATGCTAGCATTCTTATGATGACATGATAGATGGAAGTGGGACCTTTGACATAAGTAACTCCAATTAATTTCTTTGTTGAGGGAAGTTTTAGATTTTATAGAGCCTGAAAACTGCTACTCGAAGATGTCTTTAAAGCATTAACCTTGAAAATGTTACAGTCACCACTACCCTACACACACACACACACATACACACACTACTGCTAGAAAACAGAGTGAGTAGTACAATTAACAAAAGGCTTGACCTTACATACATAGGTAGCAGAGATCATCTGGGATTGGAAGCTATGTTTTAAAATCCGTTGGGCAAGGGAAGAATCTGGGAGTAATGTTAGTGAGGAATAGATGGTCAATTTGGTGGGTGGAAGAAAGAAGATTACTTTTATGATATCCTCAAAAACAGCTCTGTAATTTTGAGGGTCAGGGTATATTCCTTGTTATAAAGACTCACTCAACCAAACAGAGCAGAGAGTATTATGCCACATCAGCAGATATCTAGCTTCTGCAATAAATACATACTAAGCACATGAAACTGGCCTTACCGGAGTATCCTGAGTTCTGACAAAAACCTTTGGAGAGCATCTCTCTCTCTCTCTCTCTCTCTCTCTCTCTCTCTCTTAGTTAGGATAAGTTTTTGTTATGATTTGATGGTTTTAGAGGAGGCAGATAACGTAGCCTGCCTACCAGTTTACCAGATATTTCTCAAGGTGATCTATGAATAAGACATGGGTTCGCTGGGCATGCTGGCTCACGCTGGTAGTCCCAGCACTTTGGGAGGCCGAGGTGGGTGGATCACTTGAGGTCAGGAGTTCAAGACCAGCCTGGCCAACATGGTGAAACCTTGTCTCTACTGAAAAAAATAAAAATAAAAAAAAATAAGCTGAGCGTGGTGGTGCATGCCTGTAATCCCAGCTACTCAGGAGGCTGAGGCAGGAGAATCACTTGAGCCCAGGAGGCAGAAGTTGCAATGAGTCAAGATCATGCCACTGCACTTCAGCCTGGGTGACAGAGTGAAACTCAGTCTCAAAGAAGAAAAAAAAAAAGACTTGGGCTCAAACTGTGGTTCTCTACCCTGTTTCCTGGCTGCTGTATTGGACAAAAATAATGGAATATTTGTCAATTATTCTTAGACAGATCAAAGACGACTTGAGGAGAGGGGTTGTGCTTAATTAATCTTGTTATTTCAGGAGTCAATGACAGTGCCTTAAAATAATTAGTATTTGGTAAATGTTGCCAGTCAAGTGGCATTAGTTAAGCTGATGGGAACCTACTTAAAAATAAAATTCTGACTTTTGTTTTAGTAATAAACCAGCATTTATAATTCAAATAAATATTTTAAATAAATGAATGGTTTAATCCTAGCTAAAATACTTAAATATGAAGTAAAGTTAAATAGTGTATTAGTTTGTTAGGGCTGCCATAACAAAATACCACAGATTGTTTGGCTAAACAATAGAAATGTACATTTCACAATGCTGGAGGCTGGAGAGTCAAGATAAGGAACAGCAGATTTGGGTCTTGGTGAGGGCTTTTTTTTCCTGGCCTGCGAATGATTGCCTTCTGACTGTGTCCTCATTTGGAGAAAAGGGAGCTCTGGTTTCTTCCTCTTCTTAAAAGGGCACTAATCCCATCTTTATGGTTCCACCCTCATGATTGCCTCTAAATCTAATTACCTCCCAAAAGCTGATGCCCACATACCATCACATTGGGAGTTAGAGCTTCAACATATGAATATTGGCAGAGACTCAGTTTAGTCCATAGCACTTGATATGGTTTGGCTGTATCCCCACCCAAATCTCATCTTGAATTCTAGCTCCCATAATCCCCATGTGTCATGGGAGAGACCCAGTGAGACTTAATGGAATCATGGTAGTGGGTTTTTCCCCTGCTATTCTCATGATAGTGAATAAGTCTCATGAGATCTGATGGTTTTATAAAGGTCAGTTCCCCTACACACACTCTCTTGACTGCCACCATGTAAGATGTGACTTTGCTTGTCTTTCGCCTTTTGTCATGATTGTGAGGCCTCCCCAGGCATGTGGAACTATCAGTCCCTTAAATCTCTTTTTCTTTATAAATCACCCGGTCTCTGGTATTTCTTCATAGCAGTATGAAAATGAAGTAATACAAAACTCTTTGTATTTTAAAATACGCTTTATAAACTTTCTGTCTAAAGACAACGTGTCTTCTACAAGATATTTGCTCCATAAAAATATGCTTAAATAGTATATTTAAGTCACAAAGAATATATGATGTCCTCTGCTGAATGTAATTTTCCAATGCCTATATTCAGTAGAGAAGCTGGAAGCAAAAGGATGTGACATTTTAAATCCAATGTATTATTTTGTTAATGCTGTTATATCACTTTTCATAACATACTCTCTTGCCAGAAAAGTAAACAGCTTTATCTTTGCTATGTCTGAGAGTTTTACATACAAGAAAGTTTGGTTAGGCATCTCCAAATGCTATTCATGCTATGATTTTGTGATGTCAATGATATTTGACATGTTAAATTGCATAACACTCAAAGCAAGTTTATCTTGACATTTATGAATAATGACATTTACAGAGGAAAAAAAGTCTTGTTTTTTCAGATTTTTATGAACATTAATAGAGGCTTCTGTATCAGTATAAGACTGGGAAATTTAAACATTTAGATGTTTCAAAGACAAAAGATTTAGTATTTTTAAACTTTCAAAACATTTATTTCATTCCATATTATATACACACAAGAAAAGTGTGTTTTTTTCTTCATACAGGTAACATATGTACAAATGGAAGTCCTCATAAATGTTTTAATTTGTGATAATCTTTAATATATGTTTAGTAGTAGTGTTTGATTTTAAATATCATTCAAACACAGCTGTACCTATCATTGGTTTTCCAAGTATTATTAAGTCTCTTAGCTCACTAACGGAATGATGATTTTCTTGAAAACCAAAATAAATGTATACCTAGGTGAGCCAATTTGTAAACGATATCGATAATGAACTTTTTAATTATCTAGGTGTTAATTTGGTCACTTTGGAAATAATTAATGATAGTATGAATACAGAGAATAAATAAAATCAATTCTGTCATAGATGAAAAATAATTCTATAATAAAAAACCATCTTAAATCAATGAAGAATTAAATGACATTCTAAATCATCTTTTTCATGAAATGAAAGTAGAATTTTTTTGTTACTGTTCTAGTCAATATTATTTAGGATCCTTACAACAACGCTTTGGTATAGTTTGTGATATCCTTACTTTAATTATAAGATGTCAGAGTAAGCATGTTTCTTAAATATCAGGCATATAACTTGTGAGAAGGTGAACTGAAGGTCAAACATAGGTCTATAGGACTATAATTACAGTGCATGTTTCATTATATTGATTGTAATTTAGTGTCCATGGTTTTCACTGAACAGATGGATTCTGTGGTAGTACAGCATGATGCATGTCATACCACTGAGCACCAAGTTTATTTCAGAAGATTTGACTGGCTTTCTGGCCAAGCACCTGCTTCCTAATCAATAGCCCAATGTTGGTCCCAAGTTATAGTAGAAAAGATTAGACTCTGCAGGAAAAAGAAATGTATATGATGTAGAAAAGCACACAAAAATAGCGAAGAAACAAATAGCTTATGTCTATTGCCTTTCCTTGACTAAACAGTTTAATCAAAGTGAAATATTGCTCCAGTTCAGCATTCTGTATTAGGACGATTCTATCTAGTGAAAACATTTATAAAGTTTTAAAATAATTCTATAGATTGAAATGATGTTGATTTGACATTTGATATGAGGAATAATTAAGGAGTTTATGGTCATCACAAGCACTATTTTCATTGCTATATTTTTTCTCTTAAATAAACATATTTATTCCTTGTTATATTACTCCTTTGTAGCTAAACATTGTATATACTAGTATTAATCAATATTTTTTCAAAATTAACTTATGCTTCTTAGTTCATTTTCTCAAAATCAGAAAACATAATCTTTCTGTTAAATTTGAGCCTTTAATTGGGGAACCTTATGCTCTTATTGCACTGGGTAAAGAGCATTATAAAATCAGTCACAAATTATTAGTCTTCATATGTGGCTACTGGAGAATTTTCCATTTTAGAAACTGAAGCAACAAACATCCTGTTTTATTTTATATTCCACAATAAAATGAACTTGAGTTCTGCCATTGTTGAATGGTAAGTGTCTAAGAATCCTACTCAAGAAGGGGTTCCGATTTCACACGTTATGGATGGAAGAAGTGTGCTCATACTGGCTCTTGTGATATTTGTTTCTATAAGGAATATTGACTCCTTTTTAACTTAATAAAAAATAATAATAATTACTGTCAGAATAGGCAAGAAAAAATCACTTTTTATACTTGTAAGAAATTAGTAGGAGGAAACAACAACACACATATGGCATATGAGTTTGCAGAAAGTAATATTACTAGGCATGTAATTCATAAAAGCAGAGCACAAAGCAGCCTTTTAAGAGGCTGACTTTTGTGAACTGGACCTGAATGAGCCTAATGTTCCCTAGTTGCTGATTTGGAAACATAAAGGGTTTGGATCACAAAAATGGCATTTTGAAACAAATTGGCCTTTGTACTCTGCGGTCATAGCCTTGAGATATGAATAATTTTCCAAGCAACATTTCAAAATAAGGGAAGTGTTCATCACAAGATGGAAAACAAAATAGTCAAGCAATAGAATGTTAGGAAGATGAGCATGAACCCATCATTACATTGCTTATAGGCATGTTCCATAGTTATCATTTTCTATCAGTGCAAAATATAATATATGGATTGGAAAAAAAAAGTCCAAATAGAAAAATGTTAATAACTCTATGCTAGTTTAAGAAGAACGATGTAGCAAAACTGATGATTGAAGAATGATGTGAAAACACATTCAGTACAGTGTGGGTGGGAGAATTTCCTCACAAACCCCCTGAGATATACATTTCCAGTCTCTGAGTTACAGCCTCTGCTTTCTGTCCACCCTTTTCAGTTGTCCTGGCTATTGTCTAAGTTAGTGCCAGAAGTCTGGTTTTAAATATAGGGAAAAACAGCCAAGATGAAAATGCACCTAGAGTTTAAAGTTAGCAAATGCAGAAATGTTTCACAGAATAAGATGAGAAACTTGAATAATTTTGCTAGGTTATCCATATTTGCCAACTGACTGGTGAATAGATTAACTCAATATATGGGTCTTCTTTTGTCTTTTTTTTTTTTTTTTTTTTTGGCAGAGTCTCACTCTGTCACCTAGTCTGGTGTGCAGTGGTGAGATCTTGGCTCACTGCAAACTCTGCCTCCTGGGTTAAAGCGATTCCCCTGCCTCAGCCGCCTGAGTAGCTGGAATTATAGGCAGCACCACCACATCCAGCTAATTTTTGTATTTTTAGTGGAAACGGGGTTTCAACATGTTGGCCAAGCTGTTCTCAAACTCCTAACTTCAAGTGATCCAGCCAACTCGGCCTCCCAAAGTGCCAGGATTGCAAGTGTGAGCCACCGCACCTGGCCTTTTTTCTAATTCTTATGTCAGCTAACTATTGGGCAAATAGTATAACCTCCATCAACTTCATTTTTTTAAGCTGTAAATAGAGGAAGTTAAACTAATGGTTCTTGAGATTCCATGCAGTGAAAACATGTATAAAGTTTTAAAATAATTCTATGGATTGAAATGACGTTGATTTGACATTTGATATATATTCTAGAAAAAAATACAAATCCCAACCAAAAGTAATAAATGATATTTAAATTACAAACTGTCAGATAAACAGTGACGTCTCTTTTGTTTACCTCATTTAAATGTTGATAAGAGGAAATGGAATTGAAATCCAAATTATACTGTCCAGCTGAATCAGAAGTAATTTGAGACCTTGGAGAAGCTGGAAAGGTGGACTAGAAACACACAAAACAGAAGAAGAATTCTACAAAAAAGGTAACATGAATGCCACACATTTTCCAATATGAGATTTTGCTCAGAAATCACACAGACTGATGATTGGATTGAGAGACAAATCTTATAAATAATTTTATTGTACGACTAGAAATATTAAAATAAATATCAATTTCTAAAAGTTTTCTAAAAATGAACATGAAATTTTATTTTTCATGTGCATCAGCTACACTTTGATTTCTTGAATGTAGCAAATGTTTATAGTATATGTAATCTGGACATATTTTGAATATAATATTTATTATAATGTTGTGTTTTGAAATACTAATACATTTGTAAAAATGTCAACATCAACTTCATGGTCATTAGTTTTTCTCTGTGAAATGGTATTCAAATCCTTCAAGAAAACAGGTGTGAAAAACACTTGATACAGGAAAATAAAATTGAATATGATAAAAACACAGAAGGTGTTTCATCACAAGCTCAGCAAGTGCAAGTGGTGTATCTAAAGATTGTGCAAGTCAGGAACCACTGTCACATCCTGTTGCATTAACCAGCTCCCATTATGCCAAAGTATCTTCATTCTTTCTATATTTGATTTCTGCTCTTAAGTAGGGGCCAGAAATCATCATTTGCTTTGAATATTCTGATAGAGGTGAACTCTCAGCTACCACCAATTAAATGCCTTTCAATATAGTCTTGACTTCTATACTAGGGAATATCCGGGCCCCTTCTACAACTAATTCTGAATATGCTTTGGCATTATTTTCAAGTTATCCCAATCTGGACAGAAAAATTGGAGGATTCTTGGTCTCTTAGGCACCACGGTATCTCGGGAGTCTGTAAAGTTTGCTGCACATTTTTCAAGGATAGATTTAATTTTTATTTTCTTCTTTACACTTCCTGCATTTTGCAGTGATAGTTTTATTCTTATGGCTGCATATACAAAAAAATTCTTTTTATTTCTAATATACATAGAGTAAAACACATACACACAAAGACACACATACATACATAGACAATATATATTTTTGATGTCTCCTAGATTAATTTTCTCATGAATATTCCTTACTTTTCAAAATTGTTTTGTAAGCTAAGGAGCATAACTTGTGTTTTCATTCTTAAAAGCATATAGTTAATAATAATGTATATTGCATATTTCAAAGTAAGTAGAAGAGAGGACTTTAAATGTTCTAATCACAAAAAA
The DNA here is from genome assembly GCF_000001405.40 of Homo sapiens. NCBI lineage: Eukaryota > Metazoa > Chordata > Mammalia > Primates > Hominidae > Homo > Homo sapiens. The sequence goes on along the minus strand of NC_000018.10, from coordinate 66,727,509 downwards.
TATAATGACAGGCGGAAAGGCGCGGTGGCTCATGCCTGTAATCCCAGTACTTTGGGATGCCAAGACGGGCAGATCACTTGAGGTCAGGAGTTCGAGACCAGCCTGGCCAAAATGGTGAAATCCCGTCTCTACTAAAAATACAAAAATTAGCCTGGCGTGGTGGTGCTCGACTGTATTCCCAGCTACTTAGGAGGCTGAGGCATGAGAATCACTTGAATCCGGGAGGCAGAGGTTGCAGTGAGCCAAGATTGCACCCTGCTCTCCAGCCCAGAAGGTAGAGTGAAACTGTGTCTCATAAAAAAAAAAAAAAGTGTTCGAAGTGATGGATATGTTAATTACCCTGATTTGATCATTGCACAATGTATCCATGTATTGAAACATAACATAGTCCACCAATAATATGTACAATTATCATCTGTCAATTACAAACAAAAATAAATATTATTTTAAAAGCACACAGTGAAATATTTTCATATACAACTCACTGAAAAAAACATAATGGTCAAGATTTATCAAATCTTAACTTGTGGGAGAGTTTGTGCTAAGTGAAATTACCATCTCTAGTTGTTAGATGAAATGAGTGAGGCTTTGGTTAAATGAGTTGAGGTCACAGGGCCTGCAAGACAATGCATGTTAAAGCTTAGTCTATTCGATTTCAAGATCATGCATTTCATTTATTTGCAAGTGTCACCCTATTATTTTCTGCCATTCTGTTTATAATGGTTTATACCAACTGAGCATATCAGAAATATATACTGTAATCCAAAATAAACTTCTTTAAGTTTCATCTTGCAGCTTTTCCCCAATTTTGTGAATGTATGATTCAGGATTTTGGGTGCGTTCCATGAGTTTTGCACACTAGTTTGATCAGCCACAGATAACCTGTGAGCTATGTGTGTAGCTATAATCCGTGTGCTGTGTATGCATTTGATTCATTTACCTGCAGTGGCCAGGCATCAGTCAAACTGTGACCAATCTATTGTCCTCATCAAGGCATGGGAGCCTTTGCCCTTCATTTGCCTTCTCTGATTCCTCCATTGCCTGCTTTTGCTGTGAAAAGACAGCTAGATTAGAGCAGGGCCCTGCCTTCCAGGGACTCACATCTAGTAGGAAAGAAAAGGCAAAGGCATAAGTTGATGAGTGAATTTTAAAATGTAGTAGAATCATATAGTACATGTTCTGGGAGTGTTTCAATGCCACCCTCCTCTCCACCATCATGTCCTTGCTTTGGAGATCTTATAAGCATTTGACACAGTGTTCTACTTTCCCTTAGATTTTCCTATTTCTCTTTCTGGCTGCAGACCCTACAGCACAGGCTACTCACAAGATACTCCTGCACTGCTCAGGTAATATTTCCAACAACCTGTGGGGCCCTCTCTCCTGAGTCACAAGTGCCTTTATGTTATTAGGTTTCTCCTATAAACCACCATCCTAAAATAAATACATAAATAAAATGCTATGGTAAGATAAATTAATTAAACTAAACTAGCATAGTATGTATTTATCTGGCACCTTTGCTTTGGTAAGCTGGCTGGAAGGGTTTAACCAACTCTCCTCTACCCACCCAGAGAAAATGGCTCAGGATCTGTCACAGAGCTCTGGGAATCAGATATGTGAACAAGCACTATGAGCCTTCCAGTGCACCAGCTGGCATGATCCCACCCTGGAGGAGGGCCTCAGCTACCCCATTTATCTTATAAGTAGCAAAGCAATGTTTAAGTTTTATTTGTTTGTTTATTCATTTATTTATTTATTTATTTAGAGACAGTGTCTCACTCTGTGGTCCAGGCTGAGTGCAGTGGCATGATCACGGCTCACTGCAGCCTCAAACCCCTGGGCTCAAGCAAGCCTCCTGCCTCAGCCTCCCAAATAGCTGAGACTACAAGCATGTGCCACATGCCTAGAACAGTTATTATTATGATTATTTGTAGAGATTGGGTCTTTCTATGTTGCCCAGGCTGGTGTCAAACTCCTAGACACAAGCAATTCTCCCACCTCAGTTTCCCAAAGTGCTGGGATTATAGGCGTGAGCCATTATGCCCAACCACAATGCTACAGTTTCTTATTATGCCTTAAAACATACACTTTTATTAAACCTGTTTGTGTGGAGAAATATTGTACTAGAGGTGACTTTCAGTGCTTCCTACCAGTTAGACATGGTTAATTCTCTCTTCTATGTTCCTCATAAAAAGCCCTGTGCATATACCATTTATGCCTTTTACAAAAACATATTAAAATGTGAATTGACCTGAGTTTCTTTCATTTAGAAAGTAGGCAATCTGACCGCAAGAGCTAGTTTCATTTGTCCTTGCAGTTTTTATAGCAAAGCCTATGCCTGTCATATATCAGATAGACAAGAGACTTGAACTGTTTTGGGAATGAATGTATCAGAAATCACTCTGTCTTAGTGGTATTTCAGAGAGTACTCTTGATTTTACATTTTCACTGTGACTTCTGAACAATATATTCAAGATCTGTAATAACTCTGTGTTTCCTTGAGAAAAATTTGATTGTAGAACAGTCAAGTTCTACAATAAACAGCTGTTCAAAAAGGCAAATATCTGCGCTTAGGGACTAAGCTGCTCATGGAGTCAGTACTTGTGGTTTGTTTGCAAAGCCGCCTACCTTTGGCATGGTTTCTTGTATTTCCACTTCATTTCTGACTGGGGTGTGGCAACATGAACTTTCTCCTCTTATTGATTCCTAGCAGTTCACAATTCTACCACAAAGCGTGATCTTGTTTTACAATATGTCTTTGTTCAGCTTGCAAAATTCAGGACAGTACATTCTGAAATTCACTATCATTGATATAAACATAGCTTCATCCACAAGAGATATGAGCGTATGCTCTGTTCTCTGTCTTCTGAAGTTTGATTTCTTTCTCATCTGGTTCTTAATGTCATTGCTAATGTTCCTCATTTGGGAATAAATAGGAAGAATTGTAGTGACATTATAATGTGTTGTACAAGACTTTGTATACCTCATATGGGTAATGCTTTTGGAGGCTAGAGGGAAGACTTTTAAAGGATGATATTTGTATTGTCATATTTTTAAAATAAAGTCTCAGAATAAAATGATTTTGCAAAGATGCCTTCTTCATAAAGATTCTGATAAGCAATTGACAGTATAACCTGAGACTGAGAAGAAAATAGTGAATAGAATGTAAAAAAATAACTAGAGTTATTCTTTAATAACCAACCATAGCCAACTTTTTCTAATTAGTTGTGGAGCTTTTTAAAGTATATAGCAGAGATATAATGGCTTTCTACGTCCATTTAATTTTGCAGTTTTGATGTAGTAAAAGATTCTCCCAGAGTCTAAGGAAGCTTTCTGGACCCCTCTCTACTACTAACCTACTTCCCAATCCCTGTTAGAGTTCCACTTTTCCAGAAACCCACGATTACAAGTGTAAGTGCTCTCAGAACATGGCTCTCAGTTTTCTCCCACTTACACTTTCCTTTCAGACTAGAACCCTTCCTATCCCAAAGACTGAAGCAAATGCAACCTACATGCCATCTAAAGCATCAACTTCAGTTACCGTTGATGTAGCTAAAATAGCAAAAGATTTCTTAGAGGAGACAGTCTTTCTTTCTCAGATTTAAATCAGAAAGGGCCCTTTCTGCATGCTAATATTTCACATCTTGGACAGACTGAAAGATCAGCCCTCCAAAGCCAATGAATGCAGTTGTTCATATTGAACAAGCATAGCTTGTAGACTATAATAATCACACACATTTATTTGTCTCAAACTTTACTTTCAACCTAACTTAGTGGAGGAAACATTCATTCTGTCCTGAATGAAATTTCTGCAGGCCCTGAGACTTTTCTGCTCAGCGTAAGATAAAAGACAGGTCAGACATATTCCCCCTTTAGTGTCTCTATTCTTTGGTATGTCTGAATATTTGCTGAATTAAAAAAAAATGATATTTTAAAAGGATTGAAGCCAGGTGCAGTGGTTCATGCTTACCATCCCAGCATTTTGGAAGGCTGAAGTGGATGGATCACTTGAGCTCAGGAGTTCGAGACCAGCCTGGCCAACATGGTGAAACCCCCGTCTCCACTAACAGCACACAAAAAATTAGCTTGACATGGTGTTGGACTCCTGTAATCCCAGCTACTCAAGAGGCTGAGGCAGGAGGATCCCTTGAACCTGGGAGGGGGAGGTTGCAGTCAGCCTGGGTGACAGAACAAGACTCTGTATCAAAAGGAAAAAAAAAAAAAGGATATTGAGACCCACATAAAATAGTACTATTTTCATTTGTGTTTAATTTTTGTTGAAAGTTCAGACGACTTGCTGCTGCTCCTTTTAACTGATTTATGTTATTAAAAAATTGTTGACCCTTGGAGAAATATACTGTTATTTACATCTGATATTTATATGTAGAGGTAAATTTTCTGTAGAAGAGAATCTAGCAAGGATTCTAGGCAGGATTGGCTAGAGAAGAAGGTGAAAAAACCAACACGTATACATCTAAACAATTGGGCCATTCTATCTCCCTCAAATTTTGCTGATATCAAATAGAATGAAGACAGGAAATTGCCCACTAAATGTGGCAACATGGAAGTCAATGTCAGAACGTTCTGACAAATGATAAAGGAAACAATTGTGGTTTATTTCTTGAATAATGTTTTAGAAAAATGAGAACTGTTTTGATTCACTGCAGAACTGGAGAGCTTGGCCGTAGATAGGCAGGGCCGTTATTCCATTCTAACAAGTGGAAAACCATGGTTTCCGGGTACAGTTAGAGTAAGAGATTTAATGGTATCAAGATGAACCATTCCATTTGTTTGCTTCTTTTTCCCTGTTGAAATAAATCAAGGCCATTTCTTACAGGTATGCAATGAAGAAGTTGTACTGGTAATGTAAAGAGAATACTCACTACCACAGTCCTTTCTGAAATTGGGAGAATGCTTTGACTAGAGAAAATTAGCAGGCTTGTTTACCCTGCTGAGTTGCAGTGGTAAATTTCGGTTGATATAAGTCAGAATGGTTGGCATTCAACCTTAAACTGCTCAGAAACAGACATCAAGTAAGTAGAATTAGCATTCAAGGAAACCGTGACAGAGTGGGGGAGAAGGGTGTTGAAGGTGTGTGTAAAAGAATAAATATTTTTTAGAAGCCTCAAAATCCTAGATGAACCATGAGGAATGTGGAGACATGAGGGAGATGGTCAGTGAGTAGTTGAGAGTCTCAATGGATTGGAGGTCCTTGTTGGAGCAAATAATTTCTAGAAATGTGCCCCTTGAATGAATGTTAGCATTCCATTTTAATTATCTATTGATGTTTTAGCTATGGCTGTTTGCATTTTTTCAATATTGCTCTAGAGATTACATTGTGCCTTTTCAACATATTAGTCTGCTTAAAGTTACCATTATACTACTTCACATAAAATAAGTTGAAACAAAATAGTTGCTGCTTTCTCACTGTTTGTGTGATGTGTGTGTAATCATTGTGATATAGAGTTATAATATTTTTCAACAATTGTATATTATTTAAAGAAATTAAGAGAGGAAAATGTATATTTAAAAATATTTGCCTACATATTTGGCATGTCTGCTGCTCCTTCTTCTTCCCTACACATCTGAGTGTCCATCTGGTGTCAGTACTGTGTTGCTGATGGACTTCTTTTAGTGTTTCTAGAAGTATAGGTCTGTTGGTTTAAAAAAAAAGTTTCTCCAATTTTATTTTAATATAATACTTTGCCTTACTGAGAGGTGAAGCCAGCTGGATGTCCTGGGTTGAGTGGGGATTTGGAGAACTTTTCTGTCTAGCTAGAGGATTATAAACACACCAATGAGCACTCTGTAAAAACGCACCAATCACTGCTCTGTGTGTAGATAAAGGATTGTAAACGCATGAATCAGCACTCTGTAAAATGGACCAATCAGCAGGACGTGGGTGGGGACAAATAAGGAAATAAAAGCTGGCCACCCCCCAGCCAGCAGCGGCAACCTGCTCAGGTCCCCATTCCATGCTGTGGAAGCTTTGTTTTTCTTTTTTTTTTTTTAGCATAATTGTTCATTTTTATTTTATTTTTTGTTTCTGAAAAATTTGTTTTTACTATTTATTTTTTATTTTTTTTTATTTTTTTCTAAGAAGTAAATTTCAGCACATTTTAAAAGAAAAAATATGTGTAAGAAAGGCATAATTTGTCTGATAAATGATTTTTATTATTTACGTTATGTGCTAATTATCCAAGATCTGAGTGCATCATTCATATTGATACATATTAATAGAACAAAATAAAAAAATACTTTTCAAATGATAATAAACAGCACCATGATTTCTACTGCTTTTTCTTTAATAATTTCCTTTTTTTTTTTTTTTATGGCCACTTCAGTGCGAAGCCTTTTATACCCTCAAGATTGGTCTAAGGTTCATAAGGCCAGTTTTTTTTTTTTAATTTATTATTATTATACTTTTAAGTTTTAGCATACATGTGCACAATGTGCAGGTTAGTTACATATGTATACATGTGCCATGCTGGTGCGCTGCACACACTAACTCGTCATCTAGCATTAGGTATATCTCCCAGTGCTATCCCTCCCCCTTCCCCTCACCCCACAACAGTCCCCAGAGTGTGATGTTCCCCTTCCTGTGTCCACGTGTTCTCATTGTTCAATTCCCACCTATGAGTGAGAATATGCAGTGTTTGGTTTTTTGTTCTTGCGATAGTTTACTGAGAATGATGATTTCCAATTTCATCCATGTCCCTACGAAGGACGTGAACTCATCATTTTTTATGGCTGCATAGCATTCCATGGTGTATATGTGCCACATTTTCTTAATCCAGTCTATCATTTTTGGACATTTGGGTTGGTTCCAAGTCTTTGCTATTGTGAATAATGCCGCAATAAACATACGTGTGCATGTGTCTTTATAGCAGCATGATTTATAGTCCTTTGGGTATATACCCAGTAGTGGGATGGCTGGGTCAAATGGTATTTCTAGTTCTAGATCCCTGAGGAATCGCCACACTGACTTCCACAATGATTGAACTAGTTTACAGTCCCACCAACAGTGTAAAAGTGTTCCTATTTCTTCACATCCTCTCCAGCACCTGTTGTTTCCTGACTTTTTAATGATTGCCATTCTAACTGGTGTGAGATGGTACCTTATTTTGGTTTTGATTTGCATTTCTCTGATGGCCAGTGATGGTGAGCATTTTTTCATGTGTTTTTTGGCTGCATAAATGTCTTCTTTTGAGAAGTGTCTGTTCATGTCCTTCACCCACTTTTTGATGGGGTTGTTTGTTTTTTTCTTGTAAATTTGTTTGAGTTCATTGTAGATTCTGGATATTAGCCCTTTGTCAGATGAGTAGGTTGCGAAAATTTTCTCCCATGTTGTAGGTTGCCTGTTCACTCTGATGGTAGTTTCTTTTGCTGTGCAGAAGCTCTTTAGTTTAGTTAGATCCCATTTGTCAATTTTGGCTTTTGTTGCCATTGCTTTTGGTGTTTTGGACATGAAGTCCTTGCCCATGCCTATGTCCTGAATGGTAATGCCTAGGTTTTCTTCTAGGGCTTTTATGGTTTTAGGTCTAAGGTTTAAGTCTTTAATCCATCTTGAATTGATTTTTGTATAAGGTGTAAGTAAGGGATCCAGTTTCAGCTTTCTACATATGGCTAGCCAGTTTTCCCAGCACCATTTATTAAATAGGGAATCCTTTCCCCATTGCTTGCTTTTCTCAGGTTTGTCAAAGATCAGATAGTTGTAGATATGCGGCGTTATTTCTGAGGGTTCTGTTGTGTTCCATTGATCTATATCTCTGTTTTGGTACCAGTACCATGCAGTTTTGGTTACTGTAGCCTTGTAGTATAGTTTGAAGTCAGGTAGTGTGATGCCTCCAGCTTTGTTCTTTTGGCTTAGGACTGACTTGGCAATGCAGGCTCTTTTTTGGTTCCATATGAATTTTAAAGTAGTTTTTTCCAATTCTGTGAAGAAAGTCATTGGTAGCTTGATGGGGATGGCATTGAATCTGTAAATTGCCTTGGGCAGTTGGCCATTTTCATGATATTGATTCTTCCTACCCATGAGCATGGAATATTCTTCCATTTTTTTGTATACTCTTTTATTTCCTTGAGCAGTGGTTTGTAGTTCTCCTTGAAGAGGTCCTTCACATCCCTTGTAAGTTGGATTCCTAGGTATTTTATTCTCTTTGAAGCAATTGTGAATGGGAGTTCACTCATGATTTGGCTCTCTGTTTGTCTCTTGTTGGTGTATAAGAATGCTTGTGATTGTTGTACATTGATTTTGTATCCTGAGACTTTGCTGAAGTTGCTTATCAGCTTAAGGAGATTTTGGGCTGAGACAATGGGGTTTTCTAGATATACAATCATTTCATCTGCAAACAGGGACAATTTGACTTCCTCTTTTCCTAATTGAATACCCTTTATTTCCTTCTCCTGCCTAATTGCCCTGGCCAGAACTTCCAACACTATATTGAATAGGAGTGGTGAGAGAGGGCATCCCTGTCTTGTGCCCGTTTTCAAAGGGAATGCTTCCAGTTTTTGCCCACTCAGAATGATATTGGCTGTGGGTTTGTCATAGATAGCTCTTATTATTTTGAGATATGTCCCATCAATACCTAATTTATTGAGTTTTTAGCATGAAGGGTTTTTGAATTTTGTCAAAGGCCTTTTCTGCATCTATTGAGATAATCATGTGGTTTTTGTCTTTGGTTCTGTTTATATGCTGGATTACATTTATTGATTTGCCTATATTGAACCAGCCTTGCATCCCAGGGATGATGCCCACTTGATCATGGTGGATAAGCTTTTTGATGTGCTGCTGGATTCAGTTTGCCAGTATTTTATTGAGGATTTTTGCATCAATGTTCATCAAGGATGTTGGTCTAAAATTCTGTTTTTTGGTTGTGTCTCTGCCTGGCTTTGGTATCAGGATGATGCTGGCCTCATAAAATGAGTTAGGGAGGATTCCCTTTTTTTCTATTGATTGGAATAGTTTCAGGAGGAATGGTACCAATTCCTCCTTGTACCTCTGGTAGAATTCGGCTGTGAATCCATCTGGTCCTGGACTCTTTTTGGTTGGTAAGCTATTGATTATTGCCACAATTTCAGCTCCTGTTATTGGTCTATTCAGAGATTCATCTTCTTCCTGGTTTAGTCTTGGGAGAGTGTATGTGTCGAGGAATTTATCCATTTCTTCTAGATTTTCTAGTTTATTTGCGTAGAGGTGTTTGTAGTATTCTCTGATGGTAGTTTGTATTTCTGTGGGATCGGTGGTGATATCCCCTTTATCATTTTTTATTGCATCTATTTGATTCTTCTCTCTTTTTGTCTTTATTAGTCTTGCTAGCGGTCTATCAATTTTGTTGATCCTTTCAAAAAACCAGCTCCTGGATTCATTAATTTTTTGAAGGGTTTTTTGTGTCTCTATTTCCTTCAGTTCTGCTCTGATTTTAGTTATGTCTTGCCTTCTACTAGCTTTTGAATGTGTTTGCTCTTGCTTTTCTAGTTCTTTTAATTGTGATGTTAGGGTGTCAATTTTGGATCTTTCCTGCTTTCTCTTGTGGGCATTTAGTGCTATAAATTTCCCTCTACACACTGCTTTGAATGCACCCCAGGGATTCTGGTATGTTGTGTCTTTGTTCTCGTTGGTTTCAAAGAACATCTTTATTTCTGCCTTCATTTCGTTATGTACCCAGTAGTCATTCAGGAGCAGGTTGTTCAGTTTCCATGTAGTTGAGCGGTTTTGAGTGAGATTCTTAATCCTGAGTTCTAGTTTGATTGCACTGTGGTCTGACAGATAGTTTGTTATAATTTCAGTTCTTTTACATTTGCTGAGGAGAGCTTTACTTCCAAGTATGTGGTCAATTTTGGAATAGGTGTGGTGTGGTGCTGAAAAAAATGTATATTCTGTTGATTTGGGGTGGAGAGTTCTGTAGATGTCTATTAGGTCCGCTTGGTGCAGAGCTGAGTTCAATTCCTGGGTATCCTTGTTGACTTTCTGTCTCATTGATCTGTCTAATGTTGACAGTGGGGTGTTAAAGTCTCCCATTATTAATGTGTGGGAGTCTAAGTCTCTTTGTAGGTCACTCAGGACTTGCTTTATGAATCTGGGTGCTCCTGTATTGGGTGCATATATATTTAGGATAGTTAGCTCTTCTTGTTGAATTGATCCCTTTACCATTATGTAACGGCCTTCTTTGTCTCTTTTGATCTTTGTTGGTTTAAAGTCTGTTTTATCAGAGACTAGGATTGCAACCCCTGCCTTTTTTTTGTTTTCCATTTGCTTGGTAGATCTTCCTCCATCCTTTTATTTTGAGCCTATGTGTATCTCTGCACGTGAGATGGGTTTCCTGAATACAGCACTCTGATGGGTCTTGACTCTTTATCCAATTTGCTAGTCTGTGTCTTTTAATTGGAGCATTTAGTCCATTTACATTTAAAGTTAATATTGTTATGTGTGAATTTGATCCTGTCATCCTGTCATTATGATGTTAGCTGGTTATTTTGCTCGTTAGTACATGCAGTTTCTTCCTAGTCTCGATGGTCTTTACATTTTGGCATGATTTTGCAGTGGCTGGTATCAGTTGTTCCTTTCCATGTTTAGTGCTTCCTTCAGGAGCTCTTTTAGGGCAGGCCTGGTGGTGACAAAATCTCTCAGCATTTGCTTGTCTGTAAAGTATTTTATTTCTCCCTCACTTATGAAGCTTAGTTTGGCTGGATATGAAATTCTGGGTTGAAAATTCTTTTAAGAATGTTGACTATTGGCCCCCACTCTCTTCTGGCTTGTAGAGTTTCTGCAGAGAGATCCACTGTTAGTCTGATGGGCTTCCCTTTGTGGGTAACCCGACCTTTCTCTCTGGCTGCCCTTAACATTTTTTCCTTCATTTCAACTTTGGTGAACCTGACAATTATGTGTCTTGGAGTTGCTCTTCTCGAGGAGTATCTTTGTGGCGTTCTCTGTATTTCCTGAATCTGAATGTTGGCCTGCCTTGCTAGATTGGGGAAGTTCTCCTGGATGATATCCTGCAGAGTGTTTTCCAACTTGGTTCCATTCTCCCCGTCACTTTCAGGGACACCAATCAGACGTAGATTTGGTCTTTTCACATAGTCCCATATTTCTTGGAGGCTTTGCTCGTTTCTTTTTATTCTTTTTTCTCTAAACTTCCCTTCTCACTTCATTTCATTCACTTCATCTTCCATTGCTGATACCCTTTCTTCCAGTTGATCGCATCGGCTCCTGAGGCTTCTGCATTCTTCACGTAGTTCTCGAGCCTTGGCTTTCAGCTCCATCAGCTCCTTTAAGCACTTCTCTGTATTGGTTATTCTAGTTATACATTCTTCTAAACTTTTTTCAAAGTTTTCAACTTGTTTGCCTTTGGTTTGAATCTCCTCCCGTAGCTCGGAGTAATTTGATCGTCTGAAGCCTTCTTCTCTCAGCTCTTCAAAGTTATTCTCCGTCCAGCTTTGTTCTGTTGCTTGTGAGGAACTGCGTTCCTTTGGAGGAGGAGAGGCGCTCTGCTTTTTAGAGTTTCCAGTTTTTCTGCTCTGTTTTTTCCCCATCTTTGTGGTTTTATCTACTTTAGGTCTTTGATGATGGTGATGTACAGATGGGTTTTTGGTGTGGATGTCCTTTCTGTTTGTTAGTTTTCCTTTTAACAGACAGGACCCTCAGCTGCAGGTCTGTTGGAGTACCTGGCCCTGTGAGGTGTCAGTGTGCCCCTGCTGGGGGGTGCCTCCCAGTTAGGCTGCTCTGGGGTCAGGGGTGAGGGACCCACTTGAGGAGGCAGTCTGCCCGTTCTCAGATCTCCAGCTGCATGCTGGGAGAACCACTGCTCTCTTCAAAGCTGTCAGACAGGGACATTTAAGTCTGCAGAAGTTACTGCTGTCTTTTTGTTTGTCTGTGCCCTGCCTCCAGAGGTGGAGCCTACAGAGGCAGGCAGGCCTCCTTGAGTTGTGGTGGGCTCCACCCAGTTCGAGCTTCCCCGCTGCTTTGTTTACCTAAGCAAGCCTGGGCAATGGCGGGCACCCCTCCCCCAGCCTCACTGCCACCTTGCAGTTTGATCTCAGACTGCTGTGCTAACAATCAGCGAGACTCCGTGGGCGCAGGACCCTCCAAGCCAGGTGCAGGATATAATCTCCTGGTGCTGCGTGTTTTAAGCCCGTGGGAAAAGCGCAGTATTCGGGTGGGAGTGACCCTATTTTCCAGGTGCTGTCTGTCACCCCTTTCTTCGACTAGGAAAGGGAACTCCCTGACCCCTTGCACTTCCCGAGTGAGGCAATGCCTTGCCCTGCTTCGGCTCACACACGGTGTATGCACCCACTGACCTGTGCCCACTGTCTGGCACTCCCTAGTGAGATGAACCAGGTACCTCAGATGGAAATGCAGAAATCACCTGTCTTCTGCATCGCTCACGCTGGGAGCTGTAGACCGGAGCTGTTCCTATTCAGCCATCTTGGCTCCTCCCCAGAAGCTTTGTTCTTTCACTCTTCATAATAAATTGTGCTGCTGCTCACTCTTTGGATCCATGACACCTTTGAGAACTGTAACACTCACCGTGAGGGTCTGCAGCTTCATTCCTGAAGTCAGCAAGACCACGAACCCAGTGGGAGGAGCAAACAACTCCGGACCCACCAGCTTTAAGAGCTATAACACTCACCGCAAGGGTCTATGGCTTCATTCCTGGAGTCAGTGAGACCAAGAACCCACCAGAAGGAATAAATTCTGGACACATTATCTTTTGAGGATTATTACCTCTGGATTGAGAGAGTATTTATTCTGTTTTCAGAGGTCTGAAGATATTGTTATATTCTCTTCCAGTCTCCTGTGATTCTGATGGGACACTCTATATATATTATTTTTTCTCTTGCTGATCTCAATATTGTTTTCTTATTTTTGGTCATTAGTAAATTGACTATTACATGTCTAAGAGCAGCTTTCTATTTATCTTTCATGAAATTTGGTTAGAAAGTTTATGGTTTCCATCAAATTTGGTACATTTTCAGTCATCAATTATTCAAATATTTTTGCCACATTTTCTTTTCCCAGAAACCTTATTGATATTGTCTCAATATTCACTGAAGTTGTCCTCATTTTCAATATTTATCTTTCCTTTACATCAAATGATGTTCATTGTTCTTCAAATTCACAGACTGTACTTTTAGCTATTTTTCTTGCCTAATCTTAAGATTATTTAGGAAATTTTACATTTCAGACATTGCAAATTTCAGTTCTAGAATGGGTATTCTTTTGTTTCATCACTTTGTTGAGATTCCTCATCTGTTCCACAATCAGATACATAAACTTTGCTCTAGGTTTTGTATGTTAATTGCAAAAATCTGGATCTTGTTGCAGTTGGCTTCCATCAAAAGCCTTCTACCTCACTTCCAGACACTGTAGTTTGTGAGATGTGCTAGAAATGCACAGCTACCATTCTAAAAGTCCTTCTGGAAAGCAGTGTCCTAGGACATTTACTTATACATAGCCTGACTCACCCAGTATTGGAGAGTTGGCGAGTTGAAGGTTTGGATAAATGGGTGAAGAGTGGTATTCTTGAAGTATGTAAGGGAAGATTTGATTTGTTCTCACAGTTTGGAAAAGAGTTAGATAAGCAAGGCTCATTATAGTTTCCTTCCTTCATCTACATTTTTATCCAACATTTATAATTTGAAAAATGTACTGTTATAATTCTCAGTGACTGACTCCATGACATCAGAATTATGATCATATTGACTAAGTAGCTGAAGCATATGAATTCTTAAGCAACAAAGACTTGCTTTGATCTAATTGCCTTTAGTAGGAGAGAAGGGAGCACTTTGTAGGAGAAAGATTGTTTTCAAATAATCCCAAAGTAATTTTCCTTGAGAAAGTTATTTACTGATATATATATATATATATAATTTGAATGGCTTCAAAAGTACATTTAAGGGCACATTTTGATGATAAATATATAAGTAGATAAAGTGTAAGTCATTAGTTTGCCTACTTTGGCTGTTGGCATTTTCCTTGGGAACTTTGCATACTTGTCTTTAAAATTAGAAAAAAAGAGAAAGAGATTTCTATACTTTTTTCTTTTAATCTTAAATACTATAAAAATTATAGACACAAACACATACATGAGCACACAGACATACACACACATATACATACACAGAAAGAGATTTATTACACATTTGATTTCTTATGGATAGCATTTTAGTATCATTCAGATACTAAATATATTAAATAACAGTCATAATTTCGTAATTTAGAAATGAATTTTATTGAAATTTATGGCTGTATTTGGATAATATAATTAAATTTTGATAAATATACACCAAACTTTATATAATATATAAATATATATATAGCTGTTGACTTTTAATAGGCTATATATTGATTGATATAATATGTACAAAGTCTATTATATAAATGTTTGTAAAAGTAGGACAAGCCCCTTATATTAAAAATAAATTAGAAAATATGCATTAAATTTTAATCCAGAATTGTTTGATAAAATAAAAAATGTTCAAAACTTTAAAATCATTTTAATTTCTCTTAATGTGATTTACATGTGTTTGTAATTAAAAATAGGTATGTCTACATATAGTAATATCATATATGATATTTATTATAATGACTAAACATTTATGGCATTAATTATATCCCAGTGAATTTTCTTTCATCTGAACAACAGCCCTATATTTCTCAATATTTTTCTTGCAAATTAAGCTATAATGAAGCCACATTAACTAGTGAAGATATAAGAGAAAAATACAGCTTCTCTATAGAAAGGAAGTGCAAAAAGGTCAGAGAACATACCCTAGAAAGTATTCCCCTTTGAGCACATATTTTTAAGTATAGGAAAAAAAATATTTCATGGGAATAATTATTCTATTTCATACTAAAGTTTTAAAGTTTTGATTATTGGATTCTCTTGGTTGTGAGGCACATTCATTTTTATTGTCTGTATACAATTTTATGTTAACCTCTAAAATCCTATTCATCTAAGAATAACCTGAAGAGATACTGGCCCAAAGAGAACAAAGGCTTTCTTTAAATAACTATATTTAAAGCCTATGCCTTATCATTAATGACTAAGATAACAAAGCTATAATCTGTGATGTCACTTAGTTATCTTGGTTTGCAGTTCTAGGATCTTCCATTCGTGCAGTGTCATGAGTTCTGATATTTCTTTTAAATTGCCTTTAACGCTCAACCTCTTCACCCCTGCTGCGAACCCCAACCTTTAGGCCTTCTCATATTCTATCATGCAGGTTGTACTTGCCACTTGAGTCTAGACATTGCCACCTTGCTGACTTGCTCTCAGTTGCTTTTTTATGTGTGATAATAGCACGAGAATTGTCATCAGAATTCTTTATCCCTTTTCACTTCTGACACATATATGGAAAAGAAGCGTGCGTAAGTTGACAATTTATTCACATGAAATATAGGAAGAATTTTGCCTTTTTCTCTGATAAGTTTATTTGTAGCAAATATATATATCCTCTTTCCCACATGACTTTCACAGTAAAGCAACTTCCTTCTGCAGCAAAATGAACTACTTACAAACACTTTCTGACATTCTGGTTTAGCATATGTCTTATAACATTGACTGGTTTTGGCTTTGATTGAGAGCACATATTTTGTGAAATGTTTCACAGTGGGTAAGTTCCTGGAGAAGTCCTACTCATTATCCCAAACTACTCAAATGTAACTTCCAATAGGAAGCTGAGCTGACTTCTTAGTAATACTGAGGTGCCTCTCATTTTGTGTTTGTGTGATGCTCTGTAGCTATCGCCTACTTCAATTCTCCCAACATCATAAGTGTTTGTTGACATGTCTATTGCTTTCACTATACTGCACTAACCCAGAGAGAAGATTATGTTGCCTATTATTCTTGTCTATCTGTGTCTCTTCGTATCTGAATTCAGAAACTCAAGACCTTTATTCCTCTCCTGAAGTATCATATGAAAATACATTCTGAGATGAAAAAAAGTTACTTATATATTTGTGCAAGAAATTTTTAAATAACATATGCAAACCTAAATTCTATATCATATCAATGTATATAATTGAAATATCATGAAAATCTCTTATTTGCAAATTCAATCTTATCAGTATGAATATTACAAATATATTTTGGGTATTCAAAAAAAAAAAGGCTATGAGATATTGGAAAAGACATTCTGGTTTTAAACAACAGCAACAACAAACAGCTAGTAGAGAATCCTAAAGAATGGAGGATTGCTTGCCAATGTAGTTGTTAAGTAAAATTTCTAGGACTCCACTGTTTTGAGCTGAGCTTCTACTCCAGACCTCAACAAACCGAGCCAGAATGCAGCCACTCATGCTAAAGTTCCATGTACTTAACTGAAACTAAGTTGTTTAACCTTCCAAGAAAGAGGAATAAGAGATCATAGCCATATATCCAAACAGACTAGTTTTAGCCTTCCTGCTAAGGAAGTTCCCTCTGTTTTTACCACTACCAAAAAAGCAAACTGAAATAATCTAACTGAAACATAAAAACTGCTTTTTGTATTATGCTGTTTCTTTGTTCCCACTAAAGCTATTATATAAAAATAGACTGTTATGCCATACCTAGTGGAGAACATTTTCTATAACTTTCTATGAGACTCTGCCCAATTCATGAATTGCTGATAGAAACCAATTTGCTTTTTAAAACTAATTTTTTTGTAATTTTATCTTTTGACAGTTTCACGTGCATAAAAGTGACTACTCTTCATTATAATGATACATGAAACATCAAGATGCAGTAAAATAATCTTGTTGATATGGGTTGCTTAATTGAGATTATTTATTATTTGATCCCCAAAGCTGTTGTGGTTGGTTTAGTGGGGGCTTAAAATTAATTACTCCTATTTAGCAGGTAAAGATAGAAAGCTGAGTGGGAATTAAAACATGCCCATCTAATATTAATGTATTTGATAGTCATTATATAGGTCATGCTTGATTGGTAGCACTTTTAAACTTTATAATAAAAAGGATATTTTATAACATATAAGCTTTTGATAGCACTTAAGTATTTTCTGAATATTCTTTGGGAGGGAGGTAAGTTAAAAAAGTGGCAACATTAACTTATCATTTTACCAAAATGCTTTGGCAAGATAAAAATGACATTTAATACTAAGGGGTACATTATCTGAAAAACAGTAGATATGAAAGAAGATAATGTAGAAGAAAACAGAATATTTCTGTTGGTCATTTCTTGAAATTGGGTGAAGAAATAATTTTTAATTTACAATACCATGAGCACAAAAATCAAAGGAACAATAGATAAACTC
Source organism: Homo sapiens (assembly GCF_000001405.40). NCBI lineage: Eukaryota > Metazoa > Chordata > Mammalia > Primates > Hominidae > Homo > Homo sapiens. The sequence goes on along the minus strand of NC_000018.10, from coordinate 66,710,259 downwards.
AATTACATAAACATTAAAAACTTGTTTGCTGCCAAGAATACCACCAGGAAAGTAAAAAGACAACCCAGAGAATGAGAAAAAAAAAATTTGCAAATCATCTATCTGACAAATATCTAGTGTCTGAAAGATATAAACATCTTACAGCCAACAACAGCAAGACAACCCATTTGAAAAATGACAGTTTAAACAGATATTAATTCCAAAGAGATACAGACAAATGGCCAATAATCACATGAACAGATGCTCAATATTATTAACCATGAGTTTTGTGGGAATCAAAAACACTGTGAAAGATGAATTCACATCAACCAGGATGATAAAATTTAAAAAGTCAGCAATAACATCAATAAAATGTGTTGGCGAGGCTGTGGAGAAGTTGGAATATTCATATGTTACTGGGGGGCATATAAAATGGCACAACTGTTTTGAAAAATAACATTTTGGTCTTAAAATGTTAAACATAGATTTACCGTATGACCCAGTAATTTCATTTTGAAATATATACCCAAGAGTAATGGTAACATTTGACCACACAAAAACTTTTATATGAATGTTAATAGCATAATTTTTTCATAATAGCCAAAAAAGTGAAAGAACCCAAATCCCCATCAAGTGACAAATGGATACACAAAATGTGGTATATCTACACAATGAAATATTATTTAGGGGAAAAAGAGAATAAAGTACTAATATGTGTTACAACATAGATAGATCTGGAAAATATTAAATGAAATAAACCCATAACGGAAGATCACATATTGCTTGATTCCATTTATATGTAATGCCCCAAATAGGTAAATCCATAGAGATAGTGAATATTTAAGTGGTTGTCAAGGGCTGAACTGGGTGTTCAATTTAGCATGGAATGACTGGTCATTGGGATGTCATTTATTTTAGGTAAGGGAAACATTTTCTAAAATTAGATTGTGATGATGGTTGTGCAACTATGAGAATATGCTAAAAATATTAGATTGCATAATTTGAATGGACAATTGTATGATATATGTGGTATACATCAATAAAGCTGTTAAAAAATAAGTGAGATGGTAAGAAGCTTTGAAGAAACCCCAGCTGTCAGAAAAATACAAGATTGAAACTGAGCATAGATAAACAAAGCTCTTCCAAAGCATTAATGTTTTCCATTAATGTTTCCAATGTTTCCTAAATAATCAACACTAGGTTTTCCTTAAATTTTAAATTAATTTTATTTTTCTGCAGTTAAATATTTTTAAGTGTTGTTTATATTTCCAAATAAAAGCCATATACATTTGCTAGGCAGTAGCCAAAATTATGAACTCTTTTAAAGGCTCCTTTCAACCAAATACAGGAAAAAAAAGGAATCTGAGAATGTTCTAAAAAGAAACTCAGCCACTTCACTGTTTTCACTTCTCTGTTTCAGAAAAACAAATTATGCATGGTGGCAGGAAAAGACAGAGTCCAGCATTATCGCCTGCTCAGAGGGTTAAATACACAGCCCAACCACACATCTTTCCTATCTCTTTGCCTAGATTTTGTCAAAATATTCTCAAGTCTATGCTTAAATAAATATTACTTTATCATGGAAGCCACCCATAATTCCCCAGATGAGTGTAATTTCCTTAAATATGCCCTAGTACAGCTTCTCTACTTTGTAGAACTTTGACATATATACATATTTAGTTAAATTCAAACTAGCCATAAACTATTTCCAATATTTTTGTTTCCCAATACACACTGCAAGCCCTACAATGAACTGGCTGCATCACCAGAATGTTTATCAGTGTGTCATCAGCAACCAGCACATCACCTGGAATATGGGAGGTAGAATTTTAGAAAAAGAGAGAAATGTATAAAAGTCATCTTGTTCTATAATGAGAGAAAAAAAGTCTCATTTCACTAAAACCGTTGCCAATGTGTTATTACCATGGTATCTCATATCCTACAAAGTAAGAATTAGAGTATAATTTTCAATGTAAATGAAATTATATATCCTTAGAGCAGCTGACCAGGTTTTTTGTTTGTTGTTTCATAATATTTGTCACCTTGCTCCTCTTTATCTGGGAATATGTACTCATTCCTTACAACTAAGTACATTTTAAATTTCAGCAAAAGAAATTTCAGGGTATATTTTAAACATTTAGTCTAAACTCTCATAGTATTTTCAATTCAAAATGATGATGGAAACTGCATTTCCACCCCGCATCTCCACACCCAGCATCTGCCTAGAATTTTCCAAGTACCACAGCTTCTATTAATACTTTTACTGTCTCAGTGAGCACTGTGATCTACTTGGTTTATAGGCTCATAATTTGCTGGGGTTTATATATATATTTAAAATTAAACATGATAACAAAGAAAACGTACAAAAAAAGAAAAAAAATCACTATAGAAAAGCAAAACCAATCTAAAGTTCAGAAAATCAACACGCATGAACACAAAACAAATATATGAATGTTAGAAATGGGCAAGCAGTTGATGATGTTTGTTGTTTATTTCTTGTGACTGTTTAGGAAAACTATATCTAAACATACAATTTTGAGTTCTAAATTCTGTTATAGGACTTTCTCCTTAGTTCCCCTAAAAGCCGGGTTCTTGTCACGTGATCATGAAAGATTAGGCTTGCAGACACTTTGAATGCTGAGAAGGACAGGTTCTATTGGGTGAAAAGGAAATTAAAAGGGGAAACAGGGACTCTCAGCAAAGCGAGAGTCCTGGTAGTAGGTTTCCCACCTCACAGATGGAATCCCAGTTTACCACCCCAGAAGAGGAGAGGCCAAGCTCCTCCCCGCTGCAAAAGATGCTAACTTCCGAGGCTCCACCCTTCTGCCAGTGTGCAGGCCAGCTGGAGTTTTTCTGGGGACCATTTTATACTTGGCTGTCTGAATTCCTCACCTCATTTTCTCCACTGGCTTCCACTGCCTCTCTGCTCCCACTGCAGACTTATTATCGCCAAACTCATATCAATCAGTTGTTGCTAGGGTGAAATCATCACAGGGTGAATATACAATTTGTTACCAGGGTATTTGGGGGTATGAACGTGGTTGCTGTTAAAACTATGTGGATATTCCTGGAGTAATAATGACAATCTCAAGCACGTCCATCAGCTACGAATTCAAAAGCAACCTGACTATATAATTATTGGATGACAAGGTGATGGACATATTTACTTAGGATGATGTTTTAGATGATGAGAATCAAATAGTTTTAAGTCCATTCTCCAGTAGGCTTTGATCCAGCTTATCCTCTTTCTTTCCAACTGGACACAAATTATGAATCAAGTCAGTACACAATCCATGTTAACTACAATAGAATAATATTAATCTTAGAGAAATACATACCCACTCAATCATATAAAACACTAAAATAGCACTTGGTTATCTTTTTTACCTAGAGTGGCGTAATGTATTTAGATTCTATTAAACTTCTATTTTATCACAGAACTTTATGTTCCTAAACTGGGGAAGGCACCAAAGTGTGTCTTAGCTTTAATTTCAGATAAAACTACCATCCATCTGCTAAATGCCAGCAATCTTTGAAATCTCTAGAAAGGCCAGATGCTCTTTCAAGCCTGCGTAGAATAATACTATCCCTTTAAGAAGTCATTTTTCACAGACCTGAATCTCCCAGGGAGATTTTTTTTTCCTAACAACATTTAATGTACTTTAAAATTGGCTTTCTTTAACTGAGCTTTCTTTAATTGTACGAAACAAGGCACCATGAAGACAAAAGTGGACCATGCATAGTCATATATGGCTTTTATTGATTGTGAGCCATGGGGAAGATAAATACACCACACCTTTGCTTCTCTCTTATAGTACCAATGCAATTGCATTCCAGAAGGTCTGAAATGTGTTTTAATTTCCAATTATGTCTTTCCAAATAAACTTTTAAACTGAGACGCAGCGCTTAAACCAAAAACAAAACCAAAAATCTCCTTCAAAAAATGATAAGTACCCATTTTTACTACTATTCATAACTAAGTTTACCTTCCTTCCTCCTTTTATTATGTTAGGTAGGACATCAATTATGAAACTTTTGTGTGTAAAATTATTGGCATTTGTAAAAGGATAAACAACTCTTTGCTATTTGATGGGGCAGTTAGCTGGAGATGGCAACTTTATATTTAGACTTCATATAGCATAAACTTATCCCCTTATGTAATAAGCTCATTTAAATATTCTAATTCAGAAGGGAGTAGAGCTGTAAAATGAATGTGCATTACTGAAATGAGTGACATATGACTGAATACAAATCTATGTTTAATATTTTATTCATTTTTTTTGCATACTTACCAGATGCTAGGGACATTTTTTAGGTACTGACTATATATATCCACCATATACATTGTATTTTAATTAGGGAAACAATAATCGTGTATGAAGGTATATAGACACAAACATAGATATCAATAAATACATAGATATAGATAGAAATAAGTTTAGAGATACATGTAGAAGGAAATATAGATACAGACACTATAGATACAGATATAAATATGACAATGAATATAAGATAGAGACATGATTATAGATAATATTAGTAAAAAGAGTAATAAATCAGTCTAAGAGGCTGGAGAAACATGGTGGCTAGTTGACAATTTTTCTTTTTATAACTTTTTTTCTTCAAAGATAAAGTTAGGTGTTGCCAGAGTAAATAATTAAACATAATTCCTGAAAAATAGTTTAAAATTTCAAATAAAAAATTACTTTTTCAAATATACATTCATTCTGTTCTTTCAAAATGTGCAAAAAATATGTTTCCTAAATTAATACTGCCTATTTTGACTTTCAATTCTTAGTGCTTTATTATACATTATATTTGTTTATATCTTATGCCTCTGCCTGTTTCCAAGTCATAGGAACTTTTTGACTTTTAAGTTTCATATGTTTTTAATCCTACCTCACACTTAGTTTAATACTGACCACGAGTTTTATACTCAATAAATACCTGATGAATTTAATCAAAATGATTTTAATTAAATCCAAAGTTTCATTACTTGACATATTGGGGAAAGCAATTACAGTAAACTTTGAAAATGCCACATATAAATTTATCAGTTATGTAAATACCATTTTACAGAAGTATTGAGGAGATTGTACATTTAGAACTAATTTAAGCCATCACTTTAGATATGCCTGAGTTTATTTCTGAAAATATGTGGAAACCTTAGGGTAATGTCATAAGCCATCCTGAAAAATAAATGGGAAATCTTGGTCTTGAATTGCTTGCTTATTAATTGGGGATCTTAGATCCTTTCTTAGGCTTTATGCCATGCAAATCAGAGAGGTAAAGACATGAAGAACCAAGAAATGCTAGTGACGATAATATCAATGACGGATAAAGCAACTGAGTCATATGTTGTTAACACGTTTACTATTCGGGACGTAAAATGTACGGTACAATTATTTATCATTTATTCCTTCATAGGCTGACACTGGAAAAGTGAAATGTCCACAAATTAAAAACCTGCTTGTTACTGGAAACCAACAAGCATGAACAATATGTATTAAAAGCAGACAGAGATGCAGGATAATCCAGGGTTGGTAGAAATATATATATATATGCACATATTTTTAATATGTTAGTTATTAAATAGGTTAGAGATATTATTTATTTTGCTTACTATTTTTATGTATTTGAGAATAGTAAATATAAGGTAAAATAAATGAATATTCATAATTTCAATTTTGTTTTAAAATTAAGTCGTGTATAAAACATGTCTGGTTCAACGATTTTTGAAAAGTCTCTATATTTGTATTAATATTTAAGGAAAATATAGAGAGCTATGATACGTACCTCTGCTTTTTCTTTTCAAAAACTGACCTTGCTTTTACTAGACATGAATTTATACTTTAGTGTTGCTTTTATTTTGAGTACTATAACAATATATTGATTCAACATCTTGCTCAAGAGGTTCAACTTTCTTCCATAAGTGGAGGCAATGATAGAGCAAGTTACCCTGCAGTAATTTGAAAGTAGTGGATTTACAGCGGGGAGGAAAGAAAAGGACTACAATTGAAAGATAATGGACTTGAGATAGCTGCAAACACCACAATTTGTCACCTTCTTCATTTCTATTCTCGACTTTTATTTTGTCTCTCAGATCTCTAAGGCAAGTTTAGTGACATGTTCAAGAAGCAAAATTGTAATGAAATTGAAAGCAAGCAAAGAAAATAAAACCAGACAAAAAGTACAGACATCCTGTTTGACATAAATCATGAATTTGATCTAACCATCATTTTCATGTGAATAAATTGCTAATGCATCATTGCGTTTTTGAAGTATTACATATGAGCAATTATGTAACAGAATTACATGCACACAAATTATTTTATAGCAGACCTACAAGTGGCATCAGTGGACCCTAATATCTCTCAGTGATCTATATATTGTACTATTTAAATTGTTTGCTAAATAGTATTTTTTGTGAACATGAAACAGATGACAGATCTCCAATAAGAGAAAACAACTCTATAATGTTAAAAAAAACAGCATTTTGAAATGATTGTGATGAAGGAAATGTACGCTTCATCAGTTTAAAACAAATTAATGCATATATCAAGGACGTTTTCCTTGCATAGGACAGACTCTCTCATTTCAGAATATAATCCATGTCAAAAATACCGAATCACAATTATTATCATATGTATAATGAATACTTCAGAGAAATTATTTAAAGTAATTGGATATAGAGCAGCATAATTTCTAAGTAATTATTTGAAACTAAATGTAATATGTCAAAGATAAATAATACTTTTCAAATAGTTTAGAAATGATACTATTCTTCCCAACTTAAAATGCATAAACTATCTAGTTTGAATAAAGCATAGTAGATACTTAAAGAAAATGGTTAATCCCCTCAGGTGACTTACCCTTTTAGCCTGAATCTCAAACTCCACGATGTGTCTCCTTCAACCTTTTCCCTGTATCCTCTATTCACTGAGTCTGATATACAGGCCTTCTCAATCCCATTCGTTCACGTATTTATTTAATAAAACTTATGAGAAAACTCATGTTCCTAAGATCATGTAAGACTCAGAATATAATATAAAATAAGCTACCACCCTTGACTTTAAGCTCCTATGGTCTGATAAATATCTGAGAGAAAGTACCTCAATGGTCTTAAATTATTGTTTTTTTGTTTATTATTATTACCATTGCTATTCTAATAGTTAAATACGAAGAAGCCAAGACCATGCCTTGAAATCAGTGGGGCGGGAGTCAAATAGGAGGATTGAGAAGAGTGGAGAAATTTTGTACTGGTATTTAAAAGTTATGGGAGGGGGATGAAAAATTAAAAGCAATTGTAGATCGATCCAATGTAGACTTAATTAGAAATGACTTGAAAATCATTTCTTAATTTTATACTTTGCATTTATTTGATTTCTAGTGTGAAACTGGTATGAAGTCAGTTAGCTCATATGTGCTTGATAAATGTGAAAATTATTTCAGAATAGCTAGGAAGCATATTGGAAAACCAATCTTCTCCAGACAGGATAAGTCAGCATAAGAGCAATAGAATTATTACATTCAACAAGACAGAAATTGCACGGGGAACAGGGGCATTTTTCACTCTATTTTATGAAAAATAATACCTGCACGTGAAATTCCTCTTCAAAATGATGTACCCATGCCTTGTTGGCCTGGTGTTTGCTGCCTTCAGTGCCTGCTTTCAATCACAACCCCCATCCTCAAGCCTCACTTCCATTAGCTTTGTCCCAGGGCTCCAAGAAAAGTCTTGCCTTATTGACCACTTGATTGCTTTGTTTAGTTTTGATACCTGCTGTAGCACTCTTCATCACTTCCCCATGTACCAATTATTGCCCTTCTTGTTGGCAATGTTTTGGTTTAAAATTTTCATAGGTGTTTAGCGTTTCAAATCTTCCACTCAAAAGCTATTTTCCTGTAGGCTTTGGGGCCCAAACAATTGCAGGCTATGTCTGAATTGAAAACAGTGGCTCAGTTGATTTGTGGCCATTTAGTTCCACATTCAAATATGATTTTGAAAGTATCTGCAACTTGCAATTCCACAGACTGAAGCTTATGAAAAAGCCCTTTGGGTATCACCACTCAGCAACAGTATTTGGGATTTTGGACCAGAAATTTCCAAGCACAATGATATGACACATGCCATATTGGACTGATATTGGGCATTAATTAAAACTGCTCCTATGACTGAAAGACATAAAATAGTCTAGAAACTTAACATACCCTAATGCTTTGGGTACTCTAACTCACTGAGTACTGGGTACTCACTGAGAAAGGTGGTGCCCAACAGGGCCCCACAATAAAATGGAAATGGTGTATACAGGGCTATGCTGTGGGAGGAATGCAATGAGGCTCTCATTGTGTACACGAGCAGGGAACTGACATTGGAACCATTTGTGGAGCTGCCAGAACCTATTGATGCTGGGCAGGTGAGTTCCAACATGGGGGCTTAGCTTAAGGAGGTTCTTGGCTTCACTTGGGAAAGAATTCAAGAACAAGCCAGTGGTGAAAGAAAGTAGCTTTATTGAGGTGGCAGTGTTACAGCTCCGTGAATGCTCCTGCAGAGCAGCTACTCCACAAGCAGTGTGCTGAGAGTAGCAGCTGAGGTGCAGTTCTGCAGTCACATTTACACCTACTTTTAATTACATGCAAATTAAGGGGTGGGTTATTCAGAAATTCCTAGAAAAAGCATTGTAACTGCCAGGTCGTTGCCATGGCAATGGCAAACGGACATGGTACTAGAGGGCATGTCTTATGGAGAGGTGCTATCACCTCTTCCCTGTTTCAGCCAGTCTTCAGTCTGGTCTAGAGTCAAGTCTTGCCTCGTACCTCACTATTGCCACATTGCTTTTCAGTCTCAAAGTTTCAGTTTGTGAAGTTTTGTAACTTTTTAAGGAATTTATTTTACAGCAGAAATGTCAGAATCTTTAGTGTGGGATTTTTACATAAATACAGACTTGACATTGTTATATACTCTTCTTCACTTCATTGTACTTCAAAATATGATTTCTCAAAAAAAATTCTCTTTTATCATCTCCAAGTTAACCCTCAAATGATGTCCTTTGCTTTAACCCAGTATTACATTTCTTTTAAGTTTATATGTAGATATATCTGTGTGTGTATGTGTGTGTGTGTGTGTGTGTGTGTGTGTATATATATATAAAAAATTTCCCTTTAGTTATATATATACATAAAATTTCCCTTTAGTTATATAATGTGGTTCAGAAGGTAATACAAACAATAAGTTTAATATCTTTCAGTGGAGTTTGTAATGCCCCTTGCAGCAATTGATAGCCAATTGCAAAATACTTTGTTCCATCTCAAAAACTCCTGTGGGTTTCTTATATTTAATCCTCTTCCAATATTTCACATCTCTTTATCCATCAAACCAGCCAGTCTGTAAATTGTTCAAGATACAATTTCAGGACCTCAGATAAATGAGGAATTAAGCCATCTATTAATTCATTTATTCAAAAATCATTTCCTGTGTTAGATGTTGGAAAAGCTAGGAGATTTAAATATAAAAGAAAGAACACACATATTACTGACCATATTGACATATGAATTGTTACAAACATAAGGTGAATTGCAGACATTAAAATCAATTTAAGCTGCTTGAGTAATCTAGCATTCTGTGAGATACCAAGGCTTACAAACTACTCTTTTTTTCTCTCTCAACCAGCCATATGCACACTGACAATTAATATTTGCCATGATTCTTTACTTTTAAAACTTTTTATTTGCACAAAAATATTTAAAGAGCTTGACCAAGAGTTCACCTTTTCTTTCATAGACAATTTGAAAAAGTATATAGAGGTTTTCTTATAATTGGTAAAATTTGAATTAATTTAATTTTCTTGCAAATCCAACTGCTTTGATGTATTTGGTTAGAATTATAATGATCCAGCCAGAACTGCGGAAATGCTAAAAAGAGTTAGATGCTAATGATTGTCCAGTGCATCCTGCCACACTGATAAGAGAGGGATATTTGGGGGGAAAAACAATTCTTCAAGGATTAGACAAACTCTTCTGTTTGAAAAAAAAAAAGAAGAGTCATTCTAGTATATAATGGCTATGAGACTTTCCACAAATGTAAATAGGACTTCTCAATGTATGTCATTTCCAATCGGACAAAAGTTTTCTCGACATCAATTCTTTTTTTCTTTTCTTTTCTTTTCTTTTCTTTTTTTTTTTTTTTTTAGACAGAGTTTCACTCCTGTCACCCAGGCTGGAGTGCAATCGCGCAGTCTCGGCTCACTGCAACCTCCGCCTCCTGAGTTCAAGCAATTCTGCCTCAGCCTCCCAAGTAGCTGGGATTACAGGCACCCACCACCACAGCCAGCTGATTTTCATATTTTCTAAAATTCAATTCTCTTATCCACTAAATAAATACACAGTTGTCCCCCTTATTCGTAGGTTCACTTTCTGCAGCTTCCATTACCACAGTCAACCTCAGTTTGAGAATATTAAATAAAAACTTCCAGAAATGAACAATTCATAAGTTCCACTTGCAAGTTTCATGCTTTCAACTTGAAATCTTGCAATTCCACTCCATCCCATCCAGGACGTGAACCAGCTCTTTGTCCAGGATACTCACACTGTCTATACTACTCACCCCTTTGTCGCTTATTAGCAATCTTGGTTATCAGATCAATAAAACAGTATAGTGTGCTCTTGGTATCCACAGGGGATTGGTTCCAAAGACCTGCTGTAGGTAACAAAATTCGAATACACTCAAGTCACTGGTGTAAAATGGTATAGTATTTGTACATAACCTGTACACCTTCTCTTGTATACTTCAGTTCATCTCAACATTACTTATAATACCTTCCTGTTTAGCTGCTTAAAACTTCTAGTTAGTGCCGGTAGGCAATTCAGCCAATGATTTACATATACTTTTATTCTTTCTTTTTTATGTATTGTAATGCAGTAAAATACCATTAATGTGGATTATATTACATTGTGACTCAAACTAACTTAAAGTTTGTTTTATAGACTTCCTGCTTTTAAAACATAGATAATTATGTGCCAGACATATTGATTTGAAAATATAATAAAAATGCAATACTTTTTCTTTCACACCTTTTTAAAAACTATTTACTAAATTACCCAATTTAATTTTTTAAACAAGAATTTCGGTTAAAAACAGAAAGCAATACTGAGTTACACTAGAAATACCACACAATTCACTTATTTAAAGTGTACAATGCAAAGTTTTTTAGTAAATTCACAAGGAAGTGCAAACATCACCAAAATTTAATTTTAGAACAATTTTGTTCCACAACAAGAAAGCTATTCCAGTTGACAGTACACCCTACTCCTCTAGAAACTCATTTGCAGTCTAGGCAACCACTAATCTCTGTAAATCTGCCTGTTCCAAGCATTTTACATAAATGGAACCAGATAAGTCTTTTGTAACTTGCTTCTCTCACTTAGCATAATGTTTCCAAAATGTATTCATGTTGCATTTTATTGATCTTTATTGCTGAATAATATTCCATTATATGGGCATGACACAAATGTATTTATCTACTAATCACTTTTTTATGAAATGTGCTGATATCATTTTTCTTGTAATGGTTTTGTTGTGGACACATATTTTCATTTCCCTTGAGTATACCTGGATGTAGCATTGCTGGATTTTATGATAGCCCTATGTTCAACACGTTGAGAAACTGATGAACTGGTTTCTTTCCCTCCCTCCCTCCCTCCTTCCCTCCCTTTCTCCTCCTCCTTCTGCTTCTCCTCCTCCTCCTCCCAGTCCTCCTCCTCCCCTCCCTCCCTCCCTTCTTCCCTCCCTCCCTTCTTCCCTCCCTTTCTCCTCCTCCTTCTCCTCCTCCTCCCCGTCCTCCTCCTCCCCTCCCTCCCTCCTTTTTTCCCTCCCTTTCTCCTCCTCCTTCACCTTCTCCTCCTCCCCTTCCTCCTCCTCCCCTCCCTCCCTCCCTCCCTCTTTCTTTCTTTCTTTCTTTCTTTCTTTCTTTCTTTCTTTCTCTCTCTCTCTTTCTTTCTTTCTTTCTCTCTCTCTTTCTCTTTCTTTCTTTCTTTCTTTCTTTCCTTTCTTTCCTTTTCTTTCTTTCTTTCTTGATAGGGTCTTGCTGTGTCACCAAGGCTGGACTGCAGTGGTAGAAACAACTCACTGCAGCCTGGACCTCCTGGGCTGAAGCCACCCTCCTTCCTCAGCCTCCTGTGTAGCTCGGATCATCATGCCTGACAAACTTTTTTGATTTTTTTTGTAAAGGCAGTGTCAAACTTTGTTGTCCAGTTTTCCAGTTTTTTCTTTTCTTTTCTTTCTTTTTTTTTTTTTTTTGCGTCTCATCTGTCGCCCAGGCTGGAGTGCAGTGGCACGATCTCAGCTCATTGCAACCTCCCCATCCCAGGTTCAAGCGATTCTCATGCCTCAGACTCCCGAGTACCTTGGATTACAGGCATGCACCACCATGCCCAGCTAATTTTTGTATTTTTAGTAGAGACTAGGTTTTGCCATGTTGCCCAGGGTGGTCTCGAACTCCTGAGCTCAGGCATTCAGCCTGCCACGGCCTCCCAAAGTGCTAGGATTACAGGCATGACCCACTGCAACCAGCCAGTTGCCCAGTCTTGATGAAATATTTTCTAAAGCAGCCATACCACTTTAAATTTCTTGCCACCACTTGGTTTTGTGTGTCTTTTCTATTACAACCATCATTGTGGGCGTGAAGTAGTTTCTCACTGTGGTTTTGATCTGCATGTCCTTAATAGCTATTAATTTTGAGCATCATTAACTTACTTGCTGTCCTTTTGCAAATCTTCTTTGAAGCAATGTCTATTTAAATTCTGTACCAGTTTTTAACTAGGTATTTGCTTCTATTATTGAGGCATCAGAGTTCTTATGTCTTCAGGATATAAGTCCCTTTTTAGATGTATGACTGGCAAATATTTTCACTATCCTGTAGATTGTCTTTTCACTTTCTTGACAGTACCCTTTGAAACACAAACATTTTGCATTTTGATGCAGTCTAATTAATCAACTTTTTTCTTTTTGTTTGTGCTTTTGGTGTCATAACTAAGAAACAGTTACTTAATTCCAAATTACAAATATTTACTCTTGTGTTTTCATCTATAAGTTTTATAGTTTTAGCTTATATCCATTTTAAAGGAATTTTTGAATATGGTGTTGGCAGGGTGGGGGATGCCACTTTGTTCTTTTGCATGTGGATTTCCAGTAGTCTCAGCACCTTTTGTCCAAAAGACTGTTCTCTTTGTTAAAGTATTTAGCAGACTTGCCTCCATATTATTTGCCATAAATATAAGAGGTTATTCCTGGATTCTTAAATTCATTCTATCTGTCTATCTATCTATCTATCTATCTATCTATCTATCTATCTACCTACCTACCTACCTACCTAATGCCTGCCTATCTATCTATCTACTATCTATCTATCTATCTATCTATCTATCTATCTATCTATCTACCTATCTATCATCTATCTTTATACCAGTATCACACAGTCTTTATCACTGTAGGTTCATAGTAAATTTAAAAATAGAGAAATGTGAATCCTACAATTTTGTTCTTATTCAAGTTGTTTTGGCTATTCCGTGTCTCCTGCATTTCCCAGTGGAGTTTTGGAAAGGTTTGTAATTCTGCAGACTAGCCAGTTTGAATTTTGGTAGGAATTATGTTAAATCTGTACATCAATATGGGGAATATTGTCATCTTAAAAATATTAAATATTTCACTCGTGAATATGGGCGTCTTTCCAAGTCTTTAAATTTTCTTTAGTATCTTTTAACAACGATATAGTTTGTAATACACAAATATTACTATTATTTTGTTAAATTTAAAACTTCTGCATTTTTAAGCTATTGTAAGTGGAAATGTTTTCTTTAATTATTTTTGAGGCCATTTATTATGGATATATAAGATGCCTTATGTGTGGTTTGAGGAAAACTTTCTCATCTGTCATTCTTCCTTCTCTGATTGCTTTTGAGTGGGTGGAGTCTTGTACATACAAACAGTTCTCTGGGCCCTCAATGGTAACTGTGCTCCCATAAGTGAAATTCTTTGCTGACTCTTCCCCTAGTTCTGTCTTTTAACTAGAAGTAAAGAGATTTGTTTACAGGTTAATTTAGAGATGAATGACAAAATAAGTCTTGCATTCTTGCTATGAAATAATCACTATTTTTATTTTGCTCACTAAGACCTTATATTGTCGATCTCTGAATGTGTTTCTATTCCAAGTATTAATATACTGATTTGTAGAATAGCTACATTGTTATAACAAGTTGTGTGCTTGTGTCTATTTTAGATTTATAGAGATAAAGGCTAGGCATAGATATGCAGCTAACTAGAGTAAATCATTTCATTTGATATGTTAACACATATATGGGACATGTAGTTATTTTTATTTTCTGTTTTCAGTAGGAGACATTGTATTAGTCTGTTCTCATGCTGCTAATAAAGATGTACCCAAAACTGGCTAATTTATAAAGGAAAGAGGTTTAATGGACTCACAGTTCCACATGGCTGGAGAGGCTTCACAAACACAGCAGAAGATGAAAAAAGAACAAAGGGATGTCTTACATGGAGGCAGGCAAAAGAGAGCATGTGCAGGGTAACCCCTCCTTATAAAACCATCAGATCTCACAAGACTTACTAACTATCACAAGAACAGCACAAGAAAGACTTGTCCCCACAATTCCATTACCTCCAACCAGGTCCCTCCCAGGAATTATGGGAGCTACAATTCAAGATGATAGTTGGGTGGGGACACAGCCAAACCATATCAGACAGTAAACTTGGAATGGATAATGATGTCAGTTTCAAACCTGTTCAACAATTTTATTTATTTCAGTGTCTTAGCCTATGCCTATTTTTGGACTACTTTTAACTATTACAAGTCATATGAGGGTGACAGTAATATATAATGCCTGATACAACAGAGACAGTAGAAGAAATAAAAGATTAAGAGTCAAAACAGTTGTTCTAAAAATACCTGCCATGCTGTGTATTATACTGTTTTCACATTCAGTCTTACCTGATGAAGATAAATAGGAACAATCTGATTTAGGCATAATTGAAAAAATACAGTTTAATAAATCAAATGAGACCAATTCTCAAGCTATGTGGATGATTACACAACAATACACTCTAATTTTTTTTGCTTTTCGTGAATAACTTTTCTTTAACATAGTTATTTTTCTATAACCTAGTTATTTTTTCTCTGTATTTACACTGACAGATATTTATCAACATTACAAAGTGCTAATTGTAATGAAACAATAATTAAAACCATCTGTCACTAGCAGAGGCAAAGACAGATGGTTGGTAGGGACAAAGTAGCTCTGAAAAACATTCTTATATAGAAAAATTCACTATGATAAAAAGTGATAAAAAAATTGCTATAAAAAAGTTATATTCAATACAAAGGGTTAAGATGTTTGGTTAAAAATGAAAGAATTAATAGATTTAGTACATACTCTTCAGAACATTGACAAATAGCTGAAGAATTAATTGATTAGACTTAAAAAATAGGAATTACATCACCATAAGATGATAAAATTGCCAAACATAAAACTAAATACTAGTAGCCTGGACAAAGCATCATTTTCTAAAATTAATATAAATACAAGAAACACAAAGCAATAGATAAAAGTTATCTGCATCCATATAAATAAAGCATTCTATTTTCCTCTAAATTTGCTACAGCAACAAAAATGACAAAACAGAGAAAATGTTTATAATAAATGTGTACATTTTTTCCAATTAGCTAACAACTTATAAGGAAAAGTAAAGATTGATAAAAACATTTAGCTTACAAATAAAATTTAGTAATGGAAAATAAGCATTTAAGATAATTTTGACTAAAAAAATCTCCAGAAATGGGAATGTATTATCAAGATGAAATTTTATTCACTTGTTCCATTTAGCTAAGAAATTATTGAAAAGAAGAATAATGCCCAATATTTATTAGGTTGTCTGTCATACAACATTATAAATTGATATATTGTCTTAGACTATGCATCAAGATTTATAAAAAAATACCATTTTTATAGGGTAATTGATAGCATGAAAATTGTTCAAAGAATGAAAGTATGTTGAATGTCCACATTCCAGTCTTAACTTTAATAATGGAAAAAGTAGGTAATCATAAATTTGCATGCAGCCATTCAAATGCAAATTATGACTTCCTATTAATCACATAGTGGCAATGACAAAGATAATAAAATAAATAGCTATACTGTGATTAAAAAATAAACTAAGAAATAAATGAAAGTATGTGTCTTGAAAGATTTTAAATTTTTGACATAGCGAGTCTTACACTTCTTAGCACAATTTTAGCATAATGAATCCAGTAATATATTGCAAGAACAATGAATAGTGACCAAATGTGTTTTACCTCTGGAATGCAAGATTGATTCAACATTTGAAATTTAATCAACGTAATATATCATATTAATAGACAAAAAATACCACAATGACATGCCATTACACACCTATTTGAATATCTAAAATTAAAAAGTTAAATCATACCTAATGTTCAGGAGGAGATGAAGTAAATTAAGGCTCATACACTGCTGGTAGAAATGTAAAATGGCAAAATCTGTTTGGAAAATAGTTTTACACTTTATTGAAACATTAAACATATACCTACCATGTGATCTAGCTATTTCCCTCCTACATTTTTACTCAAGAGAAGTGAAAAGCACATATCTACACAAAAAGCAATAAGCAAATATCCACAGCAATTTTATTAGAGGTAGCCAAAACGGGAAAGAACATAAATATCTGCTAATAGGTAAATGGTTAAACGAAGCTAGACAATAACATATTAGCTACTGATACATACAACCACACGTATGCATCTCAAATTTTCTGAGTTAAAGACAGTAATTCTCTGCCCCTCCCCTACCAAAAGCACTTCTAGTATGACTTCATTTACATAAAATTGTAAGAAATGCAAATTAACCTGTAGGGAAAGATAGCTTATCTGTGTTTTTTGTGCCTGGAAGTTTAGGAGCTACTGAACATGATTACATTTGGGGCACAAGATAATTTGTTCATGGAGATACATTTATTATCTTGAATGTAGTTTCACAGATTGTGTAGGTATGTGTAAATATATATATATATGTGTGTGTATATGTATATATACATGTATATATACGTGTATATATACATGTGTATATACATGTATATACGTGTATATGTACATGTGTATATACACACGCACAAGCATGCATATATATGTATATATAGTTGTACATGGTAAGTATTTCCAGTTTACTGCATGTCAGTTATACCATGGTTCAAAGCAAAATTCAAAGAACAGCCAGGGATATTATTGGCATTTCATTCATCAGTGTGTCCCTAGATTGTGAACTCCTTCTGTCTAGAGGCAGGCTGTGGAGTGAACAAAGTCTCATGCCTTTTCTAGTTCCCAAAAGGTAAGTATCACTCTCTTCTGATTCATGCTCTTAAAGTAAACTTGCTGAGTTCTATGGAGTGTGGCGCCCTAGCGGATCCCTTAAACTTGAATAGGACAGATAACACATATTAAGGTTAGTAAAAGACAGGAAATCTTGGGAAAGACAAATGTCCACTGGCAAATCGACACTAGTTCTCTAAATTGAGGGGAAAAAAATAATAATGAGCATTTGACTTGTTCCTCTCCCAACCCTATTTCCTCCTATGTGGAAATTACAATTTGGACAAGATTGTTTTTAATTAATGTGACAGAAATACTTAGAAAAACTCTCAGGACTTGAGCTCAGAGCTGGAGGTTTTTTCTTGTTAGTATTCCCCATTTACAGCCTGGGAGGCAGAGAGATGGTTGGGACTGGTAGTGCTGAAAAATATTATATAGAAATATGGACTATGATAAAGAGGAGTGAACTAAAATTTCTAAGAAAAAAATGCTTATTTAATATAAGGATAAGGATGATGACCAATCGTAACTGCTTCCTGCTGACAAAGGGTGCTCTTTTGGGAACGGCAGTCAGATATCCCTCAGAGGCCTATCTAAGGGTCCCTGATAAAACGTGGCCATTACTTGAGGCTCTGGTTGCATGACCATTTGGAATTTGATAGCCTGAAGGCAAGAAGAGCCAAACCAGATTATTAGAAGACATGTGTTAAAAAGAAACAAAAGGAGGGTGGGGTAAGGACAGCCCCAAAATCCCAGGGCTATGGGCATGCTTAGATAACTTGTGGCTATAGTTACGCTTGCTAAGATTTGGGCACATGGGGCTTGGCTTTGATTAGCTCCCTTGGTTTTATTTTCCCAAAAAAGAAACCTCTGGGTTATGGGCACCCTATTTACTCCCATCACCTGGCAGGATTTGCAGGATAATTGCCCAGAACTAGAATACTAATCCAGATTTTTGCAGTACGCATCCCTTTTGTATCTTCTGAGCTGTAGCTGGAAATCACTGGTTGGTTTATAGGAATAAGCAGGGTTATGCCAAAATGTAGGCAAAAAACTTAAAAACAACTAATGGGGCTATAATTTAATGACAAATATGATAAGCTTTGAAACATAATTTATCTCTCTCCAGTCCTCATTTTTGTTAAAAGCAAATCATGATAGGACTGAGTTGTTTGCAAAATAAATGGTCTTCTATTAGGCCTGATTATTCACCTAAAGTACAGCAAGAATAATTATTTTTACAAAGGCTTTTAAAATTGGCTTTGATGGAACTCTGTTCCACAAGGAATCTCAGATAGGACTTTTTAAAGCCAAACACAGGCATGGGTTTGTACCCTCAAATATCTGTGAGTTGCGTGAATTCCTCTCTTCTTCAGGTCCCAAGAATATGGGGTTCCTGGACCTGTTAGAAAGTGACATTCTTTACTCATCACAGGTTAGGGAACTTGTAAAGGGATTGTGTGGACAAAGTATGAGGCCAGTTTTCCCAAGGGGTTTTTATCAGCTATGCAAGTCGAGACTGATTCCTGAAAGGGAAGCTACTCTTCTATTCGAAGCCTTGGATCTCTAATTGCTTCCTGTTGCAAAAGAAAATGTATTCTTATTGCACTGATGCAAATAGCCATATTTCCATAAGTCGAGAATACTAACAGATAGTTTCCAAATTCTAGAGGAATCAGGCAGAGAGAAACAAACATGCTTCAGTTCACAGGAATATACCTTACTCAATTATTAAAGACTATAAGTGGCTAAAAATAAAAGCTTCCTTGACTCTAAAAAACAAAACACGGATCAGCAATATTTCAAGCAAAACATTTAAAAAAAAAGATTACTTGAGTTTTCTATTACTTCAGTCCATTCCATTAACTCTTGTTTTGCTTGATATTCATTAACATTTCATCTCTTCATGAGTCCTGTATGTTTTAATTTTATTCCAACCTCACAATCCTCAAAATTATCAGAAATCCACATTGAGAACACCTGTCAAAGTTCTATAGCTGATTATAAACCATCTTTTGAAGAGGATCAAAACAAGACACGAATTGTCCCCAAATGACAAAATGTCCAGGGTAGTTACAGTTAAAAACACAATTGACAAATAATTTTGTTTATCTCCATGGTTTACAATACTTTAACATAACCTTAATTATGATTGACAGCATATACTCAGACATTAGAATTTCTAGAAATCCCATGCAATTTTGGAACATATATTAATATTATTCCTTAAAATATAACATGAAGAAGATTAAACATCATTTTGGCAATCCCACATATCTAAACATGTCTAATAATACAGTTTAACTCCTTCTGGATGCTCCAGGGGCCCCGTGTAGCATCCAAAAGATAGGGTCCAGGAAAGACAATTTTGAAACTGAAGTTTGATTTTGAGAAGCCTGTTAAATATGTTAGAGCTTTAAACACTTGACATTATGAGATACAATTACAGATTACCATAAGTTATTTATTTTGTCAAAATGATGACTCAAAAATTTTTAAAAAGGCAAAAATCTTTACTCATTAAGAGGGAGGAATTTGTCTCCTGTCTTCTCTTTATTTTCCTTGGCAGTCTATCTGCAGGGCAAATGGTAATCTTTCATTACCCTTCACTATTACATGAAAATCTTGTACAAGAGAGAGAAAGCCAAATGTTATCCTTATATTAGTTTACTATTAATATCAACCCCAATTTTCAAATGAAAACTTACAGACAATTCTATCCAATCTTAACCATTTTGACCATGAAGTAAGAGTCTTGTAAACCTTTTATAACCCTTGACAAATTTTGCTAAAAAGCAGAATTGTGCCTTAAGGGAATAGTCCTGTGCTTTTATTCCAATGCTCAATTTATAGAAAAATCATATATTATACTCTTTTGAATTTAATGAATGTTCACACACAGAATTCTTTTGCATGATTGATTTTTAGAAACTTTCTACAACTTGTTTAAACCTTTAGCTTTATTTTATCTAATTTAAAACAATATTTTACCACTAGGCAAAAATTTACATTTCCATGCCTTCTTATATCTTTTTACTAAAAACACAGTTTACTGTCCTTACCTACCTTGCATGTAAATCTGTTTTCAGTGGACTCAATTACATGTTTTAATGGTAACTTTCAGCAATTTTTAACTTTAATGTAAAATCTGGTAAGTTGTTTCAATTATGCACTAGGCACTGATAAAGTTTAACACCTTCCACCATAGTGAAGGGTGTCGTTAATTCCAGTATGTCCCCAGGTCTTACCAAGTTGTAAAGCAAGCAAGTTGAACAGTTTTCAAAGGCCAAAGAAGCAATTTACAACCTTAAAACATTTAGCAAACCTAGTATCTGACTTGCATAATTTAGACCATCTATTTACATTTTAATGGCATCTGCATTTTACCAATAATCTTTAAGACTGTTTTTATTTTTCAAATATTATGGTCACATGAACTTAAAGCCATTAAAGCTTTTACTTTTCCTTCAAAAAAATTTAATCAATGTGCTTATTTTTCTTTAAGCCAATTAATTCAAGCTCTTTTTTATAGGTACACACAACACATATATGACTACATGGACAAACAGAAGAAGATCCAGTAGCTGTAAGATTTTTCCTTTGCCAATCTCCTAATTGGATTATTGGCCTCCAGGTGGGACCCTTTAAGAGCAGGGCTAGGAAAGCATGCAGTTTCTAGGGCCTAATAAACAGGTATAGCTGTAAGACAAAAACAGCTTTTGCGAAGGACCTCTTTGCCTCTAATTCCTGGGGTTGCACAAGAAAAACAGAGATTTCACCCATATGGAATCCATGGAGCCTTTTCTGTTTTTCCCAAGGAGCCCCAGGCCATCAGAAATTATCTTTAAGCCTCACATGCATGCATTAATAGTGACAATACTAGGTGGAGAAAAGTAATTCAGTTGACTGAGAAAAAACCTTTTTCAGAAAAAAAAAAAGATCCAAGAAGAGAAAAACACAAAGGCCTTTTAAATATAGATATAACTTGGATATCCACTTTTAATAAGCTGGACACTGTTTAAGAAATTCCTTTTAAATCCCTTATTACCTGACTTTAGTCATTCCAAGCATTCAATATTGCTGGCTTTGAACTTTATCAAACATGACCTAGCAGGTGAACCCAACAAGCCTCAATTAAGAGACACAAAGCACACCAGATTGGCTAAAGCTTAATACCAAACTCATAGATTATTTTTCATTAATCAGAATTTTAGGGCCAGGTGTGATGGTTCATGCCTGTAATCTCAGCACTTTGGGATGCCAAGGCGGGTGGATCACTTGAGGTCAGGAGTTCAAGACCAGCCTGGCCAACAAGGTGAAACGCCATCTCTACTAAAAATACAAAAATTAGCAGAGGTGGTGGCATGCACCTGTAATTCCAGCTACTCAGGAGGCTGAGGCAGGAGAATTGCTTGAACCAAGGAAGTGGAGGTTTCACTATACTCCAACCTGGGTGACAGACTAAGACTTCATCTCAAAAAATATATATTATATATATATATATATATTTACAGATAAAATAAACAATTATCTTTATCATTCCTTTTACTGCTTTGCATAAGGAGAGGGAGGTCCAAAGTCCAACTGGTAACAAAAACTTTTACCCTTTTTCCAGCATGTCAAGCTTCTGGGTTCCCTTACACTGATCTCATTTCTAAGCCAACCAGTTTAAGGTTTGGGAAATTAACTTTTCTCAGTTTGGAAAATGCATCTAAGGGAAGTATCCTGTAGTTTGGGCACACAATTACCCATATGTGAAGACAGGACAGAGAAGGAAAAAGGAAAAACGAAGGGATTTTTTTTCAAAGGAGCTTCAGGGTTAAGGATGCATTTGAAAAGGGGAAAGACTGAAGATGAATGGCTACTCATCTAGAAAGGAGGGAGCCAGATATCCCTCATTCCTTTCTCTTCCTAGAAAATACCTGGGGATTGAGAGGGAGAGAAGGAAAAAGTGTCCTCGTTACTTCTTTTGACTTTATATCCCCGAGTCCCAGCGACCTGGACAGGGTGACTCCCATGGTTGCCAGTGTGGCTTTCACCCATGCTAACAGGGGCCCTAGTCGGTAGGATTATCAGCTCTTACCCATGCACTGCCTTTCCCCCACCTGGCAGTAGCCTTCGATTTCCCTAAACCTCATTTATGCCATGGATATTGGCATGTCCTCTGTCCATGAAAAGGGAAGCTTGGCTTAACTGGTAGGAATTAGCTCACATGTACTATGCCTTTTAACTTCCATTGTCATTTGCCTCTGTATCCCTCAGATCCAGTTTTCTTTTTCTAGGGCTTCGGCCTGAAACTTGGAGTTGAGTTTGGGACAAAAGAGCTGCCTCAGCTAGGTGCATGGACTCATTGAGCCCCAGGTGCCCCTTGCCAGACTGGTTGTTGCCTCCTTATCATAAGCTGACTGCTAAGGTGAAGCCTTGGAATTGGGTCCTTCTCAAAGAAGGGAGGGAAAAAGGGTTTCCTGTGAATTGGGGTCCTTGTCCTTTCAAGAAAAAAACCTATCACATAAAAGTTAACTCCCAACAGCCAAGAGAAAAAAAAAAAAAAAAACTTAACTGTGGATGGGGAGAATGTCTAGGGGAAGAACCTCTTATTCTTATGCAAATGGATTTCTACAATAGGGAGAGAAACTTTTAATTGCTGTCCCCTTTGGCCAGGGGGAAGACTCTGTGGATGTGTCATGGGGAACACTGGCCAGCGAGGCCTGAGTCATTGAGGCCTGGGCTCTTGAGCCCATCTAGGGGCCTGGGCAATGGCTGTGGCTCATTCCCACCTTGTGTGGCCATTGGACTCCACACTCACATGTGGCAGACATGACCATGGGCCCCAGCCAGGAGAGAAAGGGGGTGGGAAGCTGCCACTCATCCTTCTGTCTTGCTAGGGCACCTATGGACATTGTGGTGAGGGTGGAACACCTCCATATTTTAAAAGAAAAGATAGGTGCCATTACAGCGCCCCCCAAAGGAAGGAAAATGCCATAGAAAAGACTGGGTTGCCAGAGGTGGAGCTTGCAGTGAGCCAAGGTGGCATCACTGCACTCCAGCCTGGGCGACAGAGCAAGACTCCGTCTCAAAAAAAAAAAAGAAAAGAAAAAAATAGAAAAGACTGGGTTGAAACAAGGCCAACATTCCCAACACCTGAGAGCAACGGCGGCTGGGGGAAGTTTCCCTTGCCTTCAGAAAAAATCTGAAGGTGAGAAAGGCAGAAACAAAAGGGAAAAAAGATTTTTGGATCTGTATTTTACTCATCCTTCCTCGTGTCCTCTTATGGGCTACCAAAACGATGCAGAATTTTTTGCTCCTTAGTTCAGCTAAATCCAGGTTCTTATCTCACGACCAGGAAAAATTAGGCATGCAGACACATTGAAGGGCGAGGAGGATGGAATTTATTAAGCAAAAGGAAAGCTCTCAGCAAAGAGAGGGGTCCTGCAAAAAGATTTCCACTTCACAATACCAGGGCTTCCACACACAAGCTGAAGGGGCCAGATTCTTCCCCACCATAAGGCACAAATTCCTGGTGGCTCCACCCAGTTCCTCCAGTGTGTATGTGGGCCCTTGATCTGAGCCACTCCACATTGATTTATTTCCCTTACTTCACATGCGTCAAGGGAAGGAAGTTTTCACTGTGCACGTGTTTAGGCAAGTCCCCTGTGCAATGACATGGGTGGTTGGAGGTTCTCTAGGCAACCTCACCCATCTGCCTAGCATCTATCTGTCTGCTACCTGTATCACTATTATTATTGACTCAAGTGTATTTTAACTGCATTTCTCACATAGTGGAAGTAAAATAGTTGTGTATTTAAGGGACATAATTTAGTAATGTATAGTGATTTTTAAGTTGATTTTCTGGCCAGCTGCAGTGGCTCACACCTGTAATCCCAGCACTTTGGGAGGCCAAGGTGAGCAGATCACGAGGTCAGGAGATTGAGACCAGCCTGGCCAACATGGTGAAACTCTGTCTTTACCAAAATACAAAAAATTAGCTGGGCGTGGGCATGGGCGCCTGTAATCCCAATGACTTGGGAGGCTGAGGCAGGAGAATTGCTTGAACCCGGGAGGCAGAGGTTGTAGTGAGCTGTGATTTCACCACTGCACTCCAGCTTGGCGAGAGAGCAAGACTCTGTCTCAAAAATAACAATAATAATAAAAATAAATAGATTTTTAAAAATCTTGTAAAATTTAACTACAGTTAGACCATTTTGGTTAATTGTAAATTTAAATTTCTTGGAAACTAATAAAATTACAATTATATCATACTTTATTTAAAAAGCATTTGGCATTTAATTTAGAATATACACACATTTGTAAAATATGTGAATTAGTTACATAAATATATATATATAAATAATGATATCCCTACAGTTATACAATAAAATAACAAAGTAAAAATTACTCACATTTTATTTCATTTCTCAAAATTGGTTATGATATGTGAATTTTATCATTCACATAATCCTGTAGAAGAGAGTTATAAAATCTAACTATTTAAACTAGACAAAATATACTAATCGTATTATTATGAGAAAATATAATTATATGGAAATATTGATATTTGAAAGATGAAATAATAATTCTTATACTTAATAATAAATACTTAATAATTATTTTCACTTAAAAAATTGAATTTCTACTCCAAATGCAAAATACATTTCTTATTATGGAAAAGTATTTTCTTTCATTTATGGATTATGTACAGAAATTATAATAGCATTCAAGGGGAATCTTTCATCTTTCTGCTATCATAGACCCAACTAGAAAAGCATTGAATAGACAAATACAAACAACAACAAAAGAGACAAAATGTTTTTTAAAACTATCAGAATGAGACAGTGAGAAAGCAATGCATAGCATTCAGTCTCAACTACTTACTCATTGTGCACATATCTTAGAGCTGTCCATTCCAATTGCCCATGAGCTTCTCAACAAATGCAGTAGCTCTACTATTTATTATACCTCTACAGTGCAGAAATCTCTTTTTTAAGCCAACAAATTTGCCATGTTATTGAAAACATAATTCTTTTAAAAAGAACAAATTAGGCAAAGCATTCAACTCTCACCAAATTTTTTCTGCCTCTTCTGTTGTAATATTTTTCACTTAAGTGTAGGTATAATATTAGTATTTAGATTCTACATGTAAATTTAAAACCAACATGTAATAGTACTGGAAAGAATCCAAAATTTGTACTAAATAAGCACAGCAAATCACAGTGTTTAAGTAGAGGGGACAGGTAATTTGTCATTTAATATTTAGTGAATCCCCATTATATTATATAGAATACAAGTGTATGCATATGTGTACATATACACAAATATATATCACAAATTATATGATAAAAATTTGACGTCAAGACTTTACATAAATAACACAAATCAACATATAATTATAGTGAGGAAGTTGGGGAAGAGAAAAGTGGACATTGTGACAATAAATGAAGAAAATGTAGGTATATGTATATAATCAAGAATAAATGTAAAGTTCTGAGACTATATTTTGTTCCATCCACTGATTAGAACAAAGCTATTTTTATGGTTTAATACACGTAATTACAACACATATTCAATGACTATCATAATTTATTCTAATTTTTTTAACTTTTATATCATTTTATTTTTTTGAGACAGGGTCTCACTCTGTCACCCAGGCTGGATTACAGTGGTGCAATCTTGGCTCACTGCAACCTTGACTTCAATGCCTCAAATGATCCTCCATCTCAGCCTTCCAAGTAGCTGAGATTACAGGTGCATGCCACCATAACCAGCTAATTTTTTATTTATATTTATTTTGTAGAAAAGTGGTTTTGCCATGTTGCCCAGGCTGGTCTCAAACTCCTGAGTTCAAAGGATCCACCCACCTCAGCCTCACAAAGAGCTAGGATTACAGGTGAGAGCCACTATGCCCAGCTTAAATATTTTTTTAAAGACATCACAGAATCACTTAATGATCCATGCATTCCATCCTAAGTTACCATTTAGTGGCTCAGATCTGTGATTTGCATACCCAATATCACAAAAATTTTAGATGAAAAACTGCCATAGCCACTGAGCAAGTTATTGAGAAGTTTAACTTCTGTATTCTATTTGAACAATACGGTTTGCTCCTTTCCTGTGTGCAGTTCCCTAGAAGAGTTCATTTTTATTTGAAAAAATATGATTTTTTAAAGGAAGCCAAATACAGCTTCCAAAGAGGTAGAGCAAATATTAAGGGAGTTTAGCTACTTTCAGTGAGATTTTTAGAGGTATTTGCAAGGGGTATTTGGCAAAACACCCAGTATGTGTGATCAAGAAAGTGGAAAGAACTAAATAGGAGACAGACCTATTAAATGAAGAATTTTCTGAATGACCTACGTAGACACATTGTAGCATCCTAAAAATGAGTTAAGTTGTTGGGTTTTATAATACTTTTTATGACTGATTTTCATGCTTTGATAAACAAAAAACTAAAAACCTGAGTGCATAGTTATGTTTGGATTTTGAAAGTGGAATTCCACACAGTTGGGTTTAATATCATAATAACATGAAAATTAAATTGAACCTCATCAATAGTATCATTGCTCTGTGATGAAATGCACATCCTTAATTACACTTGCTGTGGGCTATGCTTTACACTTGCAAAACAAGTGCCACAAATCTATTTCTATGGCTGCATTGTTTTGAGCCTTAGTTTCTGTGCTCACACTGATAACGGTGCTGTCTGAGAACAGGAAGTCCTCTTCCTCTGCTGCTGCCTGGAATTGCTCTAATTTGTTCTGGTAATGGGCGCCAGATGTCAGAGTATAAAAAGAAGCTGGAACAGGCAAAAAGATTGCCACTCTGACCTTCTATTGAATTCCAAAGCTCTTGCCCTTTTTTGTCTTCTGTGAAAATCAAATATTCACAAACATGTAGAACGAAACGGGGCAAACAGCTTCCCTTCTGTGGAAGCCGTCACAGCAAAAGAGAGATGGCTGCTTGGCACTTCCCTGGAATGAGGACATCTGCTACTGTTCTCTAAGCTGTGTTTTGATGGGGGGAAGGCAGAAAGAAAGAGAAAGGAGGAAAGAAAAGAACCTGTAACCTCCACATTCACAGAGTCATCTTCTTTGTAATGACTGCTACTGCTTCAAAATTGCTTTCCCCCCAACTGGGTATTTGGCATCTTCCTTTAGTAAAGATGAAGAATAGGTGTGAGGTTTTGTTTTTCTCTTTTATTTTTTTTTTTCTGTAACTACAGGGCTAAAAATGTATTTGCTTGTATAATGCATTCTAATTTATTGCATTTGTCACTTCATTTGTCTTGTTAAAATAGGTTTAAATTTGAAAAATATGCTCAGAGTAAACCAAAGTGAATATAGTCAGATGTCTGCTGCTATTGATAAGAACACAAACTGGTGATAAAGTCTATCAACTAGTACAGGATTTTCATGTCTGTGCATTTAAATTTCATTTTTATTAACTGATTTCCTACAGGATCACAGGGTTCTGGGCAACTGTTTTTCTATTTGTAATGACATTTATATTCGAAAAATTTTTAAGTGATTATGTTTTCTTGGTTCTGTTTCTAAGTGGTATAGTTGCAGCAGGCATATTTATCTTATTTTGTAAAGGTACAGTCCCAGGAAAGAAATAGCATCTTTACTAAGAAAATAAATGTTTTTTGTTCTTCTCAGGAAAAGTAAGAAATTGTAGAGAACAGGAATTAGCTATTTATTTTGTTTACCAACTCTTTGCCATCCAAGAAGCATAGAATAAAATTTGAACATGTAGATAAAGATATAAAATTATTTTATAGTTGTAGTTATTCACTATTTGCCTCACATGCTGAGAATGATAAAATTTAAGGTCAGTAGGAAACTTAAGGTTTTCTCAAGGATCACTGTCCGTAAAATACACAAGTCCCACTGCACACTTGTTTGTAATTAGGGTAATCACAGCTGTGGGATTTTTTTGTTTGGTTGATTTTTGTTTTGTTTTATAACGATATTAATATTTTTTTTTAAAGTAGTTTTAGGATCCCAAAAAAATGAATGGGAAGTAAAGGGAATTCCTATAAAAGTCCCTAACCTACACACACACACACACACACACACACACACACACACACACTCCATTATTAATATCCCCACCAGAGTGGTACATTTGTTACAATTGATGAACCTACATTGACACATCATAATCACCCAGTCTATAGCTGATGCTCACACTCTTGGTACTGTATGTTCTACTGGTCGGGAAAAGTATGTAATGTCATGTACCCACCACTGTAGTATCATACAGAACTGTTTAATTGCCCTGAATATCCTCTTCTTTGTGTCTATTCACTTCTCTCTGTCTCCTAACCCCTGGCAACTGAGGATCTTCCTACTGTCTTCATAGTTTTGCTTTTTCCAGAATGTCTTATTGTTGGAATCGTAATGTATAGCCTTTTGAAATTGTCTTCTTTTACTTACTAATATGCATTCAAGATTTCTCCACCCCTTTTCATGACTTGATTGCTCATTTCTTTCAAGTGCTGAATATTCCATTTTCTGGATGTACCACAGTTTATGTATCCATTCACCAATTGAAGGATATCTTGGATGCATCCATGTTTTGATAATTATGAATAAAACTGCTGTAAACATCCATGTGCAGGGATTTGTGTGGAAATAATTTTTCAACTCCTTTCAATAAATACCAAGAAATACAATTGGCTGGATGGTATAGCTATGTTTAGTTTTGTAAGAAACCACCAAACTGTCTTCCAAATTGTCTGTACCATTCTGCACTCCTATCAGCAGTGAATGGGAGTTCCAGCTTCCCCATGTGCTTGCCAGCATGTGGTGTTGTCAGTGTTCTGCATTTAGGCCATTCTAACAGGTGTATGGTGAAATTGCATAGATGTTTTAATTTGCATTTACCTGATGATATATGATATATAATTTATCTTTTCATATGCTTATTTGCATCTATATAGCTTTTTTGTTGAGGTTTCTGTTGAGGTCTTGGTCCATTTTTTTGTTTATATTGTTGAGTTTTAATAGTTCTTTGCATATTTAAAATAACTAATCTTTATATGTGTTTTGAAAGTATTTTTCCCAGGACTCAGTTTGTTTCTTTTTACAATTTCTTTTCCAAAATGTCAGAAGACTCAAGTGTGTCTTACATTTTCCTAAGATTTTAAATATTTTTGTAAGGTGATTTTATTTTCGTTCTGTACTGATTTCTTCTATTTGGAATTTCCTTGAGAATGACAAATATTCAAGAAATAAGCTCTAAATAAAGACATTGGAAACTTCCAGAAAACTCAATGTTCATAGTTGGCATATCTAATTCTACTCATTGATAATGTATATGTAAATGTCACTTGACTCATTCAGTGCCTCCACAGTGTCTGACAGCATGTTCTGGAGTTTGTTCAGCACTTACTGGAGAACACTGACCTATGTATAGGCCACAGATGTAGTGACAGGGCCCCAGCAGAGACAGCAGCAAAGGAGTCCTCAAAGCTGGTGTTTATTTTTTTGTGTCAGTTTTAGGACCATGTGTAGCTTACTTGACCTCTTGAAACTTTTCTCCTCTATGAAACAGGATTAATATTTCCTATTTTGTATATATCCTATAAGGTATATTTGAGAACACACCCAGAAGACAGTACATATTCTAATAGGTTTTATTGGAATGCATTGTTTTATTTCAATGCATAAGATTAGCAATCTCAAAGAGTTGAGTGAATCTACACTATTAATTTTTTAAGATGTTTAAATTTTACTGGTTGTAAATGTTACATATATAATTTTGCATTGTTTTTGTTGGTTTTTATAGAGACAGGGTCTCTCTTTGTTGCCCAGGTCTATCTAGAACTCCTGGCCTCAAAAGGTCCTCCTGCCTCAGCCTTCTAAAATGCTGGTATTACAAGCAGAAGCCACCATGCTTGGCCTGGCAGATATAATTATTTACAAGTACTTCCACAGTGTTACACCAAACAGTAAGCTTTAGATTCTTGGTTAATGATAAAAATCACCTAACATAGCTATTTGGACACATTACTTGAAATTGTAGCCAGGGTCAGTGGCTCATACCTGTAATCCCAGCAGTTTGGGAGGCCGAGACAGACACAGCACTTGAGGCCATGAGTTCGAGGCCAGCCATGGCAACATGGCAAAACCCCATCTCTACCAAAAATGCAAGAAATTAGCTAGATGTGGTGGTGCACACCTGTGGTCCCAGCTACTCTGGAGGCTGAGGTGGGAGGAGTAGACTCAGTTGAGCCTGTGGGGCAGAGGCTGCAGTGAGCTGAGACCACAGCACTGCACTCCAGCCTGGGCCACAGAGTGAGACACTGTCTCTCTCACGCAAACACATACACACACAAAAAAACTTGAAAAATGAAAAGGAGAATGTTAACAGCTATCTTACACTTCTCACAGGATATATTGCTATCAAATAACATATGTAAATCTTAAATTTAAAATAATTTAATAATTTGTATATTTCATCAAAATGTTAATTTTATAAAGTGTTTTTGTACTGTTTATTTATTGTGGATGACAGCGATCATGCAGTAAATTGTTCGGGTGTGATGCAGTTAAATCTCATAGAGAACATTTTTTTTTCCAAAATAATCAGTAGATAATGATAATTATTTTCTGCATTTAAAATATTCCCTAGCTAACCTGCACTTAACAACTGATAGAGGTAGGAAGCAGACAAATGCCTTGGCAGATAGCGGCAGGTCCCTGGTGAGACCCAACCATTAAGCCAGAAACTGTCCCATGCAAACTCTTGGACCAGATAGAGAACCCACCTTCTCATTTGGCGCACTTTCCTCTGATTGAGCCTGATTGAGCCCCACCCTTCACCTATTTTACATATAGCTACCATTTCCTAATTGGTTTTCTACACTGTTGTGCTCACTTCTGAGTGCTGACTTTGCTTGGAACTTTTTTGCATACTCACAAGCCAATCAGCACACGTTCCCTATTCTGAGCCCATAAAAAACCCTGGGCTCACCCATATTGGGAAACTGTCCTGTCTTCAGGTAGGAGATCCACCCTTCCCACCCCCTCTTTTTGCTGAGAGCTTTCGATGGCCACGTGCCTAATTCTTCCTGGTCATGAGACAAGTACCTGGACCTCACTGAGCTAAGGAGCAAAAATCCCACATCATAATTGACTTTTTTTTTACATAATACTTTTTAAAATCGTGCTTCTCATTGCCCTTTAATGTCTTGTTTCAGTCTTTCATTTTCTTTCCTGAAGAAGGAAGTATTTTTAGGATATGAAGACTTTCTCTAAACCAACACTCATACAGAAATCTTTTCTACTGCAGCATAATGATGGAAGAAATTACCACCATTGGGTAAGGCTTTTTTTCTCATCTTGGAAGTCTTTGTTATCATATATGTTATCATCATTGAATGCTACAGTAATCTATTAACATTTACTAATAATAGATTTATAGTCAACTTGAATAAGACATTTTAATATGATCAGGAAATCATTTAGCACTGCCTTTTGGCAACCATTTTGACTCTAAACAAATACATGATTTTGTTGGAAGATGTGAATCATATGCTTATACTTTATGACTACTCAAATAGACAAATAATATAGGAAAGCTAATAATAATACCCCTTCTCACCATCACCCTAGAAATAAATCCAGGAATGGGCATGTGAAAGTTGAATTCTTTTTTGGAAATTTCTAGGTTGAGTTCCATGAAAAAAAAAACTTTCTTGTAAGAATATTATAAGGTCCACATGAATATTATTTATGGCAATATTTGCTCACCTTCTCATACACACCAAAATACATGAGTCTATCTGCAACAAAAGAATATAGAGCCAATGTCCACAGAAAGAGATGAAATGACAGTTATCTCATTCTCAAAATGAGGCTAACTGCAACTCTGTCTTCCATTATGAACAAATAATTACTTAATCTTATCCTAGTGGGGTTTCAGTCACCAGCAAAGAAAATCCTAATTAGTACATTTGTATATGAGAAATTCCACAGGATGCTTGGGTAAACAAATATAGAATCCACCTTCTAAGTGTTATGAGTTAATTAGAGAGACAGTTTGAATAAAGGTTGATTGTCAGTTAATCAGTATAGTGTCTTTGTATAAGAGCTGAAAAACCTTTCCCACTGGTTCAGAGGAGGTAGATAAAGTCTTGAGACAGTCAGGAGTCTTCATGGAAGTTGTGGGATTTGATTTAAGCTGAGATGAGGGAGAAGTATTAATATTGGTTAAAACAGGAGAGTCGGCCGGGCGCGGTGGCTCACGCCTGTAATCCCAGCACTTTGGGAGGCAGAGGCGGGCGGATCATGAGGTCAGGAGATCGAGACCATCCTGGCTAACACAGTGAAACCCCGCCTCTACTAAAAATACAAAAAATTAGCCGGGCGTGGTGGCGGGCGCCTGTAGTCCCAGCTACTCGGGAGGCTGAGGCAGGAGAATGGCGTGAACCCGGGAGGCGGAGCTTGCAGT
This sequence comes from Homo sapiens, assembly GCF_000001405.40. Lineage (NCBI taxonomy): Eukaryota > Metazoa > Chordata > Mammalia > Primates > Hominidae > Homo > Homo sapiens. Next base: position 66,677,437 of record NC_000018.10, on the reverse strand, counting down.
GAGCCGAGATCGCGCCACTACACTCCAGCCTGGGCGACAGAGCGAGACTCCGTCTCAAAAAAAACAAAAAACAAAAAACAAAAAAAAACAGGAGAGTCATCTTTCTCCTGAAGTTGAGACACTAAGAAGTATATTCTGATAATAATGTAGAGGGATTTGGAATGCTTCTCAAGGAAGCCATGCCAAACTAGGCATCTGCTATAAGGAAAGCTTGAAATAAAGAAAAACAAATATTCAGGTATAAAATTGAAGTATTGAAGTCACAGGTTACTTTCTTAGAAAAGGTAGGGCTTCCATAGGTTACCACGGCTTCTGCACAGCCAGAAGAGCTGCTGTATTCACTTTAACCCCAAAAGACAGAAAAAAGAAGACTAACTTTTGAAAGGCACTGAATATTGAGGCCGCTGGACAATCTTGGCTCCCCCTGAATAAGCGTACGTGGTTCAAGTTTGCTTTAATAAAGGGCATTCACGATCACCATTGTGCAAAGCCAGACTGCAGGGCAGTAGCCAATATCCATTGATTAAAACAGGCTAATCAGGACAGAAGAACCCAGGTGGAACCAGGCAGGTGGGACTCAGCATGTGGGAATGGGACAACAGAAATAGATTAGCCCTTTTGTTTTGTTAATCAAACCTTAATAATAATGTTTACTCCAGTGAATTGCAGAGTTATTTCAAACAAATCACTTCAATTCATGTCTGTCATTTTAAATGAGAGATTCTTTGCTGTATTTTATCTCAAAGAGATGCAATTATAATTTTAAAATATTAAATGCTATGAATAGTATATTTCCATTTATAAATTTGTGCATGTGCATTTATTGATATGTATGCATATATAAATTAGGTATGGAAATGCATAGACAAAATCTGAAAGTCAATAAAAATATTAGGAGTAGTTATCTATGAGTAGTGGGATTATGGGTTATTAGCATGAGTTATTAGTATGAGTTATACTTTTCTGTATCAGAAAAGTATGGGTTATTAGCATGAGTTATTAGTATGAGTTATACTTTTCTGTATCAGGTAAATGTTTAATACATATATGATGTATATATATATATATATCTTATACTTAAAATCAGAAAATATTGATTTTCACGTAAATGTTAAACACATATATATGTGTATATATGTATAATTATAATCAGAAAATATTAATTTTAAACCTGAAAACATAATTGATCTTTTTGTAAATATAGCTATAATTACTGCTGTGCACTCTGGCATCTTGGGTTTTCATTCACCCATAGTTAATTTTTTTTATATAATCATAGAGTAGGAGTTTTCTAGCAACTCACAATAACCTGTTGCAAACTCTGGTATGCTGTCTAGTGCTTAGTAGGTTCCCTATGAATATCACCAGAGTCTAAATCCAAATCAAACTATGCTTTCAGATCTAACAAGTTTTTTCTCAACCTTAATTTCATTGCTTGAAATTGCATAATAAAAATTGATGCATCCAAAATACATAGAACTCATTTATCCTTTCTGTATTACTTCACGCAAAATCATTGCTGCCAGTCCTCTCAGCAGCAGTGATTGACATCTGGAACAGGCTTTCTCTATCTTTCTGCATTATTGGAGCTGCCATTTCAAATCTCATCTGAAACCATATCTTTTTCTTCAACTTCTATTACTTTATTCCATAATTGTATTATTTAACTCTGTCAAATGCACTGGGATACAGCTTTCTATAAAAGTGGCTTGCATAAAAATGCAATGCAATAGCATACTATTTTGAAATTAATTTCGTAGAAATGACTGCCCCCAGGTTAGAAATACTTTTGTTAATTGTTGTTCCACAATCTAGCTATATAAACCAAGGCAAAGTATTTTAAAAGATAGACCAAAAAAAATATACTGGAAGAGTGAAACGATACTTTTCTTAATTTAAACATTTTCTGAACATAATATTATGTCAATGTGTCTATGCTTCTGGGCACCTAAACCAAAAATGTATTTCGTACTTAAAAATAGATACTCTAAATCTGGAGTGGGAACTCTTAGTTTTGAGAGAAAAGCACAGATAATATGCTAATCTCCTCGTATTTGTTTAATTGTTATTTCTACCAGATTGTATGAATTTCATCCAAGATAAAGACATTTTTTGTTTCAAATCATTAATTTACTAATGTGGAAATAAACAAAGATGACCCAAATGAGAAACCAACAGAAAAGTCAAACAAAGCTGATTTATTTAGATTTTGCTCTAGCAAAGGAGTCAGCCACTATCCTCTGCCTTTGAGTTTGGGAAAAACTCAAAGGCGCGTAGAGGGATAGGAAGGTTTCATAGCAAAAAAAAGGGAGATGGCAGTCGTGGCAGCTGTGTCGAAGAGGACTGGAAGGTATGGGGAAGCTGGGGTTGGCTACTAAGAAGTGGGGCATCCTCATTTACTCTTCTGAGAACATATTTGACTTTCTCTGGTTGTTCCTAAGTAGGAAGCAGGGGGAAATATTAGGAAAGCTCTAAGTCACTAACCAAGCTCTGATTCTTCTGGGCCGATCGCTGCGGAGGCCGTTTGGCTTCCTGAATGATGGCTACAGAGACTGAGTCAAAGTCTCCTTGGCTTACATGGCCTGACTACCATCCATTGGTATATTTAGTCTCTCTGTAAAAAGAAAATAATTTTTAAACACATCAACTAATTAAATAAAATGTCAGCAATAATGATTAAAGAAAGTTTTTCTTTAGATATCTAGTTTAGTGCAAATTTGAAGAAAACATAACAACTAGCAAAATAAAAGGAACTGTATCATAAATGGAAAACAATTGTTGACATGCATAGTGCTTGCACACTGGGAAACAGGAAAGATCATGGCACATAGATAAACAGAAAAGTCCCAGTGTCAAATTAACAGTCATTCAGATTTGTCCAGGAGGGGTTCGCTGAAGTTGTCTGCTACTAGATCACACAGACGTCTTTTTAAAAGGAAGGCTTATCTATGGTGAAGGCTGTGAATGTTTTCCTCAGATTACAGAGAAGCTAAGGCATAGGAGAGATTTGATTTTTTTTTCTTTTCTTTTTAGTAGAAGGGGAGTATAAACAGAAAACACTTAAACCTCCTGCAGATACTTTAATGAACTATAAAGGACTAAACTATTAGCAGAGAGAAAGGGGGGAAATAGATGGATTAGAATAGTGTCCCTCGAATAATGTTGTGAATGTGTTTCAGATGTTAAAATGTAGGTTTTGCTTGGGCAGGCCTGTGGAAGGGTCCTGAGATGATGCATTTCTAAGGAGATCCCTCATGATCTGGTTGGTTGACGAGCCCTGATGATGTGGGTTAACAACTAAACTTTAATCCATGAGTAACAAAGGAAAAGAGAAATACTTCTCTTGGTGATATTAAACTCTTGAAACAAAAACTTTACAACACCATTTTGTATCTTGAAACAAAATCCATTAATGAAATAATTCACCAAAACATGTAAAAAAATAAAGTCAATCAATAAAGTGATCTAAAAGTAATCATAAAAAGGATAAATAAACGATATTTATAAAAAATATAAATTTCAGGCCGGGCATGGTGGCTTATGCCTGTAATCTTAGCACTTTGGGAGGCCAAGGCAGGTGGATCACTGTAGCTCAAGAGTTCGAGACACGCCTGGGCAACATGGCAAAACCTTATCTCTATAAAAAATACAAAAAAATTAGCTGGGTGTGGTGGCACACACCTCTAGTCCCAGCCACTTGGGGGCCTGATGCAGGAGGATTGAGTCCAGGAGGTTGAGGCTGCATTAAGCCGAGATAGCACCACTGTACTCCAGCCTGTGTGACAAAGTGATTCTCTCTCTCTCTCTTTCCATATATATATAATATATATATATAAATTTAAATATGAAAATATTCAAATATGACCTTAAAGACATAGAATCATTTCACCTGCACCTAAATTTAGTGTACTTATCAGTTACAGATGCGTACAGAATCAAGCATGTTGCTTTAACACCTGTGGTGTTTCTGTTACTAACATATTTCTATGAAATATTAAACATTTTTGAGAACGTTCTGAATGAAAAAATTATCACCTTACCTCAGTTTACACAGGGTTCATACTGAGTACTTCTGAAATGCATATATGTACAGTCAGGCATCACTGAATGAAGGGGATACATTCTGAGAACTGTGTCTTTAGATGATTTTGTTGTGTGAACATTGAAGAGTGTACTTACACAAACCTAGATGGTGTAGCTTACTGCACACTTATGTTATATGGTAGAGCCTATTGCTTCCAGGACACAAACCTGTATAGCATGTTACTATACTGAATTCTGTAGGCAATGGTAAATAATGGTATTTGTGTAACTAAACATACTTGAACATTAAAAATGTACATAAAAATATGGTTACATAAAAGATTAAAAAGGGTAGACCTGTATACTATACTTACCATGAATGGAGCTTACAGGACTGGAAGTAGCTCTGGGTGAGACAGGGAGCGGGTGGCGAGTGGACGTAAGGCCTAGGACATTACTGTACACTACTGTAGACTGTAGAAGCGCTATAAAGTGAGGCTACACTAAATTTATTTTAAAAAGTTTTCTTCCTTAATAAATTAACCTTAGCTTACTATAACTTTTTTACTTTGTAAACCTTTTAATTTTGTTTAATTTGATTCCTTTTAGCTTAAAACACAAACACATTGTACAGCTATACAAAACTTTTTAATTTATATTCTTTGTTTTATTTTAAATTTATTGAATTTTTTATTTTTTAAACTTTTTTGTTTTTGTTTTTGTCAAAAACTAGGACACAAACACACAAATTAGCACATTAGTCTAGGCCTACACAGAGTTAGATAATCAACATCACTCTCTTCCACCTCCACATCTTGTCCCACTGGATGGTCTTTTGGAGCAATAACAGGCTTAGAGCTGTCATCACCTGTGATAACAATGCCTTCTGGGAATCTCTCCTGAAGGTCCTGCTTACGTAGAAGGAATGTACCCTAAAATAATGATAAAAGGTATATAGTAAATACATAATCCAATAACATAATCATAACAACATAGCATAAATTAGGGATATTGGCTCCCTTGGTGATGGAGGCTGAGAAGTCCCAAGATAGGCCATGTGCAAGCTGGAGAAGCAGGGGAGCCAGTAGCACAGCTCAGTCCAAGTCTGAAGGCCTCAGAACCAAGGAAACTGATGGTGCAACTCTCAGGGCTAGAACTTGAAAGTTTGGGCATGAAACGGGAGAACTGGTGTGAGTCCTGGAGTCCATAAATCCAAAGACCCCAGAACCTGGATTTCTGACATCCGAAGGCTAGAGAAGAAGGGCATCCCAGCTTTGGAAGACAGAAAGCAAGAATTCTCTCCTCCTCTGCCTTTTGGCCTCACTCAGGCCTCCAGCTGATTGGATAGTGTCTGCCCACACTAAGGGCAGATCTTCCCCACTCAGTCCACCTGCCCGCTAGCTAATCTTCTCCAGAAACATTCTCACAGACACCACCTGGAGCAGCCCAATCATTCCAATCCAAAGCAGAAGCACCTGGCTTTCTCCTTCAGAAGAAGAGGAATGAGCTCAGGGCCTGCTGAAGCATTGAGAATTTTGCTTTTACTTATGAAGTTATGTAACTTTTTCCAAATAAATATTGTTTCTTTCTACATATAAAACCTATTAATTTTATTATTAAAAAATATATATCTTGACAGAAACATTTGTCAGCTCCAGGTAACCTACAATTTGGTCAGAAGGTGAAAAGACATTTGACAATTTAAAGTTATATATTTCTAGATTTTTTTTTCTGTTTTCATACTTATGAATGTGTATAACAATATAGTTTGCAAAGGGCTAATATAAAACTATGCACATTATTATGAAAAATATTGTAACTTTTAAAAGCAAAATATTTGATGTATGCAACAAAAGGCATATTTTTAAAATTTATTTAAAAAGACAACAAAATTAGCATCCATTAATTTATCACACAGATTAAGAAAGTATATAATGAATTTTCAATGGGAAATCCTAATTATTTTACCAACCACATTTTAAAAAATTCTCAAGTAGTTTTTTAGCATATATTTTATCCATGGGGAATATGATTTTTGCTGTATACAAATTGTAAATTCTATGATTCTGCATCCTGCTTTTTCAAATCAATATTAAATATATAAGATTCAGCAAATTTGATTTGTGAATGGGGGCATTTGTTCCCTGCTACAAAGTATCCCACCATATTATCTACAGATCACTTTATTTAAATTTGAAATATTCCTTTGCCACTTATCATTCTCATCTTTTCCCCATTTTTATTGCTTTCATAACCCTCTAATATTTCACATAATTAATATATTTATTATGTTGATTTTTAAAATTTTCTTTATATTCTCATAAGAATGTCTCACTAAAGCAGGTATTTTTATTTTGTTTACCAATAATCTCAAACATCAAGAATTTTGCTTTACACTATGTGAGTTTAATATATATATTTTGAATAAATTAACAAATATAGCATTCTTTTATATTCAGAAAAGTTAGGTTTTCTGAAATAAAAAGTTACAGATTTTCTTGTATGGATATTTAATATACAGTAGTACATATATACTCCAGTCACAGTATCTACAGTTTCCATGCAGATCTGATGATTCTTCTGATAATGATCATCATTCTAATTACATGTACCAGGTCTGTCTACTGGTGCACATGGATAGGAATTTTCTGCAGTGTATACATTGGTTCATAGCATTAAGCAAAATTGATTCTAGATATTTATTCAAGGTAATGGAAACAGACTTACTGACTGAATGAATTAGGTATTGAAGAAACTGAGAGTAAATAGGGATGACTTGAACCTCTTGGCCTAAATAACTGGAAGTAAGCAGTTGTCATTAATTGAGATGGGGAAGAAGTTTGGGAGATGTGATTAAGAGCTTACTAATGCAAATGTTATATTTGAAATGGCTTTTGGATATCCACCTAGAGAGGTCAAGTAGCTGGTTGTATATATAATGTTTAGATTCCAAGGAAAAAGTTTAGTCTGGAGACATAAATATTGTAATCATCAGCATATGTATGGTACTTAGAGACACAACTCTAGAAGAGATCAACAAGCAAGTAGATCAATATGATACTATATTAATGGCTGATACCTGAGACTCCTTAATGATGGTCAGGGTAACAAAGGGAACTGGCAAATTAGAATGAAAAGTAGTGGCCTGAGAGGGAGGAGAAAAGCGAGCGGGGGCGGAGTCCTGAACACTCAGTAAAATAGGAAGCAAACTCATCAGCTGTGAGTGGAGATGGAGGAGGAGGGCTTGAATATTTGAGGAGACAGAAGAATGGGTGGGAATACAGCTGGAATTAGGGTATGATTCATGAGTATCAAGAATGGTCTCCTTGGAACTATGGTGATGAGTTTAATTTGAGGTAAGTCAGCTTAGTTGCAAATGTTTTCTTCAGATTTACTTGGAGGTTTATAAAAACTTGGCACAGAATTAAACTTAAATTGAGTGGGAGTTTGCAGGTGAGTAGGAATATAAGGTATTTGCTGATGCTGAAGAGCTTGATGCATAAGTGGTAGAAAGGATAAAGGAAATTGGGATTAAGTACCAAAGCTGTAAGGATAGGAATGCACAGAGATACAGTGAGATGGACAATACTGGAGGAGAAATATAAAATGCTAGTCTTTTTAGTGTTAAAGGAACAGGAAGAAAGATCAAGAAGCAGGAGGTAGTAAGGAATACTCTGAGTTATAGGGGTGGAGATTGGAGATTAGATTATTGCTGTATTCTTTAATTCTAAGATTTAATTTTATCATTGCCATTTCAAAACTTTCTTTATGATCAGAGTTAACTTCTTTCAAGAGAAGGCAATCTTGTTTCAGAAGGCACAATAATAATTGTAGGGTATGACGGACAGAGGGCAGGGCAGGGCCACACAGAGCACACAATCTTTACTCACACTCAGAAATGGTGCTTTAAACAAGTTAATTTTCTTATAAGCTACTTGCCAATGCCTTTCTTTGTTTTTACTTTTTTATATATTTTTTGAAACACAGTCTCATTTTGTCGCCCAGGCTGGAGTGGAGCTCAGCTCACTGCAACCTCTGCCTCCTGGACTCAAGCAGTCCTCCCACCTCAGCCTCCCCATTAGCTGGGACTGCAGGCACAGATCACCACTCCTGGCTAATCTTTATATTTTTAGTAGAGATGGCTTTTCACCGTGTTGCCCAGGCTGTTCTCAAACTCCTGGCTGCAAGTTATCCACCTGCCTAGGCCTCCCAAAGTCCTGGGATTATAGGTGTGAGCCACTGTGCAATGCTTTATTTATGGTGTTAGCTTGATTGTGGATATTATATCTTTAGATTTGGAAAATTGTAAGTGGAAAAAAAAAACAGTAATTCACAAACATACTCAACACTGAGATAATGGAATCCTCAGAAATAAATAGAAAAATTAAGCTTCACAACATTTCATACAAATTTAGTACTCTTAACTCTTTATCTATGAAATACACTTTAGAGATCTGCTGTGGCCTGCATGTAAATGATGCCTAGCAAAGTAGGGTGCTGGGAGCATGCAAGATCCAGGGACAATGGTGGCTTCTGAATATCAATGAGCTTGCTGACTTACAGGTAACCTGACCTTTTCTAAATCTTAATTTTTGTTTTTCTCTTTATGAACAATTACATTTAGTTTAGCACTCTGTGGAGTTACAACTGAATAGAGTTCAGTCTTTCTGAATGTTTAAAAACATGCTCACTGCCAAAAAATGTGAAAATATCAATTTAAAAGTTTCAAGGAAGAAACAATATTTTTCACATATTTTTCAAAATGAAGCCACTTTTTTTATGTGTGTATGAAAATAATGACAATATCCAGGAGAGAAAGATCTCAGGATTTCAAAAAGCACACATTTTTCTCCATTTTAAAGTTCTAATATAAATCTCAGCCTAATTTATAATTTTAGGTTGCATATACTGATGATTATGAACAATTTCACAGAATGTCAAGAAAAATATACAGCTTTCTTTGATATATTTTTCCAATCAACATTTTATTGAAGTGTTTTCCCTTGTAATGTCAAACGTTAAAATAGCAATTAAATTTAAAATGGACATTTAATCTTATTGTGATTAAGTACTCACACTATTTTAGCCTTGAATAATGTTGTTCCCTCACCAGATTCAGAATCCAGTGAGAAAATAAGAGTTTTTTCACAAACATATCTCTGTTTATCATTATTACAAGAGCAATTTAAAAAGTTGAACATGGCTCTGCAAATCAGAGCAGGAGAAAGATGCATACCTTTGAACAAGAGAGTTCTGCAGATGCTTCTTATAAAGGAAACATTTTAACTAAAATCTCCAGGGTATGCAGGAAGTAGACATTAAAAATATGTGTACTTAAGCGTGGTGGCCCACCCCTGTAATCCCAGCACTTCAGTAGGCCTAGGTGGGTGGATCACCTGAGGTCAAGAGTTTGAGACCAGCCTGACCAACATGGTGAAACCCCATCTCTACTAAAAATACAAAAATTAGCCGGGCATGGTGGTGCCCACCTGTAGTCAGAGCTGCTCAGGAGGCTGAGGCAGGAGAATCGCTTGAACCAAGGAGGCAGAGATTTCAGTGAGCCAAAATTGCAGCACTGCACTCCAGCCTGGGAAACAGAGCAAAACTCTGTCTCGAAAATAAATAAATAAATAAATAAATAAATAAATAAATAAATAAATAAAATAAAATAAAAGTTTTTTAAAATCATATGTGTTCTTGAAGGGTGGTAAGGGACGAGAAAGATGTAGGTATAAGAAACAAACATTCTAGGCTAATGTAAATTGACATAAAATTACTCTGACTTGGGAAAAAGTTGGACATTTTAAAGAAGCTGATAAAGGGCAGGATAAGAATATAATGAACTCACTAGGGAGTGGCATTCAATGAAGTGAACATGGCCAGAAAGGTAGGGGGGGAGACCAGATGCTATTTTTGCTTTTAATTCAAAACAGAAAGACAGTAAAGCTTATAAGATAGATCATGGCAGTGTGAGAAAGAAACAAAAGAGAAAGCATGGAGATATGTTTGGAGGCTATTAATAATTGGGAAATGAGAGTTGTGAATGATGTGAAATGAGAGTGTCTTGGATTAGAAAGAGGCAGCAGAATTACGGGGTAATAGGCGAGCTAATAAAACCATGTTCTTCAAAAACAAAGCCACAGAATATTTGTTCAACATTAATGATTGTGGTTAAATGAAACAACATTTTCTATTAATCAAATTGTGTTAACCTTTACATTCAAAATAAGATGTTTTCTGTGTACTGATTCTAGCACGACATTTTCCCCTACTTGGAACTTATCTTTTATTTCCATTTCCTGTCACATATAAGAGTATTAGTTATTCAACTCATCAAAACCAGACTGACTTAGATGAATATAATTACACATCTTGCTTAAATATGTTTTAAATTATTTTATCTGGATATCAAGTCCACAAAGTATGTCTTATAATTGTGCAGTTCTTTTTCACTTCAGTTTCATTTAGAATGTTCTAAATCAGATACACTCTTGAGAAGTTTACAGTATTTAACATTCAGGTAATGAAATAAATTATTTTTGTAAGTATTTATTACTTCACATGGCATTATTCTGTTTTAGAATGGCAAATATTTTTATTTACATGTGCATAAGTGATAATTCTATAGAGCACACTAAAATCAAATGCAAAACACAGGAAAGCTATGAGTAAGGCAATATAAGATAACTGGTTTCAGGGTCTGGGTAATATTAGCTAGTTGTAGTTTAAAATCCAACTTGAAGAAAGTACTGTAGGGAACCGGAAGAACTAGTGGTAGTTCTGGCGATGAATTTATCTTTAATTTTTTGTTATTGCTGTTAACTGTGGCAGAATTGAAATCAAATAATATTTTGCCAGTTAAGAATGATTTGCCTGTAGAAATCTGAGGGTAATGAAAATACATCTCTGTTTTTTATCGTTATGTTTTAAATTACCTTGAAGAATTTCATTTTTCTCTGTTTCCTTTCCCTATGAATGTGTTTTTGAGAGGAGACTCCAGTGATGGAGAGATGTCAATGGATATAACATATATCTTAAAGAAAGTATTACTTGTATTGTTAAAATGTATCTCTGCAAATATACATTAAAATGTTTATTTATGAACATCAAGCATACTTATAATTTTATAGCTGATGATTTGGATAAAAAGAATAAAGTTTTTGTAAATTAACTGCAATTTTAAATTTCAGGAAAATTTACAATTTTCTCTTCAGTTGCATAAGTTTTGCCAATTCATATTTTTAAAGCTAACAGCAACAGTAATTTATATGGTAATGACAATTGTTCCACTGATTTATTAACATTAAAAAAGATTAAACTTTACAAAAATAGTTTGCTATTCGTGTGATGACATCTAAATTATTAACATTCCATAGTGACTTGCCTAGTCTTCCATTAAAGTACTATATTCTAAAATTTTATTATGTAAATTTTTATGCTTTAGTAACAGTATAAGTTTACCTATAAGATTTTCAAATTTATTTATTTAAGGCCAGCTTAAATGTTTGAATAATTATATATTTTAAGTTATGAGACATTAGAAATATAATAATTTCAAGCTAACTGCTTCTTGCTAAATTTATATATCAAACAAGTGTTATTGAAAAAACAAGAGAGGAGATTAGATACATACATTAGAACATTCCAAATAAAACTGAAATTAAAATAACTAAAAAATTATAAGACACATTTTGTGAACCTGGTATCCAGATAAAATAATTTTAAACATATTTTAGCAAGATTTATAATTATATTCATCTAAGACAGTCTGGTTTTAATGAGTTAAACAACTAACACTATAAGTTTTGACAAAATGTACATCACATTATCATAATTATTAGAGCCCAACAAATATCTTCATTATATATATTCAATAAGTGTTTTGGTCCATATTCTAAATTTCTGGTCAAAGGGGATTTCAATGCACCTCACACTGTGACATGTGAATTAATCATTTGAGACTATATATATATATTTTTTTAACTCTTAAAATAACTGAAGTGCATGCAAAAAATAAGCAAGAACTTGAAAAGACTTGAGTTGAATCTAGAAAGTTGACTAAGCCCAAAATTAATTTGCTTAAAATTCAGACAAAATAACAAATGCTTGTCTTAACACACACACACACACACACACACACACACACAAACAACCTGAGAAATAAGACACTAATTTAATAGAAAACTCAAGAAAAAAGACCCACAGTATTAGGCAGATGCAAACCAAAATGCAAGGACACAGAAAGAAGACTACTGGAAGCCAATAAAAGACCTAACAAACAAACAAACAAACAAACAAACACAGGAACCCCAAAATGTCAGTGTGAGCAAGACTGCTAGAAAATCAGTGAGCATTCCTTATGACAGAGGGATCCACGCCAAAGATGGTGATGGATTGCCTATTCTCTCCTCCCTTCCTAGAAATCCAATTAAATTCATGAAAAACTTTTCCATCCTGACCTACATAGCCCTTACCTGCTTTTTCATATTTTCCACCCTGTTTGTTGCCCATGCTTGAGATTATTTTTTTCTGACTTACTTTCTCTTTTATTGTTTTTTTTCTTCAGCTGTGTCAAATCCATTATTATCTACCTAACTTCTCAATTTCAGTCATTATATTTATTCATTGTATAATTTCTAATTAATGCTTTTTTTATATGGGTTTGAATTTTGTGGTGAAGTTCTCTATTTTGTCATACATTTTATCCAATTTACTAAGTACAACTTCTTTAAGTCCATTTGTAATAATATAAATAAATAGATTAACTCTGGGTTTGTTTCTACTGATGTTTTGTACAACTTTGTTTTTTTTAATTGAATATTCTATTGAATGCCAGGGCTTATATATGAAAAATTCATAAAGCCTCTGGATGTAGTTATCTTCCTTCAGGGTAGATTTGTCTGATGTGCAGTTGGAGTAGGGACAAATCTTCTCAATCTTTTAGGGACTGAAATTATTCCAGTCTAATATGTAGTTTTTGGCTAGATCCACCTTTGATTCACCTTGACACCAATGTAGACCTTTTGGAGAATAAACAGTGAATCTGTGATAATAAGCAGGGTCCATCTTCCTTAGAAGCTTCTTGATTCAAATTTTAATTTTTCCAACACTTTAAAATGAACAATTTTCCTTTGATTTTCAGCTGCTTTTCTGCCTGACTGCCTCTTTTCCTATACAACTTAATCTGAAATGCCTCAACAATATTGATATGGTTAGGCTTTGTGTCTCCACCCAAATATCATCTTGAGTTGTAATTCCCATAATCCCCACATGTCAAGGGAGAGACCAGGTGGAGGTAATTGAATCATGGGAGTGGTCTCCCCCATGCTGTTCTCATGACAGTGAGTGAGTTCTCAGGAGATCTGATGGTTTTATAAGGGGCTCTTCCACCTTTGCTCAGCACTTCTCCTTCCTGCTGCCCTGTGAGGAAGGTGGCTTGCTTCCCTTTCACCTTCCGCCATGATTGTTAAGTTTCCTGAGGCCTCCCCAGCCATGCTGAACTTTGAGCCAATTAAACCTCTTTCCTTTATAAATTACCCAGCCTTGGGCAGTTCCTTATGCATTATGGAAATGGACTAATACAAATGCCTTATATCAAGTTAAAATTTCTGGACCTCTCTCTTCTCCATGTTCTTGGCCTTTCAAGCAGCATTGTTTGCCATTGTATCTTATGATATCTCTGAAAGCTTTGCTGGTTTCTCTGCCTCTTGGCTATCTGGCTCTAACTGGCTTCTTAGATTCTCTCCTATACCCAACTACTAGACAATACCCAGAGGAAGAAAAGACGTGCAGAATGCTAGACCCTCTTCAGTAAGCCCTTCTTTCTGTCTCTCCAAAATCTTGATCTTTCAAGGCTTAGATGCCTTCCATGACATTTGTGTTTACTTGACTATTTTATGTAGCTTCCATCATGGTTATTGAAGGAACATGAACATGTTACAAGCTACTCTATCACAGCCAGTGTTACATTAGACCAAAGTGATTATTGTCTGTTTTTACTAAGAAAGGTAATCCTTCTATTGTATTTTGAAGCAAATTAAATAGAAATACAAAATCAAATAATAATAACTAAAAATAATCTTTTAAATGTAATAAACATTTATATGTGAATATATCATCAATATCTGCTGCCTCCAAACTACTAGGATTAATGGGATTAGAAAGTTAACAGGCAGCCCTTATTCCCAAAAAAGTTTAAAAACAAACAACATGAAGTGAGTTGACAGACTGTCAATTGAGTTTTCATCAACACATAAAGTTTCACATGTGCATCAATGAATGTAAGTTATAAAAAGTTAGAAAAATCATTTTGAATAATTTTTCTGCAACTTTACCCATTTTAGATGGTCCATAAATATCAACTATCTATCAATCAGGAAACTCCTTTGTAATGCCTTATTAAAATGAAGGAAGCCACATCTGCATATGTGAAGGGGGCTGCGATTTTAACTTTCATTCAATGTCAATTTAATTTCAGTATCCTTCCAACGCCCAGTTTATGGTTTGTACAAATTACAATATTGATGGGTTTGCTAGGGTAATGGTGGTGATGAGTCATTAATTCCCCAGAGCGTATCATATTTGCTGAACACATGGTGTAGGAAAGGTCACATTGAATTCATCTATTTTACACTACGGAAAACAAACCAGCACCACTAAGCTGCTATAATAGGGGAAGTATACAGAGGAAAACTGTGAGCATGCTATCATTATGAATATATTCATATTTTCTATAACTTATCACAGTTTGTACTTAAATCCATAAAATATGTTGCTATTAAATTTCAATAATTAAAAAAAGTAAGAGAAAAGCAAAGAACATTGGCTAATAAAGATTTCTTAGTGTATTAGAATATGTTCATACACTTTGGTATGATGGAGGAAGTGACCTGTCACTGGGGCTTTCAATCCCAATAGTGAAGGAGTCATGCTGCTTTCATAGGATTGCTACAATTCTCTACAGGTCACAGTCTCAACAGCATGTACATTGCAAAGCTCTAATCTATTGCAACTCAGGAATTTAGGTGGTCCTTGTCAGCTCAACAAAGAAAGTTTGTCATAGCATAATCACATTAAAATGTCCTAAATACATGATTCAACATCATTCTTGCTGGAGGTCCTAAGTGCGCTCTCCTTTCCCCTAATGATTAATTAGTAAAATTAATGTTCTTATCTCCTGCTCAGGACTGAAGTATGCAACCTTGGGATTACACTGTTTCTCATATTAGAAATTTCAGTCTTGGCGTCCTCACCTAAAATCAGCCTTTAAGAATTTTCTAAAAGTAGTACTAAATTCCAACCTCAATTCTTCAGGAACATAAACTTTATTAGAGGCAAGCAAATGAAGACACAATAGAAGACCTCTTTTAGTTATGCGTGATATTGCTTCAAACTGTACTCATCTGTGACTCGGCTATGTCATGTTGGTGTCTGTGTGGTGGTAGTGACAACTAACATTGCTTTTGCTGTTGTTGATCTTTGCTCATCATTATTTGCTCTGACGTCTTCCTTAATGTGATAAAGCAGATGGTTAAATCGATTCAGCGCTCTTTCATTGGTATTCATGCAGTGTCATCATCGATAACTATTTTGGAGGAGATTAGGTTTTTATTCGCCACAGGTACTGAAAGTGAGCAATTCTTAGGCTGCTACTTTGCGATGGTACGTTTTAGTTTTGTATTCAGTTTGTTTCATCGCACGTTCAGCTCCGTTTTTGATGCTTAACACAATAAAGCCTTCCACTGCTTATAACCAGGAACAAAATAACAGATAGAGACACTTATACTGATGTCTCTTTCAGAAGCAAAGGATGATGCAGAAGTAAAGAGAATTGTCAGGACTTTAAACCCTGTAAACCAACAGAGTCAGGCAGATTGAAAAAAGTAATTGAGGCTGGGGGTGTTGACTCATGCCTGTAATCCCAGCACTGTGGGAGGCCGAGGTGGGAAGATCACTTGAAGCCAGCAGTTGGAGACCAGCCTGGGCAGCACAGAAAGATCCATTTCTTTAAATTAAAAAAAAAAAAAAAAAAAAAAAATTAGCCAGACATGGTGGTGCGTGCTTGTAGTTCCAGCTATTCGGTAGACTGAAGCAGGAGGATTGTTTGAACCTGAGGGTATATAGGCTACAGTGAGTCATGGTCTTGCCACTGCACTCCAGCCTTGGTGACAGAGCAAGACCCATTTCAAAAAAAGAAGAAAAAAAATTGAAATGCTGCCTAGGTTTAAGAGCAAATAGCAAGTAATACAGGTAGAAAAACAATTTATCTCAGAAGACTCTAGGCGGGATAAGGTCACTTTAACTCTAAGTCCTAGTGTTAAGTCTGTGATCAGGTATGGAGGATCAGGCTCTGGAGTGTACGGTTAGAGGAAATCAGTGCTTGCTTCTAGGTTTTTTAGATTCGACCAAAGCAGCCTTTAGTCAAGGGCTAAATACTAACAGGGAGACAATACCCACTGGGGTCCTCTATCCAAAGTCCCATGGACACGATATATTCCTGTGAGTTCTGTGCTCCTTTGGGGTGATTATTTGCCTGGCAACAGGTTGTCTGTCTCACATGTATTCTTATCAGTCCTCAGCTAAAGATACATGGGACCCTCAGTTATGATATTGGGGCAATCGTAGGACTTTCCTCACGTCTTCCTCTCTCTTAAGGATCATTGTCCTGTGTGGCCTGATGTTCCGTATCTGAACGTTATTGTTTCATATATTTTGTCCTTTAATTTTAGTTGCTTCAGATATTAGAATAAATCCAGATCCTATCATTTCATCTTGGAAAATCCCCGAGAACAGTTTAACATATTATTATTTTAGCTGTAAAAGCATTTAAATCTTGTATTTTTCCAAATTTTAACAATCTACATTATAAATATATCCAAGAGCTTGTCATTATAATTTGTTTGAGAAAGAAAATGTAAATGTTATCCAAAGGATAATGTATCATGTTCATTTTAGGTTCATTGTTCTTTGCTTTTGAAGTACATAAATAAATACACAATTATTGACTAATATTACTTTCTTCTTTGTATTACACATAACATAAACATTTAAAATTACAATGTAAATCATGTATCTAAATTAAATTGGAGCATAAAACAATGAGATAGTCCAAAACCACACATTCCTAAATCTCTTAAAATAGGTATAAAATGAAATACCAATAATTGGAGTCATATATTTTATGTGATGTTTTGTTTACATAAATCACAATTCCATATTCATCACTCTAATGTGTCTGTGTTAATTTGTACCTAAACAAAACCCTTTTTTAAAACCTATATTCTTCAATTTACTTGCATAAATTTAGTTTGCTTCTCTGTATGATTTTTAATATCCTATATTTTGTTTCTGATTATATTGCTCTATAATAGTTTATCTTTCATTAAAGATTCCTATTCCTTCTTGAAAATTATGTAGTAATGTGTTATATATGTAGGCATTTTGAAAGTTCATTCTAAGAACAAAGAGAACAGTGCTAATTGTTCAAATATTTAACTCTTATTATTTGTAAAAAAGTGTCTCATCCTTAGCATAATATACAAACACAATTTCTTTTATAATATTTGTCTGTTCAAAGCCACATCAATTTAGAATGCAAATCTCTTTGTAAATAGCGTATTTGAATTATCGGTTTGCCTTTATACTGAACATTTTTGTTTATCGAAGAAGATGGATTAAAGGGAAGAATAATACACCTCTTATCTAATTATACATGTACACATGACCTTAGGAGGGAGATGAGACATCTCATCCTTTGTGTTAAAGCAGTAGCTCTTCACCAGGAGTGATAGTGCCCCTCAGAGTACATTTGCAATGCTTGGAGCTTTTTTGTTTTTTTCACCTGGGGAAGAGAGGGTGCCACTTCCATG
Source organism: Homo sapiens (assembly GCF_000001405.40). NCBI lineage: Eukaryota > Metazoa > Chordata > Mammalia > Primates > Hominidae > Homo > Homo sapiens. Next base: position 66,659,546 of record NC_000018.10, on the reverse strand, counting down.
TATGGATACTGGCCAGAGATGCTGCAAAGCAGGAAAAAATGTACACAAGACAACTGCCTTCAACAGAAAATTGTCCAGCTCCAAATGGCAATTGTGTCAAATCTGAGAACCCTGGCTTTGAAGAAATAATTATTAGTTTCCAATTTATCAGATATGTGATATATGAAATAACTACTGCTTGTATGTAATTTATGGTTTTATACATTTATTTATAATCCATTAATTTACAAATTTATCTTAGCCTTTGAAGGAAATATTATATTGGCCTTTTAACAGTGAGGAAATATGAGAAGCTGCATGCCAATAAATTAAACACTTACTCTTTGAGTAACACAAGCTATCAAAATCAACTGATAAAATGAATAACTGGAATTGTCCCATATCTATTAGAGAAATGTAATTCTTAGTTTAAGAACTTCCAAAAAATGCCAATGCCATATGGTTTCACAAACAAATTCCATAATCAAATAACACAGAAATAATCCTAATTCTACACAATTCTTTGCTTAATTTTGAAGAGAGTCAAATACTTCTCCACTCATTTTATCTAATCATTGTAACATTGTTATAATTCAGTTTTATTTTTCCACATCTTCTCAATACTTTTTAAAACATCTCTTTCTAAATTGCATTCTCAATCTTTTAAAGAAGTTTATGGTTTCTGTTTACTCATTGGAAAGAAATAGCGACAAGGCTATAATGAGTCAAAGAAGATTACCTGCCAAATTAAACTCACAACCTGATAAAATCTGGGGCAAAATAGTGTAATTAAATATAATGATAATAACTTATTTAAATAAAGACATTTTGTGTGATCAATATTTCACCATTTTTTGTCATGTAGTGTATGCAACTGATATTGTAATCCTTCAGCCTCCAGCTTAATTTAAAATTAAATAATTTACATTTTTATTTTCTTGTATAAAACACAAAATAAAAAACTTTCCATCTTTCCCATTTTTATTACCTGTTCAAACTGTGATTGCAGCAATAGGGTGAAAGACAAAATACTGAAATCCAAAACTGCAAATCTCTCAGTTAAAATCAAGCAGCTAATTTCAGAAAATCCTATACTAGACTTATCTCCTTATATAACCTGAACCAAATATTATGACAATATTAAAAAAAACAAGAGCAACAACCACAATTTCACTTTCCTGATTTGTGAAAATTTGGTAAAACCTAAGTAATCGTAAGACATTTCATTTGTTTCTGGTACTTGATGAAGTTAACTCCTGACTGCCTATTTGATATTGTCCAATATAAACACATATGTATTCAATTAAATTCACATGTATTCAAATCAAATCATTATCTGAAAAAATATTTTAGAATTCTGCCCACCACATACACCCATTCAAGGTTGGCGTGCTGGTGGGAAAGGAAAGACACAGAGGCCATTAAGGTTTTTGAGACATTAGCACTGCCAATGTATCCGCTTCCCTGGATCTAAATACACTGTGACTATTTAAGACTTAAAATGTCTCTTTGGTCTCCAGGTGACTAAAGGTAGGAAATAGGCTGAAAAAAAATGCCTAGTCCCTCACAGAAGTGCATATTCCTTTCCAATAATTGATGAAAAAGAAACTTCCAGAAAGTGATGCCAACAGTTATGGGGAAAAATTGAGTGATGTTCCCTCCTAGGGAGCAGAATCAATGCCTAACCCAGGAGCATTTTCTGTCTCCAGGGAAAGGATGCTTGCCATGCCTGGGTGGGAAAGTTCAGAATTGCTGCCTATCAGTGACTGATCTAATCGACCTAGTATTCTTTCCAAATAAAGAGTATATTGAGGGCTCTGTGCCCATTTTATCATTGCAAGTTTCAGTTTTGGGAAAACTAGTCATTCTAATATATAGGTCTCTAGATCGAGTAGCCACATCTAGATGTGGAAAAAATGAAACAGATATCAATCAGAGTTCCTGGAATTTGAGCTATAATGAAGTGACTGAAGGAAAATTTTGTGTTGTCCCCTAGAGGAGTGAGTGAGTCTGCAGGTAGTAAGGAGAAGAGTTGAATGTTTGGAAGACAGATAGTCAGGCTGTGGTCATCACTGGGACTGCCCCCTAATATTGCTGGCTCTCCTTCTAGGAACCTAATATTATTTCACTGCCCTGCTCCATTGAAAGGCCATAAAATGTGAGAAGAAGTGACATTTGTCAGGCCTAGAAATTTAAAGAAACAGTGGACAACCCATCCACTTTTCTTTCTCTGGGTCTTTACAACAGGCATGAATTCATTACAGTATCTGCCCTGTTGGCTTTAGTCCTGGAGTGTGTGACACAAAACAGAATCCTAACCTTTCTTTATCATCTGTAGGTTGGGAAGAAATAATCATTTGCCTTTAAGCCACCAAGGCTCTGTGGCGCGCACACACACACACACACACACACACACACACACACACAGAGACACAGACACACACACATTTTAACCACATTTAACGGCAGCCTGGCTTAGTCTATTTTGATACTACCATTGACTGTAACTCACTTAACGTAGGAAAACAAAATTATATAGCACTATTTTTCATGTTCATTAATTTAGGCATTAGTTATAAGGCTAACAATAACTTTATATATGCCTTCTCCATTATCATTACATGTAAACAAAATTGTTAACATGGGATTCAGTTTTTTTGTCTTAATATTTAAAAAAATAGAGTGAAGGCAAAACTTTGTTATAAAAGGAAGCAAAGCCTAGTGTATTTTGGATCCTAGTGCAAACAAGCATCCTTGTTCCCCTGTAGGACAATATAACTTTACAAAAATGCCAAAGTAATACATTTTGCATACTTTCCTCCCAGTGACAGTGTTGATTTCTGACACAGAAACTACCTAGTGTATTTTTCATTTAAGAGTCTTTCCCAGTGAGAAGCAATCAGTGAAGCAATTGTTATCTTGTTTCAAGAAATACCTACCAAGAGAGTACAGAACAAAAAATGTAGCTTGCATGGTAACTATCAATTTTATTGGTGCAAAAAGCAACTACTATTCACTGGTTTAGGTTAGAAATACTTTTGCTACAGATTTTATTTACATAAAAGTGTTCTTGGGATTTTCTAGAAGATGCTTAAAGTGAAAAGAAAATATAAGTGCTTGGAGTGCTTGGACATAAACCGATCTTTAGAAGAAGTAAGTTGCTTCCTCCTAGGAACTGGATTTATTCTTTGTTATACATAGTGAATGCAAAATCTGCTGAGACAGATCAAACATTTGAGTGGTGAAGTTAAATTTAGTATATTGAGATACTATTAGCTTTGTAATTAAAATGATTTTGTGTGTTTTTCAATAAAATAATATGACAAATAATATTTTAATTGACTAGATTTTTAACATCAAAAGCTCTTCAAATGCTTTTTGTTTCAGTATGTATTTCTAATGATTACATGTGAATGAGATTGGGATAAGAATGTAATTATATCTCAGATTTCAGTTTTTGCGTAAACTAAACATCAATTTCATTTGAATACTAATGAAAAATGTTCTGCAGTGTTTATACATTCAAAATACTTTTCTGAAGAATAATTTTATTTCTAATCTTGCATATTCACATCATATGTAACATTAGTATGGAAATAACTTGAAAACAATCACAGAATGTTAGAAAGCCTCAACATGCATCATGTTGGATTACCCCGTAATATTTCCCAGCAGGAGTGCTCAAATGGCCCACTGCAAGCTTATATTAATAGTGTCACAATTTCTTATACAGAGCTTCCTTTTCCACATGTTTTAAGTTTTCATATTTTGATACTTTATTAAATATCTTGATGCCACTAGAGCAATTTAATTCTTTGTGACATCCAACCAAATGAAGTTCCTCTTACCTATTTATAGAGCTCAAGTACAAACTTTCCAACTAATGAGTTAATACATTCATTTTCACTTGCAGAAACTTGGTCATGCATACCTGTGTGAAGTGCACTGCCATCATATTAGCATGAAGTGCAAGTTAAGTTGATAGAAGTACCCTTGACTGTAGAGAGAGTGCTTTTTGACAATACTTGCTATGAAACAAAATTAAGATAAATATACAACTGCATCATAGACAAAACTCAGAAATGAAAGAGCTCAATGAGAAGTGAAAGAAATATAAGGTGGCCTAATTAGGAAAATCTAAGTGCTTACCATCCTAACCTTTAAGGAAAATAGCAAGTTTTTTTAGATCTTTAATGTTTATCATTCTTAAACTTTTAATTCCATACTAAAATCACTCTTTAAGCAAAGACATATTCATGGTATATGCATCTATATGTTTAGTCTTAATCAGGCTTAAGAAAACGCAACCTTTATTGTACTACTCCCCTCATGCTCAGCAGAAAAGCAGAGATAAGCCAGTTGCTACCCTAGAGTGCTGGGTGAAAAGGGATGATCAGTAGTGGCAGAGAGCAAAGACAACAGTGGAAGAACCACTCTCCTGGTGAAGCATTCAGGAGACAATACGTGTAAGTTAGACAATAATGAGAATGCATTCTGATCATCCATTCCTTAACCCATGATGTTTAAATTACAAGTGGAATGGTGGTAAAATACATGACTTACTTTTACAAAAATGAACTAACAATAATGCTTGGTGTTCAACATTCAATTTAAGTCACCATATATATTTGATAAGGCAAAACACACACACACAGACACACACACACACACATCAGCCTTTTACAAACGTTTTGGGGGTATGGTTATTGCGGTGGCCATGAGAATCCCCCGTATGACAGACCTGCTATGGGGAGTATAGTTGACAGCCCAGTGAGCATCCCTATGGTCTCTGGATCTACCACCATAGATTTCCAAGTTCATAATTTCCCCAGGCTGCTCCCAGCCAATGATTGACCATGACAGGGCTACTAGTGCTAGCCCATCTCAATGGGACATGAGACTACCCTTACAGAGTGTTTGGACTCAAAGAATTCCCACAAGCTCAACCAAAATTTACAAGAATAGTGTGACAATTTTAGATCTATCTTATCCTTCTTTTTTCCCACTCCCTTTTCAAAAGCATCTGGTTAGAGTTTTTAATCTGACCGTTCTCCCTTGTCTACTTCTGATTCCATGTATTTATGCTTTCCAAGCACATTCCTCAATAAACTTTTTGTACTTATAATCTCATCTTGGGGTCTGTCTGCCTCTTGGGAGATGCCAACCAACACAATTATGTATATTCTCAGCAAGAACATGATAGGATCCACTTTCTTGTTCATTGCTGATAGGTGATTCCATATAATGTTAGTATAGATAAAAGCAAATTGTCTGGCATGTAATCAATTCTTTTGCCATTAAATACTGCATAATACACCATGTGATCCATGTGTATGTTACTTTCTTTAATCAATACTCAAATTCTGTCTGGTGGTTAACTTTTGAAATACCGGTTTGAAATATTTACTTTAGACACCCTCCATCAGTATTTGAAACATTCTAAATAGGAGCTCGCAATTTTGTGGTGGTCATGAACTGTGCATCAAAGATTGCTATCTAAACCTTCATGGGAGGGTTCATTTATTAGCATGACAAAATTAGTTATGTTTCAATAGTTCATTAAGTTGGAAATGAATTACATTTAAGAACTGTAGTTTGCTGGAAGGAATATATTGATGTGTTGACCCTGATATAGACAAGAATATGATTGTTGTTAGCCCAGAAACGCAATGCCTTTTCAGAGCTATGCCACGTTTATAATACCTGTTAGTCCCATGCATCATGACCCCAAACTTAATGGAGGAGTATCTCCTTATTTTACTATATTATTTCCTAATTTTGCATTAAATTGTAATTGGATTTGCATGGCTGCATATCTTTTTTCAGGTTGTTATGTGGCTTGCAAGAGGAAAAGTATGCAATGCAGATGGAAGAGCAAATTCAAATGCCCTGAGGCAGCAGGGTGCCTGTAGTTGTGACAACAGCAAGGGACCAGTGGAGTTGGAGAGAAAGGAGCAAACAAGAGTGTCATGTCTAAGGGGAATATGGTGTTTACATGGATTGCAGGCCTTCTTTGGTCAAAAATTGTTGGAATTAGGTAACTTAATTTTACAAAATTGTGAGCTAGAAAGATATTAGGTTGGTGTAAAAGTAATTGTGGTTTTCGCCATTCAAAGTAATGGTAAAGACCACAATAACTTTCGCACCAACGTAATAAAAGATTATATTTGAAAACAAGCTTCTAACAATGATAATAGTTGCTGGTAATGGCAAATTCTAGCACATGATAAACAGCAGACATAAAGTGGAGAAGACTATTGGAGGAAAGGATTTCAATGTACAAAGATTGTGTTAGGGCCTGGCTCGGTGGCTCATGCCTATAATCCCAGCAGTTGGGAGGCTGAGGCAGGCAGATCACTTGAGGTCAGGAGTTCGAGACCAGCATGGCCAACATGGGGAAAGCTTGTTTCTACTAAAAATACAAAAATTAGCCAGTCGTGGTGGTGCACGCCTGTAATCCCAGCTACTTGGATAGCTGAGGCAGGAGAATCACTTGAACCTGGGAGGTGGAGGTTGCAGTGAGCCGAGATCATGCCACCGCACTCCAGCCTGGGTGACAGAGAAAGACTGTTTCAAAAAAAAAAAAAAAAAGAAAAGAAAAGAAAAAAAAAGGAAAATTAGAAGACTCTCTTCTTTCAGAGACCTAGAAAGTCTTGTTTGAGAGAATAGTGGTTGGTATAGTAAAAAGTTAATCAGGTAAGGGAGAGGGACCCAGATCCTGTAGATGACTGTATCAGGGAGTCCTGCATGGTACAGTCTTGGGTCTAGACTGGCTGTGAGGAGCAAGGAGCAAGGAGCAAGCCTTTTTACTTTGAGCCTCTCACTTCTAGTGGCATGAGAAGAAGAAAGAAACTTGAAAGGCTACTTGTGAAGTAGTATGCTTAGGGAGAGCTAAGTTTGTTTAGAACAAGAAACCAAATAAAATACTCACAAATGATGGTTTGGGTACAAGGTGTTAGAAGATAAGGAAAACAATTAAAAATAAATGATGGTTTGGGGAATTTTGCTCATGAGTGACTCTGAGTCAATGAAAGATGCTGAAAAGGCAGAGCTCTGTGGTGATAAAAGTCAGGTAACAGGGATGACCTGGGAGTCTTAGGGTTCTTGTGATATAAGCAGGTTTGAATCACGTATCTGAGGTTGGACTGGTGACCCCTAGGCAGCCAGTGGTGCTGAGGTTGTCAGTGCTGTGAGAGGGAAATGGGAGGGCCCAGGTCTTTCCAGGGAAGGCAAGCATTCTGGGATGTCAATGATACTGTGCAGGGCCAATGGTACTGTGCAGGCTGAGGGAGGGGCCATCATCTAGAGTAATAGATATTTAAAGGCTTTCTCCTCGGTCCTGTTATTGGAGGCATAGAATCTGGATTAGGTGTAGTCTTATTAACATATCTCTTCCCTCCTCTTCTCATGGAAGAACATATATAAAACATAACCTCATAAAGTTTTTAAACTAAATGGCTTAAGTCAATTTGTAGCGTCATCCAATTTTTCATAGTACTGGCAGGTAAAACGTTTGCTTTTAGCCAAGGAAAAAGCGACAGTTTGTCAGCATGAGTAAGGTGCCTGTAACAATTTTATTTATATTATAGAGTCAAATATTCATGGCAATCCTATCCATTTTACTGATAACAAATACAGTGAGTTGCCTTTAATCACACATCTTACATACAGAAGAGCTAAAGTTGAAATGTGGTTATAACATATTCCAAAGCTCTTCCACTCTGTCCTACCATATTTCAGAGATTGGTTAATTCCCCATTAGTCATTTCCTCAGCTGTGCTTCTACCTACTGATTTTAAGTTTAAATAGACAAAAAGCTGGTTTCATGATCTTAGTGATCAAAAAAGGCATAAATACATTCTGAAGAGTTTTTAGCTACTTGATAGACAATGGACTACATGGGAAAACATGGGAAAACTATATGTGACCCTTTCCCTTCACAAATATGGCAGTGATAATTTTTTAAGAGAAAATGTTCTAAAAATAATTATTAAAAGGCAAAGATGATGAGAGGTCAAAATGAGATTCCTTGAAACACTTTAATATGTTACCAAACTTTCACAGAATTTCAAAAGAAGTGTTTTCCATGAAATATTTGTTACAGGAGGCATTGGTTTGTCATTTATTAATCAGCATCCTGAGGACAGAAAGTTCCTTTGTTAGGTTATCTCACAAAGTGTCCTCCATGGTTCATATTATGTCAAAGTTCTGAATTTTAACTTCTGAAGCTAAACTTAAATATTTATACTAAAATAACCTTGGTTGCACTTAGCAACTTTTTCCTCTAGTTTCTAAAATTTAATCCCACTACATGTATTTTTTTTTTCTTAACATTAATTTGAGAACTACTCAAAAAATTCTCAAATAAATGATTACTTTTAAAACACGATCTTGCCTCAGGGATACTCTCAGCTGCTTTTTATGGCTGGCCTTTAATACTGACTTCTTCATGTCTGACTCTGAATCCCAATACCCATACCAAAAAGACAGTGTACTTATTGGAAGGGAAATACTTTATGTTGAAAATTATAGTTTTAATAAATATTTATAATATATTAGAATTAATATAGGAATAAAACATAGAGTCACTGATATTCGTAAGGTTTATTAAAGACCTGAACAATCGATAGAATAGGGATACATTTGAAATGAATTAAGAATTGCACTTTCCATATGTTCATCATACATGCCTCAGAAGCAGTGTGATCAAAATACATCTGTAAGTAGAGCTTGATTTCATGGTAAAGCAGGCAGATAGTTATAGTCCTATTTATCTTTTGTTACCCAACTTACCCTGAAACGATGACTTAAAATAAGACACATCCATCTTCTCCCAGTTTCTGTGGGTCTGGAATCCAGGTGTGATTCAGCTGTACACTCTGCTTTAGAGTCTCTCACAAAGCTACAGTTGAGGTATTGGCTGGTGTCTTAGTCCATTCAGCTGCTATAACAAAATACCTGAGAATGGGCAGTTGATAAACAACAGAAATGTATTTCTCACAGTTGAGGAGGCCGAAAGTCCAAGACCAAGGCACTGGCAGCTTCCCTGTCTGGTGAGAGTTGCTTTCTGCCTCCAAGATGGTGCCGTGTTGCTACATCCTCCTGAGGGGATGAACGCTATGTACTCTCATGGCTGAGGGGAAGCAAGGAGCAAACTCATCCCCTCAAGCCCTTTCATAAGGGTACCAATCTATTTATAAGGGTTCAATAATAAGCCACTTTCATGGCTTAGCCATTTTCTAAAGACCACACCTTTTAATACTGTTGCACTGGAGATTAATTTGCAACATGAATTTTGGAGGGGACACAAATATTCAAACCACAGTAGCTGGGGCTCCATTAGCAATGTGAACTGTATGAAACTGTTTGAGTTCAACATTTCATTAAAGATTTGAAGTCAGTTTTAGTTGAAGTTATAAGAATGCTAAAGTTAGAGGATTTAGCGAGAGGATTTATCCTCATTTGAAGGCTTGATTAGGGGAACATTCTTTTCCAAGAGGGCTCTCATTGTTGTAGGTAGGATGCATGTGCTCAAGGGTTGTTGGACTAAGGGCTTTAGTTCTTTACCAGTAGGTTTTCAGAGGCATAACTCAAATCTGACCACATAGACTCTCCAGTATACTTACCAGAACAAGCAACAAGAAGAGCCAAAATAAAAGGAGTTCAAGCCAGAGAATGAGTGCTAGCAAAAGGAAATGACAGTCTTTTGAAACACAGTAACTAAAGTGGTATTCCATCACCTTTCTCCTATTTAATTAACTAGAGTTAAATTACTATGTCCAACCTACATTCAGTGAAAAAAGATTATATAAAACTGTGAATACCAAAATGTAGAGTGCACTTGAATGCTGTCTGGGGTTATCATCAAGGTACACATATTCACAGATCATTTACTACACACAATACACTGTGTGAGCTAACATATTGGCTTCCTGACTCCAAAGAATGTAAGATCTAGTTAGATATATAAAAAGACACGTCATAATAAAACAAAACAAGTGATAATGCCACAGAAGAATATAAAACATAGTTCCATTACATTAAAAATCCCTCTTTTATTAAAAAATAGATGAGGAGAATTGACTATAATAATTGCAATGAAAATATAATAATAATAATAGTAATAATGATTTACCAAGTAGGTTAGGGGTCACATACAAGGTCAATATTCTACATTTTGTGCTATGCTCAATGGCAGCATCAAGGAGCCTGGAGAATTTTCCAGTTCTGTAAACCAGCTCAAAATGCACATATCTATCAAAATAGCAGATAATATTTACTAGTCAAATAATGTTTTAAGTTCTTAAAGCATTGTTAAGATGCCCAACCCTGTCCAACTCAGAATGCCTTATTTAAACCTCTTTTTATGTAGGAGTTTCAGAGTCTCTGCAATATTTGCAAATGAAGGGAATGGGCAGTTCAGATTGATAATCTTCCTAAAATGTTGCAGTAAATGAAAAGTATTGGTGGGTTCTAATTTTCCTATTTATATAAATTCTTAGTTTAGAATTATGCATGTCATGTGTAGAAGAATGCAACTTTGCTTCTATATTGCCTTAAATATATTCAACACCTGAACCACATAAATAAAAATGAATCAACTAAGAAAGTAAAATATCACCTCAATGCAATTAGAAAAGACAAATATTACATTAACAAACTCAACTGGCAATGTGAACTGTATGAAACTGTTTGAGTCCAACATTTCATTAGAGATTCGAAGTCAGTTTCAGTTGAAATTATAAGAATGCTAACATTAGAGGATTTAGCGAGATCAAATCATTCACAGTAGAGAATATTATAGAAGTATGATTTAAAATGAAAATTCTCCAGGTTTCATAAGAGCAATTTTCAGCTGTATATTCCAAATATAACCTGTTGCCATCTCCTGCAGCATGGCTTATTCTGGTGCTAGATGCAGGTGTGCATGAAACCAGTGTGAAATTTTGTTAACAAAGGCAAGTTAGTTATGAGCAAATGGATCTCTTGGGCAAGGGGCTTATTCATTACAGCTTTCCACTATTCTTAAATCTTTTATGACTGACACTAATTTTCTTGGGCATTCAAAACACTTCCTAAATGATCTCACCTCAGTGCACAGGGGCTACATGAGATAGTTTCAGAACCAGGAACAGTTTTCTCATGATAGGTAAGCCAATGATACTTTAGAGGAAAATATGAATGTCAGGAACCATATTAGGACAGTTATAAATCTTTGGGGTAAGACAGATTAGATTTGAAATCTGTTGCTTACTTCAATGTACCAGCAGTGTGATCTTGGTCAATTTATTAACCTGTCAAAATTTCAAATCCACATAGGAAAAATGGGGGAAAATTATATGACAAGAGAGGGTGTGGCTATTTAATAATTTGTTGATTGTAAAGTATTTAGTGTGGAGCCATGGATATGTTATGGGCTTGATAAATGATTTATAATTAGTATTATTTTATTTTGTTAAATCCTCCAAATATTTTGCATGGCAGCAATAATTTATCTCATTTTACACGCTCTTCCTACAGTGTGATATTGAGTGATTCAATGAAAAGTTATGTGTCTAGGTCCAACACCCTTGAATCTGAGTGAGTTTTTGACCAGACAGAAGTGACATTATGTGACTACTAATACTAGTTCATAAAAAGTGGTATAGCTTCCTCTTTGTTTGTTCTGTTTTGTTTGATTTGCTTATGCATGGAAGTCATTTGCCATGCTGTGAGCTTCTCCAAAGTAGATCATGCACAGAAACAATATGGAGAAGCAATGTCTAAGTGTGACAGTCAACCTTTAGGAGTTGGGCTGTGAGCCAGCATCAACTGTCAATATGTATGTGAGTTAGGATTTGAATAAGTCCAGTACACAGCCTCCTAGTTACCTGTAGCCTTCCCTGCTGAACCCATTCTGAGTTCCTGGCCCATATGATCTGTGAACAGGTTGTTTGTTGCCACTGAATTGGAGTGATTTGTTATGCAGCAAAACCAACTGGAAAAACAGGATATTTCATTTATACCCCAGCTTTGTTGAGAACAGATAGAGGATGATATTGAACATAATTATTTCTTCATGCTATCGCTTGTGGGAATTGGTTGCAGTGGTAAATAGAAGTGAATAAATAAAGATAGTTTTGTACTTTGAGAAGTTCACAGAAGTCTAGAAGACAGAATTTAAAAAAGGAAAGGCTGTCTTTGGCCAGTGCATATTATCCATTACAAAGTAGATTTGGACATTATATGAGGAATACTGACCCTTTTATTGTCAGATATTGGGTTACAGGCTACTAAATATATTGACATATCAGATCCGATGTTCTAACTGATCTCTCATGAAGTCTGAATTTTGGGGCAGGGCATACAGTCTGAGCAATAGCAGGCTAGACAGCAATTAGAGGGATTCCTGAGGAATCACAAGGAAGAATAATTTTTGCCCAGGAGCAACATATCTTCCAGGATCTTGACAATTTTGAAAATGAGTAATTCACATAGTTTCTTTAAGATAATTAGAAGGGAATAAGAACTTACAAGAAAAGGAGAGCAGAGGGTGTGCTGAGGCTGGGCACAGCTGGACTGGGCACACCATGGCCATCCCGCGAATACTGGGAGATCATTCTGCCATAATGCATTGCATATTGAAAGGGAACATCCATGTAACTATGCAACATGAAGGTTCCTGATTGAGGAGGTGATCTTGTTCAAAAGAGATCTCCAGTGCTAAGGGGCTGGAATTGGCCTGTCCTCTAGCTGATATGACTCAGACTGGCTGAGTCAGAATTATGGTAAATGACCAATATAGGAGAAAAAAAGGAGCTTCAATAGCCAGGTGGTTGTTTGTCTTCAACTCAGAAACCATATTCCTGATCCTGCAATATAGTAGATGTCTTTCTTAATTTCTCAGTAAGTGGCAATGAGTGATTTAACATGTAGCAATAATTCCCAAACATTCCACTCTAAGTATACTGTACTTGGATAAAATGGGAGGGTGCAGAGGAAATGGGGAGATACAGGTCACAGAATACAAAGTAGGAGATACATAGGAGATCTAGAATCTAGTGTACAACATGAGGACTATAGGCAACAACAGTGAATTGCATTTTGGATTTTTGTTAAATAAATAGAATTTAACTGCTCTTGTTATACACACACTAAAGAATGACTGTGAAGTGATGGCTATGTTAATTTGCTTCACTATAGTCACCAATTTACTATCTATATGTATCACATAACATCATGTTGTGATGTACCTTCACTATACACAATAAATTTTATGTAAAAAGAGAATAGGACGATCTCTATGATAGAAAAAAATGAATAAAACACCTTTTGTTTTGCACCAAGCTTACATTGATTCAGATGCTAAATTTTCAATGGTTAAATTGAAATGTAGGCTTACCATAACAATGCAAACTAAGGCCTAAAATTAGCAGGTCCACACCCTCAGTCCCATCTGTTCTATCCTGTTACTAATAGCAGTTGATTGACACTCTTCTTTGGCCACATGTGTTCTTCAAATTACCACTCAATTTCTCCATTTTCTCCAAGCAAAATTCATCAGAAGATATATTTATATTCACTCTCCTCTTGAACTCACTCCAGTCAGGCTGTCAGCCCCGCCATGCCATGGACATATCTCAAGATCATCAAAAATGCTTTGGATGAATGCAGTCTACAAACAGCATTAATTGTACTGTCTTGTGTTTCACTGAATACTCAAGATTCACTTTTTATTAACATCTTATAACTTAGTGGACACTTTGGTGGTTTCTCCTAACCTTTGCAAACTATATTGCTGAAAAGCCCCAAATTCCCAAGATATTTTTTATTTTCTATTTTATATTAATATATCTCTGGCCATGATATTCCTCCTGAATACCAGAGATATATTTATCTATTTGATATACCCATTAACGCATTTCATAGGTATCTCAAACATAACATTAAAAAACGCATAGTGTTCTTTTCTCCAGAAGTTTATATTTTCTACAGCCAATCTGCTTCTTGGTAAATAACAACTTCATCTATCTATTTTCTCAGGACAAATATTGAGATATTGAGGCTAATACAGTCTGTAAATAATATAAATCCTGAGATAATGAAAATAACACTAAATGTAAAATTAATACAAATAGAAACTACATGGAAGGTGAGGGGAAAGTATAGGTAGAAAGTAAAGTTATCTCTGTTTCTGTTCCATGTGATGTCTCATCCTTCAGCAAATAGTCAGTTATATCTTAAAATATATCCTGGATTGACCACTTGTCACTATTTTTATCAGCGATATCGTATGTATTGCTACCATCATCTCTCATATAGACCATTGCAATAATTTGACTCTTTGTCTTCCAATTCTGTATCCTTTGATACGGGTTGATATATATGTCCATGCTTCCTCTTTAGTTGCATAAATTTTGCCTGTATTGTTGGGTAAGAAAATGGGCCAAAACATAAAGTCACTATCTCAGCATTTTTGTCATATAGGATTGATCCACATAATTCAATAGAAGCCATGTTAATAGCTGCCTAGAAAAATATTTTAAAGGGTGATGATTCTTCTGAGATTAGTGCTTTTAATCTGTGAAACTCTAAGTGTGATATGATAACTCATGTTTCATTTGCCAATTAGGATTTTTAAGGTAATCTTGCAGATGAAATAATGTGGTAAGTACAATTCTATTCTCCACATTTTTATATCATATTTTTAATTTTAGATACACAGAAAGACTATGTATCTTAGATTCTCTTGCATCTATGTCGTTTTGATGAATATCAGCCAGTGGAATGTGGACAGAAGTTATGCTACCTTCAGTCATCCAAGGACTGTTATATTGAGTTCTGCTTTTGTGTCAATGAGTTTTATTGTCTTAACCACTAAATAACAGGGTAACATATAAGGTAAAGATACCAGGAAAAATGCTGTGGAAATAGGCACATTAATAATTGTTATTAATCCCTAAAATTCGGCTTAAATTTTGAGGACATTGTTAATGTTTGAAAAGATCAGCATATCAGTGAACTCTGAGAAAATCAGTGAGAAAATCTGAGATTTGTGTAAAATAGAAGAATCTGAGAAGTGTCAGATCTCTAGATAAAATTAGAGAACAAAGAAAATATTTCAAAAGCAAAGACAATAACAACAAAAAAAAAATCCAAGAGAGTTACTAAACAGCACAGCCTACACTGTAAGTGAAATAGGAAAGGTAAAGTAAAAAGTAAAGGAAAGAAAACAGAAATAAAGAAAGAGAATGAGGATTCGTGAGAAAGGGATGTATGAGAATGGCAGGCAAAGAATATATGTACAAAGTACAAAAAGAATAAAACCAAAAAAGGAGAAAAATAAACAAAAAATATGTAATATAAAATAATTTTTCTAAATAAAATATTTAAATATACTTAAAAGACTCATTGTATGTATGAATAAATACCAATCAATGCAGTCTATGAAAGTAGAACAATATCCTGATATAATACTTTTAAATACTAAAGAAGCATCTTTGGTAATCCAGGCAGGAAGACCAACTCATTTAGAAAGAAAAGAAAATGAGATTGACATCACAATTCTGTATGTAAATAGCTTATAAATAGTTCCAAACCTGAAATACGATAAAAAGCAAAAAGAAAAAAAAAGTCTGTGATATGGTTTGGCTCTGTGTCCCCACACAAATTTCATCTTGAATTGTGCTCCTATAATTCCCAGTGGGATATAGTTTGAATCATGGGGGTGGTTTCCCCCATACTGTTCTCATGGTAGTGAATAAGTCTTATGAAATCTGATGGGTTTATTGGGCTTTCCACTTTTGCATCCCCCTCATTTGCTCTTGTCGCCACCCTGGAAGAGGTGCCTTTTTCCTCCCGTCATGATTCTGAGGCCTCCCCGGCGATATGGAACTGTAAGTCCAATTAAACCTCTTTCTCTTCCCAGTCTCAGGTATGTCAGCAGCAAAAAAAAACAGGCTAATACAGTCTGTAAATCATATGAAACCTGAGAGCATGAAAATAACACTAAATGTAAAATTAATACAAACTACATGGAAGGTGAAGGGAAAGTATAGGTAGAAAGTAAAATTATCTCACTCATTGTTTTATAGGGTTCAGCTATAATCATCATATCATTTGAAGGGGAAAAATCAAGTGTGCTAAAATAATTTAAGAACAAAGATAAAATTCAAGGAAAATAAGAGTAATTAATATAATTTAAGGATAGGGAAAGGGAGAAGATGAGGGAAAGAATAAAATAATTATATTATTATCCACACTATGGAACTAATAGGCAGGATTTAATAAAAATGTTGAGTATATGATGGAAAGGTATTTATATATATATGTGACAACTAGCAAAAGCACTAAACAGCCTAAATAGAAACACGCACACAAACACACACATGCCCCACATATAGTAAAAGGCATTGTACATACACACATACAAACACACGTATATATTTAAATGCACAAAAATTGAATGAAAAATGATTTGACTTTGAGAGGCCATGGGAAACGGACTCCCATGTACTGCTAGAGCAAAGTAATTACATAGAAAAATTGACACTATCTAATCATTAACCATATTCCAAGATACTCCAATCCCACTTTTAGAAAACTATTCCAGGGTTATTATGGAAAAATTTAAAATTACATACATACAAGCTTATCTTTGTAGTATTATATGTAACATTTCAAAATTGAAAACATCCCACATTTGATCGTACAGTATTTGAATGTTAGAATAAACACAGGTGTGTATTGTGATAAGAAAATGGTTTACTTATAACAAAGCACACGCTTTCACATAACTACATTTACCAGGAATATAATTTTCTTTCATTTTTAAAATAAGTCAAGGCCACATTTCTTTATACAGTCTTTTAACAATAGGAGAATAATTGGCTTGGGAAAATTGTGAAATTTACAAGGAAATGTGACATAAATGTACAGACTAGCAACTATCTCCATTGTTCAGTAACATAGTCAAATTTACTTTGATCATGTAAATAAATTAGATTCCAAAATTTTTAAAAATCCTCTTCTAACAGATGTTCTTAGTAGGTATTTCCCTTTTGGATAATTCTAGGAAAAAAATTTTGGCATTGAAACTGACTAGATCAGCTCTCACTATAGTGTGGTTCGATGGAAATAGGTGGCAACACTTCCTCAAGTTAACTGACCTTGATTTTTGAATAGTTGAACCTTCATTGACTATAAAAAAACCTTTATGGGTCTTCCAGGGAGCTTCTCTCTTTTTACTTGCTTTAAGTCAAAATGGTTGGGCTGTCTTTCTTTCAATTAGTTTTTTTTTTTTTTTTTTTTTTTTTTTTCAGATTGAAATGCTCTTTCCAGTTTACTCCTGTCCTTTTCCCCAACTTTGAAAAAGCAAACTGAATTCACACTACATTTAGATTGGTTTCTTGCTCATTGACAATCATTTTCCCCTGATTTTATTTCATAATTTTCCATTCAATAAAAGGTTTTCTATCAATTTCATTCTTTTAAATTTATGACTTTTTCTTGGCTTTCAGTTTTATAGGCTTTCTTAAATTGTCAGTTCTCTGATATGGTTCTGCAAAATCCTTAAATATCATTCTCTAATATCTTCATTATGGAAGTTAATTTATGCCAAAATATATATATATATATATACCCAGACTATCTCAGCTATGCCTGAAATAGTTCTTTTTTGTTGTTGTTGTCGTTGTTGTTGTTGTTGTTGTTTTTGAGATGGAGTCTTGCTCTGTCGCCCAGCAGTGGTGCGATCTCGGCTCACTGCAAGCTCTGCCTCCCAGGTTCAGGCGATTCTCCTGCCTCAGCCTCCCAAGTACTTGGGATTCCAGGCATGTGCCGCCAAGCCCAGCTAATTTTTGTATTTTTAGTAGAGTCAAGGTTTCATCATTTTGGCCAGCTGGTCTCAAACTCCTGACCTCAAGTGATCCACCTGCCTTGGCCTCGCAAAGAGCTGGGATTATAGGCATAAGCCACCACGCCTTGCCAGTTCCAAATATTTTTAACAAACAAATAAAATAGGAAAGTTTCATATTTGTAGTCAAAGACATTTATTTGCTTTATCACTGTAAATAAATCTGGCTTGCTATAGGCTTATCATTTAAAATTCAGGGAGTAAAATCTTTTAACTGTAATAGGAGATTAAGTTCCATCCCAATATGTAATTTCGTGACTATCATTCAAAGAATAAGAGTATCCAAAACTGCATAGAATAGAGCAAGTATTTTAAGAAACTTTTGAAAAAGTACAACTTACAAAAAGCTGGGATACACGTCGACTTCCTAAATACTGGTTGCATATAGTACTAACTATAGTCATATGTGGAACCTTACCATGACTCAGTCAAAGCCTGCAAGTACATTACTGCTTAAGCTGATCCAGGTCAAAAAGAGTAACAGTCAGAGATTGAATAGTGTCCCTCCCGAAAATATATATTGCAGCCCTAACCCTCATTACCCAAGTATGTGCCTGTATTTAGAGACAGAGTCTCTAAGGAGGAAATTAACCCAAATGAGGCCATGAATGTGTCATGATCCAAATGCCTGGTGTCCTTATAAGAAGGGAAATTAGGATACATGAAAGATACCAGGGCTTTACACACACAGAGAAAAGGTCACTTCATATCATATGAAGACATAGTGAGAGGGTGGCCCTCTGCCAACCAAGGAGAGAGGCCTCAGGAGAAACCAAACCTGAAGACAACTTGATCTTGAACTTCTGGCTTCCAGAAGAATGAGAAAATAACTTTCTGTTGCTTAAGCCATCCCATCTGTGGTATTTTTTATGGTAGCCTCGGTGAATGGAAACCCTTACAGACAAAATTAAGATTGCAAAGTTCCAAGTTTTATTGACTGTATTTAAACTGCACAGACTGAAGCAAAGAGAAAGAAATGGGGCTGGTCAGGGGAGGCTGCCAGTGGGGTGGAAGGAGCACATGAGCTGAGTCATGTTTTCTACAGTTCCCACGCCCTGTTCCTTTCCTGTCTCTGCCACGTGAGCTTCCCTTGTGGGTATTGTGCTTATGAGGACTGGCGGTGAGGACTGAGCAAGGGAATTGAAAGGATGAAGGTGCTTGGGATTAATATACACACTTGCTATATAAGGGAGATGCAGTGATACAGAAACCTGTCTCCAAGATAAGCCAGTTAGCTTGACTTGCACTTGTTTTTTTTGAATAGAAGGTACGTCAAGCAAAATTACAAATATTCTGTATTCTTTTTAAAATTTTATATCTTTTATTTTATTTTTATTATGCTTCAAGTTCTGGGGTACATGTGCAGAACGTTCAGTTTTGTTACACAGGAATACACGTGCCATGGTGGTTTGCTGCACGCATCAACCCGTCACCTACATTAGGTATTTCTCCTAATGCTATCCCTCCCCTAGCCCGCCACCCGCCAACAGGCCCCAGTGTGTGATGTCCCCCTCCCTGTGTCCATGTGTTATCCTTGTTCAGCTCCCACTTATGAGTGAGAACATGCAGTGTTTGGTTCTCTGTTCTTGTGATAGCTTGCGAAGAATGATGGTTTCCAGCTTCATATCCCTGCAAAGGACATGAACTTGTCTTTTTTATGGCTGTATAGTATTCCATTGTGTATATGTGCCACATTTTCCTTATCCAGTCCATCACTGATGGACATTTGGGTTGGTTCCAAGTCTTTGCTATTGTGAATAGTGCTGCAATATTCTAATGTTCTTCCTCTGAACATTTTATCGTCAATTAATCACCCCTGCCTGTGTCAGTTATAATATTTGTGTTTAGAAATTTTCTATCTCAATCCTTACTATATACTTGTTTTTGCTGGCATTCCGTCATAAAAAAGAATATTCCCTGCCAAAATTTAAACTTTCATCCCAAATGAATTTTAGTCTATTAAGTTAAAATGTTTTGTTTTAAATCTGTTTAATTTAATTCTTTTGTCTATCAAAATATAAGTGCCACCAATGGATGGATGATTTAAAAACACTGAGTATTTGAAGTGCCTTATGTACCTCATATAAACTAAGTACATCATGAATATCGCAGCCTCTGGTACCTCCGGTGTGTTTAGCATATTATCATACTAGGGTTTTATGGATTTTTTCATGTCTTCATATCTATGTTCAGAACATGCTCATAGTCTACTTCCTTTTTCTAACACGTTAGGTCTCATAAGTTACTACTTCATCCTATTTTACTTCCTCTATAACTTATGCTTATGAGTCATAAGCTAACTGTTCAACCTAGTTTTATCTACCATTCTGACTTATTTTCTTATATTTGAAAAATGACTTGAATATTCTCATATAGATTCCATAATTTCTCAGAAAATAAAAAAGATAATTCCATTACAGTGTCTCCTCTGTTTTCTTTCAACACTTTTTTTTCTATTTCCTTCATAAAACTTTTTAAGGTGGAAGTAATAAAAAAATGATTGTTTTGAAGCCCTATTGCTATATTGGAGACTATGATTTTGGCTAAGTAAACAGAAATAATGAAATTTTCAAGAACCTTCAGGGAAGTTAGCATGCTAGGTACACTGAATCACACATTCAACAAATATTGGCTTAAGTCCTACAATCCAAAGATATGGCCGAGGTACTGCAGAAGAGAAAAAATGAATTAGATTCTCTCTCCAGGTTTGGCAGCGGCATTGCTATGAATTAACTACATGATTTCCACTTCCTAGGCATACAGGGAGACTACATTTTTCAGCCTCTACCTCAATTATTTTGGGGTCAAATGACCAAACATAGACTAATACTTGTAAGTGAAATGATACAAGCCACTTCCAGGGTTGGATGTTAAAGAATACTCTGCATTGCTATCTACTTTCTCCTTCTTTTATGTCAAAAACAAGTCCCTTAAGTTTTCCAGAAGGTGAAGATGCAAGAGGGAAGCATCCTGGATTTTCAGGACAAAGCTTGGAGGACAGCTGCTTAGGGGAGCTGTGGGATGAGCAAGAAATAAAACCTCTTACATTTAGCATAGCCTCCTATTGTGTACAATTACTGATAGATATTCCAATGCCACATAGAAATTTATGTGCAAAAATTCAGTGCAGAGTCAGTGCTGGCAAATTGGGATAGGGAAATTGCTCTTCAAGATGAGAATCAGATAAGGAAACAGAAAAGATGTCATTTAGGACTTTATTTGACAGATTTGGACACATAGTGAAAGTATCAGAATTGTGGTTTGTAAAAATAATCTTATACCCTGAGGACGAGCTACATAATTTGTGCAACCCAGTGGAAAATGAAAATTCAAAGATTATTAAAAATTTAAGGATGCCTACAGCAAAGTATTATATTAAGTGTGGGGTCCTTCTAAGAACAGGCCCCTTTGGGACTGCACAGGGCACATGCTCATGGAGAAGCAAGAGGAAATGGAAATATAATGTGTTTACATGGAGTTGCAGCTAAGAGTAATGTGTGTAGTTAGAAACTGCTTACAATTTTCAGAAAACAAACAGTTTTTATTAATAAGAAATTCATTGATAAGCCAGTCAGCATGGAGGATATGGCTACCAATATGGAAACCAGTACTTATACATAAATGTTTACGTAATACTGGTGCAAAACATGTGGTTTTGACTCATACATGTACTTTCTCCCTACAGTGGGAATAAAATCCATGGATTTAATATGATGAAAATAAGAAAAAACACATGCTGCCTGTACAAAATAGAACCTGCAATTTGTTTATTTTGTTTTCGGCATTAAATTATTTAGTTGACCAACTGACTACTGAAATTCATTTTCACTATTGTTTCCCCTGAGTGTCTCAAATACAGTAGTGAAAATGAAATTTACTCCTATTCCCTGAGTGTCTCAGCCATATTCTAGTAAACTGTAAATTTTGTAAAACTTGTAAGCAGGTCAGAATTAATGAGAGGAATTAGTTTGATTCTTTGCAGCATCCTAAAGATAATCTGGTGCCTTAGATCGAAGTTTTTCTTAGTATTGCAGTGGGTGAGAATCAGTGTGGCTAGTCATTCGAACAGACAGAATCCACCTCTGCTAAGAAAACGAAGTATTGAAGTGTTTTCATATCTGCAACAGTTTCCTTTGTGTTTTACAAAAGAACATTTAATTCATTTTTTGTCTTCATTTTTTTCTAAGTTAATATTGCCAAATTGTGTTAATCCTGAATAATGCAAGAAGTTAAAGATATAACTTGAGGTAAGATAAACATCCAGTTCTTCCATATATCCCCAGTCGATCACAAAAATAAACATAAGGTTAAACATAGAAATTTGTAAATGAACAATTCACTACAGAGGAAGCATGCTTTGGGCAGAGAAAAGCATTATAAATATTAATATTTGCTATTGCCACACTGAAAAGTCTTACATTAGCATGCGATCCCTTCTTGTTACATTTCAATTCAAAATGTACTTAGAATATATTTTTTGTGTGTGTACTTGTCATGATGTATTTTATTTCCTTCTCAATCACGAAATCACTCTCATTCTTTGATAGTATTGTGGTAGAATGTTCATAAAGTATACAGAAGCAGAAGGGCAGAATTATTTCCTTGATTTTCCCCCAAAGTTTTGTGACATGTAAAACTAAAAATTCCAGAAGTCTTGCAGTTTAGTAAGAATACATTCCAAGAAACAATAACAGTGATGCTTTTTCCAGCATCTTGCAATATTCTTGAAAATAAATTGATAGAATAGTCATAATAGGTGAAAGGTGAAATGATAGTTCATTTTAGTCTCTTTATTACTAAATTTGGAAAGTCAACTTGCTCACAAAAGCCCTTATAGTGATACAGGTTTTTCTACTCTCCAATAGCCTCCAATACAGAATATATATTCATCAAAATTGACAACACAGTATTATGTTTTGGTCAGTGATACTGAGGTGTATGATTTGCTTTCTTAATGTCGATTACAAGAAATTGTGAAACTGAAGGCTATATCTTTCTTTAATCAGGATTTTGAATTTACCGGGACATTAGATATATTCCTTTCATGGGTAATTAGGAAAAATCAGCATTTTCTGTCCCTCTTCCACTCAGTTTTATTCTTTAAGATTTTAGGACATTGCTTTTGATATGGTTTGGGTGTGTCCCCACCCAAATCTCATCTTGAATTGTAGCTCCCATAATTCCCACGTTATGGGAGGGACAGAGTGGGATTTAATTGAATCAAGGTGGCTGTTTCCTCCATACTGTTCTCATAGTAGTAAATAAGTTTCATGAGATCTGATAGCTTTATAAGAGGTTTCCCCTATCACTTGGTTCTCACTCTCCCTTGTCTGCTGCCATGTAATATATCTCTTTCACCTTCTACGAAGATCGTGAGGCCTCCTCAGCCACATGGAACGGTGAGTCCACTAAACCTCTTTGTCTTTATAAATTGCCCAGTCTCTGGTATGTCTTTATCAGCAGTGTGAGAACAGACTAATACAGATTTTTCACTGTTTTTTTAAACCAATATTTGAAGTTAATTACAGCAGCATGTTATGCTTTGCTATATTTGAAAAAACAAGGGATGCTTTCATATCTCAATATATCCTTCTATCTACTTCCAGTGCCTTATACTTGTAATCCATTGTAAAAATGCAAGTACCCCAGGGAGAATTACTACAAAAATGCAAGAATTTGTGTAATTATTTTCTTTGAAAGGAGAGGATATATAAAGCATTGAAAAGCTGGATGGAAGCAGTTATATTAAAAATCTAAGGAAATGCTCAGAAAGAGTGTTAGAAGACGACCCACTGGCATCAACTGATTGAACAAGACCAGGGCCAGATGGTATTCTCATATTCTTATCCCAGGTAGGATAGGACTAGGATTTGCATTATTAAATAAAAGCAAGTCTGGACTTAGATAAGAAATGACTATTTTGAAGTCTATCATGATAGGAAGAATGCTCTGAATCAAACAGAAAAGAGCCTTTTTAAAAAGTGGGGGAAGGAGGGGATAAGTGAAGATCAACAGAAACTTTTAAGAGAAAGTTGGACAACCAAGAGGAAATGATCAGTGGGAACTGGCAGGAAAAGCATCACTCTGTGGGAAGCTGAGTCCCAGGAGAAGCTGACCAAGGGGACATGTTCCACTTTGCAGTGCTTGCTCATGCTTGGGGGCAGGCAGAAATCATCCACCTGTGGGGAGAAGAGAAGCCTTCTGAAGCATGCTCAAAGCATGAGCAGTGGTGAACCCTCAGTCAATGCTATTGCATTATTTTAATAAATGATTGTTTTTGATTGAAGAAAATGAAAATGTTGTGAATTATGAACACAGACACACTACCCACACTTAGCCACTTTTTAAAAATGGAGACTTTGGCTCCTTTCAAATCTCCACTACTAAAAAGGAGAGTTTGGCTTTCAGCCAATTTGGAAATATTTCATATGCTACTATTGTGTCATTTGTAGTGTCTTCATCTGTGCTTTTCTTCTTTTCTGATTTTGATTTGCTACGTAACCTAATCTTTAACCGCACATAATGTGTTTTGTGGAGGAAAGTGTTAAAACAACAAAAAACCCCAAAAAACTTAACTTACTTTTTTGATGCTTATGATAAGGACTGGAATTGGAATTTGACAGCACAGTACTGTACACAAGTGTCATACACTCCCAAGGGGACTCTATTCAGAGAATTTTAATATGATCGTGCCTCCAAGGTACTCAGTGCACAACCTGAGAAATTGTATAGAGCATTTTGGCTGTATCTATAGCTACCTTAAGGGATATTGTATTTAAAGCAACAAATTATAGTTTCAGATTTGACTATAGGTTTAAATCATTGTTATTATTATTCCACAACCTACATATATTTTTAAGACCTGTATCCAGATTTTTCTTCTATCTGATCATTTGTATAGACAGTTAGTTGTAGGGAAACCTAGACTTGTTTTATTCATTCTTACTTCCTCCTGCACATAACTCCTTACTCACCCCCTGTAAAACCTCCAAAGATAGTGGATTAAGATTGTAGATACAGTGATCAAACTTGAATTCTGAGTCTACCATCTGCTATGTATGGAACCTTGAGGAAGTTACTTAACCTCTCTAACCTACAACTTCTCAACTTTAACATGGAAAAAATGTATCTACCTAATGGAGCTGTTTAATTAGAATTAGTTAAAACATATCATGAAAGGAATTGATAAGAATATCTAGGTAGATAAATATTAGGTTATATATTTCAGCTTATATCATTTAGTACTTATACAAATATAAGCAAGTTTTAAGTGCCAGGCTTGCAGTACTAGCAGGATTAAAGGATTAGGCAAATATCCTTCAGGTAATAATTCTAAATTATAGTATATATAGAAAATACAACACTACGATATGCGTGTATATGAGTCCAGTTTTATTATTATTTATATATAAACTATGTAAAGTATGTGTATATGTGTAGATATGTGCAATTATTTCAAGTTATTAATGTGCAACATACTAGAAAGTATTTTTAAGTGAATGATAATAGACAACATATCCATATTTATTGGCTGCAACTAAAGCTCTATTTAGGGGAAAAATTGTATAGCTTTAAATGTTCATATTGAAAAAAGTGAAGGTTGAAAATTCACAGTGTAAGTGCCCCCTTTAAGAAGCTCTCTCCCCAAAAATGGGAATCCAAACCCAAAGTAATTTGAGAACAGTAAATAATAATGATAACAATGAAAGTTAATGAAATCCTAATACAAACAACAGAGTAAATCAATGCAAACAAATGTGTTTTTCTTAAGATTGTTAAATAGGTGAACCTCTATTATGAAAGAGTGGTATCAAAGTAAATAATAAATAAGTCTTATTAATATCAAAGAACAAAAGGAAATGTCATTATCGATTCTAGAGACAGGAAATGGATAATAACCAAGACTTACGAAAAATTGTATGCCTATAAATTCAACAAATGTACCAGATTCCTCAAAATACATAAATTATTCAATCTAATGCCAAAAGTAACAAAAAAATATGAATTGCCTAATCTCTAATAACATGTTTCTTAATTCAAAATCAGCCCCCCTCAAAAAAAAATTCACAGCAATCCTGTCACATCAGTGATGTTTAGTAAACATTTAGGGTTGAATTGCATCAAGCATAGACAAACTTTTCGTGAAAATAGAGAATATATAATCAGTTGTCAACTCGTGTTATGAGGTCAGTATTACTCTGACATCCACGTGTGAAAAAATAGTACGACAAAACTATATGGCATTAACAGACAAAAGTACTTAACAAAATATTACCAAATTAAATCTCCCAGTATATAAAGTCTTAGCCCATAATGAATAAATGAGATTTGTCCTAGGTCTGCAAAGTTAGTATTACATTGGAAAAAAATCAAAGTAGCTCATCAGATTAATAGAATAAAGGAGAATAAACATTTGATAATTTCAGTAGATACAGGAAAAACATCTGACAAATTCCAATATCCATTCGTGGTAAAAACTCTTAGCACACTCAGAATTATAGGGAACATTTTCAACTAATCACGAAAAGCTGAATGCTTTCCCCTTAGTGACACAACAAGAATGTTCACTGTCACCCTCATTTTCCACATTGTGCTGAAGATCCATACAGTACAGTAGTCTCAGAAAAGGAGTATTCAATGATTTGAAAGGAAAGAGCAAAATTCTGTTCTCACAGACATCACTTGCATAGGAAATCCTGACATTGCTTAGTGAGTCATCTTCACTATGATTAAGAAGTGAATTCAGCAACATTCCAAAATGCAATGTTAGAGCAATATAGAAATTATAGAAGAAGTTAGCAAAATGCATTCAAGACCAAACCACCAAACATTGCTGAGAGAAATTGAAGAAGTCCAAATACATGGAAGTTTATACCATTTTTCCAGGTTGGAAGATCCAATGTTGCTATGCTGTCAATTATTCCCATATTGGTTATATATTTAATGATATTTCTTCTCTTAAATACTATCCCTTTTTCTTCCCATATCTTGTATTTTATTCTCTTCTCTCTTCACATCCAAAATCTACTCCCCTCAATTGTCCTATTTTATTCCGTTCCTTTTTGAATGGTATAACTCTTCTCACGACTGGACAACCCAGAAACCCATGGAAAAAAAAAAAAATCCTACTTCTCCTTCTAATTGCCTGCAGTTAGTCAGTAAATCTTGGATAACTTAAATAATAAATATGTTGACAAGCTACTTTAAACTCCTTTACCAATGTCTTTGATCATACCTTTATTTTTTATGCTTTTGGCTTGAGTATTAATATACTAGATTCATATTT
The DNA here is from genome assembly GCF_000001405.40 of Homo sapiens. Classification (NCBI taxonomy): domain Eukaryota; kingdom Metazoa; phylum Chordata; class Mammalia; order Primates; family Hominidae; genus Homo; species Homo sapiens. The sequence continues at coordinate 66,632,388 of NC_000018.10, read as the reverse complement.
GAATAACTTGCCTTTGTTCTTGAACCTCAATCCTTTTCAATGTTTCCAAAATGATTTTCCTGAAATTTGAATCTAGTCAAATTATACCCTCCGTAAAAACTCTGATGTATTCAAACACCTTCCTGTTCTTGTTTTATGTTTTCATGATTAACTCCAGATACTTCTCAACATCTACTATAAAATCCAAATGTGCCAGTTTATTGGGCATTCTATTAAGATGTCATTATATGTTGTGGTATTGCTCAGATAGCTCCTTTTCTTGGTGCAAGTAGGCCTGCTTCATCATCAAGCGCAATTTAACCACCAACCGTTTTTGGAATGCTTTCCTAACTACTTCATACCTCCACCTGCAAAATATTAGTAGCTTAAGTCACACTCTCCTGTGCCCTTTTATATCATAGCACTTATCAGAGTAGAGAATATGCAGGATCTATTAGCTAAGAGATGTGATTGCTGTAGATAAGCATCACACTGGGATTTTGTTTGTTTTTACATACTCTCTAGTACACTGCATCACACATAGCAGAACTCGATAAACATTCTGTGAATAAATAAATATAGTAGATAGTTGTAAGTTTCTCTTGAATCCCTGAATATAAGACAGTGCGATAGAGTGTAAATTATGGAAGCTTGAAATCTGGCTGCAAAAATGTACTAACTGCATGACAGTATCTGCATTTGTTTCCTCATGACTTATTTGAGGAGGAAAAAAAAAAGGCAGCCGACAAATATCATGATGCCTGGCAATTTCATATTCCCTAAAAGGGTCACAACATTCTCTGTCTCACTGCTTCTGAAGGGAATGCCCTAGAGAATTACAATTTCTTGCACACAACACTATCTACTCCATTTACCACAGAAAAATTTGACAAGAGGTGTGAATCCAAAATATAAGTGACTACAAGGTTATTACTTAGGTTGAATATTGCACATAAGTGACCTTAAGATGACTAATTAATAGTAATCAATTACTATTACTACTGATGATAAACATCAGATTATTACTCATGTTCATAGAACACTTTGTGTTCTTATAAGTTTTAAGGGTAAAATAGCAAGAAAATAGGGGCAGTTTGTAGTGGAAGTTAAAAATCTGTGACAAAGACTGTATAGGTATAGCAATCTGCCTTAAGTAAGACAAATTATAAATAAGCAGCAACTCTGAGGGAAAGAAAACCATACACAAAACAATGTGATCATAAAGCCTTGTATTAAGTAGAAATAAAGAAGGTACAGAAAGAGTAGTGAAGCCACTTCTGTAGTCCTGGAGTCAAAACTCTGAACTCCTACACTGACATCTCTAAATCTGCTATAACCATGCAATGATTCTTCTTCCTTATTTCCATGAAACTATGCTTGAGCATAACCACAATGAGTCAGTTTTACTTGCACTCAAACTAGCCTGACCAATTAACACCTGCTTTATGAGTTTTTTGATAATCAAGAAGATGAATGCTGATTGCGAATTTTTTTCAACAGCTCTTATAATGTTTACCCTTTCTTCCATCATGGCCCCTGACATTCTGTTCTTTACCCATGAAAACTAGGTTGGTATCTTTTTTTTTTTTTTTTTTTTTTTTTTGAGAAGGAGTCTCGCTCCGTCACCAGGCTGGAGTGCAGTAGTGGTACGATCTCGGCTCACTGCAACCTCCGCCTCCCGGGTTCAAGTGATTCTCCTGCCTCAGTCTCCCAAGTAGCTGGCACTACAGGAGCCTGACACCACGCCCAGCTAATTTTTTGTATTTTTAGTAGAGAGGGGTTTCACCATGTTGTCCAGGATGGTCTCGATCTCTTGACCTCGTGATCCACCCGCCTTGGCCTCCCAAAGTGCTGGGATTAGAGGCGTGAATCACCGCACCCGGCCGGTTGGTACCTTTAAATCTAAGTTAAATCACAACTTCATTTGCTTAAAACTCTTCAATTGCTTTCCATCTGACTATTTATTAAAGGCAAATAACCAAAAATTCCCAGCAAGGCCTTAAACAATCTGCTTGTGTGTACACACACATACTCTTTCACACTTACACATGCACACTCACACACGCACACTCACACACACATCTCTCATCTTCTATTCTCCACCTGTCTACACTCCAGCCATAATGGACTCTTTGATGTTCCGTCATTAAATGGTGGCTACTTAATAACATTATTATGAAATTGTTGATTAAATTTTTAAAAGAAATATTTTTTTTAAAATGTAAATTTTCTTCAGTAAAGAGAAAGTGTGTTTTGTGAGAAAAATATTGGATTTGGCATCAAAAATCTTCTGTGGGTTCAAGAGCTTCCTTTACTATTTGTCTCTGATGTTTACTGAAATATAAAAGGGGACCGACAACAACGGGGCAGAAATTTTCGAGGATTAAGTGAGATAATGCATGTAAAACTTCTACCATAGTACAGGCATTTCATATGTGCTACAAAATGGACTAAATAAGCTTTCCATTTCATCTGCAAAACCTGCTTCCTCATATTCAGACCAGTCTGAACTTGCACACTTTTGCTCTCAACCATGCAAATACATGTCACCAAGGGGTCAGTTGTGTTTGTTTGCAAAACTAGCCATGCCAATTTTTGTTATAGAAAATGATGAGTTTACAAAATATAACAACATATTTTGTTTCAAAATATAACTAAAAAGTACAAGGCATTATTTTTCTATGTACGCTAAGATGAATGTTACAGAAATGCACGTTAAAATCAAGCTGCCAAAAGTACTGTTAAAGGGCATGGATGAAAATTTTTAAAATTACATCATAGGAAAATGAACAACCTTTATTACAAAACAGGCCAAAGACCTGAACCGACACCTCATCAAAGAAGATATACATATAGCATATAGGTATATGAAAAAATGTTCAAAATTATGTATCATTAGGGAATTACAACAAGGAGAGACCATTATATGCCTATTAAATGACCAAAATCCAAAACACTGACAACACCAAACGCTGGCAAGAATGTAGAGAAATCAGAACTCCTTATCACTGCTGATGGACATGGAAAGCAGAATAGCCACTTTGGAAGCCTGATTGTTTCTTGCAAAATTAAGCATTATCTTACCATACAATCCAGCAATTAAACTTCTTGGTGTTTACCTAAAGGAGTGGAAAATTCAAGTCCACACAAAGTCGTGCATATGGATATTACAACTTTATTCATATTTGCCAAACCCTGGAAGCAACCAAAATGTCTTTCAACAGGTGAATGGATAAATAAACTATAGTAAATCCAAGTAGTAGAGTATTTTTCAGTGCTAAAGTTGAGCTATCAAGTCATGAAAAGACATGGAGAAGCCTTAATTGCATATAAGTAAGTGAAGGAAGCCAATCTGGAAAGACTACATACTGTATGATTCCAACTACGACAATCTGGTAAATGTATGACTATGGAGACAGCATAAAGATCAGTGGTTGCCAGGGGTTAACAGAAGGGAGGGAAGAATAAAGGAAAGATGGAGGATTTTAGGGCAGTGAAACTATTCTGTATACGATAGTCATGAATACATGTTGATATGGTTTGGCTGTCTCCCCACCCAAATCTCAACTTGAATTCCCACCTGTTGTGGGAGGTACCTGGTGGGAGGTGATTGAGTCATGGGAGTGGGTCTTTACCATGCTGTTCTCATAATAGTGAATAAATCTTATGATATCTGATGGTTTTAAAAATGGGAGTTTCTCTACATGAGCCCTTTTTATTTTTTGCCTGCCACCATCCAAGTAAAATGTAACTTGCTCCTCCTTGCTTTCCGCCATGATTGTGAGGTTTTCCCAGCCACATGGAACTGTGAATTCTCCATTAAACCTCTTTCCTTTGTAAATTGCCCAGTCTCAGGTATGTCTTTATCAGCAGTGTGAAAAGTACACTAATATACGTGTCATTATACATTTGTCAAAAACCATAGAATGTATGAAACCAAAAGTGAACCCAAATGTGAACTATGTACTTTGGTGATAATGATATGTCAATGTAGGTTCATGAATTGTAACAAATATATGACATTAGTGTTGGATGTTGATAGTAAAGAAAGAGGAGTTAGGGGGAAGTGCAGGAGATATATGGGAAATCTCAGTATCTTTCACTCATTTTTGCTGTGAACATAAATAGCTTTAAAAAATAAAGTCTATGAACAAACTAGGATTTTACACCAAGGTTAATTCACATTATTTACATTTATTCTTCATTCTTAACAAACAAACAGGAAAACATAGACACATGATGAATGAGCTTTATGAAAGAATATGCAGAATCCCTTTCTGAAGAAAATATCTTGAGAGCCTACATAAAAAGTTAACATGCATATATATTTTAACTAAGTAAAAATATTAAAATATCTTTTAAAAATCCTAATTTTTAATTAAATCCTATTAATTAATTGACATATTGTCAGACAAGGTAATGTAGAACAAGATGATTTCTGTTACATAGATTTGTGTTTGTGTATTTATGTGTGTGTTTCTACATATATTTTATTGATCACATATATAATTCAATTTTCAAGTAAACTATGCTAAAATATTAACTAAAAGTAACTACATCATGTAACTATAAGGCATAAGTTGGTAAACTTTCCCCATAAATGGCTAGATAGTAAATATTTTAGGTTTTGTAGACCAAGAGTGTTTTTCCCAATAACTTTGCTATGATAGCACAAAAGCAGCCACAGACAACACAGACAAATAGGTAGGCAGATCAGAATGTCTGGGGTCCAAGAAACTTTTTTATGGAAACAGACGGCTTCGTGAATTTGGGCGTATGAGCCTTAGTTTGCATACCCTGATGTGAAGAAAGATTGTAATTTAATTAACATTAAAACATTAATAACCCCAAATTAATTATTTCCAATAATTTAAATATATGCTATTTAAGTAGGATTTTTTCTTTTCATAGATATATGCAACATATTCCATAGAATGCAGAAATGTTTTAGAGACATGACTATATTTCAGAGCACTTTAGCAATATTCAGGAAAGTATAGTACAGTCCATAAAAAGAATGTTGTGTTCTAGAATTTTCCCATGATCAGATGTTTTATAAGATTTTCAACTTTTATTTTAGATACAGCGGGTACATGTGTGGGATTATTACATGGATATATTAGACCCTAGTATTGAGCATAATACAAAACAGGTAGACTTTCAACCCTTCCCCAACCCAAACTTCCCCCTCTAGAAGTCCACAGTGTCTGTTGTTCCCATGTTTGTTTTCAAGTGTTTAGCTCCCACTTACATGTGAGAACACACAGTATTTGGTTTTCTGTTCCTACATTAATTTTCTTAGAATTATGTCCTCTAGTTTCATTGACATTGTTGCAAAGTACATTTTATTCTTTTTATGACTGTGTAATATTCCACAGTGTATGTGTACATTTTCTTTATCAAATCCGCCACTTACAGGCACCTAGGCTGATTCCCCGCCTCTGCTATTGTGAATAAAGTGGTGATGAATATACACAAGTGCATGTGTCTTCTTGGAAAACTGATCTAAATTTCTTTGGGTATATACCCAGTAACATGATTGCTGTTAATTCCTTTGTGAAATCTCCAAACAGCTTTCCACAGTGGCTGAACTAATTTACTTTCCTATCAACCATGTGTAAACATTCCCTTTTCTCTGCAGCCTCACTAACATCATCAGGCTGCAAATTTCTCAAACTTGTATGCTCTGCTTCCTCTTCAATACTTTGACACTTAGAAATTTCTTCTGCCAGATACCCTAAATTATCACTCTCAAGTTGAAAGTTCCACAGACCTCTAGGGCAGGGGCAAAATGCTGCCAGTCTCTTACATTGCGAGAGTGACCTTTACTCCAGTTCCTAATAAGTTCCTTATATCCTTCTGAGACCACCTCAGCCTGTACTTCATTCTCCAAATCACTATCAGCATTTTGGTCAAAGCCATTCAACAAATTTCTAGGAAATTCCAAACTTTCCCACATCTTCCTGTTTTTTGAGCCCTCCGAACTGTTCCAACCTCTGCCTGTTATGCAATTCCAGAGTTACATTCACATTTTCAGGTATCCTTAGAGCAGCACCCTACTCTACTGGTACCAATTTATTGTATTAATCCATTCTCATGTTGCTTTATGAACATATCCAAGACTGGGTAATTTATAAAGGAAAGAGGTTTAATTGATTCCCAGTACCACAGGGCTGGGGAGGCCTCAGGAAACTTACAATCATGGCAGAACAGGAAGCAAACATGTCCTTCTTTATATAATGGCAGGAATGAGTAGTGCCCAGCTAAAGGGGGGAAAACCCATTATAAAACCATCAGATCTTAGGAGAACTCACTCACTATCATGAGAACAGCAGCATGGGGGTAACTGCCACCATGATTCAATTACCTCCTGCTGAGTCCCTCCCATGACACACGGGGATTATGGGAACTGAAATTCAAGATGAGATTTGGTTGTGCACACAGCCAAACTGTATCACTAATAGATTCTGGATATTAGACCTTTGTCAAATGCATAGTTTGTAAATATTTTATCCAATAGTATTTTTGATATCTTTTACATTTGATACTATTTACAATAGTATACCATTTTTGATATCTTTTACATTCCTCAATGGCAACTATACCCTCTTTTATATATAATATGTCCTCTACATGTGCTTTTGTTTGTTTGTTTGTTTGTTTGTTTGAGACGGATTCTCACTCTGTCTCCAGGCTAGAGTGCAGTGGCGTGATCTCAGCTCACTACAACCTGATTCCCTGGTTCAAATGATTATCCTGCCTCAACCTCCCAAGTAGCTGGGACTACAGGCGCGTGCCACCAGGCCCAGCTAACTTTTTGTATTTTTAGTAGAGATGGTGTTTCACTGTGTTAACCAGGATGGTCTCTATCTCCTGACCTGATGATCCACCCACCTCGGCCTCCCAAAGTGCTGGGATTACAGGAGTGAGCCACCGTGCCCAGCCTACATGTGCTTTTTATAATAACAAATCTGTATGGGACCATTTCACAGCATGATTACATTAGCTACTACATTTGCTTTTTGCAGAAACCTTAACAAATAAACAAGGATTATTATTCTATTTTAGGAAATCTGAATACCAAGTTTCAGAAAGTTTAAATAATTTACCTGGAATAAAAGCTACCAAGTGAGAAGGCAAGTACTATATTCATATTTACGCTTTCTGCTGCATTCTGTTTTTTGAAGTAAGCCTAAAATAATATTGGGTTATGAATGTGTTTGTACTTTACGTAACATTTCGTGAGCTACGTCTATACAATCTTATTTTTTCACTTATAATTGTACATTGTTTTGATTTATATCACCTTGATCCCTTACTTATTGTGGCTGTTTACCTAATTGCCATATATATTGCCTATGTCCTTGACAGAGAATTACAGTTTTGTTCAGGTATCTAATAGTCTTATGGTTCCTGAAGGCTAGAATTCTCTGTGGAACCATCGTGAATATTTTCTAATCTTTTCCAGCTGTGCTGATCATTGTCTTTTTCTAGCTCTAGTTGTGTAAAGGACCCTAAAATGTAAGTTGTCCATGAAGATGCAAGCAGTGTCTATTTTATAGTTTCCATTCTCAAAAAGATAATAAGGATGAGTCATATTCTTTTCGTTAACTTGTTTTGTGAGAAAAGGATAACTGAAACTCTCACAGAGATTCTGTGATGTTGATGGGACTAAGTAAAATACTGAGGATGGCAGAGCAGAAAATGGAAAGGATGGAGGGCTAAATCACACCAGTGTACTGAAGAGCCCTAACTTTAGATATCTTGACACATGCGATAATAAACTTTGTTCTAGTGTAAGTCTTCTCTGGGGTGGTTATCTATTGCCTATTGCCAAAAAATCCCTAACTGATATATTTGTGAACACAATACAAGAATATAACACATTGGATGTTGTTCAAAATAAGATTGTGTAACTATGGCCTAATTTATGCTTGTTTTTCTTTTTACAATCCCTAAAAATATTAAGTAATTATTTGTTGACCAAAGTGCATTGAAAATTATTTTTAGGTAACATATGTATGCTTTTAAATTTAGATTTTATATTTGAAAAAAGACTTGAATTATTATTTTACCTTAACCAAATTGGTTGTCAATCTTCACTCTATTGTGAGTTTTTTTTGCAGTGTTTTACAGAGTCTATTTCTGTCGACATGTCTGCTATAGTCTGAGATTATCACATACCACATAGGATGGTTTTCTTACAAAGAAGAAAAACATACTACAAGTACATTAGAATTTTTAAAAAATCTAAGAAAATAACAATTAAATTTTTGTCTTGGACACCTTTTATTTATTGGTAAATAATATTTCATATGTAATTTATAGTTCCTTCCTCTTTAGAGAAAGAGGAAAAGGCTAAGAACCGCTTTTCAGAGGGCAGGAAAAAATAGCAGAACTCTTGTTAATCTTGCAGGGTTGGGTGAGGACCTCACTAGAAGACTTGAAGGGCTCAAAACATTGTCCATTTCTTAGGCCTTTTTCCAAATTCAGAAGCTTTTCAGGATGAGAAGCTTCAAAGCTAAAGCATGTTTTTTCATAGTTTTGCTGCTATAATGAATCAAACATTAGCATCCAGAAATGAACAATGGGAAGTGCCTAAGTGGACAATTCAGCAGCTCAATCTTTAATGATTAGTCATTACTCTAACTACCTAGCAGTAAAAAAAAAAAAAAAAAAAAAAAGCATGAAACCTAAAGATAATAGCATCCCAATTACCTACATTTTCTTAATATAAATGTACAGTTTATAGCCAATAGTTACTTATAATGTTAAAAAATGTATAGGATTGAAAAATACAGACAAAACAAACAGATCTATAGGAGCTAGATATTGGTGTTAGAAGACAAATGGAATGTACGGTCCATAAACAGTGCACTCAACTGATTTACAACAAAAGTAACTTCGCAGTTTTTGGAAGAATTGTGGCATTTTCAATGAAAGTTGCTAGGTCAATTAGCTATTTATATGAGAGAAAAATTAATGTTACCTTCTTACACATAGTACATAATTGTCAAAAACAAATTCCAGAAGGATTCAAATTTAAAAAAAAATAAAGATAGCTTCTAGCAATCATGTATATGTATACACACATGTATACTTGTACACGTGCACATTCCCATTTGTTAACTCTTGGTAGGATGAGATTCTGAATGAGGTACAGGAAGCAATAACCATATAAATAAGTAAATAAACAAATAATACATATACATTGGACTAACTACATTAAATTTTTTAACGTCCTTAGAAGCCATCACAAAAGATTTTAAAAGCAAGGCAAAAAGGCTGTGAGAAGATTCTTGCAATACATTTATTCAACAATAGTGATAATATCTAGAATACTTAGAGAACTCCAAAACAAAAATAAAACGGAAAAAATCAATAAAAAATGTGCGGAATCTTTATTAAGCAAATTTGTATGATATACCAATTCATACAATGAACAATTCATACAATAAGCATATGAAAGGTTGCTCATTTACATTAGCTAGGTCAAAAAATCTAAATCACAATGACAATAAGATACTAGTATCCATACACAAAAAGACTAAAATAAAATTATAGAGGATGCTACATTTTGGTGAGAATGTAGAACAATTTAAACTATGAAACACTGAAATTTGGAATATATTTTTAGGACTGCTTCTAAAATTGTTTGGCAGTTTTTACCAAGTTAAAAATACACCTACCTTGTAAAAAATCCACTTCTACATATATACCAAGAAAACGGAATGATTATATCCATGAAAAGTGTATATTGGAATCCAAGCAGAGAGTTCTGAAGCTCTTGTCATAGTTACTGATTTATTTTTTACATAGATGTGGGAAGGTTGAAACATAGGTTCACTTTTGAAACAAGGTAGGCTTTGTTGGTAAGAAATTAAATTAAGGCTGGCAGCTCCGTGAAAGCAAGAAGATCAACAAGAGATTAGCTAGTTGATTGGTAATAAGCAGATAAAGTCACAGCTAAGAAAATTCCTCTTAGGGTTAAGAAAACCTCAAAGCCTGGCCATCCCAGATAATCCTGCACAGTGACTGGAATTTAGTGGAGTACGACTATAGAACAATTCATTTCCAAGAGCTTAGTGGAAAGCAATAGCACAGTCAGCAGACAATTAGCAGAGCTTAAGAGCTGGGTGTATTATCAAAAGAGGCAGACAGGTTAATAGAGGGAAGTTACGCTTATTTTTTTTTTGTCTTTTTTTTTTTTTGTTTTTTGTTTTTTTCCTTTTTCTGGAGAACGGGGTCTCGCTATATTGCCCAGGCAGGTCTCGAACTCCTGGGCTCAAGCTATCCTCCCGCCTCTTAGCCTCCCTGAGAGCTGGGATTACAGGCGTGAGCCACCGCGCCCGGCCCAGACAGGTTAATAGAGAGTTCAAGGAAATACACAGCCAGGAGGAGTTGTGCTATGAGTGACATCAGACTCTTCCTGTTGTAGGGAAATAACTTTCACTAAATAGTCCAACCTAGTAACTAAGTAAACAAGAAAAAGAGAGAGAGAGAGAGAGAGCGTGGAAGATTGGTGTGAAGAGTTGCTACCAAATATTATCTAGATGGTCCAGTTTTTAACACAAAATCAAGGAACATGCATAAAAATAAGGAAGTGTGAAAAGTACCTGGGAAGGGAAGACAGGCAAAACAGGTGACAGAAACTGACAGTGAGAGGGACTGCATGGTAGAATTAGCAGACACACAAAGATTTCAAGACAGCCATTAAAAATATATTCAAAGAAGTAATGACAATGAATCTTAAAAAGTAAAGGAAGGTACAATGACAATGTCTCACCAAATAGTGAATATCATTAAAGAGAGAGCAATTGTTTGTTTAAAAAAGAACCAAATGGAAACTCTGGACTTAAGATCTACAAAAATTGAATAAAGTATTTATTAGCGTTCCTCAAGAGTAGATGTGGGCTGTAAGAAATAAGAATCCATAAACTTAAAAAGAGAAGAATCAAGATTATGCAATCTCAAAAACAGAGAGAAAAAATAAATAAAAAGAAATGGACAGAGCCTCAGAGAAATGTGGTGCTCCCACAACGCAAAACAACGTATGTAAATGGGAGTATCAAAGGAAGAGGAGACAATAATTTGGCTGAAAAATACTTGAAGCAATAAAGACTGAAAAATCCCCAATTGGAAAAAATAAATAACATGGATATATACCAACAAGAAACTCTTAAGAATTCCACTAGCAAAGAAATTCACCCATGGCACACTATAGTAAAAACACTGAAAGTTAATAAAGCCAAAATCTTGAAAGCACAAAACAGCCATGACTCACCAATGACAAAGGAACCCCGATAAGAATAGCATGTGCTTTCTTACCAAAAATAATAGAGATAAGAGGTAGTGAGATATTCAAAGTATGGACAGAAAAAATAAAATTAAAAAGCAGCCAAGCAAGAATATTATATCCAGTAATACTATTAAAAAAAATCATGAAATACTGACCTCCAATAATTGAGACAAAATTGAAAAAAATTAACAGATAATTGACAAAAGTTCAGAGAATCTGTTACATTGTATAAGGAAGTCTAAAGAAACTTTTTAGTCTGAAAACAAGTGATCGCATACAATAATTTGAATCCACATGAAAACAATAATTATGAGTAAAATTAATCGTATTATTATTAAAATATTACTAATATATGTCACATCACCTTCAATTTCTTCTAGTGGTTCATCAGGCTTTCAGGGTACAAAATCTATATAAAAAATCAACTGTATATGTATATACTAACAAGAAACAATTAAAAAGTAAAATTAAGACATCGTTTTCCATAGAATGCCATAAAAATAAAAATTATTTATATTTTAACACATAAAATTTATACTCTAAAAGCTATACATATATGTTAAAAATTAAAGCAGGCCTAAATAAATCTAAAGATATTTTATGTTCATGATTTGGAAGACATACCATTTTTAAGACGACAATACTCGGCACATTGATTTATAGAAACGGTAAAATCCCTATTAAAATATCAGATGGCTTCTTTGCCTAAATTGAGAAAATGATTTTAAATTCAAAAGAAAATTTAATAGGCCCAAACAATCTTAAAAAATGAAGAATAAATTTGGAGGCATTACATTTCTGGAATTCAAACTTTACAAAAATGGAGACAGAGTAGTACTGACATAATGACATATTGAAATCAATGGGATAGAATAGAGGATCCATTAAAAAATCCCTCAAATTTACATTCAATTAATTTTCTAAAAGGCAACAAAAACAATTCAATGGGGTAAGAATAGGTTTTTCAACAAATGATGCTGAACAAATGGATTAACTTTTGCTAAAGAATGAAGTTGGGTCTCAATCTCAAAAGTTCCACAAAACTTAATTCAAATGGATCTTATATCTAAACATATGAACTAAAAGCATAAAACTGTAAAATATTATATTATAGTAAATGTTTGCCACCTGGAGTTAGACAAATCCTTTTTAAGAATGATAATAAAAGCACAAAAGCAAAAAAAAAAAAAAGAAACATTGGATAATATCATCAAAATTAATGTTTTACCTGCAAATGACATTATGAAGAAAGTGGAAATTAAAACCTAGGGTAAAATATTTTCAAGTGATATATCTCATTGGGGACTTAAATCTAAAATATATGAAGAATTCTTGATAAGAAAAAGAAAATTTATCTAATTAAATACAGCAATTAAGTATCTGAATAGACATGTATCTAGAAGGCAAACAAATTGCCAATAAGAATATGAAAAGATGCTCAACATCATTAGTTCTTAGAGTAAAGCAAGTTGAAATGACAATGAGATGCCACCACATGTCCACTAGGATGGCTATAATAAAAAGATGAATAATAATGTTTTGCAAAGGTTATGGAGAAATTGAAACACTCAAGCGCTGCTGTCAAGAATAAAAAATGATACAACCATTAAATTTTGAAAATCTTCTGGCAAGTCCTTAAAAGTTTAAAACACAGATTTTTCATATGACCCATCAGCTGTACTCCTAGGTATAGCGTATGGCTAGTCAGCTATACCAACATCCTTTGTTGAACAGGAAGTGCTTTTCCCTTTGCTCATTTTTGTCAACTTTGTGTTAGATCAGATGGCTGTAGTGTGTGACTTTATTTCTGGGTTCTCCATTCTGCTCCATTGGTCTATTTGTCTGTTTTTGTACCAGTGCCATGTTTTGATTATGTAGCCTTATAGTACAGTGTGAAGTCAGGTGATACGATGACTCTGGCTTTTTTTTTTTTTTTTTTTATTACTTAGGCTATTCAGGTTCTTTTGGGATTCATATTAAACTTACAATAGTGTTTTTTTCTAATTCTCTAAAAAAATTGAAAGTTTAATAGGAATAGCATTTAATCAATAGATTGTTTCGGGAAGTATAGCCACTTTAATGATATTGATTCTTCAAATCAGTGAGCACTAAATGGTTTTATTTTCATTTTGTTTACATCATCTCTAATTTATTTTGGCAGTGTTTTATAATTGCCCTTGTACAGATCTTTTACCTCCTTGGTTAGATGTATTCCTAGGTATTTAATTATTTTGTGGCTACTGTAAATGGGATTGCATTTATAATTTGGCTCTCAGCTTGAATGTTATTGGTGTGTAAAAATACTACTGATTTTTATACATTGATTTTGTATCCTTAAACTTTATTTAAGTCATTATCAGTTCCAGGAGCCTTTTGGTAGAATCTTTAGGGCTTTCTAGGTATAGAATTTTACTGTTAGAGAAGACAGATAGTTTTACTTCTTCTTTGCCTATTAGTATAACTTTTAATTCTTTCTCTGGCCTGATTGCTCCTGCAAGGACTTCCAGTACTATGTAGAATAGGAGCAGTGAGAATGGGTATTGTTGTCTTGTTCAAGTTCTCAAGGGCAATGCTTCCAGCTTTGTCCACTCAGTATGATGTTTGATATGGGTTGTTCATAGATGGCTTACATTATTTTGTGTTAAATGTATTTTCATTTGATGCCTGGTGTGTTGAGGGTTTTAATCATGCTGGATTTTATCAAAGACTGGAGGGAAGCTGGATTTCATCAAAGACATTTTCCACATCTATTGAGATAATCGTGTGTTTTTTGTTTTTAATTGTTTATGTGCTGAATCACATGTAGTGATTTGCATGTGTTGACCTGTCCTTGCATCCCAGGAATGAAGCCTACTCGATCCTGCGGAATTAACTTTTTTGATGTGCTATCAAATTTGCTTTACTGGTATTTTGTTGAGAATTTTTGTCTCTAGATTCATCAGAGATACTAACCTGCAGTTTTATTTTTTGGTGGGGGGTTTTTGCTGAGTTTTAGTATTATGGTCATGCTGATTTTATAGAATTAGGGAGGGGTCAATACTCCTCAGTTTTTTGAAGTAGTTTCAGTAGAATTGATACCCACTCTTCTTTGTACATCTGGTAGATTGTGTATCTTGTACATTGGCTGTGAATTCGCCTGGTCTGGGTCTTTTCTTGGTTAGTGGTTTACTGCTTCCATTTCATAATTTGATATTTGTCTAGTCAGTTTTATTTTTCTTCCTGATTTAATATTGGAAGGCTATGTATTTCCAAAATTTGTCCACTTCCTCTTGATTTTCTAGCTTGTGTGCATAGAGGTGTAAATAATCATATCTGTGGACCTTTTGTATTTCTGTGTGATCAGTTGTGATGCCACCTCTGTCATTTCTGATCTTGCATATTTGGATCTTTTTTCTTTTTCTTCATTAATCTAGCTAACGGTCTGTTGATCTTGCTTATTCCTTCTAAAAAACCACCTTTTGGTTGCATTGGTTTTTTGTATGGATTTTTGTGTCTCAATTTAATTCTGTTCCACTCCAATTTTATTTATTTATTTGTTCTACTATCTTTGATTTTTTTTTCATTTTGTAAATTATTTTTTCTTTATTTTTGTCAGGCTGGGTTAGTTTTAAAAACTGGTCTTCAAGCTCTGAAATTCTTTGTTTTGCTTGGTCCAGTCTATTTAGAGATATCTCATATTTTAAAATTCCATAAGTTAATTTTTCACCTCCAGAAGCTCTGACTGATTTTTTATGATGCTTTTCTCTTCCTTTATTTCCTGGATTTCTTTAGAAGTTTCTTTGTATTCATCTTCAACATTGTCTTAGATCTCATAGAGCTTCCTTGCAATTCACACTTTGAATTCTTTATCTGTCACTTCAGAGTTTCCATTTGGTTTATAAACCATTTCTGGTGAGCTAGTGTGATCCTTTGGTGGTGTCACTACATTCAAATTTTTCATGGTTGCAGAATTCTTTCACTGCTTTTCTTCCTTCTGAAGATACTAGCATTTCTAATTTTTGTAATTATTTTCTGTGTGGGTAGGATTTTTTCGTTTCCTTTTCTTTCTATATAATATTATTTGGTGCTTTTTTTTTTTTTTTTTCCTTTTTCTCTTTCTCTAGTGGGTGTGACTGAAGATAATGTTGGGTAGGGTCTTTTGGCTTTGCTTTTGCCCTATGCACTTCTGTTGGGAGGTTTTATATAGGGCTGTGCGGTTCCACCTGAAAGCCAGTAGGTGGCACTTATATGTAAGAGCCGGCTGCTGCCAATGTGGCAGGGTATATACTTGATCCTTGTTTACAAGGTGAAGGTCTCTGTTGCCTCTGTCAGTGGGGTGATCAGTGCAGTGCACAGTGGTCTGAGTTCCCTGCTCAGCTCCCAGGTTGTGGGGCACAAGGTGGGCAGGACTGGACTGGACAGGCCCACCTACAGGTGCCCTGAGGTCATGCACTAGCATCAGCACTGAGAGAGAATCCAGTGGGTGACCACCAAGCACCCAAGGTGTGCCTAGATGTGGAGCTGGGAAAACTCCTTGGCCCCAAGTCCACTGCACCGGCAGGTGGGGGACAGCCTAAACTCCTAATCTAGGAGATTGGGTGTTCTCGGTGTCTGGAGATACGCCTGGGCATGAAGCACAAAGGGCTCCACTGCACCACAGTCTCTGTAGAGCATGGGCGGGGCAGCTCATGCTGGTAATCCAGAGGAAAGGGTGTTCTGGCTGCCTCGAGATGTACTTGGGCGTGGATTGGAAAGGGTATGGCTGTACCGTTATCTCTGTGCAGTAAGTGTTGGGCAGCTCAGGCTACCAATCTGGGCAAACAGGTGCTCTGAACACATGGAGATCTGCCTGGGTGCGGAGTGAAGAGGGCCTCACTTCACCACAATGTCTGAGATCTGCCTAGGTGTCAAGCAGAGAAGGCCCCTCTGCACCACAATCTCTGCACAGGGTGGGGTGGCCCAGGCTGTTGGTTGAGGCGAGTGGGTGCTCCAAATGCCTGGAGATCTGCCTAGGTGTGGAGTGGAGCGGGTGCCCTTGCTCCAGGATCTTTTTATCAGCTGGACAATGTCATGGGGCTGTTTACCTGCATCCTACTCCTGGGAATCTGGGTTGTCCTTCACGGTACCAGTGGATTCCCATTCATTAATACTTCTCAAATTAAAGCTAAATAATTCATCTTTATAAACTATTTTGCTATTTCCAAGTGGCTGAGGCATGCTAAAAGCCTCTAGTCTACCACTTTGGGGTAAAAAAGGTAATTTATTTTAATTACATTAGTGAGTTAATAAGTTGGCTCCAATACTGGAATTGCTATAGTGCTATAATGCATTAGGAAATTTTCTTCTCTTTTAAATGGTAATTTTCTAGGGTCAAGAAAAATAATTATAATAATGCTAAAAACATAATGAAAATATAAATAATGTTGAGTATTGTATTTGATTGGTAGTTAAATGTTTTTTATCAAATGACAATTAGATAATGCATTTTGGTCAAATTAATTTTAGGGGATTTAAATTATATGTAACTAATAATTAAGACAATATATTCATTTAAGTTTTAAGGCCATTTGGTAGGTAATTTATACATGGTTGTGTGTGATATCTATATATGTCACATTTGCTCTTCTCCCTTAAGTATTATTTCAATTTAAAAACAGCCACAAGAATCAGTTTTTAAATTTTCATTCATTGAGAAGATGCTTACATTTTGTACTCAAAATAACTGCTGACATGTTTTTAAACAGGATGTTTCAATAAGCAGTAAACAAGCCAGCTGGCTCTGACAACCTTCTGTAAAGCTTTGGTATGATACTGCTGAAAAGATAAGTGTTTTGGATATAGAGAAACAGAGTGTTCAGATTTAGGGCCCTGGGAAAAGTTATTTAACTTCACTGAATTTCACTTTCCACATTTATAAAATAAGAAGAAGAAATGAATACCTTCCTGGGTATTGGTAGTTGTTTAAATGAGATAGAATATGCAAAACTTTATAAAATATTGTCTATTACTTAGGTTTTAACACATTCAACTCATAATTTAATAGAGAGAAAAGTGAGTGACACAATTTGAGGCCAAAGTCAAACTCTTAATTCCATCAGCTATGGCTAAGCATAGGTTTTACACATCCCAATCATGGCTGCTGAGAGCTAATATCTGTTGATGAAAAGAATAGTGATCAGGTCCTCCCAAAAAATTATTCATGGCAAGACAGAAAAATAGGAAAATATAAAGGAAGTCTAACTTCTCTTTACGTGGTAACCCTTCTACATCTTCTTACATCTAAGGAATTTGAGTTCAATGTATTTCTATTAATGCATTTTGCTAGCTTCATAAGACCATTGACATTTATAAAATAGCTTGCTAGAAAACGTATGTTTTCTACATGAACCAATTTCAAGACAGTTCTTTATTTCTCTCTCATAATTTTTTCTTTATATAAAATGAGAAAATCACATTTTATTATATGAAAATTAATTTTTTTGAGGTATGATCTACTCCAAAACACTATTACGTTGTTAGGATTTATCCAGATACAAGGATAATATGAAAATGGTTTTAAGTGAAACCAATCTTTATAATGCCTGTGTGGGTCAGCTCAACACTGGGAGTTGTTACCCTTGAATTTTTTTTTTTTTTTTTTGAGACGCAGTCTTACTCTGTTGCCTAGGCTGGAGTGCAGTAGCGTGATCTTGGCTCACTGCAACCTCCACCTCCTGGGTTCAAGCAATTCTCTGCCTCTGCCTCCCAGATAGCTGGGATTACAGGTGCCCGCCACCACGCCCAGCTAATTTTTGTATTTTTAGTAGAGACGGAGTTTCACCATCTTGGCCAGGCTTGTCTTGAACTCCTGACCTCAGGTGATCCACTCGCCTTGGCCTCCCAAAGTGCTGGGATTGCAGGTGTGAGCCACCACGACTGGCCAAATTTTCACTTTAATATTGTCTGCAAAATATATAGATTTATAGTTTTTGGTTATCAATTTTAATACCCTCTCTTACAGATATGCAAATAACTTTATCCTATTTTGTATTTGTAAGATAGAAATATATGCATTCAAAAAAACAGATTTGTACTGTATGGCAGCTCTAAGCTAGCTTTCTGATGACTAGCAAGTCATATAGCACCAAACTACCTTAGAAAGCCCAGCTGAATGTAGCAATGCCCAAGATAGATTTAAGGACTATGAATTCCTGCCTTTCTTTATGTCCATGAGGTAATAAAATATTAAGGGAAACTTAAATAATTTCTCATATATAGTAGACAAGACAATGAAAGGAAAAGTACAGTGATTGAAGGGCTTATTTACTTGCCTTCTTATTATTAGTAAAACATCAGTAAATTTTAATATGCTAAATTATTTTTAAAATTCTTCATTTATCACAGAGAATAAACTAATTGGAAGTAAGTGGCATTATAGTTTTAAAAATGTATTTTAAAATTGATTTGTTTTGCTTCCTTTTAATTTTTGTTGTTTGCTCTGGGTTACCCAGATCCTGGAACAAGTCCAAAGTTTGTACTCTTAGGGCCAGTTCACTTAAAGAAGTCCTTCTAAAACATTAAACACCAGGCCAGGCACAGTGGCTTATGCCTGTAATCCAAGCACTCTGTGAGGCCGAGGCAGGTGGATCACCTGAAGTCGGGAGTTCAAGACCAGCCTGACCAACATGGAGAAACTCCATCGCTACTAAAAATACAAAACTAGCTCGGTGTGGTGGCGCATGCCTGTAACCCCAGCTACTTGGGAGGTTGAGGCAGGAGAATCGCTTGAACCTGTGAGGCGAAGGTTGTGGTGAGCAGAGATGGTGCCATTGCACTCGAGCCTGGGCAGCAAGAGTGAAACACACACAGACACACACAGACACACACAGACACACACACACAAACCACCAGTAATATTTTATCATTAAAAATAATCACCACATAAGCCACTGAAAGTTGGAGTTATTTTATCAAATACCATTATGTAGTTGTTATTAAGGTAGCCCTCCATGACTGTGCCTATAGAATGACCTCAGTCTTTTTATTTGCATTTTAGGCTGCCACACTATGGACAAAACATAAATGCATATATTACATTTCCTTATTGATAGGTATTTTAATTGTGACTAGATCATCTATATTAATAAAATGCTGTAATAAATGTGTTTTTACATATGGGTTTATAATAGATTTTATTTCTACAGGAAAGTTTAGTGAAATTTTTACTGTCAAATTGTCTTCCACAACTTTTTTATCACCAGTATGATGGAAGTGTATATCTACTCCCTTGGCAACAAAAAATATTGTCAATCTTTGTAATTTTTAGAAGACACTTGAAATAAAATTACTAGTTATTGTTTTTAATTCAGATTACTATAATTTGTATTGAAGGTGTATTAATATGTTTATTGGAGATCATTGTTCAATTTTGCTACTATTTTCTTCTGATTTTCTTATTTGGGTGTAATTATAGATGACAGATGTAATTTCGGCTGGTCTGTGTATTATGTTTTTTTTTTTTTTCAGACATGGCTTTTAAATTAATGGTTTCTATTTATTTTGCCATTTTAAATTTCTATATAGTAAAAAATGTAACATTGCTTGTCTTATTTTTATTATTTTCCTTTAAGTTCTGGGATACATGTACAGGACATTGCAGGTTTGTTTCATAAGTATACATGTTCCGTGGTGGTTTGCTGCACCCATCAACTTGTCATCCAGGTTTTAAGCCCCGCATGCAGGGATAGCATTAGGACAAATAAAAAACATTGCTTATCTTTACAGTACCTGTCATCTGTGCCAGTCCTAGATATCATATCTCATATCCAGTATTTTAAAAATGCGGACTCATATTTTCTTCACACTTTTATTTATTTTCATTTAATGTTATCTGCCTGAATTTTCTCTGCTATTATATAAAGCAGAAATTTAAATGCATTTTTCTCCATATAGAGTTCTACCATAATTTTTTCAAACATCATTTATTAAATGACCAAACTATGGTATAATAAGAAATTTGATCTTCCCTCCAGTTTTCTGACACAGAGTTTCTTAAGCACTTGTAATTCCCTGACTAATAAAGACGAAAACTTCTTTTGTTATACTATTTGGTCTCAGTCCTGACTTCCTTACAAAAGATCTTCTAGGATGCATGAAGGAGGGCTGAAGATTGAGTCCAATTACCAATGGTCAGTGATTTTATCAATCAAGCTTACATAGTGGAAACTTCATAAAACCCCTGTAAATGATGGGGTTCAGAGAGCTTCCAGGTGATTGCATCCATGTGCTGGGATGGGGGTACCCTAAAACTCCAAGGGAACAGAAATTTCTGTGCTCAAGACCCTTCCATAGTTCATTATATGTACCTGTTCCTCTGGCTGTTCATCTGTATTCATTAATAAACCAGTAATAGTAAATAAAGTGTTTCCCTGAGTTGTTTGAGCCATGATAGCAAATTATTGAACATGAAGAGTGGGTTGTGGTAATCTGTGATTTGCAGCTAAGCTGGTCATATGTATGTGACGCCCAGGACTGGTGATTTACAGTTTTAAGTGGGGACAGTCGTGTGGGACTGAGCCCTTTACTTGTGAGTCTGAAGCTAACTCCATGTAGACAGTGTCAGAATTAAATGGAATTTTTGGACCCTCATTTGGTATCCTCAGTTGGAAAAAAATTAGTTGTTGCTGTGAAAAAATCTGGTGTAAGAAATTGTGTGTATAGAAAATGTTTCTTCCTATTACTAACCATTCCCTAGTTATTTGAAACACCAATTTTGTCATGTCTCATATCTCATACATGCATAAATCTGTTTCCGGCCTCCTTATTCTTTGTGTTGCTCCCTCTTCTCTATTGTTATTGCATTAATGCAGTGATATTTGACAGTTTAGTTACTCCTCTTATCTCTTTTCAATTAATAATAACAGATTTTTCTTATGTGTCTTGCTTTAGATAACAAAAACAAATGATGAAATGCTTGGGAACTTCAGCTACCTCAATGAAGTTGGTTACAAATACATAATCTCAAATTTGCTTATCAAGCTCTAGATCCCAAAGTTATCACCAAACTAAATTTAGGTATACAACCTGGACATGATAAATGTCCCTAGGATGGGGCTAATAGGGTAGAGTGGTTCGTTCAAATTAAATTTCTCAACACTGAGTTTTAGCAGAGTTCAATCTGCCTTTAAGACAATTTCATGGTGCTATAAAATTTGCCGAAATGGTACAGATGTGAACTATCTTTTGTATTAGTAAAATGGTGAAATGTAACAAAAGGAGAAACCAAGTAATATGTAAAAATATATTGAACTTTTCTCTGGGGGGAAGCGTATATTAGCTATTTTTATTAGGTATGAGTATTATATTAACCAATTTATTCATTCATTTTTGTCAAAAATTGTATAACTATGGCATACAGCATGTTTTGATATATGTAAGCATTGTGAGATGACTAAGTCAAGCTAATCAACATGCTTACTTCACATACCTATTATTTTTTTGTGGTGAGAATGTAAAAATTGTAATAATATATACAATATATTATTTTTAACTATAGTCACCATAACATGTAATATATATCTTGGGGATAGTCCACCTTTGTAACTGAATTTAAAAAAAAAAATTGACCAACATCTCCCAAATTGCCCCACCTCAAACCTCTGATAGCCATCATTCTATGCTGCCTCTGAGTTTGATGTTTTTAGATTCCATATTTTTAGATTCCTCATTATATCCTGTGATATAATGATATTTTAGGGTATTTTTTATTCTGTGCATGGCATATTTCACTTAACATAGTATACCCCAGGCTCATTCATGTTGTTGCAAACATGTTGTCCATGTTGACAGGATTTTGTTTGTTTTAAATATTATCCCATTATGTATATATAGCACATGTTCTTTATCCTTTCATCCATTGATGGACACTTAGGTTTTTTTCTATATCTTAATTACTGTGAATAATTTTGCAATGAGCATGGGAGTGAAGCTGTCTCCTCCACATACTGATTTGTTGTTTATTTGGCTATTTACACAGTACTAGGTTTGCTGAATATATGGTATTTCTATTTTTAGTTATTTGAGGAACTTCCATAATGCAATCTATAATGACTGAATTAATTTACATTCACACCAAAAGTGTGCAAAGTTCCCTTTCTCCACATCCTCACCAACACTTGTTATCTTTTGTATTTTTTCATGGTCAATCTAAACTAACCCAATCTAAGTCTGAGGTAATATTTCACTGAGCTTTTAACTTGCATCTTCCAGATGATTGGTAATATTGAGCATTTTTTTTTTCATATGTCTGTTGACCAACACCATGTTCATAGATGAGAAGAGTTAATATTGTTAAAATATTCATATTACCCAAAGTAATTTACAGATTCAATGCATTCTGTATTAGAATTTCAAATATGTTTTTCAGATAAATTGAAAGAACCCCCAAATTTGGAAGGAACCAAAAAAGACCCCGAATAATTAAATCAATCTTGAGAAAAAAGAGAAAAACTGGAGGCATCATCCTACCTGATCTCAAAGTCTACTATAAAGCTACAGTAATCAAAACAGCATGGTATTAGCATAAACACAGACTCATAGACTGATGGAGCATAATAGAGAGCCCGGAAATTAGTCCACACATTTACAGTTAATTGAATTTCAACAAAGATTTCAAAAACACATAATGGGTAAGATAGTCTTTTCAATGAATGATGATGAGAAAACTAAATATCCACATGCAGAAAAATTAAGACACTATACAAAATCAACTCAAAATTAATTAGAGACTTAAACGTAGACCTGAAACTCTAAAACTAGAAGAAAAGCTCAATAAGATTGGTGAGATATATATATGTATATATACACATATATATGTGGGAGCATGGTGTGTAATATATGCATATATATATATATATATATATACATGCACATATACATACAGTTTTACAATAATGTGGAGTAAAAATAGTTTAAAACACTATGCTTATTTAATATATTAATATTGCATTATTCTCTACTTTTGATTTAAATCTATTATTTTAATTTAAATATATTATTTTAATATATTATTTAAATCTATTGTTTTGATTTAAATTACTATTTTATTGGAAATATGATTTTCATCTTTCTACCAACTACTACTGTCTTTATTATTACCATTAAGCATAGTAACAATAGCAGTTATTATTTAGTAGTAATAAAAATACAGGAGTTGTTATCTGTCAAGAACAATGCAAAGTAACTCCCTTACATTATTACAATAACCCTGTGATTTCTCGTCTCAATAAAAATTTAATTAAATAAAAATTTACTTTATGTAATACATTGGGCTAGGGATTATAATGATAGAAACACAAGACGCTGGTCAACCATGTGTAGTCAAATAAGTGGTTGGTCAGAGTCTTGTCTTTGTATCATTATGACTTGTAGAACAATACATTGCATAAACATAATAGGTGATGATAGACTATAGATAGATACATAGATAGATTAGAGAGATGATAGATGACAGATAACTTCACATCTTTTATAATATTACAATTCTAAATGATGCCAGAGAGAATGTTTATAATGCTGATGTGCATGATCTATAAATTTAAGAAGTAACCAAAATTTTATAAAAACATGGAAACTCTTCCAGAAATTAAATGTTCATATTAATATTGTCCTGGTGAAAGAAAAAGTAAAAGTTAATCTACCGTTTCAAAGAGGTTGGTGCCTAGGTGAGATGTTTCTAATAAATTCTGGTAATATAAACAGAAAACAAGGCTGACATACCTCTACACGTTTATGTCTGAATTTAAGTATTTTGGGTTGTTTGTTTGCATATTGACAATTACTAAATTATTCTTGTAATGAGCCTTTTTTGTTATTTATACATTTATTCATTGTTAATTACTATAATGGATTTCTTCCGTCATGGAGATTATGTTGCGGCTTGGCAAATATACATACATATATATATTTCTTAAATATACTGCTCCAGAGAAAAGTCTTCTTACAAAAGAAAATAAAAACAAAACAACTTTGGGAGGCCGAGGCGGGCAGATCACGAGGTCAGGAGATCGAGACCATCCTGGCTAACACGGTGAAACCCCGCCTCTACTAAAAATACAAAAAATTAGCCGGGCATGGTGGCAGGTGCCTGTACTCCCAGCTATTAGGGAGGCTGAGGCAGGAGAATGGCTTGAACCCAAGAGGCGGAGCTTGCAGTGAGCCGAGATCGCCCCACTGCACTCCAGCCAGGGTGACCGAGCAAGACTCCGTCTCAAAAAACAAACAAACAAATAAATAAATGAATTAATTAATTAATTAAATATAAAAAGAAAAAGAAAAAAGAATGAATACAAAAATAAGAAAATAAGGACATATATATGACAATAAAATTTTTTATTATATTAGACAAGTGGCTACTGTAACTAGAATTTAAAAGATAAATCTTCAAACCATACAAATTGTTGCCATATTCAAGACAATATTTCTTTACTCTGAGCAAAATTTGTGTAATTTTGATACAAAGTATTTTAGCATGGTTAGAAGTATATAGATTAGTGAATATTTTGTTTATTGTTTGTTCTATCATTGTGCATTTTTTTATTTCCCCATATTTATCATTGTGATATATATTCAATGTTAAAAACAGAATGGAAAACACAGCAAATTGGACTGTTGGAAAAGAATGCCATTTAATGGCAATCCATGGAGAAAATTATTATTTTTATTTTCAGCATTTTAAAAGCTATTTTACATGAATATCTGAAGTGAACACTGGACGTCTAGTTGGTTATCAACTAGATTCAACCACTCCACTCTAATTTGGGGAAATGAATCTGTTTTTCTATCAACTAACTCTTTCTCTCAGGTTCAGGAATGACAATTACTTTAAGCTTTTCTTGTTGCCATTCTTTGTTCATGCATGGACAAGTGATCATTTTGATGAATAAGACGAAAGTGACAGTGTTTTTGAGGGCCTTGAGGAAAAGTTGGAGAACCAAACAGAGCCCAAGAACCTAGATAACTGATTGCAGTAGGAAGCCACTGGATCAACTAACCCTTAACCCTACTTTATTTCTCTATGTATACATTGAATTTCTTCATTATTCTATTCATTTTTGGATTTGATTTTGTTTGATTTTGCTATCTGCTTGCTAGTCAATAGATTTCTCATTGATATAGTGATAGCATACAGTAAATATCTGTTTTAAATGTTCTTGTATTAACATATTATAAGCTTTTCCCAAAACAACTTAAATATATTTTTAAGAACTAAAATGCTTCCAGACCATGTGAGAAGGATGTGGTCCTTAGATTATGCTATCCTGACAACACCTGATTGGACAAGGCCTAAATTTCTAATTGAAGGCACATGTATAGCCTATGATATAAAGTAGGTAGACTTAAACTTTCTGGTTAAATGTCTATTTTCAAGGGACAGATCAGAGCTTGCATAATGTTTGACTTTCCATTTCTGCCTGTTCAGTTAAATTCAAACTTCATTAGCCAGTCTTGTCTGCGGTTAGTCATTAGATATATATTTCTTAATTATCTGGTTTAAAAAATTGGTGGCTCTGAATTATAATACTTGAATTCAAATTTTTATTTAGAGTAACTCAATACAATCCTGGCTTCTGCAACTTCAAGCTCTGTTCCTTAGCCTGCTGGCAGGTGATAACTGTGAAATTCCCCCAGACTGCATGTGAAAATAGACCAGAATGTCACTGTGCAGCTATAAAACATCACTTGTGTTTCGGGAATTGTCCATCCTGCCACATGTTTACTGCTGTGGGGACCTCAGATAACTCTGAGTATGATAACTCTGACTTACATATGGATAGTAGTGTATTTAATTTTGAGCTTCTGTTCTTACACAGTCATGTTCCATTTACTATGTATTACCCCCCCATATATGAAAAATTAGTCAGATATATTTCTCTTGTTATAAAGAAAATGACGTAGAAGTAATCATTAAGCTGGGCCGGGTACGGTGGCTCAAGCCTGTAATCCCAGCACTTTGGGAGGCCAAGGCGGGCGGATCACGAGTCAGGAGATCGAGACCATCCTGGCTAACATGGTGAAACCCCGTCTCTACTAAAAATACAAAAAAATTAGCAGGGCGTGGTGGCGGGCGCCTGTAGTCCCAGCTACTCGGGAGGCTGAGGCAGGAGAATGGCGTGAACCCGGGAGGTGGAGCTTGCAGTGAGCCGAGATTGCGCCACTGCACTCCAGCCTGGGCGACAGAGAGAGATTCCATCTCAAAAAAAAAAAAAAAAAAAAAGAAGTAATCACTAAGCTTATCTGATGACCAGTCCCCTAAGTACTTCCAAGTCTTCATTCTTGGTTGTGGCATAGCGGATGAATCTTGCTGGATCCTTGGCTATCGGCTGTTCATCTTATATCCTCTTCCAGAAAGGGCATGCATTTCTTAAGCAATTTACAGCAACTAGTTCCTGTACGTGTTTGATAATAGATTATCTATTTAATAAAATCAGTTTGCTGTTAATGATATTCTACATAAAACATGTAGTTTCACACTGTACCTTCTTTAGAAAATTTAATCCTGTCTCACTGTGGTTTCTATAGTTGCCATTGCTCTTTATTGGTACTGTAATAATCAGGGCAGCAAATTGTGACCCACCTTTGCTCCCTTAGGCTCTAAAATAAGCCTTTGGGACATCATGTTTACAGGTACACTGAGGCTCTAAACTGTGGTTTCAATCCTAAGTGCAACTGGATATTTTATAAACATCAAGATATAAATTGGCATCTCATAAAATGTTAGATTCTTACAGAAATCCTAGACTAGGTCATAGACAGAACAGTGAATTATGTAAATAAATATTTTAAACAGGTATCTCCACCTTTTTTGATACTGTAAAAAATATGAAGGGGGAAATGTATAAGAATACTTCAGAGGTTCTTTGTAAAATTTATTTTTTCCCTATTTACTAACATCTTGAAACACTTAGAAGTGTTTTTTTCTAGCTGAATGCTTTTTTCTACCTGAAAAAATAAAATATTTCCACATTATACTGTTCCTGCTATCCACAGATCTATTCTCCCAGGTTCATCTCTTCAAGATTTGTTCATAAATTATTGATTCCTCCTAATATTCACAACCTCATAGGATGTGCATTTGTGCGTGTGTGTGCATATGTATGTGTGTGCACATGTATGTGTATGCATGTGTGCACATGTGCATGTGTGTATATGTGTGTGCTTGAGTGTCCTACTTTACTGCCCATATAGCTTTTGCCATTTCTTTCCTCAAAAGCTAAGAGGATAGTGACCAAAATATCTATCAGAATTAACAGGATGCTTGAATAATCCTGCCCCACATAGACTTTCTTATTATATAGGTATAATTTAAGAAACTTTTAATATTTTAATGTTTCTCTAGTTTGGTTCAAAAATGGTTTTTAAGTAAATAACAGCTTGAGTAAACAGCATAGAAAATACATATGTATTTTATGTTAAATAATAATAGCTTATATCAAAATCTAATTATAACCATGAATAAAATAAAAGATTTTACATAATAATAAACCAAGGAAAAGAAAAGGACTTATTAAAGTTTAGACATTTCTCTCTCATTATGTCTTTACTTGATTTCTGAGGAGAAATGACCGAATTAAGAAACAGCCATGAGGCATAGACACACAGTGGAAAATCATTTCTCTTTTCAGTAAGTTTTGGGTCTGCTTTAAATTGATCATTTGTTTCATCAGCTAATCCCCAAACAGAGGGCACGTCCGCTCTACTTGCAAAATTCTTGTATGTAAGTTGAATTCTCCCTTTATCAACTCAGGCCAATAAGTACTTTATTTTGTTTTTGCTTGTTGTTAGGGGAAAAAAAAAAAAAACAAAGATAATCAGCTCATACTACTTGCGTAGCTGTCTGCATTTTAATTCCAGACTATGAACGAGCGTCAGAGTGCCCTTATGATATTTTGCACAAAAGGCTCAGTGTTTATGACTCTACTCAGAGAACCCAAAATAGCATTGAGTAAGCAGTGACATACTGACAGTGTTGTGGTACTAAAAGCACAAGCGTCTGTAACTCTGGGCAATGGGGCACATCGAGAGTTTGCTGAGAAGACTGTGAAGCAAAAAGAAGAAAGTTTTTCCTACTCTTCCTTATGTGTCCAACACGAAGTTTGCTGTTCAGTTTTCACAGAACTTCTAGAAGTTGAAGTTACAAAGGTAAGACTGTGATAATCAGGCATATTATAAACTACATGCATCATCTTTAATGAGTCAATAGGTCAAAAAGTACATGACAAAATGTTGCTAGGAAAATATTCTAAAAATATTAAGGAAAATATTTACATAGGAAATAAGGAAAATATTCTAAAAATTTTAAAACCATGATGTGTACTTGTACTGAACTTTCTCAAAACACGTATTTGTGAGAACAGTTCTCCATCTCTGTAATACAGATTGTTGGTGTTGGGGGGAAGTTACACCTATGTTAGGATATTTAAAACTTCTCAAGTTTCTTAGAATAAATGAATCAACCTTTCTTTGCATGTCTTTCTTTGCACTTTTTTCTTTGTTCAGGGTTTTATTTTTTATTTATCATGTATTTACCATGTATATCAGGTAATATGAACAATAGAGTTGTCATCATTAAGTATATGAGAAAAAATATATACAGAATAAATATGAAAAATTTTAAGTATATTATAATTCCAAAAAAATTAAAATATTAGCATTGCTATGAATAAAAACACATATATGCCTAAAATTGTACAGGCATATTAATTTACCTATATGTATTATAACATTTATACATAACACAAAAGGTAATTTCTCAAATATGAAAGTATAAATTAAGAAAAGTATAAATTAGGAAAATGCATACTGTAAAAGACATTTTATATTGTTTCAATTCTAATTTGGTACATGCAATTTTAATTGAATAACTAATTATAATAAAATATTTCAAAATAAGTTTACCAAAGGGATTTAATAAATCTATTAAATATAAAAACATAAAATATTTAGCAACAAAAAATACCTAAATAGAGTGGCAAAGGTTTTCTTTAGATTATGTCAATTTATATTTTAGCTCTATTAATTCATTTGTTGAATTAATATATCTGTAAGAAAGACATTATTTAGATAAAATATTTGAAAATTTAGTAATATATATTTATGTTTTAGATGTAGTTACAATATTAAGTAAAATTATATGCATTAATATATTCTTTTTTCAAATTCTTAATATTGTAATTATCAGCAGTATGCCTACTTACTATAATTTTTGATTTCAAAGAATTTAAATTTCAATGTAATGTGAACATTTATATTGACCAAATAAAATAACTAACAATTTATTTTTAAAAGGAATAAGCATTTCATTATTGTCTGCAATTATTCAAAATTTTTAAACAATCAATTTATGTCATTTAGAAACCACCAGATCTCCTTTCCTTTACATATGTTTTCCACTTTACCAAGCCTTTATAACAGTGAACGAAATGCTCATATCATTATATAAATATCTGATTTTTACAGTCTTACACATTAGTAAATTCTTTACTTAGGCTCCAGTGAAATATTTATAATTTTAGGCACACACAGACACATCTGCATATATCGAAAAGCATATGTCTTCTACTTATATTTTTTGTTTTGTTTTGTTTTTCACTTAGGAATGTTTGTAAGGTACATTTCCTCAAGAAACATAAAAAAATTTTTGATTAAATTATCATAAATTGAAGATGCTTTAAAATGATGTGCACAGATGCCTCCTATGCATTATTAAGAAACCAGATCCATCTTTCAGGAATTTCTCCTAATACAGCTACATATAATCTGATACATATCATCTATAACTAAATATCAACTGATCATTTTTGCCACTCATGATCTTAGCATGTACTCTTAAATATATGTTATGTTTAAAACATTACATAGCAGTATTCAGCATGTTAGTGAGTAGTAATGCATTAGGAATAAATGTGTTAAACTGTTTAAAAGGAGATATTGATCTTTCTATATACCTTCTTTACATGAGAATTTATTGCTCCTAACCAAGTGTTTGAGAACCATGCTGGTGAATAAGAAAAATTTGTTGTCACGACGATTTCCTTTAACATCGATGATCTTCTATCACCTGTATCTTTGCTTTGGTGAAACAGATTGAAGTTGAAACACAACTAAGTATGGAACGTAATAATAATCCCACAGGAATCCTTTCTATCAATGGTGAAGACAGCCCCTGATTGACAAAATGAGTGTCTTTGCAAAAGTGACTAGAAAGATGTTTGCCACTTTAAAATCAAATCAAAACAAAACAAGATAAACTGTACCCTTACAGCGTTTTTTTTTACCCACTCTCACCACCTTTCAATTGAGAGAACACAGCTAAATGCTCTAAAGCCTGTCAAAATGTGTAACAGATCAATTTCCTTTTCAAATGATGCCTGCCCTCTTGAATATGCTGATATGATTCGTTAAGAGAATGCTTGTCTGAATTTAAAACATACTCTAGAATACATACCTTTGTCAAAATGTGTCACATTAATTACTCAATAATTATATTCAGAATCATCCAAGTATGTCTTAAGATTAAAGCAAAACATCATTTTTAAAAATCCTGCCTTGGCACAACACGTGAAATTTGAAATGTTATTTTAGGACAGTGGTTTCTCAACATACCAGAGCAGTAGATCCAGTTTAGCTGTTTTTTAATTCTAAGAAGTTTCATGATAAATGAAATTTGCAAATTTGCAAGATACTGTATTAAAGTGGGGATAATTTTGGCACATCAGTCATGTCTTAAAATAACCTAGGCAGTTTTATCTGTGTGCAAAATTTAGAAATGTCATTCCTGTGGAAATGAGCAAATCATAAATACATCACAGAAAAGAAGTCGCTATTTTTTTGACTTTAAGTTGTTTTATAGTTAAATTGTGTCAGAGAGTTTGCCATCTATTTTATTCCTAAAAAGGCCTGGTGGAGAATATATGACTTTCCTTGATGTAGAGATAATACTACTAAACATAAAGATAAACATAAAATGTAACTAGAATAATAATAAAGGCAAAGAGAAAAGGTATAGATGCATCTCTGAATTTTCAAGAGAGTAGTGTCATTTGTCACTAAGCAAATACTTCTTGACAGTGCTTGAAATTGCTCTTGAACTGGTAAAGCAAAATGTAACTCTTCCCCCATAGTATTTGATGAGAAATAAATGGGCTATAATGTCACTCGTCAGGTGGATATAATTCCCCTTCTTCTAAATAACACTTTTCTTTGGGAGACTATGTAAGACATTGGTTTATTTTTGATTATTTTCTCTCTTTTATCGAATGCTTATAGAATAACCCAACCCTGTAGGCATATGAGGATTTGACTCCAAATTTATTGGTTAATAATAAATAAGCGTATTGATGTTTTCACACACATATGTGTACCTGGCTACACATTTCTCTATTAACAGATAATTTTGAATGCATGTGTATACTCCTTTGATAATTTCAAGACCATGTGAATTATTTATAAAACTTTCATGTCATTTTATACAATATGGATTTAATAAAACCACTTACATGAAATTTAATTTAAAGTATTTTTAAAGATACAAAGCGATGTTGTCATTTTGTGTACGTGTGTGTGTATTGCATTTTTAAACCAGTGTTTAAAACATACAATTCTTAACTCACAAATATGATTTTTATGAGATTATAATCATGTCATTGAGATTTTTTTGTGCATAAAAAAGGAAAAAGCAATAGACTTTTAAGAGAGTGAGTTAAATATTAAAAATCTCAGCAAGACATTACTTAACTGACCCTTAAATATTATGAAACAAAACATTAGAACTTTAGGGTTGCCAGATTTTTAAAAAATAAAGTAAGGAATTATTTTATATAAAACATCATCCCTTTCAACAGCATATTCTAGCTGTCTGTATACTTATTGACAATTTGGTGCAGGTTCAGAGTCCACATAATTTAAAATTTTAGGAATAAAGTCACATTTATTTATTCAATAATCCCAGTCACGCATTTAGATTATACTAAATGCTGTTACATTTAAGTACTAAAAGAAAGTATGTTTATTCTATCTGGCACAAATTTCAAAGGATTTACATACTTAAGATATCCTATCTATCTTTATTTTTAAATCCAGCTTGTAACATGAATTAACTATATTCACGACTGTTTCATAAACGTTCATGACTGTTTTCCTTCCTTAAGTTGA
This sequence comes from Homo sapiens, assembly GCF_000001405.40. Classification (NCBI taxonomy): domain Eukaryota; kingdom Metazoa; phylum Chordata; class Mammalia; order Primates; family Hominidae; genus Homo; species Homo sapiens. The sequence goes on along the minus strand of NC_000018.10, from coordinate 66,599,942 downwards.
TACATATTTTTAACCCATTACATACAACCCTTGGACGTATACTTTACTGTCTTCTGTGTTTAAAAAACTCAAAACACTTCTGTTTTGTTTTATACCATACACATTTTTGTTTATAATTAAGGTGATATTCTTGAATTTCTCATTTTGGGAATTAAAAAGTAGAAATTTATTTATCCTATATTCATGCCATTAATGTTAAAACAATTTATTAATCTGTTTATAGGATGTTTTCAATATTTATTTTTTATTGAAAATTGACAATTTATAATTGAATAAATTTATGAGACATAAACTGATGTTAGAATTCATGAAAACAATGTGGAATGATTAAATCAGGCTAGTTAATATATCCATCACCTCAAATATTTAACATTTTTTGTGGTGAGAACATTTAAACTTTGCTCTCTTAGGAATTTTGAAATGTAGAATACTCTACTATTAACTGTATTCGCCACACTGTCTAATAGAACCCCTTCTGAAACGTGAAACATACTCCTCCTGTCTGAGATTTGACCTTCATTTCCTCATCTGCCCCACCCCACCAGCCTCTGTAAATACCAGTCTACTTTATGCCTCTATGAGTTCCATTGTTTTAGATTCCACATAAAGATGACAAAATGTGATATTTCTCTTTCCGTGCTGGCTGAATATTACTTAGTCATTCTTCATACACAGCTCATAGCAGACAATTAAAAAAAATCCCCAAAATATGCAATAATAGCATTAAACATTGTGCTAACCTAGTCCATCTGGCACCACGTTTTATGTTGACAATACCTTTTCATGATTAAATACTCTGAATAAACTCAACAAAATAAAGTTTTACAAATATGAATTTAAGTTAATATGCAGAAAATATAAAAAATAAATATAAAACAAGTGATACAATTTTTTACATTATATCCTTTATGAAAGAGGCTAAACATTCAATTTTATATTATACAATTTGAAACTAAAATAATTCTTATCTTGAGATTGAATTCCAAAATATTTTGTATCAAAATAATAATATATTCTTATTTACCTTTTATAGCATGTCTTTGAAGTGTACTTTCCATTTTAGTATTCTATATTTTATTATAGCTTCAATTAAATTTTTACTTTCTAACTCTGAGTTTCAGGGGGTACATGTGCTAGCTTGTTACATGTGTAAATTGCATGTTGCTGCGGTTTAGTGTACAAATTATATCATCACCCAGGTAGTGATAATACTACCTGACAGATAGTTTTTTGATTCTCGCCCTCTCCTCACCCCACCCTGAAGTAGGTTAGGCCCCAGTGTCTATTACTGTGCTGTCCATGTGTACTCAATGTTAAGTTTTCCACTTATAAGTGAGAACATGCAGTATTTGATTTTCTGTTCTTGCATTAGTTTGCTTGAGATAATGGCCTCCAGTTCCATCCTATTGGGGCAAAGGACATGATCTCATTTTTATGGCTGTATAGTATTCCATTGTGTAAATGTGTCAGATTTCCTTATTATGTCCATTGTTGATGAGCATCCAGGTTGATTCCATGTCTTTCCTATTGTGAAAAGTGCTGTGATGAACATATTTGTGCATATATCTTTATGGTAGAACTATATATTCCTTCAAATATATAGTTAATAATCCACTACTAGGATTGCTGAGTTGAATGGTAGTGATATAATCCACTACTAGGGTTGCCGAGTTGAGTGGTAGTTCTAAGATCTTTGAGATATCTCCAAACTGCTTTTCATAGTGGCTGAACTAATTTACATTCACATCAGCAGTGTGTAAGAATTCCCTTTTCTATGCAAATTTGCCAGCATCTGTTATATTCTGACATAGTAATAGCCATTCTGACTGGCGTGAGATGGTATATCATTGTGACCTTGATTTGCATTTCTCTAATGATTAGTGATATTTGGAATATTTTTTTTTATACTGTAAGTTCTAGGGTACATGTGCACCACGTGCAGATTTGTTACATATGTATACATGTGCCATGTTGGTGTGCTGCACCCATTAACTCGTCATTTACATTAGGTATATCTCCTAATGCTATCCTTCCCCCTTCCTCCCACCCCATGACAGGCCCAGGTGTGTGATGTTCCCCTTCTTGTGTCCAGGTGTTCTCATTTTTTAATAGGCTTGTTGGCTGTGTGCATGTCTTCTTTTGAGAAGCCTCTGTTCATATCTTTTGCCCATGTTTAAATGGGGTTGTTTGTTTTTTGCTTGCTGATTTGTTTAAGTACCTTATAGATTCTGGATTTGTCGGATGAATAGTTTGCAAATATTTTCTCTGATTCTGTGTGTTGTCTGTTTGCTCCGTTGATACTTTCTTTTGCTGTGCAGAAGCTCTTTAGTTTGATTAGGTCCCACATGTCAATTTTAATTTTTGTTCCAATCACTTTTGGAGTCTGTTATGGAATCTTTGCCAGGGCCTATGTCCAGAATAGTATTTCCTAGGTTTTCTCCTAGGGTGTTTATAGTTGTAGGATTTACATTTAAGTATTTAATCTGTACTGATTTTTTTATATGGTGGAAGGAAGGGGTCCAGTTTAAATCTTCTGAATATGCCTAGCCAGTTATCCCAGCACCACTTATTTAAAAGGAGTCCTTTCCCCATTGCTTATTATGGATGGCTTCATCGAAGATCAGATGGTTGTGGATATGCAGCCTCTAGGTTCTCTAACCAGTTCTGTTGGTCTATGAGTCTGTTTTTGTACCAGTACCATACTGTTTTAATTACTGTAGCCTTGTAGTACACTTTTAAGTCAGGTAGTGTGGTTCTTCCAGCTTTTTTTTTTTTTTTTTAACTTAAGATTGCTTTGGCTCTTTGGGCTCTTTTGTGGTTTCCTGTGAACATTAGTATGATTTTTTTTTTTTTTTTTTTTTGAGATGGAGTCTCGCTCTGTCGCCCAGGCTGGAGTGCAGTGGCGGGATCTCGGCTCACTGCAAGCTCCGCCTCCCGGGTTAACGCCATTCTCCTGCCTCAGCCTCCCAAGTAGCTGGGACTACAGGCGCCCGCCACTACGCCCGGCTAATTTTTTGTATTTTTAGTAGAGACGGGGTTTCACCGTTTTAGCCGGGATGGTCTCGATCTCCTGACCTCGTGATCCGCCCGCCTCGGCCTCCCAAAGTGCTGGGACTACAGGCGTGAGCCACCGCGCCCGGCCTAGTATGATTTTTTTTAATTTTGTGATGAATGTCTTTGGTAGTTTGATAAAAATAGCATTGAAACTGTAAATTCCTTGAGGATTATGGTCATTTTAACAATATTGATTAATCCTATCCATGAGCATGGAATGTTTTTTCATTTATTTGTGTCCTCTTTGATTTTCAGTAACTTTTGTAACTCTCATTATAGAGAAATTACACCTCCCTGACTAGCTGTGTTCCTAGGTATTTTATTCTATTTGTGGCTATTTGAGTGGGATTGTGGTCTTGATTTGGCTCTCAGCATGGACGTTCTCAGTATATAGAAATGTTACTGATTTTTGTACCTTGATATTGTATCCCAAAACTTTGTTGAAATTTTAATGAGATCTAGGAACCTCTGGGCAGACTTTTCTAGGTATAGAATCATATTATCTGTGAAGAGAGATATTTTGACATTATCTCTTCCTATATGTTTGCCTTTTAATTCTGTATCTTGACTTATTTCTCTGGTTAGGACTTCCACAGCTATATTAAATAGGAGTGGTGAGAGTCAGCATCCTTGTCTTGTTCCAGTTCTCAAGGGAAATGTTTCCAGCGCTTGCCCATTCAGTATCATGTTTGCTGTGAATTTGTCATAGATGGCTCTTATTATATTTCAGGTATGTCCCTTTTATGCCTTTTTTTCAGGGTTTTTAATATGAAGAGATATTAAATGTTATCAGAAGCTTTTCTGTGTGTATGGACATGATCATGTGATTTTTGTTTCTAGTTCTGCTTATGTTATGAATCACATTTATTTATTTACATATGTTAAACTAATCTTGCATCCCAGGAAACAAGGTAATCTTATCATGATGGATTGAATTTGATATGTTGCTGTATTTGGTTTGTTAGTATTTTGTTGAGGACTTTTGAATCTATGTTCACCAGGATATTGGCCTGAAGTTTTCTTCTGCTATTGAGTCTCTGACAGATTTTGGTATTAGAATGATGCCGGCCTTATAGAACGAGTTAGAAAGGAGTCCATCCTCCTCAAATTTTTGAAATAGTTTCAGTAAAATTGATACCCCGTCTTCTTTATAGTATCTGGTATAATTTGGCTGTGAATTCGTCTAGTCCAAGGCTTTTCCTTTTGGGTAGGTTTTTTATTACTGATTCAATTTTGGAACTCACTATTAATCTCTTTCAGTTTCTTCCTGATTCAGTCTTGGGTGGTTGTATGTTTCCAGGAATTTATCAATGTCTTCTAGGTTTTCTACTATGTGTGCATAGAGTCTCTCAGGTTTTTTTTTTTTTTTTTTTTTTCTGTGGGGCCGGTGGTAATGTCCCCTTGGACATTTCCAGTTGTGTTTATTTGGATCCTTTTTTTTTTCTTTATTAGTCTTCTAGTACTATACTAATCTTATTTATTCTTTCAAAGAACAACTTTGGTTTTGTTGATGTTATGTGTGTTTTTCATGTCTCCATTTCTTTCAGCTCAGCTAGCTATTTTTTATGTTAACTCTGGGTTGGTTTGCTCTTGTTTTTGTATTTCCTCTAGGTGTGATGTTACGTTATTAAGTAAAGATCTTTCTAACTTTTTGATATGGACATTTAAGACTAATAAACTTTCCTCTTAACACTGCTTTAGCAGTGTTCCAGAGATTCTGGTATGTTGTGTCTATATTTTCATTAGTTTCAAAGAACTTCTTCCTTTCTGCCTTAATTTCATTGTTGACCTGAAGGTCGTTCAGGAGCAATTTGTTTAATTTCCATGTAACTGTATGGTTTGAGTGATTTTCTTTTTTTTTTAATTTAATTTTATTTATTATTATTATACTTTAAGTTTTAGGGTACATGTGCACAATATGCAGGTTAGTTACATATGTATACATGTGCCATGCTGGTGCGCTGCACCCACTAACTCGTTATCTAGCATTAGGTATATCTCCCAATGCTATCCCTCCCCCCTCCCCCCACCCCACAACAGTCCCCAGAGTGTGATGTTCCCCTTCCTGTGTCCATGTGTTCTCATTGTTCAATTCCCACCTATGAGTGAGAATATGCAGTGTTTGGTTTTTTGTTCTTGCGATAGTTTACTGAGAATGATGATTTCCAATTTCATCCATGTCCCTACAAAGGACATGAACTCATAATTTTTTATGGCTGCATAGTATTCCATGGTGTATATGTGCCACATTTTCTTAATCCAGTGTATCATTGTTGGACATTTGGGTTATTTATTTTTATTGTTATTGCACTGTGTTCCAAGACTGTGATTCGTATGACTTTGGGCTTTTTGAACATGTTGAGAATTGCTTTATGGCCAAGTGTGTGGTTGATTTTAGAGCATGTGCCATACGTACATAAGAAGAATGTATATTCTACCGTTGTTTGATGGACTGCTCTGTAGTTGTCTGTTAGTTCCATTTGGTAAAGTGTCAAGTTTAGGTTCTGAATATCTTTATTAGTTTTCTAACTCATTAGTGTGTCTGATACTGTCATTGGGGTGTTAAAGTCTCCCAATTATGATTGTGTGGTTATCTAAGTTTCTTCGTAGGTCTTCAATACCTTGGTTTCTAAATCTTGGTTCTCCAGTGTTGGGTGCATATATATTTAGTATAATTAAGTCTTCTTGTTGAATTGAACCCTTTATCATTATGTAATGCCGATTTTTGTCGTTTTTGATAGTTGTCTGTTTTGTCTGAAAGAAGAATAGTAGCTCCTGCTCTTTCTTGTTTTCTGTTTGCTTCATAGATCTTTCTCCATTCCTCTACTTTGAGCCTGTGGGTGTCATTGTACATGAAACAGATATTTTTAATTCAGCACACAGTTGGGTCTTTAAAAAGTGGGGCATTTAGCCCATTTTCATTCAGCACATTATCTATCTTCTAAAAAATCCTCATTAACTCCAAACCTCTCATTGCTATCATCCCAACTCTCTGTTTTCCCTCTCTCAGCAACTTCTTTGAAAGACTACTTTGAATTGTGGAACTTCATTCTTAACCTCCAGTTACCCTTCAATTCATTATTTCTGTTTCCTGAGATTCACTCCTAAAACTTCTCTTCAGCTATACAGCAAATTATTAATTTTTCTTAATTGAAGGCCGATATAAAAGATCAGAATTGGAAACTTATGGTGTACATTAGTGGAAGAAATAACCAGAATTATTCTTTATGTTGTGGTCTCTTTCAGTGACAAATTAGAAAATATATATATTTTTGTGTTCATCTGTTAACACTAGTTTATTTTTTAATACAATGTGATGTAGAACTCTACTTTCTTGATACCCTGAGGTTTTTTCGACTACTAAGTTTTTCTACTATGCAAGTCTCCAAATATCTTTGCCATAATCCTATCCAACATCTTTAAACACTTAAGAGAACTTATATGTCAAAAAGTACATGGCTTATCTCAGCAATTAGGTTTTAAGTTTAGACACAATAAATAATACATTGATAAATTTTTTTGTATAAGAACATTTTAGATATCAATTTATTTCTTTAAGATAGAGTCACAGATGTGAGATTGAAAATAAAATGACTTTCAGTATTTAACACTCCAGAAACATTATTGGTTACTTTCAAAAATACAATTCCTATTTATTTTGCTGTTATTATAAACAATTTATAACAAGAATTTATGAACTAAGGCCAATAAGTATATGGAAAAATTTTCAACATCACTAATCATCAGGGAAATGCAAATCAAAATCACAATGAGATATTATTTCACCCCAGTTAGAATGTCCATTATCAAAAAGTCTAAAAAAAAATACTGTTGTGAATGTGGAGAAAATGGAACTCCTTCATTGTTGCTGAGAAGGTAAAATAGTACAGCCATTATGTAAAACAGTATGAAGGTTTCTCCAAAAACTAAAAATAGAACTAGATAGAAGTAATATATGATTCAGCAATCTCACTACTGGGTATTTATTGAAATGAAAGAACATCAGTATATTGAAAATATATCTGCATTCCAATGTGTATTGCAATATATGTATTGCAATTCACAATAGCCAATATATGGAAGAAAACTAAGTGTCCATCAAGAAATAAAAGAATAAATAAAATGTGGTGTATATACACAATGAAATACTATTCAGCCATAGAAAAGAATGAAATTCTATCATTCACAGCAACATGGATGAACCTGGACTGCATTACTTTAAGTGAAATAGGTCAGGCACAGAAAGATAAACACTGCAAGTTCTAACTGTTATTTGAAAGCTAGAATAAAATTAAGCTAACAGAAATAGAGTGAAGAATTATGATTATTAGAGAAAGGAAAGAATGGAAGAAGAGGAAATGGGGAAAGATTGTTTAATAGATATAAAGTTATGGCTAGAGAGGAGGAACAAATTCGTCTTTTCTATAGCACTGTACAGTGAATATGGTTAACAATAATTTAATTTATACTTTTTAAAAAGCTAGGAGAGGATTCAGAATGTTCCTAACACATACACACAAAGATAAATGTTTGAGGTGATTGTTGTCCTAATTACCCTGATTTTATCATCACACATTGAATACATGTATCAAAATATCACTCTGTATCCCATAAATATGTACAATTATTTGTTCATATTTGAATATGTACAAAATAAAGATTTTAAAATTATTATGAATTAAGAACTTGGAGGTAATAGGAGGTAAATGAATTTACTTGAGGGATTTAAGACATAGAATTAATCATAGTTCATCTCTAGTCAGGCTTCATGCTCAAATGTATGTATATGGGAGGTTAGCTGAAGGAAACATTAGAGAAGAACCTTTTATTCAAGTGTGAGCTTTCAACAGGATGCTGATTTCATTAAGGGAAAGAAGGAACATAACGATTAGGTGGAAGAGTGAATAGAAAGTAAGAATTTCAGTATGCACTTTGAAATGCCTCGTGGAAAGTAGTTCTGTAGGTCTGGAGATTAGAAAAGAGATAAATATGGATTGCTTAGACTGTTTTGTGATGCAGTAGGCAGATACTCACTGAAGCCACATAATCTGAAGATATTATGTCCAGAATGTGCAAAAAATGTCTTCAAAATAGAACCCCAAGATTTAATTTTCCTCAAATACCAATATGACTTTTCAGGAATGTTTTTTCCATTAAAGTAAATAGGAAAGTAGGTAAATAGAATTCCACTTGTAAGTTGCTAGATTATCAATGATTTTCAAAATCTATATTCGGACGTGACAGTGACAATATAAGGTAAGAATTTTAACCTTCTGCTAAATTAAAATTCTATCTAAACTCTCTTAGTTTTTATAAGTATTTATGATAGATTTGTACTGTTGTCTACTGCCAACTCTGAAAATTTTACATAATAGAAACTGTGCACACTAATCTTCGGTGTATACACCTAAAATCATTTGTAAATGATCATAGCAAATATTTCCCGTTTTCAATCGTTCTGACTTGGAAGGAGCCCTCTCCTGCATGGCTTAAATAGCATTTATATTGAGAGCTGCTCCTTTGATGATTCTTGTAGCAATGGGTGATTACCAGTGATTATCTTATGCACTCCAGGAACTGATTAATAAGCATTTATTTAAAGAAGTCAGACATTATAAGTATTTAAATAAATCTCATGTTTATATGACATGAGGACCTTTATTAAACACTTGATATATTCTAACTACAGTTTCTGTTATTTTTAATGGGATTTATCCAGAAGATCTAGAGGTTACATTTATTAAATCGTCTTGCAGCTGAAGATACTCAATCTGAGATTGTTTAAGAATCTTGACTAGTGTCATGAAACTATGGTATCATGGAGGTACAAATCATTACATTTTATGCAGATTCTACTTACGGGTCAACATTGACTTAATGTTACAAAATGAGAACTTAAAAAGTAATACATAAAAAAAATCACTGCTGATTATCCTCTTGAGGAAGAAAGGGAAAATGATAGACCCCAAACAGGCTTAGGTGGAAGATACAGACCCGCAAAATCCAACATGATTATGCCATGCTCCTTCATCTTACAAGGAAGTCTGCAAGGAAGTGTTTATATAACACAGCAGGCTCACCATGCTTTTAAATGAACTATGGAAAAATATGAGAAATTTCATTTATATTTATGCTTTACTTCATTCTTTTGCATTTCAATTTTGAGTTCATTTTAGGAAATACTTTACATAGTGATAACATTTGTGTTTGTGAATCATTAGTATATAAATACATATACAAATATTGGGGTTCACCAGCAGTATTTCTTTCTGATAGGAGAATAAATTATGAAAAGTTTGAAAAACACTGTTCTATAAATAAGTGTTAACCAACTTCTACATGCATTTTCTTTTTTTTTTTTTAAAGATATACGTATTCCAGAAAATGGCTTCTGCAAAGACATTGGTTAAAGGTACCAGCTCTAAAGAAAGCAAAATTCTTTGTCTTAATTCCAATCCCACCAATTGCTTTATGGCTAAGACAAGTTACTTAACTTCAATATGCTCAGTATCTGCATTTATAAAATAGCAACATAATAGAACATATACTATAGAATTATTGTAAGACAAGTCAATTAAGGAATGCCATTATCTTTGCATAGTAATCATCACAGAGTAAACACTCAGTATGGTTGACAAGATGATGATGGTGATGATATTTCCTGAAAATATTTACCGTAAAGTCATCTTTGAGGCTTGTTAAAAAAAATACCCAGCTCATGAATCAGTAGCTGTGGAGTGGGATTATCTGTTTTGTCAAGCTTTTGAAATGATTCTGTGTTTCTGTAGAAACAATTTCCCTGAAATTGAGGGATCAAACTAACCCTTATTTGTCTACATATTTATTTAAAGATTGAGGTATTCTCCACATTCACAATAAAATTTTAAACTAAATATAATGAGGTCTAACAAAATAATAATAGTTTTGTCATATTTGTTCATTTGTTAAAGTCATAATTACTGCTATTGTCAAATAAAGTGCTTTTGCAGGCCTGGATCAAATGATTTTTATATTTCACTCAGTTCATGTGAATCAGATTTATGTGGTTCTGTGATATAATTATATTAATTTTTAGATTTTGTACTGATTCTACACAACACAAACATATATATACATAAAGAAAGGCAAATTAACAAAGTGCATGACTTTAGTTTTCTTTTTCCATTCACGAAGGATTGTGTTTTATAAAATCATGTTTATATTATATCTTTTCCATAACAAAATAGTACTTTCTATACCATTTGGCAGTGGTGCTTACTAAGTATTATTTTTGATAGTAGAGTAAATTTATAGATATTACAGTTATAGAGAGATGTGCTGAAAGGACAACTGATAATTGGAGAAAGGAACATTTGGATGATATGTTTGTCTAGGTATTATGTAGCTACTATCACAACATCAGCAAAAACTGTCAAATTGAATACAATGGTTTATTTACTATACTAAGCAGTGGCTAAAAAGAGTTTCAACAAGTGCAAAGTGAAACTATATCTTCTTAATGAAAGCATAAGAACAAAGAAATAAATACTGTTAGAAATTCTTGGGAAAATGAAATACACTGTTGGTTCGAAGAAAAATATGTAATCCTTCATGTTGCCTTTACAGATATATATATATATGTGTGTATATATATATATGTATATATATTCAAATATGTATATTCATTCAATTTGTCAAATATAATTTACGTGATAAACATGGTTAACTAACATAATGTTTGATCATTATTCTGAACAATGTTTTAGGAAAAAATAGTCTTTGCATAATTTTATGACTATGGAATTTCCCACTCTACATGTATGGTAATTGGTGGTTTTGTTAAACCATCATGATTTATTTGAAGGTTCATGAAATTTTCAGTCTACCTTATTCATCAACCTTTAAAGATTTTTATTTTTACTTTTTAAATTTTTTCTTGTGTTGTTATTATTGTTGGAAGTAGGAAGCATTATTTGTTTATTCTCTGCTTTCTAAAAAGCTGTTAATTCATTAATCATCAAAAGAAGCCTGGGATGTATGATTCCCTAATCAGTAGTTTAGTGGTGTATCTGCATATATTCCACTTCAGTCTTCAAACTGTAACTTTAAGTGAAACACTGTGTAATAAAACCAATTTTATCAGAGGCTAATTGAGATAAAGGAGAGTTTAGTCCCTATGACATATTTCTGGTAACAAAAACTTCACTAAACTTATAAATAAGGACCAAAACATTTCTAATATTAAACACTGAAATAAATCTGAGCTGTATCTATATATATATAGATATAGATATAGATATATATGATTAGTAAAAATGAGTAAGATCATTATTTACCCAATTTTGGGCGAATCAGTGAGTGACTGGCAGTTGTGGTGATGGGTTAAATCAAGAAATGAATGTTGGCAAAACAAAGATTGTCAGGATCACCTCTGGCCACTATGAAGTTCAAACACAAGAATTAACAAATAACAGCTGGCTCGCTGAACTCTTTCCTACCCAGCATAGTTTATTGTCCTGCATTTGTATGATGATCATGTACTTTACAAATCTTCATTTTACAATAATTTGTATTCGTTTATTTTCCAACCTGGTTATTCCAGTTCAGGGCCATGGGTGACAGGAGCCTATCCCAGAAACCCAGGGAGATTGGTGGGAACCAACCCTAGACAGGGTGCCATCCCATTGCAGGATCACCCTCACATGGTCACACTCACTCAGACTGGGGCCTTGTAGATGAACAACCAGCGTGATGTGCACAGCTTTGGGAAGTGGGAAGTGACTGGAGGATCCAGATAATCCCATGCAGACATGGGGGGAATGTGCAGACTCAACACAGATAGTGGCTCTGGCAGTGAATCAACTTTTTTCTCATCAATATTACACTGAAATGAAATTCAACAAAATGACATTTTTTGAGGAGTTGTTGTACAAGCTCACCTTGATCTTTCTTCTCTTTTGAAATGAATATAATATTTACTGTACCATTGAATTATGAGACAAATTACTAAGAGAACAGATGAGTACCATTATGGCATTAGAGACACAGTTGATTTTGTTAGTCGGGGAGCTAGGCTATTACAGTAACCAATTAACCTTCCATTTCTCAGCAACCTCCTACCACAAACATCAGGTGGAAGTTAGTGGGGGAAGTGTATCCAAGTTTCACAGTCACTCAGTGACGCAGGCTTGGTAGAGGCTCCACCATCCTTCAACTACTGATTGCCAAACTAGGAAGCAATAAAGACGAGACAATTATTCATAGGCCTTTCAGTGTTTCAGTTCGAAAATGGTGTACATCACTTTTACTCATATCTTGTTAGTAAAACCAGTCATGTAACCTTGTGCAATTGCAAGAGACATATTGGTAAACAATTATATGTCTACCACAGTAACCAAAACATTTTAGTTCTTCTTTTTTTTATTTGTTTTATATACCAGTCATAGCCATTTCATCCGATTAGTCATTCAGAATTTAGGGACAGTTTATGAGGTCTTAAAAATCTGAACCTAAGCTTTTCTTAGAGTGATGGAGTGGAAGGAAGAATATCATGATAGCAATCGCAGTTCCTTCTGAGTCTGGAGTAACCAGCACCAGTTAGCATTGTCACTTGTGATTTTTGAAGGTATCTTAACCTCTGCGTTTCCCAACTCTCATTTGACACTCCTAACACAGGCAATTTCTTTTGACATCCAGTTGGTCATTAAGTTTTGTCAATTCTGCCTCCATGTTATTATTGATTCTCTTACTTATATTGTCCTTTGCTGAAGAGCAGGATTAGTCAGAGTGCTGGGATGAAATATCACCTTCAAGAAGGCAATAGAAGGTCATGGATCTAGGGTGTTTGATGGAGAAACAGAACAATTATTTCAATGTCCTGGTAATGCAGGTGCTTCTAAGCACTGATTAGAAGATCCAAATAATTTCTTTTAAGACTAAAATCATATTGTAACTAACTAATAAAATTAAAATGTTAATATAAGATAAAAATAGATTAAATAAAAGGATAGGCATGGAAGTGGGAATAAAGACAATAGGTAATACGCATTCCAAAAGATATTCCAGCCACAACAATTCAAGAAGGGGATTTATTTTTTCTTAACATTGTTCTAATATTAATTTTCTTGCTTCTGTGTTTAACTACACAGACAAGATTTAAATAAATTCACAAAAATACAGAGTACCTTTTTGAAATGAGCATTGAGACAATGTTAGTATCATTTTTTAAAATAGACTTCACCACATAGTGTAAAATCTGCCACTAACTCTCCATGTTAACTCCTCTATATGGTACTACAGAGGTGCTTTTGGAATGAAAGGGGACTGTTTATAGACACTTTGTGGCTTCCTTCTTTTTTTTTTCCTTTTTATAAAGAATCTCTCAAATTAGAAGAAAGATAGGTAATATTCTCTAACTACTTCCCCATTTTAATATTACCACTCCAGTCCCCCAGAGCCATGTGTTCCTATTTGTTTCACACGAAGGCTTTATAGTATTTGCTTGCTTCATGTGTTCACTTCCCAAGAGGAGAGGTAAGATGTGTTTTTTAAATTGATGAAGAGAAACTCTTATTCTTATTTTTTAGTAGCATTTTCAAAACCTTTAAGTTTTTCTGTTTTTCTTTGTTTTGGGAAAGGTTTGGAACTCTCTGATCACCACAAATTCTAAGTCTATGATATATCATTTTGGCCACGCCTACTCAATATTTTTCTAAAAATGGAGACATTATATTAATTGCCATCTGTTTTTCTCTATGAGAAGCTGGGCTTAGTTGAGCTCAATATTTCAGCTTTCCATGAGCTTTCCGGAATACATTATATTTTTACAAGTTTTCACAGATGGAATAATTAGCTTTATGTAACCAAGAAGAGGTCATAGAAAAGACAATTTCTAATTAGATTCAGTTTCAAACTGCATAAGTGCATAGATTATAATATTTTTCATCCCTTAAGTCGTAATTAGTCTTCTTTGAAAATATAATTGTTCTGAGTCACACTGGGCTCATTTTCAGCTTATATATGTCCATGCAATATCATGTATTGCTTCAAGCATGATAATATGTATCTGTCATAGTCACTTAACCATGCTTAGAAAAAAAATAATGACATTCAAATAATTTGAAAATACATGTGGAACATATACATCAGGGAAAATATATACTAAAGTATTTTTGCAATAGTCATTTACAAAGCTTTTTATGTGTGTATATTTTTAGCAGAAATGAAAATAGCTGAATATTTCGACCTTGAGAAATGCAGAAATCACTAGATGCTTATTATTCACCTGTCAATAGCTATTTTCATGTAGCTCACTAAAAACATTTAACTCTTAATACGTGCCGGACAGTATTTTGGATGCAGCAACTCATTTCATCAAGAACACAGACCTTGAGAGGCATAATAATTATCCTCAATTTTCACATGAGACAACTGAGACAACCAGAGGTCGAGCTATTCGTCCAAGGTGATGGAACTAGCAAGTGTTGGTGTTGAGTTAGTTATTCAGCCATCCTTGCTCCACATGTGCTACTCTTATCTCCAGCAAACTGTCTTTAGAACATTCCATCTCAAACTATTTGGGAAAATAACCCGAAAGTCAGTAGAGAGTGACTCTCTTGGTCTTTACTATGGTGCAAAATAACATTTATTTATATAAAATCAATTTATATTATATATATCCAGGACTTCTTCCCTGCATTTGTCTACAACTTTTTTCCTTCAATTAAAGAAATTATATTGTATGTGTTCCGTTTCTTTATTTCACTTGACAATTATGGCACCAAATTATGTGGCTGCTGAGTAACAACATGTTGACATAAATTTTTTAATGTTTGTATTCAACGGTTGGTCGTTTGTTCAACTGTGAGACCAATTTTATGTACCTCCTCCCAGTGAATGGATTTTGGCTATTGAGAGTGTTTACAGTGCTTTTTAATTGTACATGAAAACTAAAAATAAAGACAGGTTTATGTGAGTTTATCTTCTGAAATAATCAAAGGAATAGTAGAATACCTGTTTAGATATTAGAAGTAAAACAGTGTTTTATTTTTCTGTAGTATATCTTGTCATAAGAACATTAAGAGAAAAAACACATTTTAGAAAAACATGAAAATATTGTACAGGTTTGACTGCAAACACACAGGAAAGTAATAAGAAATAGCCTGTGTTCATGTGATGGTTAAGTTAAAATCAGACTGCATAATATTTCATGGTATATGTGTACCACATTTCTTATCCAGTCTGTCACTAAAGAGCAGTGAGGTTGGTTCCATGTCTTTGCTATTGTGAATAGTGCTGCAATGAGCATTCGTGTACCTTTATGGTATGTATATTCATGTGTGCATGAGTGAAAATGCATGTGTCATTATGATAGAATTATTTGTATTCATTTGTGTATATACCCAGTAGTGGGACTGCTGGGTTGAATGGTAGTCCTGTTTTCAGCTCTTTGAGAAATTGCCTTACTGCTTTCCACAATGATGACATAAATGAACTAATGTAAATACTAATTTATACTCTCACCGACAGTGTAAGTGTATCTTTTTCCCTTCAACCTTACCAGCATCTGTTATTTTTGAGTTTTTCATAATAGCCATTCAGAGTGGTGTAAGATGGTATCTCGTACTTTTGATTTTCATTCCTCTAATAAGTGAGACTGAGCTTTTTGTCATGTGCTTGTTGGCCAAGTGTATGTCTTCTTTAGAAAAGTGTCTGTTCATGTATTTGCCTACTTTTTAATGAGGTTGTTTTGTCTTGTAAATTTTTGTTAAGTTCTTGATAGATGCTGGATATCAGACCTTTGTCAGATGCATAGATTGCAAATATTTTCTCTCATTCTGTAGTTTTCCTGTTTAGTCTGTTAATAGTTTATTTTGCTGTGCAGGGATTCTTAAGAGCAGTTAGATTCCACTTGTCAATTTTTCCTTTTGTTGTGATCGCTTTTGGTGTCTTTGTCATAAAATCTTTGCCTGTTGCTATGCCCAGAATGGTATTGCCTAGATTGTCTTCCAGGGTTTTTATAGTTTTGGGTTTCATGTTTAAGTCTTTAATCCATTTTGAATTGATTTTTGTATGTGGTGTAAGGAAAGGGTCCAGTTTCAATCTTTTGTATATGGCTAGCCAGTTACCCAACACCATTTATGGAATAGAGAGTCTTCTCCCCATTGCTTGTTTTTGTCAAAGATTAGATGATTGTAGGTGTGCAGTCTTACTTCTAGGCTCTGTATTCTGTTTCCTTGGTCTACGTGATTTGTGAGAACATAGATGTAGCTGGAGGCCATTATCCTTAGCAAACTCACTCAGGAACAGGCAACCAAATATCACATGTCTTCACTTATAAGTGGGAGCTAAATGGTGAAAACTCATTAACATAAATAAGGGAACTACAGACACTGGGCCCTACCTGAGGGCAGAGGGTGGGAGGTGGGATAAGAACAGAACAAAACAACTATTGGGTACTAGGCGTAGTACCTGAGTAATGAAATAATCTGTACAACAAACTCCTGTGACATGAGTTTTCCTATATAACAAACGTGCAAATGTACCTCCAAACACAAAATAAAAGTTAAAAAAAGAAAATCATGTTTTTATTCCTATTTTTCTCACACGAACCCTATAAATTTCAGATGCCCTTCATTTCATTCTATTCCTGTCACTATGTTTTTTAAACAAAGAATATAATTATCAATGCTTATATGTCTGATGTTTATTTTTGTATAACACTGAGAGCACCAAAGGCTCATAAAAAAGTACAATAATTTTAAAAAATCAGACTGCAAAGATGGTAAAGACATAATTAAGATCTATACTGATAAAGGTGTTTTAGGCAAATCTTCAATACAGGAGCATACAAAAATTTACCCTTGACAAATAAGGGCAAATCATGGTCTGATAGTTTGTGGAGGGGAATAAAAAGTGAAATACTGTATCTAAGAATATGAAATTTCACCAGCATTTATTTAACCAATTGGAATCTATCTCTTTTCATTTTAGAACTTTTGCACACTCAGTCTTAATGTTGTCAGTGCTTACCACTTCACATATGCTGCTCATTAATCCACAGTCCTCTACCACTGCTCCTGAATAAAGTTCATGATATCCAGCCCAAAAATGAAATGGCACTTGTTGCTGTATATCTTAGGATTTCACATCAATAGTGAATGTGGAAGGCTGTGTAATGTCAAAGAGGGCATCAGAGGCTCCAGTATAGCTATTCTGACTCACACTGCTGTAGCTGTCCCAGAGGGCTTTTTTTTTTTTTTTTTTTTTTTGGTGACAGTAAGTATGCAAATTATATGCTTAATGAGAGTTCATAAATAAAACAGAAAATGATCTTTCACATTTTAGTGCTGTGCAATGAATGTTTAGAGAAAGAGTTGACACATGGGTTATTAAAATTTTTGGCCCCAAAATATTGCTTCCTTTTCACTTATGTATGCAAACTGTATCCACTCACATTTCTTTATATTTCATACTAGTGGTTCTGAGAAAGCCATTTCAAAGTCTTTTTATGCATGGTGTCATTCTGTGAAGCTGCCAAGTTTCCCTTGATTTTTTAAGAGATCACAAACAGGATTAAGTTTCTAAATTTATCCCATCCACATTTCCCAGCTTCAACTTATGTCTTCCCCCACACAGCCATCAAATCCATCATTCTGACTTATTTTTTTTACTTGACCTCAAGAATCTTTAGAACAAGGGGAAAAATTATATACTAAGAAGAGATAATAGAAAACATATATTTTGTCATTTGAAGAATGGTCCAAACGTTAAAATGTAATTTATAGATCTTTATTCAATGTAAACAAAGTGAACCATTAGATATAGATGTCACAGTGTTAGATATTTATGCATTTTTTTCTTCCATTCAATAAAGTACAGTGTATAGAATACACTTGATGTCTTTAAGATCAGTAGTTATGAATACATTTGTTTACAGGACAGGTCACTTAAAATTACTGAATATAAGTCCTAGCATATGGGATGTAATTAACACATTAAATAAAATATTGTATTAGGGTTCTTTAGAGGTGCAATGCTAATATGATATATGCATATATGAAAGGGAGTTTATTAGGAGAATTAACTCACACGGATACAAGGTGAAGTCCCAGATAGGCCCTCTGCAAGCTGAGGAGGTAGGAAGCCAGTAGTCGCTCAATCCGAGTCCCAAAGTCTCAAAAGCGGGGAGGCCAACAGTGCAGCCTTCAGTGGCCAAAAGCCTGAGAGGCCCCCAGCAAACCACTTTGAGTCCAAAGGCCGAAGAACCTAAAGTCTGATATCCAAGGACAGGAAGCATCCAGCACAGGAGGAAGATGAAAGCCAGAAGACTCAGCAAGCCAGTTTCTCCCACCTTCTTCCACCTGCTTTGTTCTAGCCATGCTGGCAGCTGTGACTGGATGGTGCCCAACCACAACCAGGGTGACTCTTCTCCCAGTTCACTGACTCTAATGTTAATCTCCTCTGGCAAAACCCTCACAGACACACCAAGAAAAAATACTTAACCAGCTATCTAGGGATTCTTCAATCCAATCAAGTTGACACCTAATATTAATCATCACAAACATACTCGCAATTTTACTTGGCCATAATATGTTGTTTCTTCTTATAATAATGCTATTTAAATATGATTATAATTAGTTTAGTATCTAATATTGTGCTAATATAAGTGCACTTTTATTTTGAAATATATTTACAACTTTGAAAATAAATATGGATTAACATTCCCAGGTATTAGCAATAAGAGAAAATATAAAAACACACTAACATAAGACATAGTATTAGCATTTCTTCATACTGAAATGTTAGGTAGATTTTTTAGCATATTCATCTGATTGGAAAATATAAACAAGATTGGAAATGCAGGGCAAAATGCCACTGCTGGTTTATCCAGGGCCCATTTCAGGCGAGAGCATTTTTTCTTATTTGCCTGGTTTCAGCCCAGAGTGTTTCTCAGTCTAGCAATGCTGACAGCTGCCACCAGTCTTCAATCAGAAGTGGAGCATTATGTGAAATGTTTTTCACTTCTGCTGAAATGTATGACCATTATAGAAAGTTTGGAATATAGAGGAGTATAAACAAAGCCACAGTATTTCATTATTGAGATATACCTACTGCTACCATTCATTTTTCTTGAATGTTTTATCTAAGAGTGTTCAAATTAAAGGGCTTTTTCCTTAGAATTATAAATGATGATTTTTAACTTTAAATTGAATTGAGAAATATTTCAATCATATATTTAATAGGGAAAAATAGCACTTGGTAGAAAAATGACCCAGATGTCATGAGTGTTGTTGTTTGTCATATTTACTTTAAACTGTTTTCGAGGAAGGAGAATCTTGCAGAAACTTCTAAGTTTCAACTTTTAGACAAATTTCACTTATTTCAATCATTGTAATTACCATGACAAATTTTGTCAGTTTTCTCTGCCTAGACTTACTAACTTAACTAATTGCTTTATGCCAAGAGTATTATGGGACATTGCCTTGTAATTGTGAAACACTTATATAATTATTATCATATGGTATCCTAATTTAAACATTCTTTTTTCAATTAATCCAATTTATACTTGCTTCCCAGTGGAAAAATTTGAATATTTCTCTAGGTATAAAATAGTAAAATACAACTGCTACTTTATATACACATTGTAAAATTTATTGCTTTTGGCCAAATTATTCTCCAAAATAGTGTCCAAATTTTCCATTTTATGAGTGTTGTATAGTTCTGCTTTCTATACATTGTCATCAATAGCTGGTATTACAGTAATTACTTGTATTTGTTTAACATATTGATTTAAAAGTACGAATTGCTGTATATTTTTGTTGTTGATTTAATACGTATATTTTAAGCATAAGTGAATAATAAAAGAACAACTATCCAAATACTCGTGACCCGAACTCAACAATTATTATCAATTTACCACAATGGTTTTGCCTATCTTCCATTTTTTTGAGATATTTTAAAGAAAATATACTTTTTCTCAAGACACCCTGTCATTTCTAATACCAATATGCTTCAAGTATACACGACTAAAAATAGGGCGTGTTTTTATATAACAAGAAAGAAACATTCAATGACCAAAAAAACTGGCAATACTTTCTCATTATCATCTATTGCTCATCTCTACATTAGTATGTATTATACCTTATACAGACTAAATTTTTTATAAATCCATAAAAATGCAAATATAAAAACAGTTTTGTAAAGTCATGACCCAAACAATGCCCACATTTTACACTAGTTCTAGTATATCTTAAATCTTTCTTAATCTAGAGCAATATCTTTCCTATACTCCTGCTTTTTTTGACATGTCAAATAAACTAGATCAATTTTGTGGTAGATCAATGCTTTTTTAAAATTTATTGTATATTCAGACCTTGTGGTGAGTGTGATAAAATGCAGACTCAAAGTCGGTATCTGTGAAGAAGCTCAAGATTTCGCATCTGTAGTAAGATGCTGCTATTCCACAGATTACACTGTGGGTAGCAAATCTGTAGAAAGACACAATTTGGGTTTGTTTGATTGTTTCCTTTTACTTTGTTTACTTTGTTTCCTGTTTAATTTGTTCTTTTATTACAGGTTAATTTCCCATAACTTGAAAATTAGCTTTCAACTTTTTTTGGTAAAATACTTTATAGGCAATGTTCTTTATAAAGGTCATATCATAACACATCAGAAACATCTATTATCTGTTGTTCCACGGTTAGTTGTCTAATTTGTTTTTCTAGGTTTTGACAAGTCAAGATTTTTAACAACATTAATGAAGTATAATTGGCACAATAATCTGCATATACTCAAGTTGAATTGAATTTTTGACATATTTCTACTTCTAAGACTTTCATCACAATACAGATAATGAGCACAATCATCACTGCCCTCAAAAGTCTCCTCATGTCCCTTCATCATCCTTCCCTCCTGATCTTCCTCCCACCCCCATTTTCCCACAGTTCTTAGTCTGATTTCAGTCACTATGATTGTTTTAAATTTTCTAAAATTAGATGCAAAAGGAAACACACAACCTGAATTTGTTGGCAGGCTTGTTTTACTCATTATTATTTTGGATATTACTGTATCAGTAGTTCATTTCTTTTCACTACTGAGTATCATTACATTGCATAGACATATTACACTTTCTTAGTACATTGACTTGTTGATAGACATTTGACTTTTCCCAGTTTCTTTCTGTTACAAATAAACCTGCTCTGATATTCATGTAAGCATCTTCATATGGAAATATAATTTTATTTTGTCTTAGGTAGATATCTAGATAGATATCCTTGATATCTAGCTAATATCTAGAATGGCTGGATCATATGGTAGGTATATGTTTAACTTTTTAACAAATTGCAGAACTGTTTTCTAAATAGTCATGCGATTTTACATTCACACTAGCAGTGTATGAGAGGTACAGTTGCTCTATGTTCTCTTCAGTACTTGATAAGGTCAGTCTTTTAATTATATTCGTTCTAGTAAGAGTTTACTGGTATCTCATTGTAGTTTTAATTTGCATTTACCCGTTGAAACTGAAGGTGTTGATTATCATTTTTTAACTTATTTTACATGTCAACTCTTTGTGATATGTCTCTTTAAATATTTTGCGTATTTAAAAAAATTGTGATGAATCTCTGTTTCCAAGTTTTGAAAGTCCTTGTACACTCTGAATACAAGATATATAATTAACAAATATTCGCTCAGTCTGTGACTTGTTTCCTCATGTAATTATCATCTGAGGTAGACCACATAATGGCTCGCAGAGATATCAAGGTCTTCACACCTAAAACCAAAGACTGTGATCTCTGTAGATAAACATGAGATTCAGTTAATGGTCTTTAGGTAGGAAGATTATCCTGTATTATCCAAGTGGACTTTAAAGGAAATTATAAGTGTCGTTATAAAGGGAGAAGAGGTAAATTTAACACAACAAAGAGAAGCCAATGTGAAGATAGAGTAGAGAGAAATTTGAAGATGCTCTGCTGCTGGCCTAGAGGTGGAATATGAACCAAGGCATGCAAGGAATAGAATACACTTTGAGAAGCTGGAAAATGTAAGGAAATAGACTCTCCTCTAGAGACTTGGGTGGAAGCATGACCTTTCTGGCACCCTGGTTTCAGTCCAGTGAAATTCATTTTAAACATCTCACCTATAGAACTGTAAGACAATAAATGTGTATCATTTTAAGACACTGAGTTGTGGGAATTCTTTACAGTAGCAATGGGATCTGATACAGAGATTATCTCCATTTTGATATGGTCCAATTTAACAGTTTTTAACAAGTGCACTTTGATATTGTTGTAAGAAATCTTTGCCAAAGAAATTACAAGTATTTCATCTAAATTTGTATTCACTTTTTGTGACCTCATGCACGGTAAAGTATGGATGAAAGTATCTTTTTCTCAAGTGAATACTCAGGTGTTTTAGCACAAAGACTGTTATTTCTCCATTGATTCACCTTTTGAACTTTTTCAAAAATCAATTGATCACATAAATGTAGGTGTATTTGTACACTTTGTGGTTTGTTCTACTAAATTATTTGTTGATCCAATACTTTACCATAATGATTACTGTAGCATTATGTGTTAAAGTCAGATGGCATAGTCTTCCAAATTTCCTCTTCTTTTAAAATGTTCTTTGAGTTATTCTAAGCCCCATGCTTTTGCATATATAATTATAGAATGAGCATGTAAGTTTTATAAAAATACCTGTTTGGAATTTTATTTTGTATTTTAATTTTAATTTAATTGTATTTTTAAAATTGCATTTATACAACACTTTGGAGGGAATTGACATTTTTAACCATTTTGAGTTTTCTGATCCAGTATCATCATAAATATCTCCAATCATATTGATTTTTCTTGATTCCTCTTAGCAGTATTTTATAGTGTGCAATAGAGAGGTATTGCACATTTTTGTTAGATTTATGTCCCAATCTTTGAATTATTTATATTATTATAAAATGTACTGTTGTATAAATTTTAAATTTTGCTTATGCGTTGCTAGTAAATAGAAATATAATTGATTTTAATATTGACCGTGTATCCTCCAACCCTGCTAAAGTTACCTATAGATTTTACCAGTATTTTTATAGATTTCATAAGATTTTCTATATGTGTATTTATGCCCTGTGTAAATAAACATATTTTTATCTTTTTAATCTAGATGCTTCTCATTTCTTATTTCATTGGATAGAATTTTCAGTATAATGTTGAATAGAAATGAATCAATTTGAATTATAGATTTGTGTGTTTCTTCTTGTAATACAATAAGGTTTTATTTCATCTTGTATTTCATTTATTTTGAGGCATTGTTATTAAGTGTATAAACATTTAGAAAAGTTGTGCCCTGTTAATGAATTGACATAATTCTTATGAAATGATATTGTTTTATATTATGAAATGACATTGTTTATCATTTATAATTATGAAATGATATGTTTATCACTTATAATTATGAAATTTATAATTATGAAATGATATTATTTATCACTGCTAATATTCTTTGTCCCAAAATCTACATTATCTAATATTATGGCCATTGTAGCTTTCTTTTGACTAGAGTTGAGCAAGATATATGTTTTTCATTCTTTAAATTCTTACCTACTGTACCTTTATATTTTAAATCATTTTAAAGACATATAGTTGAGTCTTTTTAAAAATCTAATAATCCTCATCTCATACTTTGATTTTTTTATCCCATTAATATTTAGAGTGATTATTATTATGGTTAATATTAAACATACTGCTTTGCTACTTGTATGTTTTTTTCACCTGTCCTTTGCTCACTTTTTTCTTTTATTTTTTCTTTAGATTGAGTATTCTTTAGGCTTCAGTTTTATCTATTTTGTAGCCTGTAGTAAACTCTGTTATTTTATTTTAGTAGTTGCTTTAGGTTTATTATATGCGCATGTACCATTATTATAATCTATTTTAAGTTATATCATACCACTTTATATATGGTTTATGGAGCTTAAAATAGCATATTCCTAATCTTTATGCTGTTAATTTCATACATTTTACTTCTGTAAATGATGTATGCTCCACAATACTTTGTTATTATTTTTGCTTTAACAGCCAATTCTCCTTTAATGATATTATAATTTAAAGAAGGTCTTTCTATTTACTGATATACCTTCCATTTCTGGTGATTCTATTTTTGCATAGATCCAGATTTCCTTCTAGTATTATTTTATTTCTTCTTGAAGGACTCATTTAATCATGTATCGTATTGTAGTTCCCCTTGTGTGCTGATGCTGTACACCAGAAAGAGTCTTCATCCCACTTTCCTTTATTGAAGATTAGGAATACGGCTTTGGTGTAACAACTGTGATTTGTTCAGGCCTGGTGATAGGCAGCTATAAAGACTTGACCTGGCAGTACAGTAGTCACTGCGAAAACATTCCCTTGTCACACCAGATTTGATGCACAACCAGTGCATTGCATTCTCTGAAGGGAGTTGCAGTCAAGGACACAGTCCCTTCTGTTAGGTCATGCTCTTCTCATATTTGCATTACTAGCCCCAGTGTTAAAGTGTAAAGAGGGCTTTATCTGTGGCCTTGGGCAGAGGTCTTTCTCCAGCATTTCTGATGAGGTCTCCTTATTGAGTAAAGTGGGTGAAACCTTGAAGACAGTTTCCCACTCTGACAATGTACTTAGTACTTTTTCACTCTTAACACTCCCCTTGCACTCCCCCGACCCCAGAGTCCATAAAAAATGACTTAGTTTTTTGTAGCACTACCATTATAATGAAATGATCCACAGGTCTGTGCTTATCCTCTGAATTAGAGTGCTGTTCCATGGAGGAAATGAAAAAAGGAGATGCAACAATTTCTTTTGTTTTAGCCTCTTGCTTATACTATTGCACTAAGTGTCTAAAGGCTTACCTCTTAATTTTTTTACATGTTCTTTGGATTAGCTGTTCCAATACCTGACAGCTCAGTTTCTTCTCTTTCAATTCAGCTGATCTCTTTACAAAAATCATTGTGATTGGTTGAGAAATTCTCAGTTGGATTAATTTCTTTTCATTTTCAATACTTTAAAAATGTTTCTGCAGTGTCATTTGGCATGCATTGTTTGAGATGAGACATCTGCTAACAACTTTATCTTTGTTATTCTATATATAACATATCGTTGTCTACCTTTCAGATTTTCTCATTATTAATGGTTTTGAGTAATTTAATCATGATGCTCCTTGGTATAATATTTTTTAACACCTGTGCTTAAGTTTTGTTAAACATTTTGGATGTATGAGTTTCTAAATTTCATTGGTTCTAGAAACTGCAGTTATACATAAATGAGAATGTTTGAAATTGTCTCACAACTCAATGATAGTTTGTTCATTTTTAATTTTTTAACTTGTTTCTCATTATGTTTTTTCAGAAGATTTATATTTGTCTTCAGTTTAACTGTTTTTTTTTCTCAGTGTGAATAATATGCCATTAATCATATGCAGTGTATTTCATCACAGACATTGTAGTATTATTCTCTAAAAGTTTAATCTTTATTTTATTTTTTCAATTTTTCTGCTTAACACGTTCAACATTTCTTCTGGTCTCTTGAACATATATTTTGTGTCCTAGTCTACTAAAGATGTCATGCAATAGGATTGGCTATGAATATTTTTGATGAATATTTTATATTACTTCTAATCAAGCCCCTAAACATTTATAAAAAATATGGAGGATAAAGAAACATACTGAATCACACAACAGTGATACAATTAGCAACATTCAGACTATGTGAAACTCTGTAGGACAAATAACCTTGACTCTTCAGCATATAAACGGAAAGAAAAATTGGAGGAAACCTGTAGACCAAATGAGAATTGAGAAATGTACCAAAAAACTGCATTGTGTGGACATATTTAAATCTTAATTCAAAGATAAAGATTTTTAATTTGAACACTGTATGAATATTTTATTATATTAAAATTTTTTCTTAATTTTAAGCTTTGATGTTTAAAAGTGTGTATACACACTTACATAACATGTATACTTGTGTGTGTGTGTGTGTGTGTGTGTGTGTGGCTTCAGTGGTTAAAATGATATGAATTTGAAATTGGTTTTAATATTAAAAAGTGAGCACGTGTAGAAATGACACAATATTGACCATGTGTTGGTAATTACTGAAACAGGGTAATGATATCCAGGTGTTCATTACACTATTTTATTTATCTTTATATGTATCAAAATACCATAATATAAAGTTCCCAAAAATTATATTCACTGAAACACAGCCAGCTAACTTCATATCAGTGTTGGTAATAATTTGCCAAACTTATAAAAAAAATCTTTTTCATGAATAATATTGTACCAGTTCCAAATATTTTTATTCATCAGCTACCAAAAATATATATTTTAGCAATTTCTAAAGAGCAGATTTATCTGAATTTCAAATACGTAACATAAAGATAAATTTCACCTCAGTTGAATTTCTCTATGACCTTCATTAAGTAAACTTTTAACAAGGAATACATCTGCTTAAAGGGAGTATACCGGGACCACAGAATCCCTGTGTACTTTCTTAATTAGGTGTTTTTTAACAACTCCTCTTAACACGAGCCAAAGACCTAAAAAATCTCTAAGGAGTCATTCAAAAATACATGCAGAAGATTCAAAACACAATCATGTAGAAAAAGTCCTAACATGAACTCTGGCTTTTCTGTTGATTATATGACATTAAACTCCATTGTGAATCTTACAAAATTATTTTTCTTCATAAAATAAATCAAATTTGGCTGGATGTAGATGTTGGAAATGCAAAACTATTAAGTTACATATAAGGATTAGAGGTACCCATCATGAAGAGAGAGCCTTGGGTCAATGGAAAGTTTTAAATGTAAAACTCAATAGCCAGAGTCTTTTGTTTTAATATTTAAATACTAGAAGATACATTTCATATCATTCTTACATATTACAAACATTCACCCATTCTTACCCAGGAACAATCATTTTGTATTTATTGTCCTAAGAGGATTTTGTTTTTGTTAAGCTGATAAACACTTCTTCCCCATATCTTTGAAATTAAAAAAGAGTAAATATCTTATGCAAGCTTTCTATTCAGTGTTTTATAGTATCAGTGTAACTGATTATTGAATTCACCAGTTTTAAGCTGAATTGTCATTTTGTCTATTTAATTACTACATAAAATACCATAATTTGGGAAATTGGATGAGGAAGCTTATCTCTATCAAATATAAAAAGGAAAAATAAGACTTTTTTCCTCCTGGATTGACTGTTGCTTTAATGAGATAGTTTGTATTTTACTGAGAAAGAATGGAGAAAGTAAGCAAGTCAAATTAAAAGGAAGTCTATCTCAATGTCAGCTGTCAATCCAGGAGACTCCCAGAGCAATCTTTCAACTTTCAGGCAGATTTATGACTGCAGTTTAAAACTAGCAGTGCCTGAGTGGAAATTTATAATTATTCTAATCAAATTATTGCTGAGCTACAAATCATAATTAGCCAGCTTAATTGGAAGATAAATTAAATGTTTATTTTTATTCCACTTTTGTCAGATGCAGAAGTTGTAACCTGTCTTTAGTAATTATGTGAGAAAATGTTATTTTAAAATGTCAAATTTTGTTTTGTTTCTGACGCTTTAGGTATATAGAAGGTACACAGAATCAGAAAAGATTATAAAAGAAAGCAAGATTTTTGTTAGTGACGTCCTGTTTCCTCTGAAGAGTAATAGTTGGAATCAAAAGAGTCAACGCAATGAACTGTTATTTACTGCTGCGTTTTATGTTGGGAATTCCTCTCCTATGGCCTTGTCTTGGAGCAACAGAAAACTCTCAAACAAAGAAAGTCAAGCAGCCAGTGCGATCTCATTTGAGAGTGAAGCGTGGCTGGGTGTGGAACCAATTTTTTGTACCAGAGGAAATGAATACGACTAGTCATCACATCGGCCAGGTACTTATTTATTTAAAATGTTACAGTAAATAGCACAACAATGTAAATAAATATGTTGGAGAAGTTTGGAGATTTGATGAGTTCCACATTTTTACAGTGAAGCCATTGAAAAGCTTCAAACAGCAGCATCAATAATTGTTTCAGATTTGCAAGCACCTAAAACATCCACTAAAATCTTGAAGAGGGATAGCTCTGGTTTTTAAATTTCACTTCAGTATCCCGTATGAAAATGCAGCCCTCATTTTCAACATCTGGAAACTTTATTGCGTTATTTTTGGTAATGAATCTAAGCAGTCACAGTGAGACAAATATCATTTACCAACAGTATTTAGCCCGATTTTCTGTTACGCTAAGTAGCTGTTGATTTACCCCTCGTTCATTTTTAATGAAGCAGGTTAATACCATATTCTCCTACAGTTAAGTAGCTTCAGGAGCCTACACACTTAAATTGATTAGTAAAGTTAAAGTAAAAGGAATAATTATGTTCACTTTCTTAAAAGAATATATTTTAAGAACAATTCCTTAATGAGACAAAGCATCTCCTATTTATGTTTTTGGCTTGTATTTTATTATTTGGTTTTCTTTAAACAAAGGTGATTACAATATCATGTCCTTTTCCATAAGGCTTTTTCTCTAGATAAATGAACTGAAATAAGTTTAACCGCTAATTAACTGGCACTAAAATTTAATTGGGCCCAAAGGGTGAAGCACTCAAAATTTATTAACTCTCATTTTCTAGCCCTTTCAGGAGAGCTGCAGTGTTAGCATGGTATCTGGATTCCATAGAACTTCACCTGTGTTATCAGCCAAATGTATATGAGTACATTCAACCAAAGCCTTAGATTAGGATTTTAGGCAAGTATTTCCAAACGTGCAGGGAGGAGGGTGTATTGTGAACACACACACACACGCATACACACACACACACATTACAAGAAATATTTCTCAACCCCTTTTATTTTCGACTCAGACTACAGGTAAATAATACGCACAGTTGGCACTAAGAAGGTCCACAGTTAGGTGCCGACTCAGTAACTGAGTCTCTAGCTACCTTTACAGTGGACTGCACAGAACACCATATACTCTCCCATCACTGAATGGGGTGACAGGCTAAAATCAGCTATTGGCTTTTAGTAAATAAGGTGTTATAGGGAAGTGCATCAGTGTAATTGGAACACAGGCCACCTCTGGGGCTGTCACATTTTCTAGTTTGTTTGTTTCTACTCCCCACATGAATCTCTGTTTACCTCCTTTCTCACAGTGATTGGTTTTGCCTATTTTTTCATTTCAGAGACATATTTATGAAACTACTCTGAAAAATGTTTTTCTGCTACACAAACTCATCAGGCTTAAAAAACAAGTGAATCACTGATTTCAAAAAGAACAATAATGAATGTTTAGGTGCTTGTCAAAAGAGTTAGTAAATATACAATTTAGCTGCTGCGTTCAAGATAACTCTCTTTGATCCATTTGTTTGAAAAATGATTAAGATTGGGAAGTACAATTAAGTGAAAATTTGAAGTGATATTTGTTTAGCAAATTGATAGTAGCAGCCTAATTAGGAAAATATTTTTTGAATAAAAATATAGAAAATTGTATAATACTACAGGCCATTTGATTGAAATGTGTTTAACATATGCATTTTATGACATTAAAAGGCTGGTGTTCAAGTAAGCTTTTTCGTTTTTGTTTCTGTCTTCCCTTAAATCTGGGTCTTAAAAATGTCAAGCTTACTTGTCTTTGAAAATTACACTGCACATATACTTGCAATATATTTACTTATTACTAAACTTAATTTATCTTCATTATAATATCAAATAAATTATCAAATCATATTGAAATGATATAATTTAAAAATATGAACCATACATTGCTCACTTGATATATTGATTTGATTGTATAATTTGTTCCTCAATTTCTTACATCATCGCATGAAGAATTTCTTTTAGGAATAATTAAGAACTATCAAAAGAAGTATTACCAGAAAGACAATCTGGATGTTATTTTTCATTACATAGCATTGATATTCGGCATGTTATTAAAATGCAAAATTAGTTACTAGTACCTTCAGATTTTCTCCACAACCGCAAAGAAAGTGTATTAATTTATCCAGTATAAGAAATTATAACTTAAGCCATCAGAAAAATCATGAATTTGTTTACAACTGATTTCATGATTATCTTTGTAAATTTTCAGAGGAACTCTTACTGTGAATAAGAGCATTTTCATAAATGGTGAATCAAGAAAATGTGGATTCACAATGATTAGGGAACCATGACATTCTTCTCTTACATACAAATAATTCTGATATGAAAAGCTATGTGATCATTTTAACTATATCAGAATTAGACGGGTTTTTTTACAGATAAATTAAAAATTCTAAATAATACCTCAACAGTATGAATGATGAACTAATTTACTTTGCTTTTTGAAAATATGAAAATGAGTGCACAGGCTGAAAGTGTGTATTTGAGAATTAGGTAGAATATATTGAGAAGAAAGTTTTATACTTTATGGCTAAAACCCAAGGGCTAAAGAAGATGTAACTGAGTTGTTGTCAGTGGACAGTCTGAAATTTGACAGCCTCATAGAAGATTTGATAGCCTCGTGGTGTAAATTCTATATCTACACAAAGACCATATGACTCTGAAAAAAGTTTGTAAAACAAAATCTCACTTTTCTTCTCTATAGAAAAATTGATCATATCAATAATATGTATTTCATAATATTGATATGAGAATTACTTGAGAACACTAATATAAAGCAATTTATAGATTTTATGACATGTAATAAATACCTAATGAACAGTCAAGATTATCATTATCTTTATGAACCCTAATTTTCATCCTAATATTTTCTTGTTTCCATGTATATTCATGCAAGAGATAGAACATCAGTGTTTAAATGTCACTAAATTGTCTTTCTATCTATCTCAAGGACCCAATCTAGTATAAATATTTGAGAGTATAGTTTTAGTGACTGAGAATTTAATTATAAATAAAAACTGAACCAACTATGTTGTGCATAACTTACAAAAGAAGCTTTATTATCCAATTATTTTTGTTTCTGTTTAGAATAATGAAATGTGTATAGTTCTTTACACTAAATATTCACTCTTCCTTCTCCCTGGTGATAGATTTTAATCTTGATATTAATATTTTGCCTCATTTAATGTAATGTGGAAATAATATAAAATCATTAACTTGGGGAATAATTAACATACATAAAAAGAAAATCTTGATTTTGATTTGTCCATTTCAGATGTTTGGAAACTAAATGATCCCTCTTTCCATTTGCAGCTAAGATCTGATTTAGACAATGGAAACAATTCTTTCCAGTACAAGCTTTTGGGAGCTGGAGCTGGAAGTACTTTTATCATTGATGAAAGAACAGGTGACATATATGCCATACAGAAGCTTGATAGAGAGGAGCGATCCCTCTACATCTTAAGAGCCCAGGTAATAGACATCGCTACTGGAAGGGCTGTGGAACCTGAGTCTGAGTTTGTCATCAAAGTTTCGGATATCAATGACAATGAACCAAAATTCCTAGATGAACCTTATGAGGCCATTGTACCAGAGATGTCTCCAGAAGGTATTGCATATTAATTTACATCAAAGATATATTAACAATGAAGCAGGTTTAAAATTTGAAGGATATGTTTTGGAAGTAGATGATTTAAGGGTCTATACTAGAACTTCCTTCTACAAATATGTTTAAGTAAAATATTTGAAAAATTAGACTATGCATCAAAATTTTGAGAAAAGGGTACTACATATTAATGTTATTAAAATATCTCAGCCTTCACAGGAATAAAAGAAGTTTAGATATGTTTATTTGAGCAATTCGTAAGTTTTTAGACCTTGTTCATTTACTAGGTTCTTAAGTACAAGAATTTCTTTTTCAAAACAAAATATATTTTTGTATCTCATAAAAGCAAATAAGATAATCCTGCAAGATATGCATAAAAATAGGAAAAGTGAATTTATTAGACTCTATTGTATACATCAAAATCATGAAGAAAAAACCACTAAGACAAAACTAAGTGGTTGAACACCTGTGTGTGGCTGTGTTTATTCAAAGATACTTTTCAAAACCCAGTGTTGTTGTTGTTAATATTTTAAATATAATGCATTTAGGAGAGAATGGTTTCCATAAGATATAAGAATTGACTGTCTTGGAAATTAGAAATGTCTTTCCAGTAAAGGGGAAATTGTGATTATGCACAACTTCTCTCAGTTATTCACTCAAAAAATTTTTGTAGCACAATATACTGGAAAGTTTAATTCAAAAATTTACTTAACAGTGACAAATAAATGTGACTTGATAATGGCCATTTTAAATTACGGTAACATGCTTATAACTACTTTACCTCATTACTTGATTCATTAGCCAATGATTCCAAAAATACATATTTCATCATATAATTTTCTGATTCTTGATTTTTAACATTCCAGGTAGGAATTTAAAGATGTATTTCTACATTGTTTGGAACATAGGTCTTTAAATACAGCAGAAACAAATTTGCCTGTGTAATATATATCAAGACAAATTATTATGAGATGTAAATAGCACTTTAAATTACTCTATTTTGGTAGGTAGGCAAAGAAACAGTTCACCTTCCTCATCCCTCCCTCTCCTCCTCCCCCTTCTCCACCTTCTACTCCTTTCCCTTACTGCCCTCCCCTCTGTCTCCTTATTCCCTCTCTTCCTCCTTCCTCCCTCTGCTTCTTGCTTTTCTTCCTCTGCCACTGCTTCTTCTTCTTCTTGCATATATTATGATGTAACATGCTAGGAATCTTCCTTTGAAACTATAGATAAAATTGTAAAGGAGATAAAGGAGTTACCTGCTAATATGAAACACATTTTAGTTATATACAAATAAGAAATAGTTATTTTAATTAAAGGAGGTAATATATGATCATGTATAGTATAAAAGTGTTATGTATGGGTGAGGTATGATGATTATTAATTGTCTGGAGGAAACGGGACATTTTAGGAGGTGATATTTGAGGTGAATTATACAAAGAGGCCATCCATACCACATTCTAGGAAAAAAGAATCCATAGCAGAGTGCTCAGGGCTGTATACATCAATATGGAAGTCATCAACATATAACACGTATGTCAGGCATGGCAATGAATGAGATCCCTTTGGCAGAGAACGTAGCTGGAGAAGAGAAAAGCATCCAGGCTGACTTGACTGTTAAGCAAAAAGCAGTCGGCTGGCAAATTAGAATGAGTGGGATTGGCAAGCGTTGTAGGAAGAAGGGAAAAATATGAGAAAAGATGTTCCAAAAGAAGAAATCCCTCAACCGTGTGTAATGCTGCTGTGAGGCTAAGATTAAGACAGAGTGGTGACTTTTGATTTGGTAAGTTGAAGACCCCTGGTTTTTTGATAAGTACAACAGTTTAATTTGTGCTATTACAGCACACTGAAGACTATTGTATGGCATAAAAGGAAGAATAAGAGGAAGTAATAATGATTTAAGCCAAGTCTAAAAGGTGTTACGCCACAGGGAGAAAATGAAATGTGAGATGCTAGGTAGAAAAAGATGAAGGTCAAGAGGACTTTTTGCTTGTTTATGACTATTCAATTGTTTTTTAAGAAAGGAAATTGAACAGCACTGTTATATACTATGGGGAATGATTCCAGAGAATAATATTATTTGAAGCAAAGTAAAAGGACATAACTTCTAAAACACTGTTCTTGAAAAAAAAAAAAAAAAAGAAAGGGTCATGGAATCCATTGTACTTATAGAAGGGACAGATTATATGTTAACATATTTGTTCATAACCAATCAGTTAATAAACGTTTCTATTTTGTCAGTGAAGCATAATGCGAAGGCAGTAATTGAGAGAGCATGGGTAAAATTTTAGAGAAGAGGAGGTACAATACTGCCATTTTACAGAGTTGGGTAGTGAACCCATGAGAGAATTATTGGTATCATGGTATCAGTGCAGCCCCACTGTAGATGTTCAGAGAGATTGCAAAAGATGGTTTGGTCTGTGCAATATCTAGCAAGCACAAATCTCTTTGTGCATTGCAATTTGAGATAGAGGTACAAATTATCTTTTCAATTTGTGTAATCAATACATACTGTGTGAGTGCCAGTTAGGGTCCAGGCTTTGTATGAAATCATGCAAGAACTAATGAGCACTTTGTGTAACCTTTCCATGAGAGGGAGAGGCCAGCTGAGTGATGGTCAGTTGCTATTAGAAGTGTTATATAATATGGAAATAGGGGAATATTTCTATTGCTTTGCCAAACTTCTAGCAACGGTTTCCTTCTGAAGCATTCCTGCATTTGTGTTGACTGTGAAGTAAATAAATCAATTAATAAAATTATATGTGATTTATCTTTTTTCCTCAATCTCAGTATTAAATTAATGAATACTGCGGGTTTTATTACCTAAATATAACTTCAATTCTTCATT
This sequence comes from Homo sapiens, assembly GCF_000001405.40. NCBI lineage: Eukaryota > Metazoa > Chordata > Mammalia > Primates > Hominidae > Homo > Homo sapiens. The sequence goes on along the minus strand of NC_000018.10, from coordinate 66,565,573 downwards.
ATCTTTCTATATCCACGGCCATTTAAGTTTTTGAATATTGACCTTACTTCCAAATTTCCTAGCCAGCTACTTTATTCTTCAAAAACAACTATTGCAAACATTTTGCTGTTTCTTTTTCTTACATATATTTCTGTTGTATTGAAGTGAACTGCCTATTATTATATTTGAATCTGCACTTGAACTCAGAATTTGGTTTGAATTACTGAAGGGAATCCATATTTCATTATGTCATGAGATAAAATCAAGAAAATTATTAACTTGTTGCTTATTAAACACACATTTCTTTACAAGTAATGATGGGCTTTTACTGACTGCATTTATGTTTGAAATGAAATTAACTTCAAACTAGAACTTTCAAGTAGAGTTGAGATAAAACATTATGCTTTCCCAATTGTCACTTTGGATTTGCAAAGTTACTATTTTTCTGCCATCCAAAAATATAAGATTTATTAGACCACAAGTCATAGAGTGACTGAGATTTGGAAGGATTGAATAAATAAATGAGTGAGTACATGGGTGGACAAAAAAATGCTAAATAAGTGATTAGAATAGTTTAGGATATAAATAGAAGATTTCGGGAGATGTGAAATTCATGGAAATCATTCTGAAATTGTATCTGAATAGCCAGCCTATCAAATATGTAATCTTCCATTTCAGTAATATTTGCTAGTTTTACCTAAAACCTTATAATGTCAAAAAAAAAAAAAAGAAGGGGCATTTAAAATACGTGTAGTATACTACTTAATAAGCAATTAAACCAAAGCAGAGTCGGGTAACTTATCTTCTGCAAATCAGCACAAAATCCTGCTAAAAGTGAAACATGCTTTAGCCAGTCACATTACGTGGAAAACAACCATAATAAATAGATATTGATATTGTACACATTATGAATGATCATTAGTGTTAATAGACTTTGTTTATATGTCTGTGTATGTGCAAATGCAAAAGGAAAATTTAAAATCTGACTTCCTTAAAATTTAGTTTCACATATTTCTGCCTAATAAAAGCAAGGAGAATATATTGTCTAGTAAAAAGACTATCCACTCTCTTTGGAGCTTTTCCAAATAAATATCCTCCACCAAATTTTTCATATCTGTAGTCACTGAGGGCATCATTTTTAATATTATCAAGTGTCCAACATTCCTTCCACTTGCAATAACCATTTCCTTTTATTTTCAAAACCAGATGCTTTTGAAAATGAATGGGGATAACTAGTGAGTAAGACTCTGTTTACCTTACTATTTAAGGAAGCTTATTTTGGCATTTCAGATTTTAAATTCAAATATAATATGTTATAATGATCTCTGTAATTATTATGCAATATTTTAAGTTGCATTTTTTGGAAAAGCATATAGAAAATTTAATATTCTTCATCAACAATATGGTACAATATGTCATAAAGGAGAGCTTTTATAGAAATATTAAATTCACCTTAAGCTTTGTATGGAAAATCTATACAAATTTAATTTCAGTTAATACTCAGGAAAATAAAAAATCATGAATTTTCAAAATTTATCACATTTGTGAATTAGATTCTATAAATCTCTTGCCTTTGGGAACATGAGTTGAACATGACTGAGACTGGGATGAATTTCTCTTCTTATTCTTCTAAATATAATATTGTTTGATTTATTAAACACAGTCTAATTTGTTTTACTTAAATTCCATTATCTCAGATTATAAAAAGTAGAGGTGTCAAAAATGCAGCACAAAAATAATAAAAATGACCTAGTTTTTAGGTGACTATGGACAGAAAAATAAAAAATTTGAAGAACACTTTGCCCAGTTAAGATGACAAGTGAGAAAATATTATCTGTTTCCTGAGTTTCACTTCGAGACTTTAGGTTGTAGAGTAATTGCAGCTCAAGTATAAATGCAGCAAGAATGGGTCAGTCAGTACTGGTAGAAAAATAATTATCCTTGTACTAATAAAATAAGTTCCCAATGTGAAGGAGTGAGCAGATATACCTATACAACTCTTATGTCATGTATTTGATCATTTGATCACCTCATTCATCTTAATCCTGTTTTATTGTTGCAGAAATTACATATGCAGAGTGTGGATCACTATAATATTATTTGATCTGTATAACATTGAAGTTGACAATTATACAACCCAACATCTCAATAAATTTGTTTCAGATTAATCAAAGTATACTTGTACTAAAACTGGATGTAAAAATAGCTTTTCCATTAAATTTATATCTACATTGTAAGAAAAGAACAGTTAATCTCCTTACTATTGAATTCAAAATGAATAAAATATAACATTCTAAAGTAAATGTCATTTTGAAATCTACAGCTGGAATCTTGGCATTCAAACACTATAGCATACTGTGGCACCTGTACTTTAGTATTCCATAATAAATGTAAGCTTTAATTATAAAATGCCCTCGCCACAGGTTGCTAATTTCTCTATTGCTTACATAATATCTAAATTAGTCTGCATAGGAAAATTTTTCACTTTTTATGATTTTTTGTTTATATGCTTCCCATAATCACCAGTGGATAAAGCATTCTATGTGACACAGGAAAGAACATCATTTAATAAAGTTGTAAGCCATGTTAAACATCTGCATGAGAATAGTTTCATCCTCTGCATAACTCCTGGTTAATAATAAAATTTACATAACTCAACAGAGACAGAGTTACACTACCTTTACCTCAGGTTTTACTCAGTGATGGCAGAATACATCTGATGTTTGGATAAATTATTATTGATGCTTTCATTAATGCTCTCAATCTTTAAAATTTCTATGTAGTTTTATACAGGTTAGCACCTTTAAACATTACAAGAATGCTTCATTTCACACACACAACAAATATATTATCTTCTGTTAAGATACTATTATCACACTAAAATTTTCTGTCATAAAAATGAAAAATATATCAGTAAATGCAATTTCCAGAGATGACCAAACTAACGTTTTCCTTTCAAGCACGTGGTACAAGTGTACATCCTGTGTCACCTATGTCAGGGGTTCCCAACAACCAGGCCACAGACTGGTGCTTGTCTGTGGCCTCTTAGGAACCGGGCTGCACAGCAGGAGGTGAGCAGCAGGCAAAAGAGCTAAGCCTCATTTGTATTTACAGCCGCTCCTCATGGTTTGCATTACCACCTGAGCTCCGCCTCCTGTCAGATCAGTGGCGGGATTAGATTTTCATAGGATTGCAAACCCTATTGTGAACTGCACATGTGAGGAATCTAGGTTGCATGTTCCTTATGAAAATCTAATGCTTAATAATCTGTCACTGTCTCCCATCACTGCCAGGTGGGACTATCTAGTTGCAGGAAACCAAGCTCAGGGCTCCCACTGATTCCTCATTATGGTGAGTTGTGTAGTTATTTTATTATATATTACAATGTAGTAATAGTAGAAATAAAGTGCACAATAACTGTAATGCGCTTTAATCATCCCCAGACCATCCCCATGCCCACTCCCCACCCTGACCATGGAAAAATTGTCTTCCACGAAACTGGTCCCTGGTGCCAAAGAAGTTAAGGACCACTGACCTATGTTACAATAAGTTTCTGCAAAGAATGTGATTGATAAAATAAGCAAAGTCAAATATTGTGTTGAACTTATTTTTATAAAGACCTTTTGCTATGAAAAGTTGCCAAGATTTGGAAACTAGCTAGAAAGACATAATTAATATTTTAAATTTGCAATTATGAAAAGTCTCTCCAGAGTAATGCAAACAATGTCAACTGTCCACACAATAATGGAACCCAAGATTACATTAGTAATTATATTTGTATGTTTATTATCAGAATAAGTGAACTGATAAGCTACTCTAATTAAAGTATGATTCTAAGAGAATTTTTTTTTCTAAGCACACTTTTGTTCACTTAGAATGGATACAAACTACAAGTCATTTTGATTCTTTGCATTTCCAAATACCACTGGCACCTCTGATCCAGCCACAGTGACCCCACTCAGGTATGCATGCTGAACTTTGGACCCTTCGGTCCCCCAAAAAGCATTTTTTCACTCTCTGTTTACATTCCTTGCTAATTTGATTTCAAGGATCTCATTAATTTAAACTTTTCAGAGTTCCCATCATTTGGTAGTTACCCAATTCTGCTTACTGGATGGTGTATTGCAGGGAATAATAGGACTTAAGGCTGTGGCAATTCAATATACACAACTCGTGCTACGTTATTTTCATTTTGTGTGCTATCCTGGTGGCCACTTTATATTGTCACTGTTGTTTTAAGGTAGATTGAGTGACCAGATCTTCAGTTTTACCCAGGACAGTTCTGCTTTACTTCTATGTTTCTGTCATCATGTCCTAGAAGCATTTGTCCCAGATTTTCTGTTTTACAAAATGACTATTATTAAGTCATTAAAATAAGCCAGAGTGAATTTTTCAAACATTTACTTTGTACTTGTAGCTTCTTCCATGGAGTGTGAGAAACAGTCTGTCAGACAAATGAGCAATAAATAGACTTCTCTTAAGATATAGTTAAATCTGAAAGAGGACAAGGGATAACCCAAAGGCACTGTATGATAAAATAGTTAAACTAAGAAACTCATTAAATGATGTAAATACTTATGAAGAATATTCTTCTGGTGCTATATTTAATGTTAAAATCTTCTCTAAAAAAGATTTTATTAATGTTCATATATATTATTTGTCTTTTGTTAGAAATACCTATTTCCAGTATAAAATGTAGAATTTAATTTTTGATCCACCAATGGAGTAAGACCCACTTTGCAAGTATTAATGCTATCATAATAAAATGTTCATCAAATGAATGAAGAGAGACTAAAGAGGTTAGGTATATATGACCTGTACCATGCTTCATGTTCTTATCAGATAATGCACCCTAAATATGCTACCCTTCTTCAGTAGAGTAAGAACAACCAATCCAGGCTGGGAAGAGTAATAAAAAATATGTTTAACAAATTGAAAAAGAGATTTGGGCTTTGAGAAAAATATCAAATTCCCCAGGACTAAATATATGTTTTCCATAAATATTATATACATATATTTGCCCTGATTCTGAAATTTTTGCTTTTCCCCCTCTATTTTTCTTTTTTTCTGAAAGTTTTATTGTTCTAATATTTATATTCTTATTTTTCTTATTATTTACCTTTCACATTTGGATCTACAGTCTGTTTTAAGCTGATATTTGTGAAAGGTGTAAAGCAGGTGCCAAATTTTATATCACAAAATTGGTGTTAGATAGATGGACAGATAAATGGAGATATCAAGCTGACCTTGCAGAATTTACTGAAAAGTTTCCCTGATGTTCAGCTCTGCCACCTTCTGGTGAAGGGGTTCTCTAAATTTGTGTAATCTTATCTCTGATTCTCTAGTTGGCTCTACCAGCTATTCATTGCTCCAGGGCAAATATTATTGTCTGAACTACTGTAGTTTTGTCCTAGGCGTTTGCTCGTTATTAGTGCAACTACTGTAGGTATTCTTCTTCAATAAAATTGCCTTGCGGAAGTTGCAGTGTTCAGAGACCACGCCATTGCACTCCAACCTGGGCGACAGAGTGAGACTTCCTCTCAAAAAAACAAAAACAAAACAAAAGAAACAAACAAACAAAAAATGCCTGGACCATACTTGGTCCTTGTTTTTCCATACAAATTTTACTTATTTTTTAATTGTCTTTCCAAGTTAACCATTTATACAGTCCACTAGGATTTTGATTGAGCTAGCTTTTAAGCTGTGTATTTTTTTATTTTTAAGTAGTCATCTAATTCCTAAATCCAGTATTTTCATCTATTTACTTATATCATTAATTTATCTTTAGTTGTTTTGCAGAGGTTACAGTTTTTGTTTAGATATTCCTGAATATTTTATTTCTTTTCATATATATTATATATTTAACTAAAATAGGTTTCATGAATATATATATGCCAGAGTATATACATATATATATTCATATATTAAAAAATGCACTTTTATATAACATTTGTGTCCCTGTTGACTTGCTAAATTTATGAATTTAATGTTTTTCTGTAACTATATGCATATTTTGAGTTTCTAGCAGAAAATATTATTAACTTTAATTATTTAGTTTTATTTATTCTTTTCCAATATTTATTTATCTACCTGTCTATAAATGCGTTATAACTGCATGGTATTGCCTCATTGCATTGTCTAGGAAGTTCAGTACAATGCCGAAAAAAATAATAGTGACAGAAAAACATTTTTTTCTTTTTATTATTGCAGAGGAAAAGTTTTAACTCTTCACAATTAAATATAATTACTGTCAAGGCTTAAAAGCATTCATTATCAGATTCAGAAAGTTTCCTTTTATTCTTAATTTTTAAAAAGTTTTTATTGCAAATGTAAGTTGATTTTTAGATGTACTTTGTTTTTTTTATTTTTCTCCTTTATATAAAAAAATTGAAATATATTTTCCATGGAAATACAATTTTAAAAGTTTCAAGAGGTTACAGATATGGCCTGTGTAAACAATGGTCCTTATGTAGAATAGTAGCCATAATATTTTAGAACACAACAGCAATTCATAGTGATGAGTGGGTTGTTTTTAGGAAATGGGATGACCGGGGATGGGAGCCGCATTTCTCATAAACCTCTTCGGAGTGATTCTGACAGTAAACAATAATCAGGACATGAACGGAAGTAATTACATAAGCCTAGAAATCCTCCAGTACTTGAAAAGAGCATTGTGGTGGTATTCACTATGACTCAAACATGACACAGTTCTGATATTACAGACAAATGCTGAAATACTTACATATGTTCTTATAAAAAATTATGTAGGAATTAAACATTCGTTGTCTAAACCAACAAGTGTTAGTTAACCTATATTTAACTAGGAAAGGGGCACTATAAGACAATTGATCATTTCCACTGAAAGACACTTTATTGGTTTCATAGTAATATTTTCAATTTTATGTGGACGATAAAACTAATTCCTAACTACAGGTGAATGTACAAATTGATTTGCTTACAAATAACAAGTCTTTATAAAAATATAAATATTTACAATTGTGTTAAATATTTTTGTATTGCTGTCTGCTTTTATATTTAATTATTATTGTGATCTCTTTATGTTACTTGACTATTTCTTGAGGATTTCTGCCGAATACAAGTTACTCATTAGGAAAACATACAGGCTTAATTCTCTTTAAAAACATAGAAACAATCCAAGAGGATTTAAAATTGCTTAAACTGTGTTTTATAAATCATGGTGTCAATAATAACTGAAAGAGGGAAAAGAAAGTAGAAAACAACTAAATAAAATAAACAAAGATAATTAGGGTCCTGTAAAAATCGAGCATTGCTAAGATTCATCTAAATTTTACAGCCAACATTTCCAAGGCATGAATAAAAATTAAGAGAAAAACTACAAGCACTAAATATTTGGAAATACTGCTGCATATTTTTGCCCTCTTAAATATATATATTATATATATATATATATGAGATAAAGATATATGATTAGATACAGATACATGTCTGTCGCCCAGGCTGGAGTGCAATGGCGCTATGTCTGAACACTGCAACCTCTGCAAGGCAATTTTATTGAAGAAAAATACCTACAGGAGTTGCACTAATAAGGAGCAAACGCCTAGGACAAAACTACAGTAGTTCAGACAAGAATATTTGCCCTGGAGCAATGAATAGCTAGTGGAGCCAACTAGAGAATCAGAGATAAGATTATACAAATATAGGGAACCCCTTCATGAGAAGGTGGCAGAGCTGAACATCAGGGAACCTTTTCAGTAAATGTAAAACACACATTTACTGAAAATATATGTGTGTATATATACATGTATATATACACATATGTAAATACACCATACTTAGATCTACCTGTATACATATATGCCTATATATACACATAAACATCTTCTCACACACAAAAAATGTAAGGAGTGAATCACTTAATACTCATTGATAGTCCTTACCAAAAAGTAAGCATTTCTAAAACATTGTTGAATTACACCAATTCTATAGCCTTGGTTCTTTTAAAATGCCACAAGTGTCATAAGAAAGAATAACAAATATTTCCCCAGAAATTAAAATCCCCATCAAATTCATGTGTGAGTGGTATTCTGAATATTTATAATATCACAGATTTTTTCCACTAAAATTTCTAAGAATTTGACCTTTTAGATTTTCTACACACTCAGGGAAATTATTTTGTGTAATCTATTAACAGAATACATTAGATTCTCCACTTAGTAGACAACAGGAGAAAAACACTGAAGAAGTAACTTTTGGTTACAAGTAAATGAAGCATCAGTAAAAAATGTTCACCTGCTCTGGCATGTCACTACCTCTTTGCTTTCTATGGGTGTGATCAAGAGGAGACCTGAGAGAACAGGTGTACAGTAGGTTACTGAGCAGGCACAATAATCCAGGTGTGTGTAAGGAGTACACACTGGTATCAGATACAAAGGGAAATCAAGAGAAATGAGAGTTGTTTCCATGTCTTTGCTATTGTGAATAAGTCTGCAGTGAACATGGGAATGCAGATATCTTTACTAGTGGTGTATTTCATTTTCTTTAAATAAATACCCAGTAGTGGGATTGCTGGGTCATATAGTAGTTTTATAGTTAATTTCTTTAGGAACCTCCATATTGTTTTCCATAATGGCTACATGAATCTACATTCCCACCTACAGTGCACGTGTTCCCTTTTCTCTATACTCTCACCAACACTTGCCTTCTCTTGTCTTTTTAATAATAGACATCCTAACAAGTGTGAAGTGATATTTCATAGTAGTTTTTATTTGCATTTTCATGATGATTAGTGATGTTGAGAACCCATTCATATAACCATTGGCCATTTATTTGTGTGTGTCTTCGTTGGAGAAATATCTATTCAGGTTCTTTGCCAATTATTTAATCTGATTATTTGGCTTTTTGCTATTGAGTTGTATGAGTTCTCTTAAATAAATCCCTTATCAGATAGAGGAATAAAGAAAGAAACTGTGTCATATATTTACAGTGGAATATTATTAAGTCTCATCAAAGAAGAAAATCTTACCATTTGCCACAACATGGATGAGCCTGGGGGACATTATGCTAAGTGAAATAAGCCAGACACAGAATAAAAATATTGCATGATCTTATTTATATGTGGAATCTAAAAAAAGTTCAATATAGAAAGATAGAGAATAAAATAATGTGTCGGGGATATGAAGAGGGAGGAAATGGAGGTATGTAAGTCAAAGAATACAAAGTATCAGATAAGTAAGATAAACAAATCTAGAGATCTAATGTACAACATGAGGACTATAGTTAATAATATTGTATTATATTTGAGATTTGTGATGAGTGAGTAGATTTTACTTGCTCTTTCCATGCACACACAAAAATGGGTAACTTTGTGAGATGATAGATATAATTTGCTTTACTATAGTAATCATGTTACTATCTATATGCATAACATGTTGCATACCTTAAATATATATAATAAAATTTATTTTATAGAAAAAGCATGCTAAAAAAACTGGACTGGAAAAAAGAACCTAACTGTATGACATATTTCTATCATCAAAGTGTGAGGTCACCTTTTGTGAGTCATTGCATTTTCTGGACTTCTTGGTTCTCATTTGTATAGTACTAGCTTAGGGGCTCTAAAGACTGATATTACTAAAATTTATTTCAGTCAACTCTGAAAATGGTATGATTTTGATGATTGTATCTGAAGCCAAAGATAGGAAATATAATTCTAGAAACCAGGGATGGGAACCCCTTATGGAAAGAAATGATAGAGAATTATAATGAGGAAATGTGGGATAAGTAAGTGGATCGGTGCATAGAAGGATAGTTAAAGGAACAAGTCTTGCGCAATATGGATCAATGAAAGTGATGGTCCCTGTTAACTATTTTGTTGGAAAAACTTTCACAAATTACTAAATAAATTCACTTTAAAACATCTGAAACTAGTAAGTGTCTACACATTGAGTGGTTATTCAATAAGTTTTGGAAAAGAGAGGCAAAAAGTTTTCCTGATTCATTTTGAATCAGGTAAAAGTATTACCCATAAAATTATGTGAATAAGAAGAAATTCTACTTCAATAGAATATGCTGTATGATATTAAAACAAATGTTAAATAGCATTATAAAAATATTAAGACAAAAGAGCAAAGAATATGTACTATTTAGGGCCACAGCAAAAGTTTCATGTTAGTGAAGTATAGAATGGATTCCTATTAGAGTGTATCAGTTTATAAAATTGGGCTACGATGAGAAAATTCATGATGCTAGTTGTAAACAAAACCACAGAAGCTATTTGATTTTGTGTCATTCGTGTTGCTATTCTTATTGACACAGTAAACAGTGTTTCAACAAATACATATTTCAAATAAGATCCATAACATTCAATTCCATGTTTACAGAAAGATACTTTGAAAACTCAATATTTTTGAATAAATATTTTAAAAATCTGAGCACTAATTTTAAATGTATACATAATTATTCCATATGATTTTATTTCTTGTTACTGAATTTTAATGAGAATGCTTATGTTATCAATATCTGCAAGATTTTACTTTGCTTTTTAAAAAATTCATCAAAGGAAGTAGGTATATTAGAGAAGAGAATTAAAGGAGCTGAATAATTATGCCCATCCTTATCCTCAACTGGATACTCTTTCAAGCTCAATTCAATAATCTTTGTAAATATTTATCAACCTTCTCCACTTTGTTTAAGGTACAGGCTACACTATAATTTTTGGTGAAAAGCATTTCCAAGTTCCTTTTAATTTCTCCACTAATAATACACCTTGGAAAAGTTTATGATTTATAAATTATACATTACAATGAATTGTTTAATAGCTACATCTTATTAGGCCATCAATCTACATGTTTAAAATTCCATATTGCATACAGGAATTAGGAATATTTTGTATTAAAAGTTATATTCTTTTGCCTGAAAAAAATAAAAAACAACAAAAAAATACATTACTTTTACAATTAAGAACAAGGAGGTGAATTGAGCTTTCATTTTGTAACAACATCTTGCTTGGTAAAGAAAGACCGCTTCACAGAACTGAATTCATCCTGAATAAAACCACAATCTTAATTTCCTGTATTATGTTCTCTTTAGGAACATTAGTTATCCAGGTGACAGCAAGTGATGCTGACGATCCCTCAAGTGGTAATAATGCTCGTCTCCTCTACAGCTTACTTCAAGGCCAGCCATATTTTTCTGTTGAACCAACAACAGGTATTTGTGAATGAAACAAGCAAAGTTTAACATGATTCTAAAGAAGGCAATTGTCAGCAAAAATTATCTGCTTAGAAACATGTTTTACAGTAGTCCTGATATGTCAATAAGCAAAAAGATTGCAATTCCTAAGCATTTAATTACTTTTAGTCTTTTAGCTGATACTTCTAGGAGACTGGATTTTTCATGTCCATAGCACAAATTACTTATGTATGTGGTTTAAATCATATGTAAAGATTCTTTTAAATGAATTAGAAAAAGAGACCAGCAACCCAATTTAAAAATATAGGGAAAAAACATTTATAAGCAATTGACAAAGAACAATATACAGAAAGCCAGTAAGCATATTAAAAATGCTCAGCCTCATTAGTCATCAGGGAATACAAACTAAAACCACAATGAAATACAGCTGCATAACCCTGCAGAATGACTGAGATTAAGTCTGAGTATAAGGCTAAGCGTACACATTGATATGAGACATTCACCTAAAAATAATTCTGTATTTTACAGATTTCTGATTTACATGAATACAATATTTGATTCTTTTTGTAATATTGCTCTACCAATCTGCATTAATCAATTGAATATAAAATAAGTAGAACACAGTTTTCTCTTTTCTTTAAACAATCATATGACCCTAATTCATTAAACAAAAATTAATTTTTGTGTTTTAAACAAAGATTAGGCCCATGTAATTTTTTTTCCTTTAGAAGATTATAGTCTCCACTGAAAAAATATATATATATAACTAATCACCCAAGAACGTGAGAAGTGCCAAAGAAGTAAAATTCTATGGTTTTTAATACAAGGAAAATACTATTTCCAGCTTATATCAAAACCCTTAAAGAATTAAAGTATTGTGTTGGATCTTTAAACATTTCTTATTTATTCATTCAGCAAATATTGAATGTCTCAGCCTTTTTCAATTAGGGTTTCTTGAGAGAGTCAGATTCTAAAAAATATTATTTGAGTACCTATGTTCTTAATTCTCTCAGGAATGTACATGGCCTTTATTTTTTCAAATGTATGGAAGAAAAATTATTTTATTATATGCAATGAATGCCTCAAAACATTAGACTTTAATTCCCTCACACATTCAGGTCTAGAAAGGCTGAATATGTACCAAATGTTATACAACTTGCTAGATTTATAAAGGTACAAATTGCAAAATTTAAAACAATACATAATAGTAACAAAAACAAGATATAATAATGGACTCTTCTTTCTTGGAACTTACAGATAGATATTAAACATGAATAGTAATACACACATACATTCCACTGTAGGTACTTATGAAGTAAAACCAAAAAGTTTCAGTGGGAGAAAACAAGTCAGGTTGACTTTATGTTGTGTGGTCAAGGCAGAATACACGGAAATCAGAAAGTTTAGCTGAGTCTGTAGACAAGGAAGGGAGAGTGGAAGATGATTTCAGGGCATGGGAAAAATTAGGGAAATTCCTGAGGTGGGAAAGAGTTGAAACTCTTAGAATAACTGAACACCAGTGTGGAGAAATGCAGAAGAGAGAAGAAAGGGAGGTGTCTAGAGTACAAACCCATGCTGGGTCATACCAGGCCTTCGTGACCATGTTTTCTTTCCACCCCCAGCCCCTACCCTGCACACTGACTTTTTAACTATACTGAGCAGGTTAGCTAAACTATTACTTGCATTGCTGGAGAAGCGTTGGTATGGACAACGACAAACATGGATTAAATTACTGAAAGCATAAGTTCTGAAGTGCATAAGATCCAGAAATACATATCCTTTATTCAGTCAAAAGGCTGAGAGGAAAAGTTGAAAGCAAAGTAGGCACAGTTAATGGGGAACAAAGACTCCTAGGTCCCTCTCCCCTGAGTCACATACAGGGAGACGCTAGCAGCACTTGTGCAACATATTGAATGCTTTCCATTGGATTCAAATAATTGATTACATGTGTGAAACACTTTAGTCCGCAACTAAAATCCCCTCATGTTATGGTCTAATTTATCTTTTAAAAGTTCATATAACAATTCTTTAAAAAATTATATTATATTAAATTTAGTCCAATAAATCAAAAATACTACCATTTCAACAAATAATACAAAACTATGGAGATAGTTCACATTTTTTGTTCTCAGTCTTTGAAATCAGGTGTGCATTTTATACTCATATGTCATTTTTTTCACAAGTTTATTGTATTCTTTAATTTACTTTTATTTTAGGTTCAGGGCGTAAATGTGCAAGTTTATTACATGGGTAAATTCTGTGATGCTGAGGTTTGGGGTACTAATGATCCCGTCACACACAGGTAGTGAGCATGCTACCCAATCAGAAGTTTTTCAACTATCTCCCCCACTCCCTCCTTCCCCTCTCTAGTAGTCCTGAGTGTCTATTGTTTCCATCTTTATGTTCATTAATATCACAATTTTTAATGAATATTTTGCCCTTGATATATTTGGGTATTGGGTATTATTTATTTTTTGTGACTGTTTATGTGTTCCCCAAATCTTTAGAAATGTTGAGTCCTCTCTTATGAACCTGTCTTAAGATTTTCTTAGGTTCTTTTCAGTGATAGTTAATAAATGTATATTAAATAATTTTATAGAATTTAAGCATTTATTGCAATATTTATCATTAATTATCTTGAGTTTGAATATATTATATATGTGTATACACACACACATAAAATAACTGGGTCAACAACCAGGTCTTCTTCAGATCTCATAATTCTAAGTAGACTTCAAAATAATAAGGGCATGACATTTATTTCATAAATTTGGTATTATAATTTACAAATCTATCAATAATATACTAACTTCAGAGTTTCGGGGACAAAGTTAACTGTAGCAAGCCGATATTATGTTAGAAGAGATAGCAGAAAATAGGTTAAAGTAAAAACAAGACATTCTTTTTTTTCTACCTGTGGATTATCTTAACATAGTATTTTATTAAGGGCCTACCAGTGTTCCTAATATTGTGATGATCACTCTAGACTCTAGGCAGTGTTGATGTTTAATTTATTTTTTATTATTTTTCTCTAGTGAAGTCTCTGTCACATTGCAGTGGTTCAACATATAGCAAAATAATGTATACTGCAATGGTTAAGAAATTAACTAGAACTTTGTCATGATTAATAATGAAATAATTGGAATTTTATTATATTTTTAAAGGAGTCATAAGAATATCTTCTAAAATGGATAGAGAACTGCAAGATGAGTATTGGGTAATCATTCAAGCCAAGGACATGATTGGTCAGCCAGGAGCGTTGTCTGGAACAACAAGTGTATTAATTAAACTTTCAGATGTTAATGACAATAAGCCTATATTTAAAGAAAGTAAGTAAAAAGGATTCTACATCTTCATTACATTATAAATATGAGTGTGTTAAATATAAGTAGATTATATAGTTTTCATTCTAAAAGCACTACATTAACACTAAAATTATATAAAATAAATTTGTCAATTGTTCTGGTATGATTATTTTAATTCATGTTAAATGTTAAATACAAATGAAAGAATAATGTGTTAGTTTCTATTCTTGCTGTAATAAATTGCCACTAACTTCATGGCTTAAAACAAATGTATTATGGGTCTCATTGGGTTATGATCAAAGGATTCAGGGAGGCATTTCTTGCTGTAGGATCCTAGTTCATTTAAGGGTTAGCAGAATTCAGTTTACATGTATATAGAGTTAAGGTCTCTGTTTTATTGATGGCTGTAAGCTGGGAGACATCCTTAATTCCTGAAGGCCTCTTTATGGCTCTTGATTTAGCCCACACATCCCAGAAGCAGCAAGGAGTGTCACATACTTCACACACTGACAACCCTCTAACCCACACATTTGCCTCTTCCACTTTTAAGCACTCATGTAATTAGACCGAACCCAGTTGGATAAAGCAGGATAATGTTCCCATCTCAAGGTCAGCTAATTAGCAACCTGAATTCCATCTGCAAACTTAATTCTCTTTTGCCACTTTCGGTGACATATTTATGCGTTCAGGGGAATTTGGACACAGATATCTTTGTGGGGTCCTTCTTCTGCAAACCATAGATAATCATTTAAAAATGACTTTTTGTATTTCTTTTTACTTTATAAGCCAGAATAGGCCACACCTGCTCTAATAATTTAAGCAATTACTGCAAGCTAAACATAAACACATGGTATGCTTCGTAAAATTTTCTTATGCAATTATTGGAGGAATTTCTTTTCTAGGAAATTTATTTTTCAGGTTATACTGTTTTAGCTACAGGAATACATTTATAAGCACTTCCAGAAAGCATAAGTAATTATCATGCTAGGAAGAAAATTTAATTAGCATGGAACAAAGAAAAGAGCCAATAAAAATATATACCATAGCATGATTTCTTAGTTATTGATTGTTTATAGACAGAAACAAAACTATCTTTTGATTACTTTTTTTTCCTCATCCTTTTCTGTTCCTTGCCCCATTCCTCAAAGTCAAGTGAAATCATGTCATTTTTAATGGCCCAAGTGAAATGCTACTTTCACTGACTTCCTTCCAGTAGTTGAGTCCATGAATAAGCACAGGAAGTTGGCATCATACAAATTTGCTTTTAAACCCTGAATTTTCCATTCATTAGTTGTACAGACTTGAGAATATCTGTTAATGTGTGTGCGCACACACAAATGCCCACACCTAAATGATACAGACAACTACTCAGTGTAGCCAACATATGCAAGGTTATCAGATCTTTTGATTTTTCAATAAATATCACAAATCTCATTTTTTAATTTCTGCTCTATCTCACAATTTTAAATTTTGTCATATTAAAAAATTACCACTGTTATATGGGTTGAGAAAACAGTTCCTCTGTGGATGGACTATAGGCAAAGGGGTCAGAGTCTGCACCTTCGTCTCTCTCTGTGTAGTGTCACATATGATGTATATGATACATATGTTGTCTTCTGTCCACAACATTAATATGGCCTCTGAAGGCAAGAGGAGAACACCAAGTTAAATATGAAATACCCAGAACTTTATAAAATAATTGGCATATAATATGTGGGAAATAGTGTCTGGATTTATTAAATAAATTTGGTCTAAATTTATGCAGATGATTATTAAATAGCAAGTAGAAGACTCTGGAAGACAGGAAAATTCCCAAGGAACTTGCTGCGATAAAATATCCTGAAGCTTCTACTACCTTTCTCAGTTTCCCTCTGATTTTTCCTGACTTTAATATTAAAATATTTTGAATAAATTAGAATATTTAAAATATCTTTTAAAATTATCTTTATTACTCAAGTCTGAATATGAGATGATGGTATTCCTCTTAATACTTTCACTCATATACGAGTGTGGGTGAATCTGATTCTGGCCTCCTTACTCTTGTCCACATGGTTTTCCCTTGTGGGAATCCCATTACCCTCCTCTCAATGTAAATACTCAATACCTATACCCTCTGTTGTGGGCAACACTTCCTACCCTCCCAATTAAAGGCATCTCTCAAACATCCCTCTCCCTTGTGTGAACAGCGTCCTCTGCTGGTTCATATCTATCACATCGAAACATGTTTATTATTGTTTTTTCTCACATCCTAAAACAAGACAAAACAAAAACACTTTCTTGCCTTCACTTCCATACTTAGCTAAAGATGCTTTGTATTCTTCCTTTCTCTTTAGAGAAGATTTATTTAAAATATTGTTCATACTTATTGTTTCCAATTAACGACCTCAAAATCTCAGAACTTACTCCGTTTGAGTTACATCCACACTACTTGACCAAACTGATCTGATCATTTCTATCAATAACCTAAGTGGAATGCAGTGTCAATTCTCAGTTCTGATAACACTTGATTTCTTGGAAGAATTTTATGTAATTGATCAACTTCTCCTTGAAAACCTTAATGCTCCATTCTCATTAGCTTTTTCTTCTGTCTTACTAGTCTCTGTTTTTTCCTTCCTTGCCTTTTCTTTGTATACTTTAAACTTCGGAACATTTGTGAGTCAGGCCTTTGATCTCGTCTTTCTTCCCTTTTATACTCATTCCTTTATGATCTTATCCAGACACGTGGCTTTACATAACCACCTCTGGGCTGAGAACCTCATATTAAATATACATCTCCAGACTGAACTTCTCCCTTGAGCTTCGCAAAAGTAAATCTGTCTACTCATCAACTTCATATATTATATATTTTTAAAAAAATATATATATATATATAAAGGGGTTCAGAGGAGGGGGCAGCTGGAATCAGGAGCTCAGTTAAGTGTATATTAGGTTTTAAATGTGCATTGTATATATTATATATGTGTATTACATATAAATGCATATTATATATAATATATAATATTTTATATAATATATAACAAATATATAATATATTTATATATAATATACATTCAATATATATCATATATAATATATATAATACACATATATAGTATATAATGCACATATATTACATATATAATACACATATATATTACACATTTAAAACCTAGGCCGGGCGCGGTGGCTCACGCCTGTAATCCCAGCACTTTGGGAGGCCGAGGCGGGCGGATCACGAGGTCAGGAGATCGAGACCATCCCGGCTAAAACGGTGAAACCCCGTCTCTACTAAAAATACAAAAAATTAGCCGGGCGTAGTGGCGGGCGCCTGTAGTCCCAGCTACTTGGGAGGCTGAGGCAGGAGAATGGCGTGAACCCGGGAGGCGGAGCTTGCAGTGAGCCGAGATCCCGCCACTGCACTCCAGCCTGGGCGACAGAGCGAGACTCCGTCTCAAAAAAAAAAAAAAAAAAAAAAAACCTAACACACACTTAACTGAACTCCTGATTCCAGCTGCCCCTCCTCTGAACCTCTTTTTCCAACAGATTTTCCCATCTCATGTACCCACACATCCAGGTTTCATGTTCTTCAAGCCAAAACCTTGCTTATTCGATATAAACACCACTGTTTGAAGAATTAGAAGAATTAGTGATCCCACTCAGATTATGGTAGCCATACCCAGGTCAACCATAATTTTTCCCCCAGCCTGAATTGATAGCCTCCACAATTCTGATAGCTCCTGGCTTTCAATATTCTTGGAGCAAATGCACATACACAAAACACACACATATACATACGCACACACACATACACACACACGCATACCCTCTTCCTTCCTTGCATAAAGATTTGAAGCTACTTTTTCTACTTTTCTTTTTCTCAGAGTTAAAATTTAATTCCCTGCAGATGCTGTTGTCTCTGCCTTAGAAAATATCCGAAATATGAACACTTCTCACCAACTCCATCCCTAGCACTTTGGCACATGGCACCATCTTATTTCGTCTCTATTAGTGCAATAGGCTCTCATCTAGTCTCTTTGCTTACACCATTGTTCTCCTTTAGTTTATTTTCAACACAGCTTTATAATCTTGTTAAAATGCACGTCTGATCATATCACTTGAAGGTCTTCCCATCTCCCTCACAGACGTCAAAATCCTTAGGTTTAGTATCACCTAAATAGTCCTAATGGTCTGAAGTAATCTGCCATTGTCCAGTCCTGTCTCATTACCTCTTGAAATCTTAGTGTTTCTATCTGCCTGTTTGCTTACTAAGAAACCAACACCAGGCAATTATCCTCTCTTTTCCCAGAACACTCCAGGCTCGCTGGCTTTTCCTCTTCTTGAAATTATATTTCCCCAGATACTCATTTTCTTTCTTCAATTCTTATCCAAAAGTCACATCTACAGTGAATACTTTACACCTTATCTTTAATTTTAAGCCATTCCACCAGAATACTACCTTCTTATATACCAGTATCTTATTTACTGTCTGTTTTATCATCAAGAATATGAGCTGATGGTGGCAGCTTTTATGTATATTGTCACCTGTTCTATCTCCAGCCTCTAGGACAGGACCTTGTAAAAATTATGTTCAATAAAATAATTTTTGAAAGTATGGAAAATTATGTAGACAAAATATTGACTGAAGAAAATATTTCAGTTCTTTTTCATTTTGAAGACCAATAGTTTAATATCAACTCAATAACATTTAAGTCTTAAACATCTGCTTTCACGTTCATGGCAATGTAATTGTTTTCTACAGATTAATGTCAGTGATTTTTAATCTTCCAATAACATAAACAATTCTTTTAATTTTTCTATAATGTAAAAAGCACTACTATATAGTCAGTCTTCAACTTCTGCTCTAAAAATGTAGTAAAATATTAGCTCTTAAAAATTAACACTTATTCCACTTAAAAAGTAAGGTCTCAAATGCAATCTTTGAAGTGACTGCCTCCTCCATGCTTCTAAAGGAACTAGGAATCCCTTTAAAGAAGAATTTTATTATATGTGCTTCTTTTTAGAATTCTAAGGAGTTCCATTCTTTAAAATATTGCATGTTTGCTGATGCCGCTTGACATGAGTAATGTCATATATTAACATGGATGAAAATGCAATTGCAAATAATAATTTAAAAATAGTATAGTTCTATATCAGTTTTACACAAGTTACTCCTGAAAAATAAAAAAAAAAGTGCCCAGCAATTTGTAGTTATATTTATGTATTTTAAATACATCTGCAATTATTTCTTAGGACCAAATCAATTAGGTCATCTTTGACTACAAAATGTTTTTTATATTACATTCACTTACCAACTCCTTTCGATCTATATTTCCTTGCATTTCCAGGATGGCTGATGTAATGCAGGCTCAGACCCTCAAAATCAAACTATCGTTCTTGGAACTCTACTATTTGCATGCAGACTCTCCCACCTTTATTCCACATGTATATTTATTCAGTAACTTCAGGTATCAGGAATGTTAGAGTAAAATTGAAAGTTATTTCTGTCAAATTTAATTTAGTATGGTTGAAGGTTACAATAAAAAATAAAACATGAATATTGAGGAGACATGCATGTAAATAGAGATAATATTGGTGATAGACTTTCCTAAGATATATTTGAGAGATGATGATAGATGCTCAAATAGGAGATTAGAAAATATTTATATTTCAAAAAGAAAGGGAAAGAGACTATATATGGGGGCAGAGAGAGGAAGGAAGGAAAGAAGGAAGGAAGGAAGGAAAGAAAGAAAGGAAAAAGAGAAAGAAAAAAGAGAACAAATAAAGAAAGATTAAGAACAAGTAACTGGGAAAGGTAGATACGGGATTCCCTACAGATCAAAAATAAAGAATGCTACAATTGCGACCCGGCACGGTGGCTCACATCTGAAATCCCAGCACTTTGGGAGGCCGAGGCAGGTGGATCATGAGGTCAGGAGATCGAGACCATCCTAGCTAAAACGGTGAAACCCTATCTCTACTAAAAATACAAAAAATTAGCCGGGCGTGGTGGTGGGCGCTTGTAGACCCAGCTACTCAGTAGGCTGAGGCAGGAGAATGGCATGAACCCAGGAGGCAGAGATTGCAGTGAACCGAGATCACACCACTGCACTCCAGCCTGGGCGACAGAATGAGACTCCGTCTCGAAAAAACAAACAAACAAACAAACAAAAAACTATAATTGCAAGTTGTCTATATTAAGTATTTATCCAAAATACCTCCAATTTTGTTTTTAAAGGTTTATACCGCTTGACTGTCTCTGAATCTGCACCCACTGGGACTTCTATAGGAACAATCATGGCATATGATAATGACATAGGAGAGAATGCAGAAATGGATTACAGCATTGAAGAGGATGATTCGCAAACATTTGACATTATTACTAATCATGAAACTCAAGAAGGAATAGTTATATTAAAAAAGGTAGACATGTTAAAATTATTTGCCTTGCAGAATAGCGCAAAATTAAAACATAACATATTTTGTGTAGCTGGTTAGTTTTTAACTCATTAAATAATTGAAATGAGAACCAGTAATTTATGTTTTATGGAGACAAGGATTTTAGAGATGAGAGAGTTATTACAGAGTGTTTTGAATTATATGCAGAACATTTTTTTAATTCTAATAATAAAACTTTTTGGAAAATATCTTAAATACTAGGAAATTAATTCTCAGTTTCATTAGATGTTTATGCTTTCAAAAGTATAACTTTATCTCCAAATTAAAATAGGTAAGTGACAATACACCCAGATTTGTTATGCCTGATTAACAATTATATCAGAGAGATCCATGTACATAAAAAGAAAAATCTAACTGAAAGGCCACTGAGACTTAATTTAACAGGTAAAACCTTTTTTCTAAATAGTATCTTGGGTTACTAAAGCCATTTCTTTTGTGTATACTGTGTTTCTTTGCAGAAAGTGGATTTTGAGCACCAGAACCACTACGGTATTAGAGCAAAAGTTAAAAACCATCATGTTCCTGAGCAGCTCATGAAGTACCACACTGAGGCTTCCACCACTTTCATTAAGATCCAGGTGGAAGATGTTGATGAGCCTCCTCTTTTCCTCCTTCCATATTATGTATTTGAAGTTTTTGAAGAAACCCCACAGGGATCATTTGTAGGCGTGGTGTCTGCCACAGACCCAGACAATAGGAAATCTCCTATCAGGTATGTCTGTAAGGTCAGTTTTGCATTAATAAATAAGTAAATATAAAATAGATTAAAAATAAAATTGCATGCAATCTTTTTTTTAATTGAGAGGGAGTCTCACTCTGTCTTCTAGGCTCGAGTACAGTGGCGCAATCTCAGCTCATTGCCACCTCTGCTTCCCAGGTTCAAGCGAGTCTTCTGCCTCAGCCTCCCTAGTAGCTGGGACTATAGGCATGCGCCACCACGCCCAGCTAATTTTTGTATTTTTAGTAGAGACGGGGTTTCATCACATTGTCCAGGCTGGTCTCGAACTCCTGACCTCGTGATCCACCGGCCTCGGCCTCCCAAAATGCTGGCATTACAGGCTTGAGCCACCGCCCCTAGCCTGCGTGCAAATTTAAACAAGGTTATATCTGTATCTATATTTCTGTATGTCTTAATTAATTTGTAACAATTTAAGCAAAATAGGGAACCTCAGTGTCGGTTAAGATGCAGTAAAATTGGTGATTTCAAACACGTGCAAGAAGGAGGCAATTACCAATTAAAATTCAGTGCATTATATTCCCTCTTAATTGGGGAAAGGAGATAAGAGGAAAACAATCGTTTTTTAAAAAGCCCCAATTAGAGCTGAAACAAAGCTGATCAAAATGTGGCTTATTTAAGGCAGCGCGCGGTGGCTCACGCCTGTAATCCCAGCACTTTGGGAGGCCGAGGCGGGCGGATCACGAGGTCAGGAGATCGAGACCATCCTGGCTAACATGTGAAACCCCGTCTCTACTAAAAATACAAAACAAAATTAGCCAGGCGTGGCGGCGGGCACCTGTAGTCCCAGCTACTCAGGAGGCTGAGGCAGGAGAATGGCGTGAACCCAGGAGGCAGAGCTTGCAGTGAGCCAAGATTGCACCACTGCACTCCGGCCTGGGTGACAAAGCGAGACTCCGTCTCAACGACAACAAAAAAGTGGCTTATTTAAATACTATTTACTTGAAATGATATTCAAAAATTGAGAAAGCTTTTATAGCAGTGGTCCTCAACCTTTCTGCCACCAGGAACCAGTTCGGTGGAAGACAATTTTTCCAAGGTCGGGGGGGTGAAGGGGAATGGTTTCAGAATAAAACTGTTCTGCCTCAGTTTATCTGGCATTGGATTCTCATAAGGAGGTCTCAACCTAGATACTTCACATGCACAGTTCACAACAGGATTCATGCTCCTATGACAATCTAATGCTGCCGTGGATATGAGAAGAGGCGGAGCTCAGACAGTAAGGCTGGCTCGCCTGCCCTCACCTACAGGCCATGGACAGGTTCATGGCCTGCTGTTCATGGCCTTGGGGGTTGGGAACCTGTGTTTTACAGGATACCACTTAAAGGAGTTCAAAGGGTTAGAAATCTATTCTTGTATTACAATTAAACAGATATTTGCCATCTATTAAAATAGTCTGTTATTTTCAGTTACTATGTTATAATTTATTTTGCTTTTGTTTTATATTTTGTTTATTTGTTTGTTTCAGTAGTTGAGGTATAGTCTGGTTGGGCATAAAAAACCAAAGCTTGTTACGTAATGATTTCTCCAACACCTTTCCTTACTCACCTATTTTCCAGAAACCTTCATATATTAATTAAAATGCTAGCTGCTCCTTGGCTCTGTGAAGGTCTTGCAGTAGCTCAATGAAAAAGCTCAATTTAATTTTTGATACCAAGAAATGTTCCCACTTTTCCATTATAGTTCCAGTTCATAAAATGTTGCCTTCTGATACGCATATGTAGTTCTTAATTAGTCATAGACATTTTAGTGATTGTATAAGTGCATATCAATTTTTTACTTTAAAAAATGTATCTGTATACCTATTCATTGTTCTTCAGGGAACACTAAATAATATGGAATGTTAAAAAATGCTTTGATGATTAAGATATTCATATGTTATCATTTATAGTAATAAAGTATTGAAAACTGTTAATTTTAGGAGTACAAGTGAGTAAATTATAATTCATGATGCTTGTGATGCATAGGTAATACCACTGCATACATTTTAAAGCACAATAATACACAATGAAGAATTGCATGCTTACTACATGTGAAAATGCTACATATATATGAAGAAAAACCTAAGGTACAACCAAATATTAAGAGGTTTTGTATTTTATAGTATCACCATTGGTGTCTACTTACTTCAATCTGAAAATATTTTAGCTAATGACTTCCACCTTTATACTGGCAATTATTACTTTTTAAAATAACTTGTATCCATCAAAAAACACGTTTTAATGATTTGACAGATGTTCTTTCATTTAAAAGTGTCTTTTAAATAATATTGCTTTTCATACATATGTTAGGATCACTGAGGATACAGCAGTTTTTGTTGTTGATATTGTTGATTTTTTTCATATGATATAGCTTGATTTAACAAACATTCAAAATACATCATAAAAACAAAATCAGTTGCTTATGAAAATACCCACTTCAGCACATTTCAGGAGGCTTCTTTTTGGTTTTCTTTATTTATCTCTTTTTTCTTTGTAAGCAAAAGATCCCCAAAATATTTGAACATAAAATGCAAAATGATTTCAATTTGAGTTTTAATTTGATAATATCTCTTCTTTAATACTCACTGCATGGTAAGAGCTATGAAAACCAGAAAAAATATTAGGATATTGTATTTTAGCCTTAGGGATGTCTCATTGTTGTGGGAGAAACACTAACACATATTAAACATAGTAAATTAGCCCCAATTCATTCAACTCATATTAGTTTTTCCTACTAAGTAAGAATCACCTGCTGTTTCTGTAAAGCATGGAAATTCCCAAACTCAGTTTCATCACGTCTTGGGTGGGGTAAATAAACTGGTGTAACGAAATACTCTTGCTTTAGTTGAGGTCATAAAAGCTTGAGGAGCAAGATCTACCTTTATATGAATTATAATAACAAACTACATGTCAATTTTTAAAAAATGGGGCACAGAAATAATGGAAAAATTTAATATTTAGACTTGAAAGTGAGATGATAGAATTGTTTTAAGGAGCCTTGTATGGTAAAAATTAGAGGAGCCCAAACAATCTGTAATAAAATTACTACCATAAAATTATTAAGAACTTCATAAGAAATTATTCTTAAAATTTTTATTTTATCACTAAGACTATGTATTATTTCAGAAGTCTAAATGTTTACGTCCCTCAAAATTCATATTTGAAATCTGAAATGCCAGTGAAATGGTATTACAAGGTGGGTCCCATTTTGAAATCCTAAATCTCAATGAAATGGTATTAGGTGGGTACGAGAAGGTGGGTCTTATAAGGCATCAAGTGACACAGGTGGAGCCCTAATGAATGGGATTAGTGCCCTTAAAGTGGAACCCAGATAGCTCTCTCAAGCCTCTCTCTGGCTGTAAGGACACAGAAGTCAACAGTCTGCAACTGAAAGAGTGCTCTTGTCAGAAGCCAATCATGCTGGCATCATAATCTCATACTTCCAGCCTCTAGAAATGTGACAAATAAATATCAGTTGTTTATAAGCTGCCCAGTCTATGGTAATTTTTAATAGCTGTCTGTGATGACTAAGACAATTGCCTTATTCTTTTGGACTTCAGATATAGGGATTACTCTTTTGGTATCAATGGGTATGATTTACTTTTTGGACGTTATTGAAGTTTCCTTTCAAATTAAGTCTAAAGTCAAACTTTGAAATATTTTGTAAGTATGAGAAAGATGGTGTATTATTTCCTGTTAGAAAAAAAAGAGCAAATAAAAAGCAAAGCAAGCAGGACAAAAAGGAAATAAAAAGATTAGATCACAAGCAGTGAAACTGAAAGCAACGGAGTAATATAATG
Source organism: Homo sapiens (assembly GCF_000001405.40). Classification (NCBI taxonomy): domain Eukaryota; kingdom Metazoa; phylum Chordata; class Mammalia; order Primates; family Hominidae; genus Homo; species Homo sapiens. The sequence continues at coordinate 66,540,165 of NC_000018.10, read as the reverse complement.
AAGCCAGTAGCAGATTCTTTCAAAATATTGCTAAAGTTTATTAATCTCTATCGAGAAAGGCCAAGGGGCAAACAGAGAGAGAGAGAGAGAGAAGACAAAAATTATTATTACCAAAGTGAAAAAGGGAGCACACATATTGATCCCACAGACATTAAAAAGATTATAGGGACTACTTTGAACAATGCTATGCCTATACATTTAGAGGAAGTTCTTGAGAGAATCCAAAGATATTAAAAGATAAATAACCTTAGCATACACACACACACACGTATACATTTACAAACAACCATATATGTACAACCTCATAAATATGTATACATACACATGCATACACACAAGCATATATATACCACCAAAAAGTCAGTTAAATAGCTTCATAAAAAAAGAGCAGTTCCAGTAAAAATTGATGCCACTGATATATCCTACCATACGTAACAAGCAAAGAAAACTACAGATCAATATCCCTCATAAACAAATATGAAAATTCTTTACAATAATAGTAATTTGAGCTATTTGTGAAAAGGAAAGTATATCCTTATCAACTGGAGTGCACCCAGGAATGCAAGGATGTGTCTATATATTAAAATAGTTTCATATAAACCACCATATTGAGAGATTAAAAAAGAAAAGCCATATAACATCTCAATAGACAAAGAAAAAACATTTGACAATATTCAAAATTAACTTATTATAAAAACTATCAGCACAATCAGCACAATATGAATAGAAGATTCTTAAACAGATACAGAGTATCTACAAAAGAATGCAGCTAATATTATACTTAATTATGGAATATTATGTGCTTTTTTCCTAAGATTGGAAACAAGGTAGGAATGTACTCTTTCACTAGTCCAAATCTATAATATTGGAAGTCCTGGCCATGCAGTAAGTGAGAAAAAGAAATAAAAACATACAAGCTGGAGAGAAATAATATAGTTTTCTTTATTTGCAGATGACTTGATTATTGCCTAGATAATTCCAGGAAATTCACAAAAATGCCCAGTAATATGTGAGTTTATCAAGGCAGAAAGATACAAGATTATTATAAATTAAACTTATATTGACCGCAACACCCAGCAATCCCTCTTCCAAGCATTTACCCAGGAATAAAGGAAACTTTGTGTTTTGGGTTGAGTTGTGTCCTAAAGAGACATGTTGAGTCCTAACATCCAGTACACCCGAATGTGGCCTTGTTAAGAAATAGAGTAATTGTGGAGGTAACTAGTTAAGATAAGGTCATACCTGAGCAGGTATGTTTTTAATCCAAAATGGCTGGTGTCCTTATAAGAAGACAGACACTGGGAGAGGACTGCCATGTGACAACCGAAGCAGAGATCAGAGCGATGCGTCTACAAGTGGAAGACTAGCAAGGACTGCCGGAAATCACTGGAAGCTAGAAACAGGAAGGAAGGATTCACCCCTACAGGCTTCAAAGGAAGCATGACCCTGTTGATACTTTGATTTTAATAAATCTAATAGAGTTAATTTATCGTTTTCAGCCACCCAGTTTGTGGTGTTTTGTTGCAGCAGGCCTAGAAAGTGTATTTATTTTGACATGAAAACCTGTATGCAAGCATTTATGGCAGCTTTATACATGATCTCCAATAACTGGAATTGACTCAAATATCCTTCAATAGGTGAGTGGATTAAAAAAAATGAACAAACAAAAATAAACCCTGTGGTACCTAAACTAAAAAGATATGACAAAGGAAAGGAGGGTGATAAAATTGTTCTGTGTCATTATGTGAAGGCGGACACATGACTATTCTTTTGTCCAAGTTCAGAGAATTCTCCAAGATATAGATGAAAATACTAATTAGTGTAAACTCTGGAAAAAAATCAAATAGGACTTTGGAGATATCCCCAAAATTGAAGGCAAACTATTGCAAATGTACTTTATTATATTATAGACAAATAACATAATCAAAAGGAGAGGAATTAGGAAAATACAACCTAAGTAATTTTGGAAGAGAGTATTTCAATTCTAAATCTAGAGAAAAAAATAGCTGTTCAGAAGAAATGTACTCTACATAGTGAATATATTTTTTACATGGATACTATTTAGGGATTGCAGTGTTACTCTACATGTATATTGGGATTGAACACATAAGTAAATATGCTGTAGATAGTAAGACTAAGATGCATTATTGTCAAAAGAAATGATTACAAATAAAAAATGAGAAAAGTTACATGAAGGTGTCACACTGGATTGAAATCTGAGGTATGATGCACGAATGCCTTCTTAATATATATACAGACAGAAGGAATTACATGGAAATAAATATAGATGTGTTTGTACGCATGGGTATACATACATATATTTCCTGCTGATGTCTGCTCAAAGGACCTAAAAACAATGAAACTCAAGAAGCAATGGGAACTCTTAATACCTAGATCTTGCTTTCTAATACTACTCTCCAATCAAAGATGCTGCAACTCATCTGATAACTGGAATCCAGAGCTGTTGTAAGGAAACGACAAGATCATCCTGGAGCATCTTGTGGTTCCAGAAAGAAAGTATTAAAAAATGTTAACATTATTCCTCTATGGATACTGAAAATTAGTGGATAAATGTTTGAGAAACCAGAACATTTTAAAATAGTTTCCTGAGATCCTTATGAATTACAGAAGAAAAAAATAGCAATTTTACCCCAGAGAAATGGGGTCGTCATCACCTATTCGAGTTCTCAATGTTAATATCACCATTCATGAGATATGATGAACATCATGTTCCCCTGATATGATAGCCTAAGAAAGTATATCATGTCTGTGTTATTCCTGCCAAAAATATGTAACCTTAGTCTAATCATGAGAAAGCATCAGACAAACCCAAATTGAGAGACGCTCTTTAAAATAATTGACCAATACTCTTCAATAGCATCAAGGTCTTGAGAGACAAGAACATTGAGGAATCGTGGAGGAGACTAAGGACGCAGGAAAATGAAAGGCCGTATTGGATTCTACATTGGATTGTAAAAGAAGAATATGAGTGGAAAAAAAACAGTGAAATCCAACTATAGTTTGTAGTTTGATTAATTAAATTATAGCGATTAATTTATTAAACAGATTAAAGTTTATATAAGATTTTAACATTAGAAAAAGCTGAGTGAAGAGCATGTAGAAATGCTGTGTGCTGTTTTTGCAACATTTCTGTAAGTCCAAAATTATTGTAAAATGTTTTTAATTGGATTAGTGGGAAAATTCCAAATTTTAAATTTTGCTGAGGTCATGATGGTACATATCTAAATAAGTCAGCTGTTTACATATTTATGAATTTTCTGATGTTTGTCTCCCTAGTTTAAAAATGGGAAAAATATATATATGTATTTTACATATATGTAAAATTTAACTAAAACTTACCTCAAAGCCAAACAAATTTTGTCCAGTGAAGGTGGAGTGGGGGAAAAGAAAACTTACATAACGAGAATTTGTGGTTCTAAAAGGGGTTAAGAAAAATGATACATATTACACATCACTGCTTATATCACATCCTAGAGGGGCTACATATATTTTTACTTCTGTTTTAATTAATTAATGGGAACTGAACCAATTTATTGTTTATGTGGCTCTTCTTCCTAAATTCTAACAGATGTGAATTAAACTACTAAAGACTATAACATCCTGTCAAACTTTAAATGGGCTTTATGTGCAATGACATTTTACAGAAATAGGATTAGATGTTTAATTCAAAATAACAACTGTTAAAACACTGTATAATTTTTCCAACAATTCTATTAGGTGTGAAAGGCAACCACTTGGGGATATTTAGGGAAAATACTTATAAATATTTTAAATGGAGTACAGTTAAAACTGAACTCCCCTAAAGCTTAATTCCTCGTGATTTCTATTGAGTCCTTATCTGAATACCTAGCTACAAAGTAGCATAATGTTTTTGGAAATACTTGAACTCAAAATTAAAATATTCTCATCTTTGCCATATAATTATGGTAAACTTCCTTGATATCTCATCAAAGTCTTCAGGAATATACATGCAATGAGAAGCCATTATTGAACCCTAGTTATTATTGCTCTTTAATTTTTATTATTAATTGTTTCCACATAGATGAGACATGCTGAGTATTTCGAAGTCTTCTTTCATTGTGGAGGTGGAGATCATTTTTCAGTTTTTTTTTTCCCTTGGGAGAAATTTGTAACTTGGCTTTCTTCCATGCACAATCTAAAAGCACATTAGAACTACTGTATTTTACTTTTGTTTTATATGTGTGTATATATATAAAACATATATATTATATGTAAAAATATATAATATAAAATAAATACATGTGATGTAATATATCACATACATATATACATACATATATTGTATGTAATATATAATAAAACATATGTATCATATATTACATATATATGCATAAAACATATATGTATTATGTATTACATATTTTCTATATGTAATATAGAATAAAGCATATATGTATTAAATATTACAAATATGTTATATATGTAATAAAATATGTCATGTGTTATAAAATGTAAAATATATATCATATATAATGTATTATATATATGTTTATATATATATATATATAAATATTTTGGATTCCTGATTCCAGATTCCAGATTTCAGAAGTCTTTCAGGTTTCCCAAAAGAATTAAAATTCTATCTACTATATAGACTTTACTTTTTATCAAATTTACTTTTTAAACAAACAAAAACATTTGTTAAATATCAAGCCAAGTAGTTGTAGTAAAATGAACAGATTCGCAAGCAACACCTGTGACATAGGAAAGAGATCAATACTCGTCTAGGCTGAAGATATATTTTAATTTATTTGATAGGAAAAAAAGATTCACAATCATTAATTTTAGATTTAGCATCCATCAATTTAAATCTAAAGTCATGTTACGTCTTTTTTTCTATCTCCACTGAGTTGAATCTTAAATACAGGAATATACTGTTTTAAAAGTTGTTCGGTATTATATATTGGCTATGTAGAGCATGCATTGAATAAGATGTCTTATTGCTTAAAGAGTATTATCTAACACTGTTATGCAGATAGAATAAAAATATTAAGGTATACTTTCCTTTTGGTTCAGGTATTCTATTACTAGGAGCAAAGTGTTCAATATCAATGATAATGGTACAATCACTACAAGTAACTCACTGGATCGTGAAATCAGTGCTTGGTACAACCTAAGTATTACAGCCACAGAAAAATGTAAGTACTCATTTGAAATCCAATACAGTTGTTTGCCATATTTTGTAAATAATTACAAATTTCTATACATGGGGACAAGGCTACTTTAAAATGTTGTTGGAATTATTTAAATGACATTCAATGTAAATGTGTGTACTTGCGTATTTTATTAGTTTTTATTTATATGCTTACCACTAAATACCTTCTAAACTATTTTCTAATTATAACAGTAAATAATTTTCCATACAAGAATAAATTGAGGAAACAACAAAATACAAATGAAATTCACCTGAAATTCTGCTTGTTTATTTAGGTGGATGATTTCGTTTTCGGGTTGTAAATTTTTCTGATTTACCACTTGGATATTGTCCTTAAAATCATGAATCCATTATTCATACAATTATATTTATTAAAGCTTAAAGAAATAAATATAACACAATATAAAATATCGAAGTCATTTCCATTACTTAGTCAATAGATTTAGAATTGTAAAGTATTAAAATTACAAATATAAAATATTCTCAGATGCATCTTTTCTTATAGCTGATTTTACATAGAATTTTAATAATCCTGTTTCCTTTCTTCACTCTTTGTTGAGGCAGGGAGCAGATATCTCTCTTTTCCTTACTTTATCAGGCAGATGGCAGGTGATATGGTGGAGTGGAAGGCATCTCCGCATATTATTTGCGATACAATGAACAGTTCTATGGAAACACTGTAGGAGAGCTTGAATCTGGGTTTTCAAGGTTCCATTTAACTAAACCATAAAAGGAGGCAAATGTTACAATGGAATAAATGCCCGCTGTAACAGAGGAAATGTCAAGGCTTCTCGTGTCAGAAAATGCAAAGATGTTTATTTTAAATGCAGCTTTTATTCATTGTGTATTTCTGAGAACAATTTTTTTTTTTCATTTTAAGGAAAAACTTGTTGGAACAAGCTTTTATAACACTGGATAACAAATTTTCATTTTTTTTCTTTCTCTAACATTTTAAAAAATTCTACATCATTAAGCCCATTTTAGATCTATTTGGGGAAAATATGTGTAACTGCCATTTTTTTACTACTGTGAAATCAATATTGAACCAAAAATAATTAGGCTTGACCATTTAAGCTTCAATAGCAATATAAACAAACCACCTACTGGTGGAAAACAGGGCATTACATAAAACTGTTTTAAAAATCATCTAGCTGCATTTGCTAACTACCTTGAAAAGCTTTCACCATAGCAATTATACTGATTATAGGAAAGAGATGTTCCATTTAAAAATTTTTTTTTTCCAGCAAATGAAGTTCGTTGTGCTTAGTCTCTTTTCTGGAAAGCTTCCCAAATTAAGCACAATGCTATTTATCAGTATGCTAGCTAAGTGAATAAAACTACTATTTTAAGGTGAAGCTGTGAAGTTTTATATACATTTTGTGCAGTAATACCAAAGGTTTAATTTAACTTAATTTCAAGCAAAGTTTAGGAACACAAAGATAAAAACATTATGAATTTCTTATTAATTTTCTGTCAGTTTATTCACAACTGAATTACATTATACAATTTAATTATTTAAGCAAAAAGATATTCTGTGATGATGTATGCGCTGAAACCATAACAAATACGAACCTAAATTTTCTGGTTAATTTCTTCTTGAAATCTTTAGAAATACCTTTTCATTTTTAAATGTTCCATTAATTTATTTTCATCCTAAATGTCACACAATGGAGAAAAGTCTCAAAATGATAAATACTAATAGTTGCTGTATTTCTTAAAGGCCATGGATGTGTGTGTGTGTGTGTGTGTGTGTGTAATAAATCCTAGAAATTTTAATTTTTAGTTAATTGAAAATTACAATTTCTATCTTAATTGTAACTGTTATTGTTGGGAAAATTCAATTTTAAGCAAAATCTCATCCCAGCCCAGAAAACCTCCCCTCAAAGGTAGAACAGAGAGAAAAATTTTATTACTGGAAAGCATTAAAACACAATGTGATCTGCATCATAGGAAATCTAAGAGATTGCCAAAATGGAAAGAAATCTCACCTTTTTATGTGGTCAAGCAGGTGCAATCCAATATATACATGTTCTCAAGTTAAATATTATCTAGATATTCAAGTATGAGGACTTAGCACTATTTGTCACATAGAATTCATTCTATATTCACTGGGTAGTTGGAGTGACCGCCTGTATTTGCTAAGTGGTTTTATCCAAAGGACAACTTAACTTTTCATGTCTTTATGACAAGAGGTAGTTCTACAACTTAGAACAAGATCGTTGCTAAAATGAGTCTCCTATCCTTCCCCACATCTAGGATATAGGGATGCTGTATTCCTTGAAGATTACATTTCAAAGAGATGGTCACCATTACTTGATAAATACAATCCTGGATCCTAAAGCTTCCAAGAAACTTGTTGAACTTTTGAAAGATTTCCATACGCTTCAAAGGGACAAAGAAAAAACTTACATACAAAGCTTTTTTTTTCCCTCTCTCTCTCTCTTTCTCTGTGTGTGTGTGTGTGTGTGTGTGTGTGTGTATGAATGCTCTGAGAAAAGGAAGGAAAGAAAAAATATTTTCCCTTGCTTTCAACAAGTACAAGGCCTCTAATTTTTAATTTGTTTTGTTCTTTCAAATTATCATTGCAAATAGTACATATATTTTAAATAAAAACACTAAAACAAACTAAAGAATCCCACTCCTATACCCTTTAATTGTATGCACCTTTCCTATAGCTTTCTTTTTTTTTTATGAAAAAGAGAGGCCCTGTATGATGACTTAAGCCTGTAATTCCAGCACTTTAGGAGGCCAAGGTGGGTGGATAACCTGGGGTCAGGAGTTTGTGATCACCGTTGCCAACATGGCAAAAGCCTGTCTCTACTAAAAATACGAAAATTAGCCAGTCCTGGTGGCATGTGCCTGTAGTTTCAGCTACTAGGGAGGCTGAGGCAGGAGAATCGCTTGAGCCTAGGAGGTGGAGGTTGCAGTGAGCTGGGATCCTGCCACTGCACTACAGCCTGAGAGAGAGAAAGATTAAAAACAATAAACCTACACAATATAATAGCTGCAACTTACTTTTTTCAGTTCACAAAATACATGTCTGGTTAGTAGATGCAACAAAACAATAATATTTAACATTCATTGTTCAGTTATGTACTAAGTACTCTTAATTGCCTTATGTATATTAACCAATTTGTGTAATTGCTTCATGTAATTTATGCAATTGCTTTATGTATATGTTTAATCTTAACAACAACCCTATAAGGCAGGTACTACTATCACACCCATTTTTCAGAATGCCAACTGAGGCATTCTGGTTAAGTATTTTTCTCAAATTGAGAAACAAGATTCAAACTCAAGTCATCCAGTTTTAGAGCTCACAATAAAAATGTGTTACATTGACTCTTTTATCTGAGTCAGGGTTTCACTCTGTAGCCCAGGCTGGAGTGCAGTAGCCCGATCACAGCTCACTGCTGCCACAACCTCCTGCTCAAGCGATTCTCCCACCTCAGCCTCCCAAGTAGCTGAGACTACAATGTACACTACTACACTCAGCTAATTTTTTTGGATTTTTAGTAGAGATGAGGTCTCACTATATTGCTCAGGCTGCTCTCAAACTCCTGAGTTCAAGTTATCCTCCTGCCTTGGCCTTCCAAAGCGCTGGGATTTAGAGGTGTGAGTTACCATGCTTGGCCAGACTCACAAATTTTTAATAAATCCACATAATATCATAGTTCAGTTGTAATTTATTCTCCCCAATTCTTTTTTGTTGTACATTTGAGTCGTTTATATAATTTGGATGTAATGCAAATAACTCTGGAATGTATTTAATCGGATCATTTACTCAAATACTGATACCTTAGACTGTAGCTTAAGTTTAACAGATTGGGTCACAGATATGTGTAGTTTAAATTTCATTATCCATTGCTAGAGTCGGTTTACATTGTTATTTTTCAGCACTCAGCTATCACTGGGTGCTGTTCTATCGCATATGACAAAAATGGCATGGGCTAAACCATCATTCTTCTTACCTGTGGTGAGAGGCTGTGTGAACATTATGATAACGCGGCGTGTCTCCACTACAGGCCATTTGGCTCCACACTTCTGCCCCCAATTTCAACCAGGGCACATTGACAATGTCTGAATACAGTTTGGATTGACACACTGGGATGGGAGGGATGCTGCAGACATTCGGGGAATAGAAGTCAGGGATGCCACTAAGCATCCTACAATGCACAGGAGAATCTCCCAAAACTAAGAATTATCCAGTATAAAATATTAATAGTGACAGCAGTGAGAAAGTCTGCTATAAGATAAATCGAATTTTCTCTCCTGTGAATTCCTACTTCATACTTTTTTCTGAAATGTCTTTTTTATATCAATTTGAAAGATTTAAATGTTTTAACCACAATTTTCTCTCATTATGTTTTTTGGATTTCTTGGCTCACTTAGAAAATCTTCTCAATTCAATGTTTATATAAAAACTTTATTTAGATTTTATTATAACTATTTTACTTTAAAATATATTTAGATTCTAATTATTTGTTTTTAAAAGCTACGCCCTAAATTTCAGTGGTTCACAGAATTTTTTTTGTTATAGCACTGCAGCTATAACCTTACACAAGTAATTTAACTGTAATTTTTGAAACTAAATGGTTTATCAATTTTTTATCCGTAAAATTGGGGGGATAATAATCCATATATTGATCAAAATTAAATGAGTTAATACAAAACTTTAAATGGTTCCTGGACTCTTGCAAGCTCTCCGTATACCCTTATTTTACTTTATCTTTTTACTGCTTTTTCTCATCACTTATTACAGCCCATGGCAAATACAATGCACTCAATAAATATTGCTTGGTTTGAATATATTGAGCATGGAATTTTTTTCTAGGATCTATTGTTGATAAGTAGGTGAATCATATAGATATCCTGTCCTCAGATTGCTTTTTTCAAGTAAAATAAAAATACACCACGTAGCCTCTAATGTAATTTTAATGATGTCTCTTCTAAAGACATATTAAAATATGTTAGATTTTTATTATATATATTCAAATTGCAGACAATATAGAACAGATCTCTTCGATCCCACTGTATGTGCAAGTTCTTAACATCAATGATCATGCTCCTGAGTTCTCTCAATACTATGAGACTTATGTTTGTGAAAATGCAGGCTCTGGTCAGGTAAGGACTCATTATAAATTACAAAGTCTAAACAATATATCATTGTTTCATAATATGAAATTTCTTCATATATTATACAATATTGTTATATAATAGATATCAACATCTTTAATATTCATATATTATAATTTATATAATTATTGTAATTCTATATTATATTATATTCAATATATATACAAATTATATATATAAAATAAGCTTTATAATATGTAATAATTTTTGTTATGCATTCATCTTATTTTAAAACATCAAAAAATTTATTCTATTTATATTAATTACATGCTTTTATGTTGTGAGCTTTGTATAATAATATTTTATTTTAATTTTTAAAAGCATGCAAATTTCAAGTTTTCTACTTTCAAATTCCTAAAATGTTTTTAAAAATTTGCTAACGATAGTGATTCAGTAGTTTACTTTTATAGTATATTTATTATTCAGTAGTTCATTTATACTTTGCCAATACAATTAAAAAAATTAATTCTATAGGTTAGTCACATTTAAGTTTTTTTTTTTTTATTCATCATGCAGGTAAAGGTAAAATGAGACATAAACATAAACATATGGAGGGAAAATACACCAGAATGTTTTTTCGTAGCGTTTAATTGCTATACCAGGTATAGCAACACAAATAAAACTGAGTTTTGTACAAATTATTAGATATGTAAACACTTATGAGAACATACTCATTTTGAAATACATTATCATTACTTCACAATTTATTTCACACACTTTCTTATCTGCTGCTCACTTTTTTATTTGTAAAATGTGAAACTTAAGTTAGAATGTTATTTGTGTACTTCTAAGCTCTGGTACATAATAAACTAATATAATTATCAGGTTTCTTAGAGCACACAGAAGACTATTAAATACCATAAGCTGTTTTTCTTTAAAAAATGTCCACTAATGTTCAAAAATTTTACAGTCTAGAGTTCATGATACTAAACAGTTATACAGATACTATCAACTCAATTATTCTAAGTAGCTTTGAATTTATCAACAAAGCTAGTCAGGGACCATTTGGATTTTACAAAAGCAGAAATTATATTTCTCTTTCAATAAATGTTAGTAACCAAAGTTATATTTGATCAATTAGCTACTATGCTGAGGAATACTCATATCTTAAGAAATAGGTACATCTTAACTGTTACTGATTATTAAACTGCAACATAGTGAAAATTGTCAATATTTCTTGAAATGACTGAATTTCATTAAGCTATGTGTATTTTTGAATGTGATTTCACTGGAAATAATGATCAAATCTTGCCTATAAATATTTTCCAAAATGTTTTTGAAAACAGTAATAGAATTGTTATAAATATACAAATGACTTTAAAAATTTAAAGCACTCATTTCTAATGGGTTAGAACCCAAGGATTTGGGAAAGTAAAAGGTGGATATAAAAATTTCAGAGGCTCTCTATTGTGTTGCACTTTCCCTAGAACCAAAATTGAACTATTTTAGAAATGTATGGGCGTACAGTATAGGGTAGAAGAGATCACAAAAACAGAATGAACGTGAACTTGGACCCATGGCTCCTGCAGAAATTCAGCTTAGACATTTTTCTTCAAACGTGGTACTATAAGTAGATTATATATTTAGAAATTGGACATAGCTAATGTTCTCAAGAATTTCAAACACATCTGATTACTTAGACACATTGACAAATATAACAAGCAACTTTTAAATAATAACATGTAAATCTAATAAATGATACTTTAAATGTGGCACACCAGTTTTCTTAAAATACAAATAATTTTTGAAATGATGAATTTTATAATTTTCTAATAAATATATATCAAATTTACATATTAGATGTAACATATTTCTAGAATTATTATAAATAAAATTATGGTTTATATTTATTATAATTATATTTCATATTTCTAGTACCAGTATAGTAAATTATTTCATTCATTTCATGTACATATGAAGTGTACATATGAATGTATTTAGATTATCCATTTATTAGCCTGTTTTAAGCCTAAAAAAAATAGGTTTAATTTACTGCATCTTCTATACACCTATTTCTGTAAATGTCCCATGTGGTAAGTATGTTAATTGGACAAAGTTCTGTTTTTTATATATATATATAGATGGAGCTTTGCTCTCGTTGCCCAGGCTGGAGTGAAGTGGCGTGATCTTGGCTCACTGCAACCTCCCTGTCTCGGGTTCAAGCGATTGATTCTCCTGTCTTAGCCTCCCGAGTAGTGGAGATGACAGGCGCACGCCACCACACCCGGCTAAATTTTTTTGTATTTTTAGTAGAGATGGGTTTTTGCCATGTTGGGCAGGCTGCTCTCAAACTCCTGACCTCGTGATCTGCCTGCCTCGGACTCTCAAAGTGCTAAGATTGCAGGCGTAAGCGACCACACTTGGCCGTTTCTGTTTAATATTTTCGTATTTTCCTCAATATATTACTAGATTTATGACAGCAGAGATTCTTGATTTTATTCCATAGTTATATATGTATGCACATATAGTGATTATAATATGAAAAGTATTCAATTCATATGCTTTCAGAAAAATATATTTCACATGCAACCTGGAAAAACAATTTTGTATGTTTTGTAAATATGAAAAAATAAGCAAAAATGACAATACTAACCACATGGATATAGTTCAAAATAGAATTACTAAGTAGTATTTGTTAGTTATACTAAAAAACTTAATATATATGTATACCTGAGTGCACCAATATATAATAGATATTTAAAAAAATTTATTTGTAATTCATTCAATATTTAAGCTTGCCATACACATATATATACATACATACACACACACACACACACACACATATATATATATACATATTTATATATTCAGTAATAAAACTAATTCTTGGAAACTATCCCTGATTTTGAAATTATCTTTATAACACTTATTCAAATATTACTGGACATGTATAGTCAATGAAAATAGAAATGAAACTAAAAGATGGTGTGCCAGTCCTCTTTTATATATTTTTCAAAGTTGATGTAATACTTTGAGCAACACAATTTTAAAAAAAAAGAATGATGAAATAGTGAAGATTTATTTCATTATTGTCATTCTTCACACAAACTTTCAATACACAATCTTTCAAATTACATGTCTTTTAAATATATATGTGAAAAAAACTTATGCACAATGATGAAATAATTCTTTGGATGATGATGTATCATGAAAATGTCCAAGACAAGTATCTTGATAATATTCAAGGCATTTAAAACCACCATGTTACTAAGTTCCATAATGTATCCTAGATTTATAAAAGTGTCTACATACCCACATAGTCATTGAAGATATAATTTTTAAATTTGAAATAAGTTAATATTTGTTTATTCTTTGAAGTACCTCTATAACAACCACAAAAATGAAATACCATTATCTACAAACAGGTAGAACTGATCCAAAGGAAACTCAAATGCTAATGTTTATTGCAATGTACTGTAAAAGTATTCTCAGTCTTAAACTCTACTGAGGAGAGAAATATCTATTGGGTGCAATGGCATAGAGTTTTCTTGTGCCCTGCTTAAAGTATAAATGTAAAGCTTTATGGAAAAAGCTATGAAATAAAATACTTTTTATAAATGTACATATATGTATACTATGCTTAAAAAGTTTAGTTAACTTAGGGAACTTTCTCAACATCATATAATGTAGCAATAGGTAAGCCAGAATTAAAATTTATGTCTGTCTCCAAGAATGATAGTGATTTTTACCCCATATTCCATGCTAATCATAAAGACTAGCTCTCTTTAGATTATGCACACAACTAAAAATATGAAAAACAAGTTTTTCTGTTTCTCTATTCAGAAAGAATGCTATTTATGATTTTAAGGGCAAAAATAAAAGGAAGGTCAATTTGACTGATTCCAAACTCCTTCCTGGGATATGCACTCTTCAAACTCAAAATAAGGGACATTGGTCAGCCCTATTTTACAATTTCCCTTAAGGAGAGTGTCACACATCATGAAATAATTATTTTGGGACGTGCAGATGTCGCTGTCAAATTCTGGAAGTCTGTCTCAGTCCTATAAGCATCTGAAAGAATGATATATGGCTACCTATCATGTTCCTCCATTTAAATCCAAGGAGAAGCCAACAATTTCCTCCCACCCTGCTGTATACATGATAGTTTACAAATTGAAATCAGTGGACACATGGTTTGAGGGCTGTCAATGTATATAACATTATAGTAGATACTTTCTCATATATTAAGATGCCTTGTTTTAATAATCCAGGAATTATGGCTATCACAAGCACAAGACTGTTGTGTTTCCTCCAGTGTTGATCATAGAGTCAGACTGACTTGGGTTGAGATTTCTGATTTGAAATTCACTGGGTAGGTTTTTGTTAATACAATTAAAACCAAACACCTAACATTAATATATGCCTCCCAAAGTGCCACTAAAAACTTTTTAAAGTGCTGTTAATCTCTTCCTCCTTCCTAGAAGTGAAATATTAATGTATGAACACTAAAACCAATGAAGCAATCTCTAAAAAAAAATGCTTTCAAAGGTAATAAGGCATAGCTCATGTAACTGAAATGGTGTGCATATGAACCGTAATTATTTTAATGCAATATCTCTGTATAAGTAGTTTTTAAAAATTATTACAAAGGGTAGTAAAAGTTATTTGATTAGGTTCACCATAATCTTAACAATAATATTAAGTGGTGCTGATAAGGAAACTCTGAAGAGCATTCTATTTAGAAGTAAACAGAGAAAATGTTTAAACATAAGGAACAGTTAATCACCAAAATAAGGAAATGTCTACACCATTAGGACACAAATTGTTAAATATGCGTGTCAGATAAATTAAATAATGTAAATTCTGGATTAAGCCAAGAGAAAATCCAGAACCAGTATATACTTTCTTAGGTTTCAAGCAGGGAACTTGGTGGCACAAACGAAATGGAAAAACACTTTGACAGCTCTCCACCTTAGAATGAGAAAATGATAGTAAAGAGAAAGGTGGCACCTTCTTTGATATAATCTCAGCCTGAGATCCCTGAAAGGGAATTGCTAAAAATAAAATTGGGGCAGAATAAAACATGAAGGACACACAATTTAGAGACTGTTGGTAAGAAATAAAAAGCTTCATTATACCAGAAACTAAAAGAAGAGTATGTGCATAGGGTGATAGACTCAGCATGGATTTGTTTCTATTAAGAAACCCAAAACAAAGTTCACTGTTTCCACTTCCCTAGAGTACTCTTTATTTTTATTTTTAAAAATATTTTTAATTAACAAATACAGATAGTACATATTTATGGTGCATGATGATGTTTATATATATATATATATATATATATATACACACAAACATACACGCATATATTGTGAAATGGCTAAATCAAGTTAATTAACATATGCATTACCTACATACTTGTTTTTTGTGGAGAGAACACTTAAAATCTACTCTCAGAAATTTTGAAGTATACAATATGTTGTTATTAACCATAGTCAATTGTTATTAACTATGTACAATCGAACTCTTAAACTTATTTTTCTTGTCTAACTGAAACTTTGTGTTCTTTGTCCACACTACTCTTTAAAAAGGACCAGGCTTCTTCAAAGTTCCAAAGCAGCAGCGCAATAATTGTTTTAAAAAATATTTACAGGTGTCCATGCATGTGTGCACACACACACGCACAAGTTAGGAAAAAAATAAAAATAAAGAAAAAAATAAGCTATCTACATCACAAAAGGAATTATAAAAAGGACAAAGAATGTTTAGAAAAATAGATCCTCACACATTCATGTCAGTTTCTGTGTACTTTAGACAACATGTTAGTCTTTGATTGCTTACATGGTTTCTGGTACAGCAATATGTTCTGGGCTCTGCCACTGATCAATTTAATGCTTCGTGGCGCACATTCATGCCTCAATACCTGCTTAACAAGGTCCTGCGCTGTGCACAGGAATTACGCCCCCCAACCCCCCCGCCCCCACCCCCGGAGAGCTTTTCTCCTTTACGGTGAGTGCAAGGTTGAGCCTTGTCAGTAGAGGGCTGTGGATGAACATTGCAGGAGAAGACTTCTCTTCCTAGATCCAGTACGTGGCATGTTTGCTTTTCCCTTTGTCATACTGCATGGTCAGCTCTCTGGACGTGTGGGGATTTGTGTGGTGCTTTTCCCCAGACGCACATACAGACCCTAATGTACCAAATGTACAGGCACTTGGCAACCAGCAACTGCCGCCTGGGCTCATGACAACCGCCTTGAGACCCACTCCCCCCCCACCCCCACCGAGTGTAAACACTGTGCTCCAGACCTGGCAACGCAGTGAGGTGAGCGCCAAGTCCTGCATATTTATCCTCCAGCCCACTGGTACCCTGGAGGGTTGTTTCTTCTTTCCTGAAGAATGTGGGTTAGAATGTGAACCCAGGCAACCTGTGAACATCTTCCATAGGGTATGCTGCAGCTGCACCTCCTCCAAGGAGGGCTGAAGCTGGTCCCAGGGAGAAGGCTTTCCGCCCACGCTTGGCTGTCCTCTGATATTTTCTCAGAGCGTCAGGATACCCTTTAGAGTTCTCCTTACATCTTTATGATTGCTCTGATATTATAGCTTAGAATTCTATTAGAATTCCTCGTTTCAAATGATCATGTGGTTTTGTCCCTCTGTTGGAACCAGGCTGATACCGAGCCAGGCCTTTCACATTTCCTGTCCTAGATATGGAATCAGTCATTTCCCAAGATTCTGTGATCTGTTAGTGAGGAATTGCAGAAAATACAGATGGAATTGTCAGTAAATAAAATTGGAAAACCTGTCCAATTAATTCCTACGCTTTCTCTTTCATTTTTGATAATGATAAAGGCAGTATTAAAACTTCATCTCATTTTTTTGTGATTTTTATTTTTTTCAACTATTTTTAATTAGTATAAATATTTATAAATTAATGTTTTAGGAAAAGGTATCAATTTTTCAGAGGGTTTTTTAAATTGTAACTATTAAAAATAATTTATAGGTAAACATTATTTCTATCAAATTGCTACAGACAATCTTACATATAGTTCAACATTAGTTTCCAGATATCCCTATAGAAAGTTGTTAAATAATTTTTTTAAGGCCAAAATATTTTAAATGTCTAATAAATACATAAATCCTAGGAATAGCACAGAACTCTTTAAGCTTAAATGTGTTCGAATTAATATGAAACATATTAAAAAGTAACTATACCAAAAAGAAGAAAAAATATATATAATAAAACATATTATATTTAAAAGAAAAAGGATAAAAAGTCAAATTGTATAAAAAATGTTTGAAAGCTGTGTAAAACATTAATAATCGTTTCTATTACAAATAACTGGCCAGGCACAGTGGCTCACACCTGTTATCCCAACACTTTGGGAGGCCAAGGCAGGTGGATCACCTGAGGTCAGGGGTTCGAAACCAGCCTGGCCAACATGGCGCACCCCCGTCTCTACTAAAAATACGAAATTAGCCGGGCGTAGTGGCGAATGGGCGAATGCTTGTAAACCCAGCAGCTTGGGAGGCTGAGGCAGGAGAATCACTTGAACTTGGGAGGTGGAGGTTGCAGTGAGCCAACATCACGCCATTGCACTCCAGCCTGGGTAACAAGAGTGAAACTCTGTCTCAAAACAAAACTACGCCGGGCTGGGTGGCTCACACCTGTAAACCCAGCACTTTGGGAGGCTGAGGCGGGCGGATCAGGAGGTCAGGAGATTGAGACCATTCTGGCTAACACGGTGAACCCCAGTCTCTACTAAAAATACAAAAAAAAATTGCCGGGCATGGTGGCGGGCGCCTGTAGTACCAGCTATTCAGGAGGCTGAGGCAGGAGAATGGCGTGAACCCGGGAGGCGGAGCTTGCAGTGAGCCGAGATCGCGCCACTGCACTCCAGCCTGGGCGACAGAGAGAAACTCCGTCTCGAAACAACAACAACAACAACAACAACAACAACAACAACAACAACAACAGAACAAGTAACTACATAAACCCTGTAACTTTTTGGCAGACTAATACATTTTAATTAAAAATAAAGGCAGGCAGGGGGTGATGGCTGACACCTGTTATCCCAGCACTTTGGGAGGCCGAAGTAAGAGCAGCACTCAAGTCCAGGAGTTCAAGACCAGCCTTTCTGGACTGGACTTTCACACTGTGAAATTCCGTCTCTACATTTTTTTTTTTTAATTAGCTGGGCATGGTGATTAATGCCTGTAGAACCAGCTACCAAGGATGCTGAGGAGGGAGGATTACTTGAGCCCAGGAGTTCAAAGCTGCAATGATCTATGATTGCATCATTGCAGTCTAGCCTGGACAGAGTGAGGACATGTCTCAAAAACAAATAAACAAACAAACAAACAAACAAAATAAATAAATAAATAAATAAAGGCCAGAGATAAGTGAGAAGATAATTATTTGCAAAATCCTGAAGAAGTCATTCTGTCCTCAATATGCAAGAATATTTGCTGGTTGATAAGAAATGTTCTTTATAAAAGTTAGTACCTCGTGTTGATGTAGTAAATGACTTAATGTAAATACCGTGGGTGACTTTGCCAATGAAGAAATTTCCAAGCACTCTGTATCCATTACAGGTGACATATTTATCATTCTGAATGTTTTAACCAGGTAAGAGTACTGTTGAAGCTTTCCCAAATTATTTTCCACAATATGCATTCATAGAAATTAACATTTAAAAAATTTATCAGATCCAGAAACCACATTCTATTTATTACTAATATTAATAGGAAGTGAACATTTTTAGTAAACTGATTCATAGATTGGTTTGATGAATTACTTGTGTGTATAGAAATTTCAGCAAGTATGTAAAAATGTATATAAAATGAAATTATAAAGAAAATTTTATTTAAGAATAATAACCAAAGTAAAGGGTGTTTTGGGACACCATTTATCTAATAAAGCACCTTAAAACTAATAAAAAGAAAAGTGATCTTTCAAAGTACCTCCTAGATTAATAAAACAACCAGATTAATATCTTGAAGTAACACAATTTAAGGCAATAAGATTACATAACAATCAATAAATCATCCTACAGGAGCAACGTTTTCTTGTATTACCTTTATTTTAACATCAAGGTTATCAGACTATCAGACTTGAAGACTTGTATTGAAAAATAATTAAAGGAAAATTCTTTGAATTGTAAAACTTGTTTTTTAAAGTTTGTGATGTGATTATAAGGTTGTCCATGAAATTTGCTGGTTCACTTTTTTTATAATGCAAATCTATTAATAGGTAGAATGGGTAAAATATAAAATTTTAAAACAATATAAAATTCTCCAAATGTGTTTCAGTGAAGATATACAGATCTTAAAATTATGCTTTACAATATTTTCTTTGTTCTTTTCAGTTATACAATAACTCAAATTAACTCAAAAAAAGAAAAAATTATACAATATTTTCTTTACTCTTTTGAAAAAAATTCCTTATCTCCAAAAATAATTGGTAACTTTTTCATGATGGATTTATTTGTATATTTTAGAGATTGCTTAGATGTGCTACAGCATCAGAAAACTGAAAAAAAAAAAAAAAAACAGCTATTTTCTTCCAGCTAGTTATCATTCTTGGCCCCAGGATGGCCAGAGTTTAAAAAAGATAGGCGTTTAATAACTGAGGCTGCTCTATTTCTCTTTCGATTGGAACTGTCTATCACGTTTCTCACTTTTTTGTTTGTTTGTTTGTTTTTTGTTTGAGACAGAGTCTGGCTGTGTCACCCAGGCTGGAGTGCAGTAGTGCAATCTCGGCTCACTGCAACCTCTGCCTCCCGAGTTCAAGCGATTCTCCTGCCTCAGCCTCCCGAGTAGCTGGGACTACAGGTGCATGCCACCACACCCGGCTAATTTTTTATAGTTTTAGCAGAGATGGGGTTTCACCATGTTAGCCAGGATGGTCTCCATCTCCTGACCTCGTGATCCGCCTGCCTCGGCCTCCCAAAGTGCTGGGATTACAGGTGTGAGCCATCACACCTGGCCCTCATTTACTCTTAAGCAATACATAGCACACAGCTTTCCAATGATAGCTGAGTGCATCTTTTTGAATTTGATGGATTTGCCTCTTTTACCCTTTGAGAAAAATGAGCAGGATAGCAAAATAAGTGTTGTTCTTTTTATGTATTATTTAAATGTCTTTTGTTTTTTGTTTCTTTGTTAGGTTTTGTTTTGTCCCATGTTTTTGAAAGGCAAAGTGGTTCTTTAGAGAGGATTGCAATAAACATTTGTTTTCTAGTGTTAAGTTCCTGGAATTTCTGATTGGTATTCTTGATTATTGTCTAAAAATCACATGTATAGGAAACCATGAGATGTAATTCAAATATGTTTCCCCTTATGTGAGAATGAAACATCAAAAACAACAAGCTACAATAACAAAAAGATTACACAGTGCAATAGCTGAAGATCTCTATCACTCATCCACACTACCCCAATTAGATGATAATATCCTAACCATGCTGAATACTAATCTCCTCATTTCAAAAATAATAATACAGCTTCTCCTCTACAATCTCTATCTTCTAAGGATTTTGTAAAGATAAAAAACAAATAAGAAAGAAGGTAAAAGAGGACTGTGGTAAAAGTAGTTTTGTTAATATTAACAGTGACAATTAAGGGTCATGTCATACATTATAAGTTCTTAACATGGAGTTCATTGTCTTCTAAAGAGATTTGAATTAGCTACACGGTGTCTATGTACACTTGACATTGCACACAAACAACATTGTCAATGTCTGTTGGAGATGAGAGTGGAGCAGGTTAATAATGTCGTTCATCAGATGTTTAGGGGAGTCGAATTAACAAAGTAAAAAACAAAAGTTAAGAACTCCACTATAAATGTGTTATAGAGGTTGATTTTTTTGTTTTGTCATCATACGTGTGTGATATTAATAATGTACTACAGGTACATAAGATGTAACCATTGGTTTAGCTGAATGAAGTGTCTGAGAGACTGCATGCACAGGGTTTACATTTTCTTGTGAATCTATAATCATTTCAAAATGCAGGTTTTTAAAAAAAGTCATTAGACTGGAATGAAATAAAATGAAATAATGTAAGAAAAATAGAAAAGAGGATTAAAACAATTATGCTTAATAATACTGAGACTATGTCACAGAGAAGTTTCTAAGGAATATTTTCGGTCAAGAGATTTGTATCGTTGAGTTTCAAAGTTACAGTTAATTTTCATGTTATTTAAACTTTCCTAAAAATAATAAAAAGTTAACAATATACAATACTTTGAAATCTGTAAATATTTTACATATCAAGTCAAAGGAACTAAATAATACACATAAAAATTATATACACGAACTTTTCATTTGATGCTAAGAAACCCTCAGATAAAAGTAAACCTAGGTGGGACACAGTGGCTCACGTGTGTAATCCCAGCACTTTGGGAGGCCTAGGCGAGAGGATCACCTGAGGTCAGAAGTTCGAGACCAGCCTGGCCAACATGGTGAAACACCATCTCTACTGAAACTACAAAAATTAGCTGGGCACGGTGGTGGGCACCTGTAATCCCAGCTACTCAGGAGGCTGAGGCAGGAGAATCGCTTGAACCTGGGAGGAAGAGGTTGTAGTGAGCCGAGATCGCACCGTTGCACTCAAGCCTGAGTGACAAGAGTGAAACTCCATCTCAAAAATAAATAAATAAATAAGTAATGAATAAGAATAATAAACCTAAATCCTAGGTAATAAATATAAGACTTCAAAAGGCACACATAATACGTATAATAATGATAAAATATTATAGTCCTCAATCGATAATCAAAACTTTATGTAATATTGAAACTGATAGGGTAATATAATTTAAAACAGTAATAAGAAAACAATGCCTTCTCTTACACTATTATTTGTTGGAGTTCTAAAGCCAAATTTCATACAATATATAAAGTACATATAAAATAAAGTCACTGAAAAAAAGAAAAATTATTTGAAAATATGAGTATGTAATGCAGTGCTTCCAAATAAATGATAGAATTGTAAATTTTCCTGTAGCCACGTTTAAAAATATAAAAAACACCCAGATAATGTTAATTTTAGTAATGTTTATTTGATATAATATATCCAAAATATCATCTTCACATACTTTTAATTAAAATCATTAACAGAATATTAAATATTTTATACATATTTTTAATTTATGAAGATGATTCTTTTCTCATTTCCCACATGCTCAAACAGCCAGAGAAAATGGCAGGTAAAAGGATGTCTTATATCTATCTACTTTGGATGGATAATAAATTGATCATAGAAAATAAAAATGCCAGAGTAGTCACACTCTACTCTGGAGGAATCCAAACATTTACTCAAATACCTATGTGGGTAAACAAAATTTTTGGTTTTGTTCTTAATGTGTAAGTGGCCAGGGTGGGGAAGAGTAGGAGAGAATTTTCAGCAATTTGCAAATATTAATATAATAAATGAGCTGACATCAGGGTAATTTGCCTTTGCCATGTGGTGCAAATAGTTATCATTTTTCAAATCACTGAGTGCCATTATTTTGACTGATATTAAATGTCTTTTTTTTTGGAGGTAAAGTATAATATCGATAATTTTCAGATTCACTCATACCAATATTTTGTCTAAAGACATTTACCTTGTCTCCATGTAAAAATTTTCTTTTTCCTAAATTTCAGTGGTTGCATTTTGTGATCTATGATTCTCTTCCTTTCACTTTTGTGTCCAAAAGTTTCCTGAACTCATTATTTCTTCTTTTATCCACTTCTTCCTCTCGACTACAGTTCATATCCAAATAACTGTATCTCTGCCTGATTTTTCTGTTTTAAGCTATGTGTCTGACTAACCTGAGAAAACAACTCAGATGTCCCATGGTTACACCAAATTTGCTCCTAAGCCTTCCCTTTCTTCAGTATCCCTAGGAAAATTATTATGATATCAAGTTTTGCAAGAAAAAAAGACATATGGACATCATTTTTAATTAATTCTAGTCTTTATTCTCCATATCCAATCAATAATTTGGTTCTGTTGATCCCATCTCCTACATATGTCTTTAATGTATCAATTTCTCTCTATCATCATTCTTTCTACCCTAATAGGAACCTATATTCTCTTCTAGAGTGAACCTAACCTAAGGGACCTATCTTCTCTTCTAGAGTGAACCTGACCTAAGCAGGTCTGCAGAGGGATGTTCCTGTAAAATCAAACTTTCCTTCATCCAATCTCACAGCACATATGCAGCAATGTATCAGTTTTATAAATCAATTATATTTATTAGGTAAGACTGCAGTCATGCAGTTTCAGGAGAATCAGATTTTACTGGATGGAGAGTAGCGAGGAGAATATATAGCCCTCTTGAAAATGGTGAAAAAACATTACTTTGGTGACATCTTCTGGAGCTCAGCATACCCTTAGGCAAATTTTGGGACTCAGGAATTATATCTCTATTTGAAGCATACTGTACCATTCTCAATTTATGAACACTGCTCAGTAATTTCTGTATTGTTTCTCATTTAAAATAACACATTCCATAATTGTGATTGTTAGTGGGTTTTTTTGTATATCACATAAAGTGATTTTGATTACCAAGCAGTTGTTCAATAGGATCATGACAATAGCTTGCGGACTAGATTCTCTATTTCCAGACTTACACTAAGGATGTCCTCAGAAGGAGCATTCTAAAATGCAGTCCTTTGCCTGGAACCATGTGATCCCAAATAAAAGTAATGATCATGTCATTCCCAACTTAGAGCCTGGGAGTGTCCCTCAGTATAAAGTCAAAACTCTTTAATATGTCCACGATGTATCCCCTGCTCACTTCTGCTGTATGATCTTCTAATTTCAGCACAGATACAAGGTTCTCTGACCCCCCAATATTTAAGTATTAAGTACTTTAGGTGTTTATAACTTTTAAAATGTAATTTGGGTATTCTGTACTTCCTCAATACTTTTTAAGTTTGCAATTCTGCTTGATCTTCTTCACCACTAGAATGTGAACAGTGGTGACAGAGACTAACTTTATCCATGATTGTACCACCAGGGCATAGGATTGCTTGGAGTGCTGTAAGTACTAATGAAATACATTTTAAATGGATACATTTAAGATACTAATGAGATATTTTATAGTTTAATATTTTTCCATATACATGCTGATTTTATGTGAATTTTAAAAGTATATTTGGAATATTAACTTTAAAAGGAAAATTAGAAAATACGTATTGAGATAAAAATCTAGGAATGTGTATTTTTCAACTGAATATCAATTTCTACAAGTTAATGGCAAAAACAATTATAATATCTATGACATTTAAATAAATATAATGAAACTTTGTGAAAAATCCTTTTAGAAAACTTAGAGTATCCTCAGTTCTATCCAGGTCTAAAATATTATGCTATAATGACCTTTTGAACATTTTTCTTCTAATATTTTGCTAAACAAAGAAAGACAACAAGCATACTACAACCTAGACTTTCTTGTTGGTTCTACTTCTATTAGTGTATTATTTTGTACTCTGCCTGTTTGAACAGATGTTCAACACCTTTTTTGAGTTTTATAGATTTATTTTGTCAAAACAGGTGTAATTTAAAATCATTTACTCATTAGAGTAATATAAAAAGTGATGGTCTCATACATATGTTTGTATAATAATTTCTTGGCAATGGGAGACAATCTGCATCTTTAGCCTAATACAAGGTATACCTACCTAGAATAACTAAATAAGCAACTCAGATAAGATTTTTAAGAAAATCTTTCCAGATATTCATTTATTACAACTCCAACTTTTTGTTTAACATTTTTCTATTGAGAAGCATTTTTTTATTGTTTATTAAGTGCACTTCAAGGAATTGATGAGTTATATAAATTAATACTCAGTATTTGTATCTTGATTTAGAGTTCATGATTCAATCTATAGTTTATAATCCTATTCAACAATTTATTCATTGACTAATCCTGGAAGTAGGTTTCATTGTGACTTGCCATGAAGGTAAGGAAACAGACACAAATGTATTGCTTGCTCCAAATATTTGTGTACAAGAGTTGCATCTTAAATTAGCTGTCCATCAATTGCATGTTTAATAAGAACCATCTCTTTGGTTTGAAGAATGTGAGTATTGGGCTTATTTTTGGCTCAGGATAATTAATCTGGAATGATATCTTAGTAAACTGGCCCATGTGTGACTTTTTCTTAAAAAAAGACATAGTGCATAATGATTAATAGCAGGCAAATGATTATCTTTATTCTCCTGATTATCTTTAAAGTCAAATAGTGATTATAGTTTCATAAAATAACTAAATTGGAACTTATGAAACTTCCATTAGTAGGTCATCTTTAATCTACAAAATATTAATTTCATACATTTATACCTAATGTATGATATCTTTGCCTTCATTAATTTTCTTGATATTCTTTGCTTGGGATCACACTTTTTTCCTCAATTCATATTTTTATTTGAGTATTAGCTCATTGGCTGTACTCTTACCCTAGAAAATCTTCCCTTTCTCCCATATCAAAACACATTATTTTCTTCTATTTTTAACCATTATTTTTGGTCCTTATTCTACAAAATTATATTACTTATTTCTCTGTCACTAACTTTTATGAGACATATTTTTACTTGCTTTTGGAATTTCATGTCTTTTACGGTATCATTTTGTATGTAAATCTGGTAGGACAAGAACAAGTCTAGGATATGAACAATATGTCCTAGAGGGCTACACTTACTACTCATATTTCACATTGCCTATGACATCAGCTTACATTCTAATTCTGGCCCAGCCAATTTACTTACCTAAGACACTTAGCTTATATGAAGCTTAATATAAACATTTATAACATGGGAACAATAATAGGATTTATTCCAGAGACCATTGTGAAGATTATCTAAGATAATGTATAGAACAGATCCTGGCCCATAGGTAAGTTCTTATTAAATTGTAGTTACTTTTCAATTCTTGGGGCTTACACAATGTATTTCCATTGTAGCTTTCAATGCACTGTATATAGATGATTGAATGTACTGCATCAGAAATAAATTGGCCAACATTCTACGTAGAGAGCAAAAAGAATACTAAAAATCTGAGCTTTCAGAATTGGTCATAATTTGGAGTTATTTTCATTTTCTCTTTTCCCAATCTCTCAAGCCATGGCTGTTCTTGGTATATACTTTTACCTTTTAATTTATCTTTACTCCTTTCATAAATGTATAAGGTCAACGATAGTTCCCAGATAAAGAGATATAAGTAAATAGCAACCAATACAACATATAGAAGTTTTTCTTATAATTTTATTTTAAAATGAAAATGAAAACCTTTCCATTGGTATATTTAAAGGAAAAATAAATATCCTCCATCAAAACTTATTAGCATATTAATGTGGTCCCTTTATTAGTGGTATGTGTTTAAGTGTACCTGTTCAAGGTAACTTCAATAAAATTCATAATACTTGATATATGACTCATTTTATGTCTGTGTCTTCCTATTTTTATAAAGTAATTATGAAAGCCAGTAAAACATATCTTATTGGAAGCCCAACTTACAAAGCAAATATAAGTGGAGACATGATCATTTAAAAGGAGGCAGACTGTTGAAATCTTGCTCATTCAGTTTCCTGTACATATGCATAAGGTATTTTGATTTATTAAAAATCTTTTGACATACATACAGCATATCTCCAGTCTTCTTAAGTCTTCATTCCCAAAGGGAGACATTTGCAACATTTACTCAGATGCTCATGTTTAATACAGAACATCAGGTAGTAAAATAAAATATTCCTTATCTGAACACTGTAGCCACATATGCCAGCAAGATAAACATGAATTCTATACTTTGTTATCAATCTTATTTCAGCAAATGTGCATATAAAGATATCCATATGCCTATGACTAACAATATTCAGGACACCATGATATGCAAAAACTCAACAAGAGAATATTTTCATGAGGAACACATAATAGACATAGGAACACATAATAGTTTGTCGTGTGACAAACCCTCTGACAAGCCAAGACCTATAATCCTGAAAATGAACCCTGAAGGTTAAGTATTAGTATTTTTATTTTTCAAGGTTAAAAACTTCTAAATGGCAAAGCCAGGATTCAGAATATTGGGTTTCCAAGCCCCTGCCCTCTACCCAGCCTATACAAAATCCTGTAATATTCTAAAATGAAGGCTTTACCTTAACATAAATCAATATCCACATGTATAATTATAAGCATGGATTGAATAAAATGTGTTTTGTTAAATTACTTAATTAACACTAAATGAATATTATTTATTAGTAATGTGTAATGAGTTAAAAATAAATCAATGTGGAGAAGTAATATACAGATCGTATTGGTTTCCTAATGTTCTTTATGCCTGTGAAGATGTATCTATTTTTTTGAAGTATAATATAAATCTGGGCTTGTCATCTTGCATCTGAGGCTATTTTTGTTTGACATATTGTTAAAGGCACTTTAATTGTAGAAAATTCGAAACAATAACTTCTATAATCAATTTACTTTAATTTCCACAATTAATCACAATCTCACTATGTGATCTTGACAGCATATCTTTTTCGACAATAATGAACTACTTGACTGACAGATTCATGTCTTGAAAGAAGAAAATTAATTGAAAATGGATTTGTTCATGTCTGCAGTACTTCATTGTTTTATGATCTGAGATATAGAGATGAACTTATTTGATGTAAAACACTTTCCTATAATCATTATGGGTCAAAGGAAATCATGTACATTGCCCCTACATTTTAAATGCATTATTTCCTCAATCAATTGCAAATCTCATTACTTCAGCAAATAGTTTAGTAAGCCAGTAACTCTACCACAGTTTTGCTCTCAGTAAAAACAG
Source organism: Homo sapiens (assembly GCF_000001405.40). NCBI lineage: Eukaryota > Metazoa > Chordata > Mammalia > Primates > Hominidae > Homo > Homo sapiens. The sequence goes on along the minus strand of NC_000018.10, from coordinate 66,512,078 downwards.
GAAATAGACAACTTTAGCAAATCATAATGTCTGACATTCAGATAAAGAAAAAGTTAAGAAGGAAGAAAGAGTGAAATGTAGGCAGGGAGGATGTGAGTAATACAAAAGCAATGCTTTGGAGACTTTCAACAAACAGCTTTTGGAATCCACCTGATCCATCAACAAGAGTTTGTTTATTATGTAATATTACAACACTCTTTGAAAAAAGGAAGTGAACATATTTTTAACCTGAGAAAAAACATTTTAATATTCTCCACTGATTTGACAGTTATTTTCTGCAATGTCCCTATTGATTGTAATAAAGCAATGTGAATAAAAGCTAATAATAATAGCAGCAGTGATCTTCTTCCTGAATCCAAACAACAACAAAAATCTATCCCCCTTTTTTTTTAGGTAATTCAGACTATCAGTGCAGTGGATAGAGATGAATCCATAGAAGAGCACCATTTTTACTTTAATCTATCTGTAGAAGACACTAACAATTCAAGTTTTACAATCATAGATAATCAAGGTAATGTCATTCACTCATAATGAGTTTTGATACATTTTTGTGACTCATGTTAGACTTTAATGGAATTTATGGCATGGATTTTTATACTGTTCTTGCAACATAATAATGTTTGGAAATCAAGCAAAAGAGTAACAATTAAAATGGAAAACAAAACTCAATGTTAAGTTCTAAAAATATTGACTCCATTTCTCACCGCATTTCTTCAAAGTAGAAACACTTTTTAAAGTTATCAATGGCTGTAAGCTCTTGTAAAGTCTGAATGACCCTGCGAATATAATTGCAGTTCTGACACCACAGCTCCTTTCATGTTCTCATCTAACTCAGACTTCAATCTATGACTGAGGAAGAAAATGATATTTATTTTAGTTAGTCATATTAGCTTGATTGATTCAAAAATATTTAGGGTCATCAATTAGGAGCTTAGAATATGTGAAATTGGGTTAATATAGTTCTTATTCCTTCAAAACTAAATAATTTGTATCAATCTAAGGATTAAGTGTTCCAAAGAACTTTTTGTAGGGGCAGAATTTATTTTTCCTTTCTGTAGAGGTGGATTAACTTTATACAAAGCCACGCTGCTTCTTTTTCATGAGCTTCAGTAAGAGATACTTTTTGTCATAATAAGAACTTCTGTTTTAATTTTTTCATACCTCAAAGTTATGAAACACAGTTGATTTATTACTCAAGTATCTGTAACCAAATACTTGCAGTTCTCCTTACAGCTGAGGTTAAGCTTTGTTCAGAAGAGGCCTTTCATACGAGAGTAAATGCAACACCTTTCTGTCTGTTTTGCCCTCGTCAAATTCCCCCGGGGAGGAAACTCAAATATGTTTCAGACAAAAACCACAAATATCTCTTTCAAGCTCTTTGACAAATCTCCAGACTCCTTTCCACAAAATTTAGCCATGTAACAAACTCTTAGATTCAGGGGGTACATGTATTATTATTATTATTATTATTATTATTATTATTATTATTATTATTTGTTGCAGACTTCAACGTTATTTTATTTATTTATTTTTTATTATTATACTCTAAGTTAAAAATTATATTTTAAAATACATATATTAATATAAATGAATCTAAGCTGGAGTTTTTAAATGTATATATTTAAATACATTGATATTTGTATATATAGATTAATTTATATTAATATAAAATAAATTACTGAGGTGAAATAAATACATTGAAGCATACAAAATTGATTTGGTTTAATGCTTGTGGTCACAAGTAATTTAATAAAACGCATATTTAAAAAGTGTCAACTGTCTCTCAACTCTTAGATCTGCCTAGCGAATAAAATCACATGGGCTTTATAGACCTTAAGGGTTTCATAGTGAATTGTCTTTAAAAAGGTGATTTGGGAAATGTCCTACTTAAGCATGCATTTCAAAAGGCTTTTATTTTCCTTTTACTGCTATTGTCTTCTAAAATTTGGTGACTATAGAAAATATTTTGAGGGATGGTAAAAAAGAAGTAAAGGGAAAATACAGTTCTGAGGTACAAGAAATTACAATGACAAAAGTTATTCATAATATTTTGGGATTCACAGAAGAGTCATTGCATATTTGTTGAAGTGCTTATTGTTTGTTTTCATGAATTTTTTTGAATGGACTCTCTAGGTAAATGAATCAGTCTAAGTGTAATGATTTTCAGAATTTTAAATACAAAATAGATTAATAACAGCAATGTGATATGAAATATACTAATAGGATCTTGTCTACCAAGTGAAATTATTTTGTCTAATTAGAAAATATAGTATTTGAGATCATGTGCTTTGATATATATCTTTGAAAGTCTTGTATATTCCCTGGATTTGTACAAATAATGGGTCACAAGTATTAGAAAATAGACCGTGTCATATGTAATTAACACAAATAAAGCCAGCTCAATCAGCTTATATTTCATATTGGTAGTCCCTATAAATTATTGATATCTGATTAAAAAGCCATTTTCTGTGTTACACGTATGTTTTATATATGTGTCAAAGACATTTTGGAACCAATTTAATTAATTCAATAATAATATAAATACTTTAACTAAATAAGTAGTATCAACTCAATATTTAATAATATTAAATAGTAATTTTACTACATAATTTAAATAATTCATCTGATTACATAATTAGGGTTTAGGTAATGTCAAAACACTAATAATTTAGTGTGGATGTTTTAGTTGTCTTCTCGTCAGAAATTTCGTCTTCCTTTTATTTGAACTTACTTGATCATATCTCTATACTATTGTCCCTAGCACATGTGACTATTACATACAAATTTCTCTTACGTAGTTGAAAAAATTATGCACATGGATTTTTGTTTTAGATAACACAGCTGTCATTTTGACTAATAGAACTGGTTTTAACCTTCAAGAAGAACCTGTCTTCTACATCTCCATCTTAATTGCCGACAATGGAATCCCGTCACTTACAAGTACAAACACCCTTACCATCCATGTCTGTGACTGTGGTGACAGTGGGAGCACACAGACCTGCCAGTACCAGGAGCTTGTGCTTTCCATGGGATTCAAGACAGAAGTCATCATTGCTATTCTCATTTGCATTATGATCATATTTGGTAGGTAGAAGTCATCATTGCTATTCTCATTTGCATTATGATCATATTTGGTAGGTGGTGCTGAACTGAACATATACTCATTTATTTAAAATAACATGATAAATACATAGTTAATTCTATTATAGCATTATAATGTGGGTCTGTGTGTACGTTTATTGCTCCTCTGAATGTAGTATAATTCTTAAATCAAGTGGAGTAAATAAGTGGATAAAAACATGATCTTTGAATTGTATGAGTATGTATGTACACATCTGTTTATGCATGTTCTTGACACATATACAATGTAACAGTATAAAACATGTAAAAATTAGTGATAATAATGGCGAGCTTCTCTCGAGTGCTTATTATACTCCAGGAGACAATCTTCAGTGTTTTATATGCACTATGCAATCCAAACCTCACAATAACCTTATTAAGTAGTAACTAATATCACCTACATTTTCCAGATGAAGGAATAGAAACTCAAAAAGCTTTGTGCTTTATGAAGGGTCACACAGCTAGAAAATGATGTGCTAAGATTCCATGACCACAACACATTGTTATACAACACTGTACTGCAACTGACTAGAGCCCAAGGTGCATTTAAAAAAAAAAACAGCGCAGTAAAATCTACTCTCTTAGCAATTTTCGAGTATAAAATACCTTATTATTAACTATAGTTACCATGTGGTAAAATAGATCTCTTGAATTTATTCCTAATGTCTAACTGAAACTTTGTGTCTTTTGACCAATGTCTCTTCATTCTCTCACCTGCTATCCTGCTACTACCATTCTACTCTCTACTTATGTGAGTTACTTATTTACTTGTTTTAGATTTGTCAAAGTGAGATCATGCAGTGTTTGTCTTTCTGTGGCTGGCTTCTTTCATTTAGTATAATGTTATCTAGTTTTATCTATGTTGTGGCAAGTGACAGAACTTCTTTCTTATTTAAAGCTAAATAGCATTCGTTCTGTCTGTATACCACATTTTCCTTATCCATTAATTCACTGATGGAAACTTAGCTTCCATCAATTCCATATCTTGGCTATCATGAATAATGCTGTAATGAACATGGAAGTGTGGCTATCTCTTCAACATACCACTTTTATTTATAAGTATTTAAGGTGATGAATATATTAATTAAATTGATTTAATCATTCCACAATGTATACATATATCAGACATCACATTGCATACCATAAATGTATATGTTTTTGTCAATTAAAACTAAAAATAATCCAAAAGTCTTTTGTGAATAAAAAGGACAGTAAATGTTAGAAATGAGGAATGTATAAGAGAACGTCTTTTTTAAATCCAAGTACAGAAGAGAAAGAAATCCCAGTAAAAGAGCGCTATTAGTTTTTGTTTGCTTGTTTTTTTCTATTGCTATCACTGTTTTTATAAGCAGATAATTTATATTCATTTCACAAATGAGGCAGCTGAACACCAAAAGGTCTTAATCAGGCTTTCAGGACTATAAAATATTCATCTAGCATAACCTTTTCCTTTTTTTAATGCCAAAATATATAGTCTAAACTCTGCTCTTGCCTCCCTCAAAACTTCAAACCAAAAGCCAATGAAACTACATTGAAGAGTGAGAGCAAATGTATTAGTTTCTGAAATGTCAAACTGACCACTCAAACTGGCATGAGATATGTTTCAGGACCTGCCTTGTCTTCACTTAACTTATCTTTCTCAAGGTTTCAAAACCAATCCATTCCTCATTTACACCTACCATTACAATTGTTTAGGACCTAGCTTCAGTTTTTAAAATTATTTTTAATGATCTTTGATTATGAAGCTGAATTCATAGCTACATAGCTAGATCCAGAAGCAAAGATAAATAGTAAAAGCATAATTTTGGGGGACTAAAATACTGAGCTACCTATAGATACAGACTTAAACCAAGCCCTGAAAATCTACAAACAAACAAGGGGCAGCTTTGTAATTACAAATGTGAGTAAAATTTAGCAGGTGGGAGTTACGGGTCAACTATTACAATAGTGATTTCCTTTGAATGTTTTATAAATGTTTATCTCCAATTCAGATCAGAAAAGTATTTATTAGACTCCTTTCTATTTCAACCATATATATCATATGAGTTCTAAAGTGCAATACATGAATGCAAATATGGTGACCTTATTTAATTTAGATATTTTAAATGCAAGTTTTATATAAATACTATATAACCAACATATTTCTCTTTGTGATACTATTCATAACATTACTTCATGTGTGTTTCAAATCCTACATGTGAAATTCTGAACAGCTACATAAGATCCTAGGTTGGCTCTTGGTTATCCTTGATACCCACACGCAAAGACACACACACACACAGACACACACACACATTTTTATTTAAAATTAAAGCAAAAGTGTTCTGAATTTTTTCTGTTTCTACATGATGTTAAAATTATCTTATGTAATAAATAATAATTCTAGACAAATGTGTTATGATTCAAATGCATGATAGTTTGAAATTTCTGAAATTTATGTGGTGTCACAGAAAACAGGCTCTGAACCAACTTTCTACTTTTGTCTTTTTTTATTTTATTGTATTTATAATTGATACAAATTGGACATATTTATGGGGTACAGTGTGTTGTTTCAATACCTGTATATAGTGTATAATGCTCAAGTCAGCATAATTAGCATATTTGTGACTGAAAACATGTAGCCTTTCTTTGTGGTGATAACATTCCAATTTATCTCTTCTACCTATTTTGAAATAAATTATTAGCTACAATCACCCTACGGTATAATAGAACACCAGAACTTATTCCTCCTGTCCCACTGTAACTTTGCACCAATTGAATAACCTCTCTTCAGCCCCACTCCCCTGACTACTCTCCAAATCTTGGTACCTATCATTGTATTCTCTACTTCTATGAAATCAACTTTTTTAGATTCCATGTATAAGTGAGATCATGCAGTGCTTTTCTTTCTGTGCCTAGCTTATTTTACTTAACATGATGTCCAGCAGGTTCATCTATGTTGCTGTAAATGACTTCACTGTTGGTGACTGAACAGTATTCCATTGTATCTCTCAACTAGCTGTGTCTTTCTAGCAATGTCATTTAACATCTGTGTGCTTCAGTTTTCTCATCTATAATAGGATATAATAATATAATGACTTTCACAAGAATAAAATCAATCAATAAATATAAAGCTTTTAGAAGAATGCCTGATGTATGCTTCATAGTCAATACATATTAATTTAGAAAATAATTATGCCACAGAATTTTGCTTCAATAGGGAACATCAAACTGTTCTGTTGTTCTGAACTACTATTAATATGAAGCATTGGCTACTAAAGTTGACAAACGCATTCAGGTTGCAAAGTTTTATTCTACTTTATTCTATTTTAATATTTGAGAAGAAACAGATTTTGAATGTTAAATTGTTCATCATCTAATATATATAGTTCACTATATATATTATATTATATATATATTAATATATATATTAATAAATATAGTTCACTATATTTTTATGGTTTTCTTTGACTCTAAGTCATCAGCCAGAAAAATCGTGATACATTCTTTTGTAATTTTGCAAGTCCCTTTGGCAAATTTTCAATAACAAATGTATCTTTTTGTTTTATAATCATAAAGTTTAAGCACTCATCTTGAGCTTGAAATGAGAGCAAAGACTGTAATGTTTATAATACTCTTTATTGTTTATTGATATTCTGATGTGCTTTCTTCATCAGGGTTTATTTTTTTGACTTTGGGTTTAAAACAACGGAGAAAACAGATTCTATTTCCTGAGAAAAGTGAAGATTTCAGAGAGAATATATTCCAATATGATGATGAAGGGGGTGGAGAAGAAGATACAGAGGCCTTTGATATAGCAGAGCTGAGGAGTAGTACCATAATGCGGGAACGCAAGACTCGGAAAACCACAAGCGCTGAGATCAGGAGCCTATACAGGCAGTCTTTGCAAGTTGGCCCCGACAGTGCCATATTCAGGAAATTCATTCTGGAAAAGCTCGAAGAAGCTAATACTGATCCGTGTGCCCCTCCTTTTGATTCCCTCCAGACCTACGCTTTTGAGGGAACAGGGTCATTAGCTGGATCCCTGAGCTCCTTAGAATCAGCAGTCTCTGATCAGGATGAAAGCTATGATTACCTTAATGAGTTGGGACCTCGCTTTAAAAGATTAGCATGCATGTTTGGTTCTGCAGTGCAGTCAAATAATTAGGGCTTTTTACCATCAAAATTTTTAAAAGTGCTAATGTGTATTCGAACCCAATGGTAGTCTTAAAGAGTTTTGTGCCCTGGCTCTATGGCGGGGAAAGCCCTAGTCTATGGAGTTTTCTGATTTCCCTGGAGTAAATACTCCATGGTTATTTTAAGCTACCTACATGCTGTCATTGAACAGAGATGTGGGGAGAAATGTAAACAATCAGCTCACAGGCATCAATACAACCAGATTTGAAGTAAAATAATTTAGGAAGATATTAAAAGTAGATGAGAGGACACAAGATGTAGTCGATCCTTATGCGATTATATCATTATTTACTTAGGAAAGAGTAAAAATACCAAACGAGAAAATTTAAAGGAGCAAAAATTTGCAAGTCAAATAGAAATGTACAAATCGAGATAACATTTACATTTCTATCATATTGACATGAAAATTGAAAATGTATAGTCAGAGAAATTTTCATGAATTATTCCATGAAGTATTGTTTCCTTTATTTAAAAAAAAAAAAAAAAAAAAAGAATGCTAGGTAATCTTCGTAGAAAACTAGAAAGTATGATAAACAACAGTTGGAGGAATCCATGGAAAATAGACGAGAAAATGTAAATAAGGCTTTCTGGGGATCACAGAACTTTTGTATGAATAAAAGCCTTATAAAACCAGCTCTGGCATATGACTAAAATATTCCTCTACTATTTTTCAATGTCATCTAATGCAAACGCTCAACCTTTTTAAATGGTTAATGTGAGAAAGGCACTGAATTAAGATATCTTAGTGTTATTTTATTTACTCAATTTTCATCTTTCACACTGTAAGAATAAAATGTTTTTGTGGTTAAGTTCCTGATACTATATAGAGATAAACTTTAAAACTTTAACACCTAGGATAATGTGGGTGATTACATAAATGTTTAAAAACATTTACCTTATATGGAAAGCAGATTTCTGACTAAGATGCCATGATTCATTCTAGTTTGATATTTTAAAACTTTGCCAAGAGCACTCTTTAAAACTGATTTCAAATTTGAACAGATACTTGGTGTATACAAATTAATCAGAGTTATATAGTATAAATTTGTATTATTTTTGATATTACAACTTTGTATTAAAAAGGAAAATATATTTAGGTGTTTGTCATAGATTTTTTTTCATATGCAACTCAAAACACATTCTTATGTCAAAATACAATAGCAAAATACAAGTCAATATTTACTCATAATTAAATGCAAACTTTATGAAACTGGTGGAAAGTGTGGAAAAATTTAAGTAAATTTTTACCTCTACTAAAAATTATTTAGACAACTTAAAGGAATACTGGATTCAAACTTCAGTTACTATTCACTGTAAATATTATGATCAACTGAACTGACTTACCATTCATGGGATAAAACATGATACAATTCTCAGTATTTGCTTTTCTGTTAAGAGCTTGGAATATGACTGATGCTTCAGTGTCATTTTTTTATTATTGAATATAAAATTAGGTGCAATAGATACATTTATTGTAGCCTTAAGAAGGAAATCAATGCTAAGCTGTTGGGCATAAAACTTTACAGTAACATTAGATAACAAGATAATAAAACACTTTAATTTTAATCGACCTTTTAAGAATGATCTTTATTATTCTATCCAAATCAAGGTAGACTTCAAAATTTATGGTTTGAACAGGAAGAAAGTAGTGAATACAAAATTCTTAAAATTGGTTCATATGATCATTTTTTTATTAATAGCATGTGAGACTAAGCTGAACCAAACTGGCCATATATGTTAAATCAAATAATTTGAGTAATTTTGAAATATTGATGAAGTAGTTAAATGGTTATAATATATTTTATTGGTACTTTGAAATTTAAACATCTATATCACATAATAAAGAAAGTTTTTCATCAATCTGAAACAGGCACCATTAAATTGGTGACACAAATATTATCATTTCACAAAAGCTTGAGAAAACCAGATTTGAAGTGAAATAATTTAGGAAGATATTAAAAGTGGATGAGAGGACATAAGATGTAGTCAATCCTTAACGCAATGATACCATTATTAGGAAAGAGGAAAAATACCAAACAAGAGAAAATTTAAAGGAGCAAAAATTTGCAAGTCAAATAGAAATGCACAAATCGAGAGAACATTTACATTTCTATCACATTGACATGAAAATTGAAAATGTATAGTCAGAGAAATTTTCATGAATTATTCCATGAAGTGTTGTTTCCTTTATTTAAAAAGAATGCTAGGTAATCTTAGTAGAAAACTAAAAAGTATGATAAACAACAGATGGAAGAATTCATGGAAAATAGACGAGAAAAAGTAAATAAGGCTTTCTGGAGATGACGGAAATTTTGTATGAATAAAAGCCTTATAAACAATGAATACATTTGGATAAACAACTCATTAAAATGCACATTAATGGAATACCTGTACAAATAGTTTTAATACTTGTGTCCAGTGGCACTAAAGAGATATATTAAAATAGATTCTGGTTGAGTTGATTATAAGATTGTCAATCATAGGATACACAGGGAAAGCACAGACACGATTGCTCATCTCTTTGGTAGTCTAAAATATGTTCCTTTTAACCACATCAAAAGATACTATCTGATTCTAATACAGAAGGTGCAACTTCCTAGGAATTATACTTTGTATTATATTCAATAATTATTTTATGTTTTGCATCACATGGGTGTTGCAAGAACACAGCTCTTAAACTAAAAAGGCATTACATTAAGAATTTATTTTTGTAAATTTTAATAAACTCTAAATTAATGCAAAATATTTATGAAAATAGCACAGCTTCACATTAATACCCACAGTACTTAAATATCTCCCTTAGTTGACTCACAGCTTTGTATGTAAGCTTCAAATTTTTAATGGTAAAAATAAGAAAATTAGGACTAGCGAACTGCTAGTTGTTCCCTCAGTGCATGTGCTTGAGCCTAACAGATCTTTGTTTGAATTAGTTACTTTCAATTAAGCGAACATATAATATTTGTTAAACTGCTTAATCTTTCCAGATCTCACTTTGTAAAATGACGTCCAATCAACCTATTTCACATGGTTGTTATGAAGAATTAATAATAAGATATGTAAAACCAGCAGCACCAATAGTGCCTGACAAAATATAACTGCTCAATAAATAACAGTGAATTATTATAACAACAGCTAATGGTATTCTATTGGAACACATGGTCTGTTTCTTTTCCAATTCTGAGTGATCTCAACAGCCTCACGGCACATTGAAAATAAAAGTCAACTTCCTCACCTTCCCCATAGGCCATGGACTTTCCCATCTCTACCCACTTGTGCAGTTTCTCCTCTTTCCTCTCTCCTCCTCAGTTACTAAAGCAATCTTCCTTCAAACACTTCTATTTTCCATTACATCACTTCATTCAGGTTGGTGATCAGCTGCAACTTCCTCAGAAAGACCACTGCTGCTTCCAGTGACCCTGGCTTTGTCTTGCTTTGTATTAGATTACTCAGCTCCCTGGTATTATTGTTGTCTTTATCGCTTATTAGAATGTAACCCTTAATGGGCAAGAAATTGTCAGTCTTGTTCATTTATCATCGTATAAAAAATGTTTCTAGCACACAGAAAGTGACCAATAAATATTTCTGGAATTAATGTAGTAATGAATCCAATCTATTTTACTTAGTGACTTGTAGAAATTCTTTTGGTTTCCATTGACTATTTTTATAGAATATTAATATGGAATTAAAGTATTTTTCAAAATGGGTTAGTACTGAGTAGTTAGTGGATACGGTAAAGATTTTTCAGAATCTTTCTAAAAATTACATAACTTTGGCATTTATCTTGCTTGAACTCATTGATGTATCTGGAGGAAAGATAGTTGATGAAGTTATACTGTTCAATCAAAACAGGTTATTAAATGATGGCTGTAGAAAGTCTTATATGAAAACATTTTCACAAAGTGTAAGAAATATGAAATCATGTGCCATGCATAAGAATCCTACTTCACATTTTAAAATACAACTTGGTAACAGATGCATTACACAGCTCTCAGGGCTACAAAAAACCTACAAGGTGGCTTGAAGATTTTTTATAGTCTATGGTATTTGATAGTAAAAGAAAGACAGGGAGATTAAGTAGACAGATAAATGGAGGAAAGGAATATGTGACTTTTTACATATTCAGATCTGTCTGTCTATATGGAAATTGTGATTTCCTGAAAGAAGGACTAGCATCCAATTGCAAGTAGTTCCTTGAGACCTATTAGAAATTTGTGCTGCCCTTTTTTCCTAGAGAGCTCTGAAGATGACTGGCCGATCCACCTGAAATAGCAGGAACGGGAGAGGGTAGTAACTGGGAACTGCCATTCCTAGCTTTTGACAGGGTGAAGCTGAATGAGTTTTACATAGCTTAAGGGACTGCAGCTGTAGAAATTTTGCACAGATGGAGGTGAGAGGGAGCTTAAGACAGTCATCCAAAAATACATTACATAGGTCAAGGAACAATAGAGATCTCACGTCCTTGAGATGTGTCTCTGAATCGTCCATGCATGTGCCCCATGACAGAGGACCAGCCTTCAGATGCCTGTGGTCACAGAGGTCACTGGCTGTGAGGTCAGGATGGCACCAACATGTTTATTGTGCCCCCTTTTTCTCATATCTTCCTTCCTACCCAGACCTCAGAGGATCAGAAGCAGCAGAGGTCTGCTCCTCTGGGAGAGGATAGGAGTTAGATTTTATACTGGATGTGAGGTTAAGGTCTTCTAGTAAATAGCATAGATTTTAAAAGATATTTGAAAGTGACAAGAAGCTGTGGAAACTGTCTGATATTTGGCCAAGGTAAGCATCAGAAAAAATGTCCCAAACTGAATAAAAGAATTCATTTTCATGATAATTCCCACCAAATTACATAGTAATAGGCTGGAAACATAATAAATCAATTTGGCATTTCATATAGTTTAAATACTAATTTGAAATTCACTTTTTTAATATAAACCATAAGCTAACTATACAAAGAAAATATAATTTATAGTGTCCTTACAACATCTTAGAGCATATTAAAATAGTTTACACAGCTTTATTTCAAGCAGTTCCTTTGTATTTATTCATTTTAATATTTATAATATACGTTCTATTGACTTCCACAGTGCTAAGTGATTTATCTCAGCTACAAATAAGGCTGGGCAGGAAAACTACAATATTTTTATGATTATATAGAGGTTGAGATCAATACAATGTTTTATCTATAAAAGGGAGAAAAGTTGGTGGATAGTATTCACACGTGGTAATGTTAACATTTCCATAAGATTACCTAGTTGGTATGCTAGTGAAAATAAGTGGTCTATGAAGTTCACTTTAACTTTTTGTTGCTAACATACTTTGCAGTGTAACCTTGAGTAAGTTATTTAGTATTTTTTCTCTTGATACCTTCACCTGTACAACGGAGATATTAAGAATACGTAAGTCATAGGATTGTTGTGGGAACTAACTGAAATAATATTAAAGAATGTAGAATATTTCCAAACGTGCAGCAAACACTTGACATTTTTACCAGTTGTTATTATTGTCAAAATAGGAATCATTATATTATTAATTTTACCTTTAGGAAGGTTTATAGACCTATCCCTTTTACTGAAGTACGAGAATTAATATGGAGAAGAAGAGAGAAGAAAGGGAATGAAATCAGGGCAATAATTATCTTCCTGTTACTTACTGCCTCCTCACCCTGACCCTCCCAGGGTAATTTTCTAATACCAAAGGAAGAAATTAATTGCTCAACTTATACATTATGTATGAGGTGCTCCGATGAAAATTAATCATTCTATGGCATTTATTTTGGGAAAAAAATGCTGGAAAGTTAAGTAGTAACCAACCTTTTTGTGACAATGTTCCCTAGGTATAGATATTTCAGGAGAAATCCTGTTGAAAAAGAGGAGTTGGTTTATCTCATTTTGTAAGTAATAAAGAAAAATATATTCCCATATTATTTTAGAACTACATAGAAGAAACAAAATAAATATACTAATAGCACTAACAGATAGCTTCTCAAACATGTTGTTAATATCTAAGATCTGATGACCGTAGTTGTAATTTTATACGAAGAAATAAAAATTAAATTACAAGCAGATTGTCACCTCTGAAAATGCAAGATGAAAAGCTGCAGCCTTGACATCCCTATCTGCTTTCCCCTGTCCTCGTGCTTTTTAAAAATAAAAATTAAGGTCACATTCCCATATGTTCTCTGATGAGTATGTTTTTACCATCTAGCCTTCGCATATCTGAGCCAATCTTAGGTCTCAGACAAGTTGTAGGCAATTGTCCAGCTAAAACTGACACCTCAGTTTTCAGAAACATTTTTCTTATCCCAGATGACCTCTATGTTATTCTGGAAGCTTGCTTTGTAGAAATGATTATCTATTTTCAACTCTATATAAAACATACATGTTAACACTTGACATATTCAGTTTATATAGAGAGATTTCACCAATAATTTAAAAATATTTTAAGTTTTACTAATTGTAAAAATAAAAGGTTGATATACCATACAGTGTATATATTCATAGTATATTCATTATCAAACACTATTAAATTAAGTTGTCCCACTAATACTGTTTTCAACAGCAAAAATCTCTCTCTTTTTTATAACATATTATCTACAGCCAGGCTTGTTACTTTATGTACCTTTTTGCACAAAGACCAGAGAAGGAAATTTGTACAAAAGTGCATACTAGGAAAATGTGTGAACTGAGAAAATTCTAAGTTTTCCTCATGCTTGTGTTGTCAACCCAAATATCAAGTAAATAACAAGGAGCAAACTTTATTTGCTAGCAGCATCTATTACACTAGTAGCATCTACTGAGTCTCTCTAAGTTGAGTTCTATGTAATAAACCCCAAATAAAATCTTAAATTAATTATCTGTGTCCTGGCTGAAAAAGGAATGATGAGAAACACTTGGAGGTGGAGTCAGGGGCCAGGGCGAGAGGTCGGTGCTCAGGTGAGACTGGTTGCTGAGCTCAGCTCCCATTCACACCTTGCAAAGCTGTAGCTGCTTTTACGTGGTCCTCATGGAGTTGCGCTGCAGCTCGAAAGAAGAAAACATTCGTAATAGGAGGACGTTGGTTTTTTCAGTTTTTAATGAATATACCCAACAAATCTGTTCTAAATCTCTCTCTCTCATCTTATTCTAAGTGTTTTTAAGGTACTACTTCATTTAACGAGGTAGGTATCTTTATTACCCCCAAGATACTGATAAGGAAACCAACACACAGAGAGTCTTTGTATTGTGCCCGAGGTCGTACACCTAACGGTGGCAGAGTTGAAGCTTAAATCCAGGCCAACAAGTTCTAGATTCCAGGGTTTTGTCCATTTACAGCATACTGGCTGTGCTGCCCTTGACACAGGGAGATTATGGGGATTAAATTCAAGATGAGATTTTGGGTTGGGGACACAGCCAAACCATAACAATTGTCATAACTCAAAATTAACATGCTGAAAAGCATATCAACTACTCACTTTTGAAAGAGTGAGTATGGTTACAACCTATCAGACTGAGATGTTGATTTTCTTAAATTCATAGTTTTTAGAAAAGATTTGCATTTATACAAGCAATAAATCATGACCAGTTCTCAGAATCATTGAAAAAAATATTTTTTTCAGTATATCTTCTAAAGCAGTCCTTTTGAAGCCTAAATAAAACAGAGTTCCCCCAGAAGTAAGCTGGTCTTATTACTTCAGAAAACCTGTAATACACTATATATGCTATTATATAAGGAATATGTATATATATATATATATGAATAAACCATATTTATATTTTTATTTATAAAACTTAAATCCAGGAAAACAAGTTCTAGATTCCAGGCTTTTGTCCATTACAGAATAATGACTGTCCATTTGCACCACCTCATTCAGTTAGTAACATAGGGGCTTTTGTTACTTATGGTTGCCAAAGTTTTTTTCTATTACTTTAGATGTTAATACTGTATAAATATTATATATTCACATAGATGGATTAAGGAGGGGAATAGCGTTCTTTTTTCAAAAATAAATCCATCTGTCCATTTATGTCACTACTAAGTCTGAGTTTCTATTATTAGGTTACATGTCACATATTGTATTTATTATTATTATTATCATTATATTATTCATTATGGTGCCAATCAACCATAGAAATAACACACTCAGAATATCCAAAGGTACAGAAAAAAATTGTGTGTATATATATATATATATATATACAGAAAACATATATATACACAGATCATATATATATATATAAATCATATATATATACACAGAAAACATATATATATATATAACCCATTTTATTTTGGACCTTCAAACATACATTTTCAAATATGGCATTGATTTTAAGGTGGCTAACTTATGACAATACCAGTCAACTTAATTGGTGTTTTTCACTTGAGTCCATATTTTAAAATGTCTTGTGTTTCAATTTAGGGCCCAAGCAAATCTCTGAAATAATAAACATGTAAAGGGCAAAAACAAGAAAAAACACATCAGGAGTTGCATAACTAGACACATCTTCAAAGGACAAATATGGCTAAGTGGCTGCTTTCTAGTCTATGGTAGAAAGCAAGCAATGTAAAATCCTTTCTTGGTAATATTTTTGGAGAAAACATTACAGCATGGTGACAGTTATTAGCATTGTATCATTACTGTGATACTAAGTAATTAAAATGTCTTGTCCCTACTGCTGAAATGCAGCTTGACCATGGTCTGGCAAAGGCAGAGTAGACAAGTCATCCGCATGATCTCCCCCAGCAGGGGGTGCCTTCTACCTATTTTTGCTTAGGTGGCTGCATATGGGCCTTTATGTAGTTTGTGCCGAGACAAGCATTTAGTATTACCAGCTCAGATGAAGAGAATGTGATTTAATAGGTATACAGAAGTAGTATCGTTCCACACAGAATTTTATATCATATTAATTTAAATGCTAAATTTCTTATGGCTTTTATTTTTTATGTTATTTGTTTGCAATATTAGTCAAAAATAATTGATAGTTTTATTAAAATGTATAATGATAACTAGCACTGAGAGTCATTAGACTTTTATGAATGAATCATGTTAGCCTATTTAGTGAATATTCCAGATTGCAGAAGAGTGTCTGCCATTGTGAATCGTGTGCTACCTATTATGTGCTCTCTTGTCCTGATAAAACTGGTTGCACAAAGCCTGTGGAACCTTGGGGTTTGAACTCAAAGAGCATTATGGAGGCAGAGCTATTCATTCCATGCTGGCTCTTGTTTTGCCACGTGCTGCAATATTCCAAAAGCCAAATGCTGCTTTCTATGGCATGTACACTCATCCCTGAGGCAGATTGCAGTCCCAAATTTCCCTTCCTTAATCATTTCTACTTATTTTTATACTCTACGTAGCATTAAGTAAATCAGAGTATTCCCTTATGATTTCTAATTGCTTTTCTGCAAGGTGAAATGCTTAAATGTATTAAATATGTTGAACATGGCAACAGTCCCACTGAGAGACATAAGAATTTCAACATCATCATCACCTTTATAAAGCAATTCCATATGCTTCTCTTCTTCCAGGCAGTTCCTTAATTCAAGTAGAAATGTTCTGATATGTGGCTTTTACAATTAGCCTTTGCCTTAAGACATTGCCCCAGATTTGAGAAGATCAGAATAATAATGAATTTTTAGATAGCATACCTATAGTGTTTTGCATTAATAATAAAAGAATCAAGAGATATTGGCTTGGAATACTCAAAAAATAGGTAGATATTCTCTGGAGTACTATAGTGTATGGCTTTCTTAATATTTTCAAAAGTTAAGTCTCATATAGTTAAATGAGTATTAAACCACTTTGTAAGACAATATGTCTCCAAATTGTCCCTCAACTACTAAAAGTAATATGATAAAAATGCAAATTTTAGAAAATCTTTTGTTACTCAAGCTTCAAAATTCCTTTTTAATATCATGAAATAGCTATAAAATGTGGTATCGACCTGATTCCTATATGGTTTCATATTTTAGGATGATTTGGTTCTAATATAGGCAGTTGTGAGATAAACACACAAATACATGAATGCACAAGCACACAGACATTTTAAAAGATTCCTATATGGTTTCATATTTTAGGATGGTTCTTATGTGGTTTCATATTTTAGGATGACTTGGTTCTAATACAGGAAGTTGTGAGATAAACACAAATACATAATCACACAAACACACAGATAGACATTTTAACAGTATTTCCCATTTCCTCATCACAACTCTATGAGGTAAATAAAGAAAATTTCTGTACGTGCATATGTGTATACCGAATGGGAAGAAATCACACCATAAGATGGAGACTTCCCTCTGACAGATTCTCGTCCCAGCCTCTTTCTAATTTAAATAAGGCCAGCACTCATATTCAAGTTTCATTTATTCATCCGATTAGTGCATATTTATTAAGTATCCTTTATATGCCAAGCACTTCAGTAGATGCTGGGAAAACAAACAAAAAAACACAACACTTTTCATTACCAAAAAACTATATTCAAAAGATGGGAGTGCATCAAAATATTTTTCACAATTGGAATGCTTTTAGAGGTAAATACAAAGTGGGTTAGGAAAATCGAGGAGCGATCCTCCCAGTGGCTACTCAATCCCAGTGGGGGGGACCAGCGGAGCTGTGTGGTGGGAAAAAGCTTAATGAGGAGCTTAGGAGTTGGTCATTGACATGATCTTTGCAGACATGATACTGTGCCTCATGCATATTTACCTACTCCATGGTGGAATTTCTATGGATGTTAGAACCTTGTTCAGCTTGCAGGTAAATGAGAATTACCTCAAAGGTAGGTCAAACCTTCAGGTAGTGAATCTCATTTATTGGGCTATAAGTTGATGGCCAAGCAAATGCAAAAACTAATGGCAGGAAGCTTGGTTACATGATAGGGAGAGAGGACACTGTGCTATACCATTCTACGGGTGCCATTCACTTTGCAGGGAAGGTTGTATAGTATTTGACGTGAAACAACTCCAACCACAAATGTTTACCTCCCAGGAAAATTTTACTATGCTTAATTTTTAAAAACAATTTTAGATTTACAGAAAAATTGTTGATAGTACATAATTCCCATACCCACATACGATATACTCAGTTTCCCTAATGTTAATATTTTACAATAGTATAGTACATTTATTACAATTAATGAACCACTATTGATACTTTAGTATTAAAGTCCATACTTTATTCAGACTTCCTTAGATCTTAACTGTTTTTTTTATTTCTTTTTTTTTGGTTCAATTCATCTGTATCTAATGTCTTTTCGGTTCCAGGATACCTTGTTATTTTCAGTGTTTAAGTCTCATTGGGATCCACTTGGCTGTGACGGCTTCTCACGGTTTTATTTATTTATTTTATGACTTTGACAGTTTTGAATAGTACTAATAAAGCATTTTGTAGAAATATTGGGATTTCACTAATGGTTTTCTAAAGATTATGATAGGCTAATAGGTGTTTGAGAGGAAGAACACAGAGGTAAATTGCCATTTTCATCATATCACTTCAAAACTACATACTATCAACATGGTTTATCACTGCTAATATTGACCTTGTTTACCTGGCTAAGACAGAGGTTGTTATATTTCTCCACTCTCAAATTACTCTTTTTTCCCCTTTTTCATATATTAGTCTTTGAAAATAAGTAACTATGTGCAGCCCCCACTTAAGATGTGGGGGATTGTGCTTCCTCTCATTGAGATCAGAGTACCCACATATTTTTTCAGATTTCTTTTGCAAGGAATATTGATCTGTTTTCCTCATTCGATCATTTATTTATATCAGTATGAACTCATGAATATTTACTTTATATTTTGGGGTTATAATCTAGTAGTAGTTTTTTCTGTTGCTCAAATTGTTTCAGCTTTGGCCATTGAAAGTCCTGTGTCTCAATGGCATACCCTCATGATTGTGTATAAGATGTGTGTGTGTCAACATTAAGTGTACAGAATTAATATTGGTGTTTCTAATTATAGTTCACTAGGTCATGGATGATTCTAGCCTTCTACACTTGTTATCTTTAAGCTTCACTCCAACAGTGAGAAACCTGATTTCTAATATCTGCCATCCATCATATCAGGATTGTTAACCAGTACTCCTGTTGGACAAAACTTTATCACCTAGATAACAGGGCTTACAATTTTCTTTCACCTTTATTTTTACAAAATCCATTCATTTACAAAATTACTTAGGTCAGCAACTCTCCCCCTGAGTGATATTTTTCATTCATTTGTAACAAGTTACATTGTTTTGTCATATTTTTATTAACCTATATTAAATTTCATATTGTGGTATAAAATTCAACGATATTTGGCAAGTGCCTAGTGTCAGGTGTCCTCAACTACAGTATCATATTTAGTAGTTTTATTTTCCTGAAACATTCCCTGTGCTTTATCTATTCAACCTTCCTTCCCCTCCACCAAAAACTAGAAAGCCATTGATCATTTTACTTTTCTCTATACTTTTGTCTTTTCTAGAATGCCATATAATTTGAATCAGACAATATGTAGCTTTTGTAGTTGAGAAGGTTTGCCTGTGTCCCCACCCAAATTATGTGTCAAGGGCAGGGCCAGGTGGAGCTAATTGAATGGTGGGGGTGGTTTTCCCCATAGTGTTCTCATGATAGTGAATAAGTGTCATGAGACCTGATAGATTTGTAAATGGGAGTTCTCCTGCACAAGTTCTCTTGCCTGCTGCCATGTAAGACATGACTTTGCTCATCCATTGCCTTCTGCCATGATTGTGAGGCCTCACCAGCCATGTGAAACTGTGAGCCCACTGAACCTCTTTTTCTTTATACATTACCCGGTCTTGGGCAGCTTGAGAACAGATTAATATGGTAGTCTAGCTTCTTTAACTTAGCAATGTACATTTAAGTTGCCTCCATCTTTTCATGGCTTGAATGCTCATGTCTTTTATAGCTGAATACGAATTCACTACATGAATGTGCCACATTTTGTGGATCCATTCACCTATTGAAGGACATTTTGGTTTCTTCCCTTTTTGGTAATTATAAATAAAGCTGATATAAATATTTCTGTGTGAATTTTTGTGTGAACATACATTTTCAAATTAGTCAGATAAATACCTAGGAACATAATTGCTTGATCATACAGTAAAACTATATTTAGCTTACTAAGAAGATGCCAAATAGTCTTCCGAAGTGGATATACCATTTTGTTTCTTTTTTAACTTTTTTTTTAACCAGTCAAGGAAAACAGTGGGGGTGGAGAAGAAACTAAAAGGAGGTAGCATTTTGAATTCATATCAACAATGAATAAGAGTTACCCTCACTCTACATCTTCATAAGCAGTTGGTATTGAGAATTTTTGGATTTTAGCCATTCTAATAGGTGTGTAGTTGTATCTCATTATTATTTCAGTTTGTGTTTCGCAATAATGAATTACGACATTCTTGTCATATGCTTATTTGCCATCTGTATAGCTTCTTAGGTGAGATGTCTATTGAGAATGTTTCCTCATAATTTAATTGGGTTGTTTTTCATATTATGGAGTTTTAAGAGTTATTTGTATATTGGATAGAAAAACTTTATCAGATATAATTGTCAAATATTTTTTCCTGGCTTGTGGTTTTCTTTTAATTCTCTTAGCAGTGCTATTTACAGGGTGGAATATTTTATTCTAGTAAAAGATAACATTTATTTATTTATTTATTTATTTATTTATTTATTTTTACTTCATAGCTCATGCTTTTGGTGTCACATCTAGAAATCATTAAAAAAACAAAATATATAGATTTTTATATAATATTTTTTTCTCAAAATTTTATAGTTTTAGGCTTTATATTTGGGTGTATCATCCATTTTGTGGTAATTTTTGTGACTGGTGTAATGTCTGTCTGGGTTTATATTATTATTTTCTTGCTAGCATACACCAAATTGTTTCAACATCATTTGCTGAAAAGAATATTATTTCTTCATTTAATTCACTTTGATACTTACTCAAATATTAGTTGACGATATTTGTTTGGGTCTGCTTCTGGGCTGGCAATTCTGTTCCATTTTTCCATGACAGTACCATGATTTCTTGATAACTGTAGCTTTAAAACAAGACTGAAACTTGATAGTGGGAATCCTTCATAGCTTACTTTTCTTCAGTATGTGTGGGCTATTCTAAATATTTTGCTTTCCATAGAAAATTTAGAGTAGTTTGTCTATATCTACCAAGTAGTTTTCTTGGGTTTGTATTGAAATTGCATTGAATCTAAAGATCAAGTTGGAGAGAATTGACAAGGTTGTCTTCCATTCCATGAACAAAATTATCTGTCAAATTATTTACTTATTTAGATCTCCTTGGATTTATTTTATCAGAATTTTGTAGATTTCCATGGATTTTTGATTTTCTAAAGATTCTTATTATGGGTTTCAATTTTTTGGTTGCTAGTATAAATGTAAATGCATTTCAAGTTTGATTTCTGATTGTTTAGTATTGATATATAAGCAACCAATTGACTTTGGTATGTTAACCTTGTATCCTGAAGCCTTGCTATACTTTCTTATTTGTTTCAGGTTTTTGCTTGTTTGTTTTCAACTGTCTATGATTTTCTAAATACGCAATGATGTCATCAGCAAACAAAAAACAAATACATTATTTCTTCTTTCCCAATCTGTACACCTTTCATTTTACTTTCTTGTATAATCACAGCAGCTATGAATTCCAATATTATGTCGAATGGGAATGGTGAGAGGAAATACCTTTGCTTTTCCCCAGTTAGTGTAAAAAAGTCCAGTTTCTCAGCATTACCTGTGTTGTTAGCCATAAAGCTTTTATGATATTCTCCATCAAGCTGACAAATTTTTCCTCTGTTTTGCTAAGAGTTTTTATCATGAATAGGAGTTGGATTTTGTAAAGTACTTCTTCAGCAACAATTGCTATAATGGTTTTCCTGTTTTAACTTGTTCATGTTGTAGAAGACATTTATTGATTTTCTAAGGTTGAACTAGCCTACCATAGTTGGAAAAACTCCTGACTAGTAATGGAATATAATACCATTATACAGTCATCCCTGGACATCGATGGGGGATTGGTTTCAGGACTTCCCCATACCCAAATCCGTGCACACCCAAGTCCCACATCTGACTCTTTGTATATGTAAGTTTCTCATCCATTGAATATATATTTGTGATTTGCATTTGGTTGCAGATGTGGAATCCTCTGATATGAAAGGCCGACTATATTTATTGCAAAAACTGTGCATGTAAGTGGAATCATACAGTTCAAACTCGTGTTGTTTGGGTGTCAACTGCACCTTGTTTTGCTAATACAGTTGTCTCTCATTATCCATGAGGGATATATAAGTTCCTTATATAAAATGTTGCAGTATTTGCAAATAAGTAGAAATTCATTGATGAGAATAAGCATCAATAAGTAGCCCTGGGAAATTTTAAAAGCATTAATACCTGGTTATAAAATTTCATAAATCAATCATTGACATATGAATATAAACGAACAAAAAACTTAAAACCTCCTTATGTGGTAAATAAGGCATATGTAGGAAAATGATTCTACTTGGTTCACTTATGTTTCTGCATACTTTGTAACAGAAACATTGATTCTTTTCTGTTCTGAATTATCTTTTCAAAGATGTGTTATAGCACATTCTTGGAAGAGATTGTGTTTCAGTCAAGAGCAAAGGTTGAGTTTGTAGTCTTAGAAGGCACGATAGCATCTCCCATTGGCAGAAAAAATAGTCATGCTTACTGTCTAATATAAAAGATTCAAATTTCCTAAACTAAAACTAAGCTCTTAAATTCAGATTTCCTTTTCTGAAATGCAATCCCATGAATGTGTAGGTGTCATTTAGAGCATTATGTCACTGAGAAATTATGGTGGGGAACAGGCACAAATTCTGACACTGTTGTTACTACTCTTAAAATGGGTAAGGAAGGCTGTTGTTTCTGACCTTGGAATCTTGTGTCTTCTGCTAGTGTTTATAAGATTGTGACAGATTAATTTGTTGGCTGGCAAGAGAGTAGAATCACAGCATAATAAGGCAATGAAGAACCTTATAAAATCAATTAGTTTGTAAAATGTTAAACTATGTGATATATTTTAACTTGTGTAAAAATATTTAATACTATATTGATATGGTTTGGCTGTGTCCCCACATAAATCTCATCTTGAATTGTAGCTCCCAATTGTTGTGGGAGGGACCCAGTGGGAGGTAATTGACTCATGGGGGTAGGTCTTTCTTGTGCTGTTCTCGTAATAGTGAATAAGTCACATGAGATCTGATGGTTTTATAAAGGGGAGTTTTCCTGCACAAGCTCTATTCTGTTTTCTGCCACCATGTGAGACGTGTCTTTCACCTTCTGCCATGATTGTGTGGCCTCCTCAGCCACGTAGAATTGTGAGTCCAATAAACCTCTTTCTTTTGTAAATTGCCCAGCCTTGGGTATGTCTTTGTCAATAGTGTGAAACGGACTAACATATACACACATATATATGTACATACATGGGCTAGTACAACCTAGATTCGATTGAATTAACTAAGAAAACAACACAATTCTTAACTTTTTATTATTTTTTCATTAAAAATTGTTTTTTCTTTTCTTATTTTCTTAGAATTAATGAGTGGCTCAGAGAAGACTCCCAAATTTTTTTTATCATAATATACACTCTAAAATTTAAATCAGCACGGCCATCTTCCTAAGTGATATGTTTTCTCTAATACATTTAAATCTGATTTAAAAATCACCATTATAAGTATGGTTATATATACATTTATTTAAAATAATTACACTATTAATAATGAAGAGACAACACCACAAAACATGCATAATTCTTAGGATAATGTACACACTTTGGGCCTGACTTTTATAGGCTTCCATTACTGTTGTGTTGTAATTGGAAATTGTTTGTGGCCCTTGTGAATTCCAGGGCAGCAGTCAGCAAATCTTTTTTTAAAAAGAGTCAGATATTACATATTTAAGGCATGCTGTGTATGCGGTCTCTATGGAAACTATAAAACCCTGCTTTGTAGTATAACAGAACCAAAGATGATTCGTCAATTAATAGGCATGGTTATGGTCCAATAAATCCTTATTCATAAACTCAGATAGCTGGCCCACCAGCCATAGTTCTCTAACCCCTACGATATTGTTTGGAAATACAATACACCTACATATATAGTTTGGTGCTCTAGTCTTTTAAGTAATGATTTATTTTCAATGTCCTGAGAGTTAAACAATATGATACAGAATTTGCCTTGATTATGCTCTGGAGGGTGGGTTCTGGTACTGACTCTATCAGTTACAGGCAGGTAATTTAAATCCCCTACTTCAGATTTTTCATGTGCAAAATCAATTACAGGAAGATCTATCTGAAAGAAGAGGTTAGAAAGGAGAAAAACCAATTAGGTTTTCACAACCTGCTTATTCATATTTTAATATCTTTCTAGGAATTCATTAAAAACATCTGCTTAATAAACCTGGGATGATTTTGAAGATCAAATTAGAAAATGTACCTGAAAGTATACTATAAATGATGATACTTAATATGTAAACTTTTATTATTATAACTAGTAAGTGTATTATGTTCCTTATATCTAGCTAAGTGCTATCTGACCCTCTGATTAGGTATAGTCCCATAGCTCAATGGACAATCAATCAACAGATCAGTTGATCAACAATGCCATTTTTATCCTTGATTTTCTGGTATTTTCACTTCTTAAAGAAGATGCTTCTTTACTACTGGTTTTTCAGTCAGCTCTGCTTTAACTTAGCTTGGTTAAGAGAAGACTACATGACTTTGAAATAACCTAGATTTTTAGCATATAACTCCACATTTCACCCATAATTTCTCCCAGTGCAGCCATTTCTTTGAATGGACACTTTCAGTGGAGTGATTATCATATACAGTACTTCTCATAAGATACAGATCTTCTTTAAGTAGTGGCCATCCCTGTCATTTCTTTAAAGCAAAAGCCTGTAGATCATTTTTCTTATATAATTTAACAGTGAAGTGGGTTTAATGCTTTACTAAAGAATTATGGGAATTTTTCTAAAACATGAATTTGTCAGGATATAACTCTAGTGTCTTTATGGGCAATTTTATTTTGAAACATAGTCCAGTGTGAAATCAGTCTACTTGACTTTAAAATTAAACTAAGAAAGCATATTCTGAAATAATTTTAAAGCACTGTCTCTATCCACATGCCCTTTTTCTGAAACTAGTAAATGCATCAAGAGGTACATTTAGAAATGGGATTAAATGCAAGTCACTTCATTTTCAGAGTCCCATAGTGACACGTTGCAGGACACATGAAGATACAGTGGTTATTTGTCTTTTTTATCACTAGTTGGCTTAGATTTTTTATTCATCTCTGTTACTCCTTTCTGAATTGATCCTAATTGATCATGCCAAAAAGTTATCTCTTTAATAATCACAGAACATAATACAGAGCTGTGTGCTTAATAAGTGATCAATGAAATCATAAATTAGGCTCTTAGGATAGGTATAAATTATCCTTACTAAATTCACTTATCCAAAAAGAGGAATGGTTAAAACTGTGCTAAGAGAGACCATTGCTCTTTTTGGGTCATAGACACCTTCTATTTCAAGATAATAAGAATTAAATGAACTGCAGCAGCCTGAATGTTATCATGCATTTATGGTGCATGAATTTACACCAACATTATTTTTAGAGAGCCTATGTCAAACTTGGGAAAATGTGCCAAGCAGGTGAAAGTTTCTCTATGGCTTCTTATAAATTAACTAAAGATTTGGATTTTACAAGTGTAAAAAAAAAAAAACTTAGTAAACTGGCCCCCAAAAAATCACAAGATGAAGAGAATCTTTAAGAGTATACAATCTATTCTTTCAATTTCTCAGATTTATTACATTTGATAATATGATGACATCTTCTACAATTTAATTGAAGTCATGGAAAATTTGAAAACATAAAATTTCATATTAGTCTTATATCAAAGATCATTAGCATCACACCTTATCAACTGGAGAATTCAATTTAGGGACTTCCATAAACATGTAATACACTTTGTACAAACACTATCATAGAACCCATATTTCTCAGAGGTATCTACGAAAATATCCTGAGAAATACTGTGAAGGATTTTATTGTTCTTAAAATCCAGATGCGTTATTTCCTTACTCTATTTCCTAATCTAATATTTGCTAAACATAAATTACAGGGTACAGTAATGTATACATTTAAGTTTGCTTTTTATCACTCTTGGTAAGTCAAATGAGATAAAATTTAATTTAGGAAATTAAATGCATAAAATTATTAGAAGATTCCATTTTTAAAAGTCTAGGAGAAAGTTTACTACATAGTTTCCATTTGGTTATCAGGGATTAGAAAGTTACCAGATTTGCAGGAAAATCTCTACGATCACAGATGTCTATAGCACTTGACAGGAAATTTACGGAAAAAAATAATAAAGCCTCAAAGGCGTAGAATATTGCTTCCTTCGATGTCCATGGTCTGCTTACCGTTACTGGAATAATCAGTTTTGTTTTTTAATTTTTCACCTTCCAGAACTCACAGAACTTCCTCTTCTGGTAGAGTTAAAATTAAAATAATGAGAATGGAGGGGAAGTTCGGCCCATTTCTGCCATCAAGCTGTCAGCAAGAAAAATAGAAACTACTCTTTCCTGAAGATAGGTATTTACTATAGGAAATGATACACCAAAAAATCCTTTTGAATGCTGAAGAGGTCATGGTCAAAAAAAATATTGCTAGCTCTCAAATTCATTCTTTGATTTTTAAAAAATCATTAATTTGCAAAAATACAAGAAAACTTCTGACACTAATCTCAACTGCCTATGTCACCAAACAGGGAAATTTTCATGGAAATACTAAAGAGCTGCACAAATTAATATCTGCCAAAAACCATGCACATGCCTGAGGCTATTGAGGAAAATTAATGGGTTTTCTTCTCTTCTGCCTTCCAAATTGGCTTTATTTCTCTGCCTTTCAAACTTTTCACCAGCAAAACTTAACAAGAAACTTGCTGGAAATGCTTCCTGTCCCTAAGATGTCAGGAAGTGCTAAGAGATGATGGGCAAGATTGTTGGTTAAAATATATCATTTTCTCTGTTTGTTGTCACCCACATTCAATCCATTATCAAGTTCTGTTGAGTATACCTCTTAAACAGATATCAAATTTATTCAGTTGTCTCTATGTCTACCATTATTATCCAATTACAAGCCAACATTCTTACAAGGACTATTGCAATGACTCTTAACTGGTCTCTAAATACTTCTAATACTAGATTTGTCTCCTTCACATTTGTTCAGCTGCCAGAGTCATTCTTCTAAAGTGCTTATTGCAATATGTCATGCCACTACCTAAATTACTTTATGTCTTACTCTGCATTTAAATAATATCAAACTCCTCAGCATAGCGCCAGCAATAAAAAAAATTAACATTCATTAAGTAGTTACTATGTGCAAGAAATATACCATGCACTGTCTATTTGGTATCTCATTGAAGCATTAGAAATACCATGGGAGGTGGATATCTTTATTATGTCCATTTTGTCAATAATAAGTTGAAACAAAAAGTGATAAACAACTTATGGCCACTCAGCAAGTTAATATGAAAACTCGTGATGGTCTGTGCTGCATTCCTGAGCTAGCTACTTGTCATTCTTCCAAATTCATTCTCTTTTCTCTCACTCACAATGGTCCAGACCCAATCGATTACTTTCATTTTTTTGCACATACTGATGTCTATCTTGATATATTGCCTTGCACATATTATTTTTAATCTGTGAAATAGTTTCCTGCTATTATTTGTAGAACTTATTCTTCAAGTCCTGATTTAAATATCTCCCAAGATAAGACTTTTAAGACTATTCTATTTATAGATATTTTTTACGATTATTTTCTGTATATCTTTAGAAAACATGTCTACACTTGTCAAAATTGTAATTACATATTCTATTGTTAACTTATTTTCTGTTTCTTTAGATGCACTGTAAGTTGCAGAGTCTGTTTCTAAAACACTAGCAATTTTGTATCTTGACCAACGTTTTGTTCAATGTGGTCACTCAGTAAATATGAATGAATAAATGGAGATCTCAGCTGCTCAAGTTTGAAAATTATATACAATTTACAAAACCAACTATCAAGTCATTCTTAGCATTACACTAATGTTCTATGTTGGATGTCCCAATTTCTCCAACAGCTGCTCTTCTCAAGAAATGAAACAAATTTGTCTATTTTCTGACAGTTACTCAAATTTAAGCCACAAAAGTTTCTATTGACCTATTCATGAATGGTAGATTATGGAGCTCTTCCTGGTCCCAACCAGGTGAATTTAATAGTTCAAACATGGTGGGGACGACCAACTCTAGAATGGCCTATATGACAACTGCTAGAAAGATGTGACTATTTAACACTTGAAATAAGGCTAGTCTGGATTGAAAAGTTGTGTAAATATAATATACACACAGGATTTCAAAGACTTTATGTGAAAATAAAACAATACATAGTATCATATCAATAATTTTATACTGACGCATGTTGAAATGATAATATATGGTACATACTGAGTTAAGTAAAATATAGTACTGCATTAATTTTACTTGCTTATTTTAAAAAACATAGCTTATATATCTGAAATCTATGTCTTGTCATATAATTCTGTTAGCCAGTTCTGGAACAACTTGTTCCAAAGGTTGTCAGTTTTATTAAGTTCTTTCCTTGCATTTACTTTTCCTAAATTGAAACATTTGCTGAAGTTAATTACCCTAAGCAAGGGACCCCCCAGCGGATCACAACTCAACAAAATCTGTGACGCTGCCAGCAGATCACAATTCAACAAAATCTGTGACACTGAAGAAATCATATGTGGCTTCAAGAGCTACCTCAGGCATGCCATAACCTAGCCACATTTTGTTTTGTTTTGTTCATTTCTTTTTTTATTTTTATTTTATTATTATTATACTTCAAGTTTTAGGGTACATGTGCACAATGTGCAGGTTAGTTGCATATGTATACATGTGCCATGCTGGTGTGCTGCACCCATTAACTCTTCATTTAGCTTTAGGTATATCTCCTAATGCTATCCCTCCCCACTCCCCAACCCCACAACAGTCCCCAGAGTGTGATGTTCCCCTTCCTGTGTCCATGTGTTCTCATTGTTCAGTTCCCACCTGTGAGTGAGAACATGTGGTGTTTTGTTTATTTCTTTAGGAAATTTTTTGTTCCACGTAAAAGTTTAACTCTTTACCTCCCGTCAACTGAGTTCTCATGGTCAGAAATCATTTGATGTTGGCGTGTATCATATCCATTCCATGCCTATGGAGGATATAACAATATGTTCAACTGGAAAATGGAAAAGTAACTTGACAGATTCATCTCATCCCAACAGTAGGTCATTTTGATATAAAATATGTAATTAGTTTTTCCATAGCCATTCCTCTACCCACAACATTTTGTTTTGTATTGCTTTGCTTTAAACCAGGTATTATAATTACTATCCTGCTACTTCTTGCTAATTTTTATACACAGTCATTTTTAAAAATAAGGTACAAATGACATATTTATTCTTTTACCCCAGCAGCATATTTCAGGAATTTTATCTGAAATAAACATAAACGTACCAGTACGAAAAGATATGAATATATATAACGGATGTATGTTGACATTATTTCCAAGTGTTACACATTGCAATATTCTCAATGCTATTTATGTGAGATGATACCATACTGCTGAGTAACTCCATTATTTTTTTTACTTATCAAAATACTGCATATATCCATCACAATCAATGCACATTTACTAAAATCTGCACAGTATAAATGTACAATTGTTTATTCAACTTTTATCTCATATTTTCAATTCTTTCTTGATAATAGTGTGCACCAACTTGGCTAGGCTATGGCATCCAGTTATTTATTCAAAGACTTCTTTAGATGATTCTTTTTCAGGAAGTATTTTTTACATGTAATTAATATTTAAATCAGTAGCCTTTTAATAAAGCAGATTACTCGTCATAATATGGATGAGACTCATCCCATTGGTTGAAGGCCTTAAGAGCAAAGACTGAAGTTTCCCGAAAGAAGAAGGGATTTGGCCTCAAGACTACATTAAATCTCACCTGAATTTCCAGCTGGCTGGCTTGTACTACATATTTGAACTTGCTAATGGCCAATCTTATAAGCCAGTTCCTTAAAATAATAATTAAAAAAAAAGACTCCATTTCTCTCTCTCGCTCTCTACACACAAATACACACACACACACACACACACACACACACACCCCACACACACACTTAATATTGGTTCCATTTTTTTTGGGGGGGAGAATCCCAACTAATATTGCTATTCATTATTGTCTGTATAATTTTAAATATATTTCTTAGTTTCTTGAGGTGCGTCATGAATTTTGGATAGTTTCACCCAGAGTTGTCATAAGGTGTGACAAAAAGTTTTCATAATTATATTTAGGTTTTAGAACTATCATTTCAACTGCAATGTATGAAACATGCTGTATTTTATGGGGCGAGATCTAAAGATCAGTTAGTTTGACACTCTAAAGGAAGAGTAATGTTGTTCATTACAGGAAGACCGTATGGGTTGTTAAGAAAATGAGATACATAACTTTCCTTTTTTACATGAAAATAATTATTTATAGTGACACTTTTTTTTTTAATACTGAGTTTCACTCTGTCGTCTAGCTGGAGTGCAGTGGTGCAATCTCGTCATGCTGCAACCTCCGCCTCCCAGGTTCAAGTGATTCTCCTGTCTCAGCCCCTTGAGTTGTTGGGATTACAGGTGCACACCACCACACCCAGCTAATTTTTGTATTTTTAGTAGAGACAGGGTTTCACCATGTTGGCCAGGCTGGTCTCGAACCCCTGACCTGAGGTGATCAGTCCAACTCAGCCTCCCAAAGTGTTAGGATTACAGGTGCGAGCTGCCGCACTGGGCCTATAGTGACACATTTTAAGGTATGATCAAAATAGTGAGTGGTTACAGTGAAGAAGATGAATTATCTGTAGAAATATTTACATATCCATAATGAAGATTGGATTTTTTTCAGAGAAAGATGTGATCAAAAAATGAGGACAATGAACAGAAAATTGTTAGGCAACAGTAACAGGAGGAGTCAGATGTAAATAAATGAAATTTCCAATTCACAAATGAACCTAGTATAATGGCAATGTGAAAGATAGTAAGCAGCATATGTAGTAGGGTACTGCCGGAGGAACAGAAACACTATCCTTACCCGAGTTAGGTTTCAATGATATTCAGTAAGGAAGAAAGAAGCCTTCCTCAACAGCTTGATTCTAGAGTTGATTTTTATATGAGACAGTTGTTAAAAACCATCTGCAGACTCTTTGTGGATGACTTAAATACACCATACCGTTTGTCATCATTATGGATCACATGGGTGAATTTTGAAATAGGTGTTGAATAAATATTGGATAAATGAATAAATCAATGAACTTATAATGCCACAAGTTTATCCATTTTAATCTATTAATTGTATGAAGTTATCTCATTGATTTTTTAATATTCCTTTTATAATTTAGTAATATCGTTATTGTACAAATGACTGAAAGGATTTGAAAGTGGCCTAATTTTGGAAACCCTCTCAAAGAAGTACCCAGTAAGTACCTGGTAGCCATTCATATTTAAATTGGATTTTTACTTTGATGTTCTAAGTGTATCATATCACAGGCACATAATGAGAATCAATAAGAATTTTATAAATTATTTAGCCAACTTAAAGGATTCCTGATACCTTAAGAAAGTATAGATATTGAAATGGTTTACTCTAATTAATAATTGTGCATATGTGCAGTAACGTGTAAAAATGCTCCTGTTAAAACATGAAATCAATCATTACAAATTTCTGAAATTTAAATTCCTTATGCTTGAGAATAGCAACTTTGATTATACAAAATGTAAGCCATAAACAAAATTAACAAATATGTTTCTTAACCTTCAGTAAGATTTTTTTTATGATGGAAATTGAAAGCACATGGTGGAATCTGGTGTGAAAACAGCTCAAAGATTTCCATCTGTGTGATTTTGAATAAATCTGAGCTTCTCTGTGCCTTTGTTTTCTCATAGGCTGAATGGTGATAATAAAACTATTTTTCGGTGACTTAAAGTATATAAAGCAATTCAGATAGATCCTGGAACATAGTAGTGTTTTTCTGAGTATTAGTTATTTTATGTAGTTTTGAAAATAATATGTTTAAATTCACCTATACCATTACTGTATTTCTGTCCATCATATGATTGTTGTATCTAAGGGACTATAAATCTCAAATTTATTTAATAAGAAATTTTGTTCCATAAACATTGTTAGATTTAGTTAATTTAAACTAAGAATTAATAGAGTCCAAGAACTTGAAAGGATGCATTCAGTTTTAATCACTTACAACGCCTACCAAAATAAGTTCACATTAAGCCAATAATCATCACTTTTCTAGTGAAAATAATATTAATATAAAGAATGGGAGACTGGCAGGGCACAGTGGCTCATGCCTGTAATCCCAGCACTTTGGGAGGCCAAGGCAGGTGGATCACCTGAGGCCAGGAGTTCAAGACCAGCCTGGGCAACACGGTGAAACCCGATCTCTACTAAAAATACAAAAAATTAGCTGGGCGTGGCAGCATGTGCCTGTAGTCCCAACTACTCGGGAGGCTGAGGCAGGAGAATGGCGTGAACCCAGAAGGCAGAGGTTGCAGTGAGCTGAGATCTCACTGCACTCCAGCATGGGCAATAGAGCAAGACTCTGTCTCACCGAAAAACAATAACAAAAAAAGAATGAGAGACATGCAAATAAATAGGGGAAAGAAGAATTAGAAACACAGGAGAAAAATATATACTATTTCATTTTCTTATCCTTAAAGTACTTCTTTTAGCTACAAATTTATTTAATATAAAACTTTCTTAAGAACTTGTTTGTACCAGTACTATGCTGTTTTGTTTACTGTAGCCTTGTAGTATAGTTTGAAGTCAGGTAGCATGATGCCTCCAGCTTTGTTCTTTTTGCTTAGAATTGCCTTGGCTATTCTGGCTCCTTTTTGTTTCCATCTGTATTTTAAAATAGTTTTTTTTTTCTGGTTCTGTGCAGAATGTCAATGGTAGTTTAATAGGAATAGCATTGGACTTATAATTGCTTTGTGCAGTTTGGCGATTTTAACTTGAACAGAAAACCAAATACCTCATGTTCTCACTTATAAGTGGGGGCTAAATGATGAGCACACATAGATACATAAAGGGAAACAACACACACTGGTGACAGTGAAGCGTGGAGAGTGGGAGGATGGAGAGGATCAGGAAAAACAACAAATGGGCACTAGGCTTAATATCTGAGTGCTGAAATAATCTTTACAACAAACCCTCATGACACAAGTTTACCTATGCAACAAACCCGCACATATATTCCTGAACTTAAAATAAAAGTTATAAGAAAAACTTGTTTATATAAAACAACTAAAGAGAAGAAAGAATAACTTTTTAGAGAAATGTGTTTACTCTTTTATATAAAACTGAATTTTGCTTTGAAAATATTGTCTAACAAGCACAAATCCCCTTCCACTAAATGTGGTAAGTGTTGTTGGTGTTATTCAAGTATTTCTAATAAAAAATACTAAATAATTAAAGGCATAAACACTGCCAACTTGCAATTATTGTTCTTTATCTCAAACTTATTTGCCAAGATGCTGAAAGGCTTCAAAAGTTTTAACTGTGCCAAATATTTATAAATGCAAGAGACAATACTATTAGTGATTCTCTCTCTTTTAATTGTGAATAATAGAGCCAAATACTTGTCGCAAGGACCAACATGCGAAGGTTAGATTTAGGAATTTTCAGTAGCAGAGTAATAATTGTCAGAATACCATTTTTTTAACACTTTGGAAGTGAGTGAATAAAAATGAAAATAGTCACATAATTTTCTAAAAGACACATTCAACCATGTGAATGTACCCTCATTCTTTTGCATGTGAAGTCTCTTTGCACATTTAGAAGCCCTTATTACCTATCGTATCCCCACCTTCCTCTCCCATCTATGGCTAATTTTTACTTTTGCAAATTAAGTAGCTCTCTTTTTCCAATCATTCCTCAGATACCTGTGTTAGATCCCCACTCTGGCTCTCTATGATTGAATTGCTGTTATATCTTTCCAAGATGTGCTGCACAAAATTAAACATGTAATACAGTTATAATCTCACATGTGTAAGGCAAAAATGCTAATAGCCTTATTCCAATAAAAAAGATGAAGACAGACAAAGATTATTTTAGGTATTTTTTTAGGGTAAGATCTTACTGTCATTTCCCTTGAGCATTAAGCCAGTGAAAGCATTATGCATTGTTATCAGCCTAAGGCAGATGCCTCAATTCATTTTAGAGCCATGATTAGAGGAAGTTAGAGTCATTCATATGAATCTGCTTACTTTGTTTTAACATAAATCTTATTTGATAATTTTGCTCAATATGTATTTCAATTACTCTAGACTACTTGTCCTCTGAAAATCTTCAAAGTTTCTTCACTGCAAGTACATTATAAAAAAGATTAAATGGAGTATCTGTCATAATAACTATCTTTACTTGAAAATGATATAATAGCTTATGTAGAAAATCTTGTGAAATGTAATTTTTAAATGGAAATAATAAATAAGTTTGGTAAAGCTACAAAATTCGAGATTAATATACAAAGCAACTATATTCTATATACAGTAATGAACAAATGGAAATTGAAAACAA
Organism: Homo sapiens; assembly: GCF_000001405.40. NCBI lineage: Eukaryota > Metazoa > Chordata > Mammalia > Primates > Hominidae > Homo > Homo sapiens. Next base: position 66,477,099 of record NC_000018.10, on the reverse strand, counting down.
TAACATTTGCATTAGTGTCAAAAATATAAAACACTAAGGAAAAATTTTCACAAAAGATGTGAAACAGCTGTAGACTGCAAAATACAACTAGTGCTGGAAAAAAATAAAAATAACATAAATAATTGGAGAGACATACCTTTTTCTTGGGTTGGAGAGCAACACCATCGAGATGTCAAATATGAAATCATTAATATATATTTGATGGTATAATATGTAATTTGTTTAATTTTGTACTCAGGGACCAAGTTGCCTTTTCATTATTTATCAATAAGAAAATTTTGAATTCTGACACAAGTTAGTCATGTTAAAAGTATATGTCTATCAAAATTTTAAAGAGCAGAATTTGGAATTCTGGGCTTTGATAACGTTTTCATCTCTTCAAACATTATTCCAGAAATTCATGGTCCATTCATTGCTTGACTGTTTTATTCCAGGTGTTTCATTTTTCTACAGAAGTATTAAGAATTTGTAGGTATTCGCAGGTTTTTTAAATCTTAAAAAGCTTAATCTTGTTTTATCTTATAATCTAAGAATATACTTTCAAGTTGATATGATATATGCAGTTTCCTCTTTCTTCCTTCTTTCCTTCCTTTCTTCTACCCTTTCTTAATCAAATGCTATAACTTCTTCTCTCTCAGTTAAAAAAAGCAAAAAAAAAAAAACCTCATTTATTCCCCCTAAATGATGAACATATTTGGTGTTTGTTTGTGGTTCATTCCTATTGTTTAAGCCTTTTTATAAAAAAAACTTCTTAACCAGTACTGAGGAATACCAATAGAGACAACATGCTGTATCTTCCATTTAGAACACTTTTATTTCCGTGAAATATTACTAATATAAATTATGTGAAAAACTGGGATATTCCTTCTATAGAAGATATCATTTGGAGAGATAGAAATATTCAAATTTATGCTTAGGAATGAAAAAATGACAAATAAACTTAAGGATTTAAGCTAACACAATATTTCCTTCAGATACAACCTATTAGAAATAATGGTAGTTTAAGATTGTTTGATGTGTTTTTTAGAGTCCAGAAATCACTGGGAAATGATAAGACAGACAAGTTTCTCCTTGACTTTTTTGAAGGTCGGAATTGAGCCTGAGTATAGAAAGACAATGCATATATCATTGATACACAAAAATAGTCCTTAATGATATCATTTTTCTGTTATATTTATTTCTTCCTTAAGCAATGTTCTGGTCTGTAATGCAGAATTCATGGTAATTTTCTTCCAGGACATGGCGCAAAGTATTACATTTTAAAAATCCCATTCAAAATTAATAAAATAATTTTTGTGTGAAATAGATAGTTTGCTATTTTAGTTCAACATGTCAGTCCCTTTTGCTTCTTTAAATAGAATAAATTAAACTGTGTATATGTGGATCCCACTGAAGGTCAATTTCTGCAGACCACAGAGCAGATATTTCAACTTATTACCTCATGATAAAAGAAAGTGAAACAAGAGAGCTTTTTGGTACGCTTGGTTAATTCCTTTTACTCAGAATTTTAATCCTGATTTCCCCGACATTTAGTTCAATATTTATATCCTTCTGTTTTCTACTATATTAGCTTCCCTCATCCAGAGCAACAAAATTCCTATGCTAATTGTAAGAAAATGACTAGGCAATTATTAATACTAGCTCCTCAATACACCTAGTTGATTACATCCCACACAGTAAGCAAATAGAAAACTGAAGACATCTACATATTAGTATAATTTTCTAAAATTTTTAGTCATGGAGTTTATTATTTATAAGCGAATTTTAATCTTATTCATTAGGGTAAATACTTCCAAATGATGAAATCTACATTGACTTACATTCCTTCAAATGATAACATTACTTACTGAAAGAGCATATTTTGTTTCTTGAAGACCAATTCCAATGCCTCCTCCAAAATAAAGATTATCTAGAAAACAAATTTTAATGTAAGCTTAAAACAAGGCAAGTCAATTAAAATGAATGTGAAAACTTTCAGGCAATTACAGTTTGGTTTGTTTAGTGAGCCTGAGACCAGAGCACCGGTACCAATGTTTCTTTTTACAGCTCACATAAAAGCAATAGAAAATTGACACTATTGAGAGTTCCAGGTGATTTTTTTTTATAGCATAAATATTCTGAGCTTCGTTTTGTTCTGCCTTTTTTTGCCTTGATAGCATGTTTAGGTTGCGCTAAAATTTACATTATTTTCTTGATATATATGACTAATAAAATATGACTGGAAGAGAAAATAGTTTTGAAAATTCTCTTTAAAAAGTGTTATGTTGTCTTGGTTGTATTTATGATGTCACCATATTCTTACTGGGCGTATTCTGCTTTCCCATCCACATTAATGATTACTCTTTCACAACTTCCTCTTTTAGTCTTTTACACCACAAATATATAGACAAATGATAGATAGATACTGCTATAAAATTTATTTTCAAAATCCTGTGATACATACAATCACTGATTTAACTTCCTTGCCTCTGAAACTCTCCACTGAATGACAATAGTGAGTATTTTTAAGAAATGACTACAGAAAGAAAACAAAACTATAAATGAGAACAGTAAAACATTCTCAAAATCTAGAAAGCGTATCTAATCTAGAAAGCACAAGAAAGCAGAATCTTAAACTGATAGTGGAGAAAGCCAAGGTGCTACCTGATTTGCACAACAAAATTTGCAAAGGCTAAGGAATTAATGGCCTCAGATTTGCCTGAAAGGCCAAAGTGTGGCAGCAATAAGGAAGATAAGGTGATTATGAATATCTACGAAAGAAGAATCCAGAGCTTCAGACCATTTGCCCCATTCTGCACCCTGAGGCCCTTCTCTTCACCCTGTCTGAGGTCAATCTCTGGAGTGAAGGCTGCCGGAGATGGAGGACAGAAATGGTACCATACTGCACACAAGGCATGAAGTAGAAATCTACTAGGACACAGTGTACATGTGTGCAGTCTGTGCCCTGCAAAAATGTAACCTGCAGAACAAAAAAGGGACCACTGAAGTCAGGGAATTCCATATTCCTTTGCTCATAGGGCTATGTTTGCACAAATGTGGTGTCCTGTTTCTAATGCAAACATTGTGCAGTATAAGGTGATATCTGCACAAACCACATACTAAATATTGGGACCTTAGATTCTCGTTCTCCACTTCCCATCAAAATGAATACTGAGACCCAGATTTATAAATCCAGTAAAAGGAGTGAAAGGTTTTTTCGGAGGCAAAATTTTTATGTAAAAAGTTTTACAACAAAACCCCAAACAAACTAACAAAAGCATTGTTTCTGTACAAATGCATACATCTATAATTTGAGGGAAAAAGACAAACGAGCAATCAGCAATTATTCAGACACAACCTCGCAACATTAATACTGTTCATTCCCACACTTCTCGTGAACTTCAGTCGGTAAAACAGCAGAGCTCTCGGTTTATGTACTGCATTAATTTCATTTCATGTACTTTGTAGAATTTTCTGCTCCTGTAAGAGTTATTCTTGCCTGGTGTCCCAAAGAGTAAAGAGAAAAGTCTTATGGAAATTGTGTGTGTGTGTGTGTGTGTGTGTGTGTGTGTGTGTAATTTTATTATATTGCCTTATTTTACACCTATTTCATTAAGAATGAGTAAAATTCAAATTGTGTGAGGTTATGTGTAGTTGCTTATTTGCCCAAATGTATACAATAAATTACCCAGTCATGATGAAGGCTGAGTTATTCACTAATGATTAGAACCACCAATTATGTGATAATTAGAAATAAATTTAAAGAAAACTACTTAACTAAATAACACATATGAGAGAGAAAAGATATTTAGTGACAAAATTTCTCATGTATATATGTTTCTTACTTTTTCCTGAATTGTGTTTACTTTATATATTGAGTTTAAAATCTTGTCCTGTCTTATTCCCTAAGTCTTTTCTGAACTTCATATTTTGTGTAGAGAATAAAGGAAGAAAACTTGTGTTAAATAGAAGCTCCTTCTCTGACTTAATAGATAAATGACTCTATTTTCTCTATAAAAATGATACTCGTAGATGGTATTCATGGATCAGTGCTCAAGTACTATGCTTTCCAGTGTATATATTCAGTAATTCATTGTATTTTTGCTCCAAAACTTTATGCTAGCTGCAGTTTTAATCACTGCATAATTAAATTAAATATTAATTGGATCAATGGAAATAGAGTTTTTTTCCTATGCAGAACTATCTGCATACTTAGAAATAACTCACTAAATGTAAGTTATTTTAAAACATTTGTGTAAAATTAGATGTGGGAGAGTGCTAGGGTCTGAATGTTTGTATCTCCCCCAAACTGATATGTTGAAATCCTAACTGTCAAGGTGATGATATTAGGAGGGTATTAAGAGGCAGAGTCCTCATGAGTTTTTGCCCATTTTTATAAAATAGATCCCAGCCGGGTGTGGTGGCTCACACCTGTAATCTCAGCACTTTGGGGGGCCCAGGAGCACAACACTTGTGCTCAGGAGTTCCAGACCAACCTGGACAACATGGTAAAACCCTGTCTTTACAAAAAATACAGAAATTAGCTGGGTGTGGTGGCATAGGCTTGTAGTCACAGCTACTCAGGAGGCTGAGGTGGGAGGATTGCTTGAGCCTGTGAGGCAGAGGTTGCTGTGAGCTGAGATCAGGCCACTGTATTCCAGCCTGGGTGACAGAGCCAGACCCTGTCTCAAAAAAGAAAAAAACAAAAAACAAAAAACAAAAACGAGGCCCCAGGGAGCTGCCTCATCCTCTTGAACCAAGTGAGGACACAGCAAGAAGACCCCAAGGAAACAGGGTCTCACCAGACACCCAATCTCCTAGCACCTTGATCCTGGATTTCCCAGCCTCCAGAACCGTAAGAAATAAATTTATGTTATTTATAAGCTACCTAGTTTATAATGTTTTGTTACGGCAGCCCAAATGCTCTAAACGAGATAATGTTATAAGTTTTGTTGAGGTGATCTTAGAGGAATTGATACAAATCTAGAATTATTTTGTGAATAGTTTTCTTGAAACTGACTTATTGCCGTGTTTAAAAAGAGAAAGAGAAATTTCGGCTGATGTGTTAATAGTATCGTTTTAAAAATGGAAACATTGCTCATTTTCAACAAAAGGAGCCAAACATTTTAGATTACAACAAAATATAGTAAAACAGCTGTGATCCCGATTTTAATGTCCCCCTTTTTTTTACATTGGATAAGAAAACTCTTCCTATATTTCGAAAACACCAGATTTGGCAATACTTCTTTGCACAAATGTTTCTATTTAGGCAAAAGGATTTAGATATCTCTCGAGGAGTGTAAGATGTTGGCATAAAGCTTTACTACAGCCTATGATTTGGCTTTTGTTAAGCATTTCCCTAATCCATGTAGAGAGACATGTATATAGGGAAATGAAGAAGGTGTTTTAGTCTTTGGCAAATAAAATAGTTGGTGTCCTACTTCATGGTTTTTGTCAGCTCTTTGTATCATCCCAATTAGAAAGTAGACTATTATACATTGAGATTTGTTTTCAGCCCAATAATATCGGGCAATATTTTTAATGAAATTGCTACTTGAGTACTTCCTCATTTGTGAGATTTGTTCATAAAATTGTAGCTGAGTATTTTTCCAATCAGTCCCAACTCTGTGCCTCAGAAATATATGTGTCAAGTGGTAGACAAATCACCTTAAAATTGATAATTATCTCCTCAGCAGTACAGGTATAAATTAAGAAAAACATATTTTTGGTAACTTCATGTAGCTTATTTTACCTAAAAGTTCATAAAATGCTTTTTGAAAGCAATAAACTAATATTTATTATGAGAAAATTATTTTTTGTTATTATGTATTGTATCTTGGATAAAAGGACATTTTTGGGTCTTTTTTGCAAGACGGATCCCAAGGATTTCTTTGAAGAGTTTTACAAATTTCAAATGTGAACATTTTTGTCCACAGTTTTCTTTACAGAAAATAAAATTTGGCATAAGAGAAATACTAGACTAAAATCAGTTATTCTAAAGATGACTCAGGAAACAAAAGTTGCTATTTGGACCTAGCTCATACAAGGGGTTGGAGGATTCCTAGCTCTAGTATGGCTGAGTAAAATCTATTTAACCTATACTCTGACAAACAATGACAATTAATCCTGTAATATTATGAAAATAAAAAAAAACTGAAAGAGAACAAATAAATCAGGAACTGAAGGGATATTGTCTTAGTCCGTTTTGCTACAAAAATACCACAGACCAGGTAATTTGTAAAGAAAAGAGATGTATTAGCTCTTGGTTGTGGGGTCTTGAAGTCTAAGAGGTTGGCACTGGCATCTGGTAGGGGCGTTTCTGCTGGGCCATAACATGGTGGACAGCATCACATGTTGAGAATGCAGGAGTAAGAGACCCAGAGAAAGCTCGCTTTTATAACAAAGCTACTTCCATGATAACAAACCCACTCTTGTGATAGCAACATTAATCCATTTATGAGGACAGAGCTCTCACTAATCCATTAATCTCCTCAGGAGGCAGAGCCAATATTATTCCATTCATGAGGGCAGAGAGATTAAATTTTCAACACATGAGCCTTTGGGAAACATGTTCAAACCATAGCAGAAGCTAACGCTTGGAAGAAGAAAATGGCACATATGAGTTTCTAAGTTTGTTAGACATATCACCATGCAGGAAAACCCACAGGTGTGCTGAGGTGGTGGTGGTGGGCTTCTAGGTCTCTGACAGAAAACTCACAATAATTCTTGCATGGAGAATAAAAGGAGATGGTTCAGAGCAACCATGGCCACTGAGATATGAAAGGAAAAACTCCAGGAAGGCAAGAACCAGAGAAGCAGGGGTATAATTCTAGCACAAATCATTGGATTATGGCTGAATCACACATGCCTTTACTTAGGTAAAGGACCTAAGTAGTCCACCTAAAGCTAGTATAATTCCAGTGGAATGAAATGTCATTCATTGCAGAAGGAAGAATTTTGAACTTTTATTTCAGCTAAGTTCTATAGCTACTTTAAAACATAGCTTTTATTGGAGGAACATAACAAGTCTATTCTCAATGTCCAGGGAAAAATCCAAAATTGTTCTACATACAAAGAAACAGAAGTATATAAGAAAAGATCATCAGTGGTGACCAACATAGAGATGCCTCTGATGCTGTAATAACAGAGAAGGGTGTTTTACAGAGAATGCAATGATACTCGAAGATTTAAAGAAAGACATGTTTCTCATAAATGAAAAGTAGGTTATCTTAGGAATGAATAAGAAACAAAATAATAGACCCATAATAAAAAGTTTAGACCCAAAAAATAATTCAAAATAACATAAAAATTACTCCATTAGCTTAAGATCAAAATGGATAAAGAGAAGGCAAGAGTAAATTAACTTGAAAATGAATCAACAGAAAATAAATGTAGAAAAAACAATCAAGAAGGATAAACAAAGCCTGAAAAACACAAGAGACAATAAGAAAAGAATAAACACATACAGAATTAGAATTCAGAAAAAAAGGAAAGTAAGACTAAGGTCAAAAATATTTGACAAAATAATGGTACTGAATTTCCGTATTTGCTGAGAAATATAAATTTACAAAGTTGAGAGTTACAATAAATCACAAGAATAGGTTGAAAAATCAAACAAATAACAGTAAAAATTTCCAGACACCAGATCCATTCATTCATACTGCTAAAACCAAAGAAAATATCTTAAACCAGCCAAAAAGTAAATGACACATTGCATAAGTAAAAAGGAACAATAATTTGAAAGACTGATGACTTAGATAAAATGTCTTAAGAGATTACATGTTGTTTCATTAAATTATATTCTCAAATGAATAAAATTACAGTGATAGAGAACAGATTAGTCATTGCTATGGCTTAAAAGAGAGGCAAGCATGTGACTACAAATGGGGAGAAGGAGATAACTCTTTTGGGGGCAAGGGAATATTTCCGATCATGGTAATTACATAAATATACGCATGTGTTAAAATCTGTAGAACTCTATAACAAAATGTCAATTTTATGGCAGGTTAATTAAAGAAAAAAAACTCTAGATTGTCAAAATGGATACCCAGAGTAATATATAACTCTTGGTTGTCTGAAGAAATATTTTAAATATAAATATACAGAATTAGAAAGAAGTTAACTAGTACAACATGAAACCATAAGCATAAAAAGACTAAAGTCCCTATTAAAATACCAGGGAAAGAAACTTCATCACAAAGATTAATACCACATGTAACGAGGTATATTCTATAATGGTAAAAGTGCCAAAATGTCTAGAAATGGAAAATAATTCTAATTGTACACATGTCTGATAAAAGAGACTTAAAATACATGAAGCAAAATGTAACAGATTAAAATAGAAAAAAAGATGATTTCAGAGTCTTAGTTACGATTTTAATATCCTTCCCTACAATTGATAGAACAAGACAAAATCTGTATGAAGACATAAAAACTCTAAACAATAGTGCTAACCACCTTGACGTAATTGATATTTTAAAATATAACACTAAAAATACTGCAGTATGCAAGCTCTTTGCAAGTGTATGTATTTCATTCCCCAACATTCATATGCTACTCCATCTTTGGCTAATGATACCTGTCCTTAATTCCTTTTTAAAAACTTGATATCATACAGATTATGCCCTTGTGCCACAATGGAATTAAATTAGAAATCAATGAGAATAAGATAACAAGAAAAAAAAACAACAGCAAAATACATGGAAATTATGTAAGATACTTCTAAATAGCCCATAGGTCAAAAATACTTGGGCTAGTCTGTTCTTGCATTGCTATAAAGAAATACCTGAGGCCGGGCGCGGTGGCTCACGCCTGTAATCCCAGCACTTTGGGAGGCCGAGGTGGGCGGATCACGAGGTCAGGAGATCGAGACCAGTCTGGCTAACGCGGTGAAACCCCGTCTCTGCTAAAAATACAAAAAATTAGCCAGGCGTGGTGGCGGGTGTCTGTAGTCCCAGCTACTCCGGAGGCTGAGGCAGGAGAATGGCATGAACCCGGGAGACGGAGCTTGCAGTGAGCTGACATTGCGCCACTGCACTCCAGCCTGGGCGACAGAGCGAGACTCCATCTCAAAAAAAAAAAAAAAAAAAAAAAATACCCGAGACTGGGTAATTTATAGAGAAAAGAGTTTTAATTGGTTCAGGGTCCTGCAGGCTATACAGGAAGCATGGTGTCATCATCTTCTGTGCACGCCTCAGGAGGCTTATAATCATTGCAGAAAGCAAAGAGGGAGCAGGCAAATCACACGTTGAAAGCGGAAGCAAGAGCGTGAGCGGGGAGGTGCTATACAATTTAAATCACATCTCGTGAGAACTCACTCACTATCATTAGGACAGTACCAAGGGGGATGATGTGAAACCATTCACGAGAATCCCAACCCCATAATCCAATGACTCCCACCAGGTTCCACCTCCAACATTGGGGATTTCATTTCAATATGAGATTTGGGCAGGAACACATATCCAAACTATATCGATAGTTTAGAAAATATTTCCAAGTGTATGCTAAAGAAACTATAACATTTCAAAATAAATCAGATACACAATCTATAGCAGTGCTTAGAGGAAACTGTATAGGTTATGTGCTTAATTGAAGCAAAACAAAGGCCTAAGATCAATGACCTTAGGTTCCACTTTAAAAAGCTTAAATTAAAAAGAGAGAAATAGAAGACAATGAAAAGCATGAAGCTAAGCGTGCCAACAGATTAGTTCAAACCAAAAAATACACCCAGGCAACTGAAACTTCTTTCAAGACACAGAATACTATCATCACTCGAGGAAGTTTTCTCAGATTTCTTCGCTTTCAAAAACTCTCAAATACCAGAAGCAACCATATGTTTCTCTGAATTTTCCACCATAAATTAGCTTTTCCACATCTAGAACTTCATAAAAATGGAATGATAAAATCACACTGGACATTTAATGTTTCATTCACTCAGCATATTATTTTGAGAATCATCCGTTGAAATGTACATTAGTAGTTTACGCCCATTTATCTTTTAGTTGTATTACATTTCTTGACAATATCACAGTTAAATATACACTTATTGATGAGCAAAATGAACTGTTTCAACTTTTACCTGTTATAAATTTTTAAAAATGTACATATATACATATGTATATATGAAATATACACACATACACATATATGGGGACGTATACTTAGAAATAAAATTATGAAATTGTTGGGTTATAAGGCAAATGTGTATCTACTTTAGTCCCTAAAAAATTTCAGATTTTTCTTCTAAGGTGGTTTTAACATTTGATATTCCTCTTCAACAAAAGATGGGTACTTTATTTGTTCTATCTTTGCCACTATCAGTTGTTCTCTGTCTGATTACATAAGCCGTTCTGACGGGTATGTTTTTGTGTAGTGATATATTTTTGTGAGATTAATTTGAATTTCCCTGATGACAAATGAGGTTGAATATGTGAATGCACATATTAGTGATCTGTATCTTTATGAAGTGTCTGTGTTGCCGCATACTTTTTATTTTATTGTTTTTGTTACTGAGTTGTAGGCATTTAAAAATATGTTGTTAGACCAGCCTGGCCAACATGGTGAAACCATGTCTCTACTAAAAATACAAAAATTAGCCAGGCATGGTGGCAGGTGCCTGTAGTCTCAGCTACTTGGAAGGCTGAGGTAGGAGAATTGCTTGGACCCGGGGGGTGGAGGCTGCAAAAGAGCGAGACTCCGTCTCAAAATAAATAAATAAATAAATAAATAAATAAATAAATAAATAAATAAATAATATATATATATATATATAGAATATATATATTCCGTATGTATATATGTTCTGAAAACGTGTTCTTCAAGTAAATGGCTTCACTAATTATGTTCTTAATTATGTTATCTGATTAACAAATGTTTTTAATTTTAAAGAGATCTATGTTATGATTGTTAGCTTGTCTGTTTTGATCTTTTATTGTGTTGCTCTTCACGTCTAATGTATGAAACCTGTATTTACCCCACCTCATAAAAATATTCCCCTATACTTTCTTTAAAATGTTTCATAATTTTAGCTTTTATGCATGGATCTATTATCTAACTTGAATTAGTTATTGTTTACCGCGTGACGTAAGAGTTGAGATTAATTAATACCCAGTTGTTTTAGCTTCCTTTGTTTAAAAAGATTGTCCTATTAATAGTGGATTGTTTTGTCACTGTCAAGATACAAATAACATCTTAATTTTGCTAAGAGAGTATGATTCTAATGTACTCAGCACACAAAAAAACACACCGTAAATGTATTTCATAAACATATATAACCATATTTTGTCAATATATAATTTAATAAATAATTTTAAAAATTAAAGGTGCTGTGAACATTTTGTTTAAAAGAGATTCAAATAGCCGTATCAGTGTGGAACAATTTCTGAACTCTCTATCATTTGACTGTTTCTTCCATGCAGTAATCTTAAAATTACTAGTTTAAATTACCTTGCTTCTCTTGTTAAAGAGTTTCTTGGATATTCATATTGTATTCACTTTCCATATACATTTTAGGAACAGTTTCATAATTTCAGTAAATTAAACTAGTGGGATTGTGTTTGGAATTGCACCAAATCTAAAACTCAGATTAGAGACAATTGATATCTTAATAAATTTGTCTGCCTAGTGAAGGATACTTTTTTAGCTTTGTAATTAAGCATCTGAACCTATACATTTCCCTCCAAAATCAGCTTTAGCATCATTCTGGCATTTTTGAAATGTCGAATATTAATTATTCTATATTTCAAAATATTTGCTAATTTCTCTTTTGACCCAGAAATTATTTGCAAATGTGTCTAATTTCCAAATATTTTAAATTTGTATAGCTGCCTTATTTATTTCTAATTTAATTTCATTTTGGTCAAAGATCTCAAAAGTGTGTTATACTGATTCATGAGTTGTTTTCTATTTTGCTGTTTCCCATGAGACACACTTTTTTTCATAACTGATCTCTTCTAAGAATCATAAACAAACAGCAAAAATAAAGCAGAAAATTCTTTAAGTTCATAAAGACAAAATTATAAGTCAAGGGAAGGTAACATTCTGCCCTCCACTGTGCTTTAGATAATGGCCATTTATTAGAATAAACAAATTTTTCCTGGCCTTGTGACAAAGAATTGGTGTCTAAATCCCAGAAAATATTAGAATCTCCAAGACAATCAGACATCAAAACACACAATGAGATTACTGATTACTTGTAACTCCACAGTGTCATAGTCACCTAGTGTTATGCCCCTGACAAAATACAATGGCAGCTGTATAAATGACAGAACCAGACTTCACAAAGAAACAGAAACAACCTCAAATAAAAAAATAAATACATAAATAAATGAAAATTAAAAGAAATAATAACAACAAACAGTAACTGAGAGGAACAGCACAGCTAGAAGCACCATGGCAGCAGGGAAACACTATCCCATAGAGTACTTTCCTATGAAATTCTATTCTGGGCATCTTGCTGGAACTTCCATCTGTGAAATGATGGCTCTTAGGCAAATGCATTAAGATAAAAAGAATGTTCACCCAAAATATTTTGCAAGGGTGTCTAGAGTAATTGGGTTTCCAAGACAAAAAAAAAAAAAAAAAAGAGGAATTGGATGAAAAAATAAATAAACACACAGAATTGCCAAGTTCTATTATTGATAGAAAGTAGTTTTCTTATATGTTTATTGTAACTGTAAGTGATATTACATACTTGCAGATATCAATATTGCAATGTCCAGGATGCTGTTATTTTCTCTTAGGAAGTCTGCAACTAACAACAACAACAAACCACATATTTTCATTCATTTTTGGGCTTGGTGTTAGACAGGCTAGTCTTGCCTTTTTAAAGTTTATTGCAAGATTTTTCTTTTCTTTTCTTTATTTTTTTATTTTTCCTGATCACGGAATGTGATGTGCTTAATCACTGTGGCATCAGGGCCAGGTGTCAGTTTTTTTTCTTTTTCAATTACTTCTAGATATTTTTCAGCGAACTGAGGTAGAAAAGAAGCAATTTTAAAACATAAATAAAAGCATGAGTTTGTACTGCTATAGCTATCCAATTGAAAGTGTTGAATTATAGGTTGAAATGTATCTTGTAGGCTAATAATATGAAAAGAAATAATTGCTTTACGTAACCAAGAACACATATTTTCTTGATTACATAAAGAAAATAAGAATGTAAATATTTTAAATTCTTAAAATACTTTTTTGGAATACAATAATTTTTTCCTTACTTTCACAAAATAAGAATTTAAATATTTAACAACAAATGTCAATAATTTTTTTTGAGAATATTTTATTTCAATGTAATGTCAATATATTTAACACTAAGGTCTTGTGAAATAATTGTTTTTCCCAGTATAATTATATCACATACTTGATAGAAAGTCGTTAATTTTTTTTAATTCATTAAAATTCTTAAAGGAGTCCATAACCAAACTATGTATTATATTCATTGTTTTCTTTGCATTTTCTTTCCTTGGAAATTTTTATTCCACAAAGAATTTTATTTTATTTGTTTCAGATTTTTTATTACTTTTGATTTATATTTTCATTTTTTTCCTTGTGGTGTGTGTGTGTGTATCTCCTTACACAAAATGCAACATGTCATGAGCACTTCCTCATCTTAATATTTACGATTTAACTATCCTTGATAACACCACTTGAGTCCTTGAGAACACCAACAGCCACTTGCCATTTTGAGACACATATTCTTCGTTGCTTTTACAGCAGCAAAGCATTCAAGAATAGTAATTCTGCACAATGTGTGTAATCAGTCTTCATTGATAGGCATGTGGGTTTTTCAGTCATTAGTTGTTATCATGGTAAGTGATTTTATGCAACTGTTCTGTGTTTTTGCCTGTATGTTATTAGTTCTTCGTTTAATAGAAGATGAATTGATGTCAATAGAAAATACTTAATTTCTGTAGATCTTTCAAATGTACCACAGTAGACGTTGTATCACCCTGCATTCTCACCCATAATGTATAAGAGTGATGGTTTCTTTCCAGTCTATCAATCTATCTTCAAACTAGAATTGTTGCCAAGGCAATGGGTTTATTTGTGATAGGTTATCTCATTTTATATTTATTTGAATTTCTATTATTATGAGAAGTAAAATTTATTTGATCTTTTTCATGTTTAAAGAAAATTTGATTTTTAAAATTTTAATTTTAATTGACAAATTATAATTGTATATATTTATGAGATACAATTTGATGTTTTCATATATGCATATATATCAAATATATACACACACACATTTTGAAATGATTACATCAAGCTAACAGTATATCCACTACCTCACATTTATTTTGTTGGGAGAACATTTAAATTGAACGCTTTTAGCAATTTTTGATATTTTACATTTGTTCATATTCATAGGGTATGTGGAAATTTTGTTGCATGCATAGAATGTGTAATATCAAGTCAGGATATTTAGAGTCTCTATCCCTCCAGTATTTATCACTTCTACGTGTTGAGTACATTTCAAGTTCTTTTTTCTACCTATTTTAAAACAACAATGCATTGTTGCTAACTGTAGTCACCCTTGTCTTCTATCAAAGATTAGAGCTCATTTCTTCTATCTAATTCTTTACCTCCCACCGCACAACCCACCTGTACGCCCATCTCAGTCTCTGGTATCTATCATTAGACTCCCTACCATCACATGATCAACTTTTTTAGCTTCCACATATGAATGAGAACATGCAATATTTGCCTTTTAGTTCCTGGCTTATATCACTCAACGTAATGACCTCCAGTTCCATCCACGTTGCTGCAAATGATTGATTTCATTTTCTATGGCCAAACAGTATCCCATTGTGTATTAACACCACAGTTTCTTTATTCATTCAGCTGTTGATGCATACTTAGGTTGATTTAATACTTAGTTATCATGAATAATGCTGCGATAAACATGAGAGTGCATGTATCCCTTTGATACATTGATCTATTTTTATTTGGATGCATAACCAGTCGTGAGATTGTTTGATCATATGGTAGTTCTATGTTTAGGCATTTTTAAAAAAGAAATTTTATTATACTTTCAGCTCTGGGGTACATGTACAGAATGTGCAGTTTTGTTACATAGGTATACACGTGCCATGGTGGTTTGCTGCACCCATGGCTTTTTTAAAAAATCTGATTACTGTTTTCTATAGTAGCTGTACTGATTTACAGTCCCACCAAAAACGTATAAAAGTTTAGTTTTCTCCATGTCCTTGACAACATCTGTTATATTTTGTCTTTTTTAAAATAGCCATTCTAACTGATAGAAGGTGATATCTCATTGTGGTTTTAATTTGCATTTTTCTGATAATTACTGATGTTGAGCATTATTTCATATAAATGTTTGGCCATTTGTATGTCTTCTTTTCTAAATATGATACATCACATCAAAAAAACATAAAATCATCTCAATATATGCAGAAAAACGATAAAATTCAACACTGCTTTATGATCAAAACTCTTAACAAACTAAGCATAGAAGGAACATACCTCGAAATTTAAAAGTCCATATGATGCATCAACAGTCAACATCATACTGAATGGGGAAAGTTGAAAGCCTCTCCTCTAAGAACTAGAATAAGAAAAGGTGCTTCACTTTCATTACTCCTATTCAACATAGTACTGAAAGTGATAGCGAAAGTATCCAGGCAAGAGAAAAGAAACAAAATCAACATACAAAATTAGTAGCATTTCTATACATCAATAATTAAATGACCAAAAAAGAAATCAAGAAAGTAGTCCCATTTACAATAGCTACTAGAAAAGAAAAATTACCTAGGTGTAAGTTTATGGAGGTGAAATATCTCTACATGGAAAACTACAAAACACTGATGAAAATAACTGAAGAGGACACAAACAAATGAAAAGACATTCCTGTTCATGGTTTGAAAAAAATAATATCCTTAATATGACCATACTGCTAAAAGCAATCTACAAATTCACCACAGTCACTATCATAATACCGACGTAATTTTTTACAGAAAGAAAAAATCCTAAAATCTGTATGGGAACAAAAAAGAGACAGAATATGAAAAGTAATCATGAACAAAAAGAACAAAACTGGAGGCATCACATTATGTACCTTTCAAATGTATTATAAGTCTATAGTAACCAAAATAACAAGGTATTAGTATAAAAGCAGATGCATAGACCAATGGAACAGGATAGATAACCAAGAAATAAACCCAAATATTTACAGCCAACTAATTTTTGACAAAGCTGTAAAGAACATACACTGGGGAAAGGAAACTCACTTCAAAAATGGTGCTGGGAAAACTGAGTAACCATATGCAGAACAGTGACTGGATCATTATCTCTTATTATATACATAAATGAGCCTAAACATAAGACACAAAACTGTAAAACTACTGAAAGATAATAGATACAGGAAAAAATCTTTAGGACATTATTCTAGGCAAGAATTTTATGGTAGGGACCTCAAAAGCACAGGCAACAAAGCCAAAAACAGACAAATGGGGCTGCATTAACTAAAAAGCTTCTGGACAGCAGAAGAAACAATAAACAGGGTGAAGAAACAACCTGTTGAAGTGGAGAAAGTATTTGCAAATTACTTATCCAACAGGAGAGTGACATCCAGAACACACAAGAAACTCAAACAACTCAACGGTTAAAACGACAACAACAAATAATAATCCCATTAAAAATGGGCAAAGGACATGAATAGAAGTTTCTTATAGCAATTTTAAAAGATACAATATATTATAATTGATTGTGGTCACTGTGCTGCTCAATAAATCTCAAAAATTATTTTTTCCTCTAAAATTGAAACTTTGTACTCTGATCAACCTTCCCATTCCTCATACCACTTCCCATCCCTGCCTAGTCTCTAGTAACCACCATTGTACTCTTTACTTCTATAAGTTTAAGAAGTTTTTGTTTGTTTTGTTTAGTTTGTTTGCTTTGTTTTTCCTTTTTTTTTTATTCCACTCACATCTAAGTGAGATCATGTAGTATTGTTTTTCTATTTCTGGTTTATTTCACTTACCATAATATCTTATGGATTTATCTGCATTGTTGCAAATGATATTTCCTTTTTAAGGCTGTATAGTACTCCATTGTGCATGTACACCACGTTTTCTTTATCTTATTACCTACTGATGAACAGTTAGGTTGATTTCATATCTAGGCTTTTATGAAATTATGCAATATGCAATGAACATGGGTGTGCAGATACATCTCTTCAAAATGCTGATTTCATCTCCATTGAATATATACCCAGAATTTTGAATACTGGATCATGTGGTAATTACATTTTAATTCTTTGAGGAAGTGTCATACTGTTTTCCAAATGGCTGTACTAATTTATATACCCCCAACAGTACACAAGAGTTCTTTTTTTCCCACATCCTCACCAGCACTTGTATTTCATTTGTTTCATCACAACTATTCTAACAGATCACTGTGGTTTCAGTTTGCATTTCTCTGATTATTATTTATGTTGAGCACTTTTTTACCAAACGTGTTG
Source organism: Homo sapiens (assembly GCF_000001405.40). Classification (NCBI taxonomy): domain Eukaryota; kingdom Metazoa; phylum Chordata; class Mammalia; order Primates; family Hominidae; genus Homo; species Homo sapiens. The sequence continues at coordinate 66,459,644 of NC_000018.10, read as the reverse complement.
GACATTTCTTTTTCTTGTTTTAAGTAATATCTCTTCAGGTTATTGCTATTGAGTTGAATTCTCTATATATTTTGGATATCAATCCCCTATCAAATTTATGGTTTGCAAACATTTTCTCTCAGTCTGTGGTTTGTCTTTTCGCTTGGTCGATTATTTCCTTTGCTGTACAAAATATTTTACTTTGATGCAATTACATATTTCTATTTTTGTCTTTCTTGCCTGTGCATCCAGGGTCATATCTAAAAAATTACTGCCCAGATTAATGCCATGTAGGTTCTCCATGCTTTCTTCGAGTTTGTCTTTATATTTAAGTCTTTAATCCATTTTGAGACAACTTGAATGTAATTTTCAGTTTTTATTATTGTCCATTTTTCTTTTAGATTATGAGGCTTTTGCCCTTAACTAATGGAGCTATTTTTGTATTAGGTATCTTAGCTGTTTTTCTGTGATATAATTTAAAAAACTTTTTTCTAGTATTTTACTTTTTCTTTTTATTTACATTGTCTTACATAAAAAATATTGTTTGCTTTGCATTTTTAATTAAAATTTTCAGTTGTCTATTTTATTTTTTCTTAATGTTGATTAGAGTTAAGAATGCTGTTCCTGTTCCCACATGTTATACTGGTATTAGTATGAGTTCATTATATACATATGTATCTCTAGGATAGATTATTCTTGTTAATGAGAGAGCAAGTATTACCATTTTTGGACAACGTTTATTAAACTGACCAGTTTTTCTCATAAATTAGAGTACTATTTTGCCATATTCTCCATCTGATGTTCATTTGAATCTATTTCTGGTTTTTATTTTTCCTTCAATTAGTCTACTTATTCATTCATGTATCATTCTAATATCAAACTCATTGAATTGCATGTTATTTATAATTTGCTTTAATATGTGAAAGGTCTCACTCCCATTTTCCCACTAATGTTCCCTATAGAATTTCCCTGGTTATTTTTTGTTTGTTTGTTTTAGGTTTTCATATGAATTGGAAAATCAACCTGTAAAAAACAGTAAAGCCATGTACATTTTTTAATATTCTGCTGAATGTATAGAACTTAGAATAAAATTACATTTTCATAACATCTAGTCATCTTATCTTCACTTCCAAGTACTCTGTTGTAAGATTACTGGAGTTTTATGGAATATCTCTTTGAAACATTCTCAACGTATTTTCACAGATGCAGAGCATTTTCCTGAGAATAAACTTTTTTCTTCCTCCTTCTATTTCATCACCTCTATCAATTAAGCAAAATTGTTTCTTTGCTTTGGTTGGGCTTACTTAAAAGTTCTTGTTTTATCAATAATTAAAATTTTATATACTCTATAAAAGTAAAACTTCTAGCCACATTCATTTTAAAAGGTTAAAATTTGTGATTATTTTAAAAAATTTGGATTCATGAGATTGCTTATAAAAATAGTCATTTAATTAAACCAAAGTCCAGAGTTATTACAAATATAATTTACATAGAATTTCAAAATTTTTTCTTACTCATTTTATATTTCAATTTAAACTGTCAAATCCGTTGTTTAGAAACAGTTTTCTTCTCTCGCATGTTTCAATTATTATTTAAGGGTCATTCATACAAACATGCTATTCTTCTATTTATGGACATAGTTTCATTAATAAAACTTTGTTTATATAAAAAGAAACAAAATATATGTTGTCTTTTGTTTTTATTGTTTCTGTTTTGTGTGCATGTGTGTGTGTGTGTGGGTATTTGCTTGTTTGATTTTACTAATTAAAGTCTAGAAGAAGGTGATGGTTTGAGAGAATTAAGGAAATTTTCATTATTTTCCATTCCACTTCCAGATGGCATATACTCATACATCTTTGTTCCTCCTCTTTCAGTGAAAATAAATATTCTAGAAATAATTCAAAATGCTATCACAAATGATCCTTAAAAAATCAAAGCATAAGTGAATAGAGACCTTAGTTCTTTAGTAACTGTGCTGTCTTTCATAAATTTTCTATTTCCTATGTATCCCAGAATCCCAGCCTGCTTACCAGAGATGTGTTCATTCTAGACTGCCAACAGTCATTGACAAAAATAAACAGAACAAAACAATAGAAAAAGTCTATTCTTTCTGTTCTAAGGAGCAAGAAAGGGGAATCACAGCAGCTGTCTAGGAGGGAGCCTCATCCTCTGATACTAGCCCAGGGCAGTGATGGGATGATCTCCAGGTGGTTGCAATGCCGCAGGGTTGTGCCTCACACCTCAGGAAGCAGTGGCCTGATTGATAGTGTGGGGATAGTAGCAGTAGGAGCACTCTCTCCATCCTGAGGGCAGCAGTAGAATTAGTTCACTACAGCAGCAATAATTGAATTTGTAAATAATCTAGTTTTAAAGAATGGCAAACAAGTTCTCCAGACAAAAAAGAATATAAGAAGCTAGGGATTTCAAAAATTAAAAGAAGCACAACAGAATGAGTAAAAATAAGGTAAATATAAGGATCCCTTACCCAATGAGTTTCTTATTTATCTTTGATGGCTGAAGTAAAAATTGTAACAGCATCTGATGTGGTCAGAGTATGTAGAGGAAATGCTTAAGGAGACCATATTTCAAAATTGAGTAGGGTGGAGGCTGAAATGGAATTAAGTCTCTAATGTTTCACTGAAAGTGATAAAAACTGATACCAGTAAGCCTGGAAAAGTCACATAAAACATATTGTAATATCTAGTTCAATCACTAAGAAAAATATACAAAGCAGTAGACTCAAACACATTAAAATAAATCAAAATTGAATTTTAAAACCTCTTCTGTAACTGGCCTGAGTGCAAGAACAGAGAAACAGAAGAATCAGAAACAGAGGTAACAAAGGGAAAACAAAAAAACATAATGGCAGACTTAATCCCAAATATATAAATAATTACTTTAAATATAAATGATAAAATCACGCCAATTAAATTAACATAGAAGTAACTTGTACAAGAGTTGTATCAGTGGAGTGGCAGAGAATAACACATATTTTAATTTAGTATAGGAGAAAATGGGAGGCAAAAAATTGGGACAGTGACTTATGTGTCCCTTTTGAGAAAATTCATATAAAATAAGAAGTGAAATTTGCAGCTAGCTGAAGGGGATTGGAGTTGATAATTTTTTAAATTTGAATAAATAACAACATGTTCATGAGAATGTGCAAGTTGACAGGGAATATTTAATGATAGTAAAAAGTGAGGAAGAAATTACTAGTGCAATATCCTTGAGCAGGTAACGGAATGGAATCTAAATGTCAAATGAAAGAGCTGCTCTCAGCAAGGAGACTGGAGACAGCTCATTCACGGTAACAAGAGTTAAGTTCAAAATATATTAGCGCAGAGGTAGGGAGGTGAACTGGTACAGTATAGGGGTTTATGGAATTTCACTTCGGATAGCTTCTGTTTTCTCAGCAAAAAGCAAATCATCAGCTAAAGCAATAGTGAGGATAAGGTTTTGGAGGTTTTAGGAAAGAGAAGATATGTAAACTAGTTATCCTGGAACATGAAAAAGCACATGGGCTAAAATAATACACTAATTGCCCGGTCCTTATGAGGTTAATGAGCATGAATTAAAGTGGCATCATTCTGTATCACAGTGTGCTTTCCACCAGCGTGCATGCCAGCGTGTAGTAATGTAAGATTCTGGTTTGAGGAGTAGAGCAAAGTAAAAGAAAACAAAGGAGTTTAGGGTGTATGAAGAAAGTGATCATAATAACTGACTATAGAATTTAAACTAGTTAAGGAGAGAGTAAAGTGAGACATGAGGAGTAATAAAAAGATAATAGGGTCATCGGACAAGGTACCAGCAGTAGAAAGATTGTTGGATTTGTAGCACAAGAGGGAATTAGCAAAAGAAAAAATAAACAAAAAAAAAAAAAAAACTAAAACAGAAAACAGGAGTCAGTGGTGAGCAAGCTGGATATATGAATTTAAAAATGGAAAGGTCTAGTAAGGTCTAGGTTGAGGTAAGGTGGTAAACAAGGCCAGTGGAGTAAAAGAGGGCAACTTATTGAAAGGGGAATTCATGGGAATATTGATATCACTAAACATTCCAACAAAAGCAATGTGAAAGAGGCAATATGCCAGAAGCTAAAATCACCAGGGATGAAATAATGATGGCCAGTGGGATGAGAGGAGCAGGTGGCTGCAGCTGAGAGCGGTAGTCAGTGCTGTAGTCTAAAGACTTGTCATTCTAAGGGAAAAAGGAGAACAGCCTGGAAGCAACAATAATGAGAAAGAATGTAATGTATCTCACTTCCAGGCACAAAAGGTATTAAGCAGGTGGGAAAGAAAAGGAAAACAGCCACTTCTTAAGAGGTCCGCAGGGGAGGCACTGTTATGTTATTAGGGAAAATGTTCTGAGTTTCTGGAATTGGTTCTCCCATCTGACTGTATGTAAGGACACTTATGCCATTATCTTTGGTGTAAAAGTGGGCAGTGGTTGTCCGTGGCATAATCTGGTAATAAAAATAAGCAAAATATTTTCAGTGGACACTCCTAATTAAATACCTACAGAAAGAGAACTACTGGTTTCTATATAGTTGCCACCTTAGAACATTTTAGTCAAATTAAGGAGTAAAATGGAATTGGCTGGTTGCTCCTAACTGGCTGGAGAAGTGGAGAAAAGAAAAGATGAGCTCAGGCCTTCAAATTCACAGCTAACATAATGACCTGAATGTTTTCATATTTGCCATGAAAGAAATCCTAATCTCCTCCAGCCACAGGGTTGAGATTTCTGAAAACCAAACCTTGAGCCCCATACTGCCACTGGCTGAGTTACAAGGCAGTTTATTTTCCAACCCTCAGTGTGTCTTCAGTTATAGTGAAGGCGTCGACTGGGAAGATATGTAATCTTAAAATTAGAATGGGGGCGTAGAGACAGACCCAATGAAGCCGGCACCATCAAACCTTGAAATCTGGCTGCCATTTTCCTGTCAGCAGCGGCCTCCCTTCCACCCCTGCCTGAAGAGGTAACCCTTCCTTGACCCATAATGGCCTCTCCTGAGGAATTTGCTTACAAAACACTCCTGGTTCCTTTCAGGATTCAACCTCATCCCTTCTCTTTGCTTCTAGACTTAAACTAGTCTCAGTAGGTCCCGAAGGATGAAGTATGAAGTGCGGCACACAAGGGGTTACAGCATACACCAGATTAATTGCATGTTTCTTTTTCTTTTTTTTTTTCAATTTAAACAGAAATCTGGGACATGTGCAGGAATGGATCCTAATGAGTGTGGTGTGATCTAAGAGACTAAAATGGATTTTTCTTTATCAACTAAGGTGGACCCTAAAGTGAAGGAAAAAAAGTTACCTACGTGTCAAGGGTTCAGGGCTGGGCTATCATGGCATCTTCCTACATTCCTATGGCTCCAAGAAAAACCAGACTTTTGTTTGAATCTCTAACAAGAGAGTCTATCAGGCAAATTATCAGACCCCTCCTAACTCTGATTTGTAATCCAAACAACTGCAACTCTTGTTCGGACAGAGGACTGGCCTTACAAACATTTTTTTTTTCTGCTAAGCCACTGCAGATATTAAGGTAGTTTCAGCAGCTGATAGAGGCTGTGTACAAGTTGTCTTTGTATCCTGTGGTTTACTTTTCAATCTACAGAGCCATATTCCATCTCATTTTAATGCTGAAAACCCCATGCCAAAGGGAAATGAGTTGTTTGCCCATTGCACCTGCACTTGGCTTCCCTTATAAATACACCCTCAAAACTTGCTGAATATGTATGTATGCTTCTATTTTGTAAGACAGACCCTGTGAGGCATAAAACTCAACCCATCCTTTCCTTTTTCAAAGAGAGAACACCTTTCATCCACACCAGAGGCTGCCTCTTCCCAGTTAGCAAACTGATATAACCAATTAAGCTCTCTTTCCTACTATTTAGCCATTCTGGTGGTCTTTTGGATGAGGGAATTATTGTGTAAGACCTGTTTACCCAAGCCTGGAGTATCCATATTATGCACCTTTTACTATGACCCTGAGAAATAAAGAAGGAGCTCCAGTATCCATGAAAGGCCCTTGTTCACTCCTCTGTAGGTCAGAAATTACAGTGGGAACTGCTACTAGCAAGCTGGGATCACAAAATTCAACGAGTATAATGGAATCCTGGAATGACAAGATCGAGTGATATCACTTAATCACCAATGAAAAGTGTTTTCTGATTATTATAAATCATGAAATCCACCCAGAGAACTAATCAGAATAGTCTGACTTTCAGATAACTGGCATTGGCTAGTTGGTCATAATGTTCTTAGAAAACAGATGGGTGGTCTACTAAATTATTTACTGATCTGTATACACAGAACAATTCTAGGTCTAATACAAATAAGTAAGCCTTAAATCATCAAAACAAAACCACAAGACCTCAATTAACACCCAGGCTTGAGCCAATTTACAGATCAAAACACCTTGAATGGATGGGAGGCTGTATCCTCTTGAGGAAGAACCCTGCTACACTGCCAAAAATTTTCTAATAAATATTTCTCCCAGCCTTCCTCAAAGGGTCTTGTGACCATATACTTGGGTGGCTCTGAATTACAGAAAATAATAAGACTTCTTAGGGATTTTTTGACACTGGTTTAGAAGTGAAATTAATTTCTGGAGGCCAAAATGTCACTGTGATCCACCAACCGGATTAGTGGCTAATGGAAGTCAAGTAATCAATAGAGTTTTAACTTGAGTCCATCTCACAGTGGTATCAGTGGGTTCCTAGGCTCTTCCTGTAGTTATTTATCTAGTTCCAGAATTTATCATTGAAATAATCATACTCTGCAACTGGAAGAATTCTCACATTGGTTCTCTAACCTGCGAAGTGGAAGCTATTTTTATATGAGACCAAATGGAAACCACTGGAGTTTCCTTTACAGAAAGCTTAAAACAAATGCAACACAGCACTTCTGGAGGGATTGCAGAGATTATTGCCATCATTAAGGACTACAGCAAAACAGGATTGGTGATTCTCATTATAGCCCCATTCTACTTCCTATTTGGCCTGTGCAGAAACAGATGTATGTTTGAGGATGACACTATTTATTGCAAACTTAATCAGGCAGTGACTACAATTGCAACTGATTTCTAGATGGGGTAACATTGCTTGAGAAATTAACACATATCCTGCCTGGTACCTGGTACACAGCTATCTAATCTGGCAAGGGATTTATTTTTCCCTTTAACAGTTAATAAAGCCACCAGAAGCAGTTTACTCTCAGCTGGTTTGGCCACCAATACCTTAACTCTCCAGCTCTAGTACCCATAAAGCTCTTGATCACCTTTCTCTTTCAAATGACATCACACTGGTCCAATACATTGATAATTTTATGCAGAAAGCATGAAGCCTAGGGGGTCTCTTTGAATTGGAATTTGGAGACAACTTGTTTCTAATTTGTACATACTAGCTCATTAGTCAGCTTGGGCTATTGTAATACAACCATAGACTGAGTGGCGCAAAAAACAAAATTTATTTCTACAAATTCTTAAGACTCAAAGTCTAAGATCAAAAAGCCAACAGAGTTGATGTCTGGTGAGAGTGCTGTTCCCGGCTTTCAGACAGCAAGCTACCATCTTGCTGTATCCTCATATGACCTCTTCTCAGTGTGTGAAAATAAAGATACTGTTTGGAGCCTATGGCAGATACCCACAGATTAATCACAGAACCCCAGGATTTTGGAGCAAAACTCTTCCATCCTTTGCACATAATTATTTCCTTTTGAAAACAGCTTTTTGCTCCTGAGCCTTGGAAAAGATTTAACACTTGACCATGGGTCACTAAATCACCATGCAGCTTGAGTTGCCTGTCATGAACCATTGTTGAACTTACCAAGCCATAATGTTGGACATGAACAGGAGTTCTCTGTCATCAAATCAAAGTGGTCAATGTAAGATTGGGCTCATACATGCCCTGAAGGCACAAATAATTTGCATAAGAAGTATCCTAATTTTCCATGTCTCCTTCACCAACTACATTACCTATCTCTCCTAGCCTACACCCATGCCTCATAAACAGTTGCTGATTAAGGGAAAGAAAACTTGAGTGTGGTTTACAGATGGCTCTGGACAATACTTAGGCACCAAAAAGACAGTGATCAGCTGCAGAATTACAGCCCTTTCTTGGACATCCATGGACAATGATAAGGAAAAAGTGTCTCTCTGGGTAATGCTTCTATTAATGCAACCTGGTTGTTCATTGTGCCTGGTAGAAGAGAGAAATATTAACTCATTGACTGTGGCCAAAGATTGCCTGAATGGTCACAGCATGATTGGAAAATTGATGACAAGGGGGTCTAGGTACGAGGAATATGAATAGACCTCTCTGAATGGTCAGACACTGTTAAGATATCTGTGTTCCATGTATATGCCCATATAAGGGTGACCTCAGCAGGTGAGGACTTTAATCATTCAAAGGATAGGATGATCAGTGAATAAATGCCATTTAGCCTGTCCGCAGACATTTATGCCATTGTCTGTTAGGCTCATAAAAAAAATTCCATTGTAATAGATGTGCAGATTATGCATGGGCTCAGCAACATAGACTTTCACTCCTGAAGGCTAACCTGGCCACCACTCATGCTAATTACCCAATTTGCAGGCAGTAGAGAACAATGATGAGATTTTGGTATGACACAACTCCCTTGACTGATCAGCCAGCTACTTGGTGACAAATTGATTACATTTGACCACCTCTGGTATGGAAGGGGCAACGCTTAGTTTTAATGGAATAGATATTCACTCTGGATATATATTTATCTTCCATGTATGCAATACTTCTGCCATCCATAACTTATATGTTTACTATTTGTGGACTTAAGGAATTGTTTATCCACCCTCACAGTCCTCCAAACAACATTCTTGCTGATCAAAGAACTCACTTCACAGTAAATAAGGTACATCAATGGACCCATGTAAGTAAAATGCATTGGTCCAATTGCCTTGATAGAATGGCAGAATAAGTGGTAGTACCTTGTGGTGCTAGGACAATGTCCTCCAGAATGCTGTACTGCTCTAAAGCAGTACAACAATATGGCCTGTTTCTCCCATAGGCAGGATCTGTGGGTACATGAATGAAGGAGTGGAAATGAGAGTGGCTACACTCGTATTATACCTGGTGATCCATTAGAAAACATTTGTTTTCTATCCCCATGACCTTAGTCTCTTTTGAATTAGAGGGCTGACTTCCAAAGGGAGGAATGCTTCCACCAAGAAACACAATGATTTTATTGAACTGGAAGTCATGACTGCAATCCAGCTACTCTGGCCTCCTCATTCATCTAAATTAGGCAAAGAGAAAATTTATTGTACTTGATGGGTGTTTGATCCTGATTATCAAGAGGAAATTGGGCTGCTACTCCATAATGGAATTGGAGATAGTACATCTGGAATACAACAGATCCCTTAGGGTATCTGCTAGTACTACCATGCTACTGTGTGTGGCAGTGGGACTAGTGAATTTTATTTCCATGTGTCCACTGATGCACTGCATTTACTGTGAAGTGAGCTCCTTGATCAGCAAGAATATTGTTTGGAAGAGTATGACATTGGATAAGAAATTCAACAGGTCCCTTAGGGTATCTCTTAGTACTGCCATGCTACCGTGTGTGGCAGTGGGACCAATGAATTTTATTTCCATGGGTCCATTGATGTACCACATTTACTGTGAAGTGAGCTCCTTGATCAGCAAGAATGTTGTTTAGAGGATTATGAAAATGGATAAGAAATTACATAAGTCCACAAATAGTAAATGATAAGTCATGGATGGCAGAAATATTCCATACATGGAAGATAAATATATATCCAGAGTGGTGTCTATTCCATTAAAATCTAAGCATTGCCCCTTCCATACCAGAGGTGGCCAAATGTAATCAACTTGCCACCAAGTAGCTGGCTGATTAGTCTGGGAAGTTGTGCCATAATAAGCACTCATTGTTCTTTCCTGCCTCCAAATTAGGCAATTCACATGAGTTCACCAGGTTAGCCTTCAGGAGTGGAAGTCCATGTTGCTGAGCCCAACCATCATCTCCATATCTAACATTATGGGAAATCATGCTAATCATACCATGATTAAAGTCAATGAAAAACCCAAGCCCAATTGAGGTTGGACTTACTAATGGGCCAGACCCCTCAGGAATGAAGATTTGAGTCAAGCAACCAAGCAAAGAAGTAGCACAAATGAAAGTACCACTGAGGACAGAGGGACAATGGGATCAGTAGAGGAAGAATATGGTTATAAGTACCAGATAGGACCATGTGAACATTTGAAAAATCAAGAACTGTATTAGTATTTCTTTCTTATTTTCTATGAATATATTTGTATACATATTAACTGAATATTTTTGTTTTCTTCTCTATCATCCCACATAATCTAGCAAAAATATATTAATAATAGAAAATTTTACATTGCTGTATTTAGGTTACAGGATATCGAAAGAGAAAAGTTAACATCATCTAGGAATAGGCATTATCTCATGGAGAAAGAGTTAGCCTGCTTTCAGTTGTACACAGCATACTTGAATCATGTTAAGCAGAAACAGGACTTTGCTAGCCTCTACTTGGAGAAGAAATATGGTTTGAAGAGGTATGTGTGGAGATCAAATTGACAAGAGATCAAATATGATGCTCTTTTTCAGTGTCACCTTGGTTAGTTTAAAGTCCCCATTTATTCAACCAAACACTTCCAGATGTCGGCCACGAAGAAATTTTGTATAGATGATTAAAGTATATAACTGGTTAACTTTATGTAAGACAAATTTTTCTAGATAATCCACATAGGCCTGATTCAATCACCTGAAAGGCCTGAAGAGGAGAACTGAGGCTTCTCTGAAGAAGAAATTCTGACTGTAAACAGTGGCTTCTCCTCATGTCCAAGAGTTCCAGCGTGCCTTTCCTGACATTCTAACCCACAGATACTGGAATTGTCTCATCAGCTCTCAGAGTCCCATAACTAATCCTTATTTGTCTGATTCTCTGGTAAATCCCTAACTGATGCATATTTCTATATGAAATTACATAATCAATGTCCTGATCATTTTGGAGAAGATTTTTAGACTAGTCCTATGGGAGTTCTGCTTTTATATCCAATTACTTCACAAGGCTAATAGTATCAAGGCTTGTACATTTAAATTTAATATTATATGTTCATAAGTATTATTATATGTATTTAATATCTATAAATTAATTTATTTATTATGTAAATTTGTATATTATTGTATATATCATATATAAATAAATAAAAACTTATATACTCTAGTATATATACTAGAGAAAGATGTGTTTATATATACATAATGTATATATACATATTGTTTATATATACATAAACATACATTTACATATATATACACATAAAACTTATTGATCTTGCTTTATTTTTTCTTTTCAAATGTACTTTGCTATGATTTCCACATTTTATATTCAGAAGCTGAGGACCTGGGAGGATCTATAACACAATCAAAATTCACATACTTGTTAGGTGGTGTAACTGGGAATCAGAGAAACCATAAAATATGAGCTAATATGCATTATTTTAAGCCAACGATGATAACACTGGCTTGTGGGTGGCCATGTATCAGTACTGATTTTTATCTAGGGTTTCTTCACTGGCCTTGTCACTCTACCCTGAAATTGTGAGTGAGATGCTTTGTATGATATTATAGTTTCTGAAGATTTGACTTCCAAATTGCCTCCTGCAAGAAATCCAGTAATTATTTCAAATTTCTACTGACGTGACAAAATGGATCGTACACCAAAGTACTTGCAGTAATTTACTAATATGAATAATTAAGCCTGTAGAAAGCATCTTGCAATTGGACCATGAGGGTTCTCGAGAAACAGGGGACAGAACTGATGTCTGGATGAGATAAAATTGATTAATATGGATAGGAAGACTCCCCCATGTTTTAGATTTTAACTTCTCCTCTGTAGCACCAGAAAGCAATAATACACTACTGGTGTACGAATATATATATATATATATATTTTTTTTTTTACTGAGAAAAACTACATGAATACTTCACTTAGTAGAAGAGCTTATATCTGTTTTTATTGCCTATTGCAGTATAACAGAGTTATTGTCATTCAAATATTAAAATTAAATGTACAATGAAGACAGATCTCATAGAAAAAATAAAACATTTGATAGAATTGCTCTGCATTATTTTAACAGCATAGATCATTATTTGCAGAGATTGGGTGTCATTTTACTTGTGCAGTTTATGAAAAATTGAAGAAATTTAGTGATGTATGTGTAGATTGAGCCACTGCACCCCAGCCTGGATGACAGAGCGAGTGTGTAGTCCCAACTGCTGAGGAAAGATGAAGCAGGAAGATGAAATAGGTAAAACTTACACATGAAAAACTGCACCAACATTAAAATTTTCTCAGCGTTCTAGTAAAGCACATTTTTGAAAGTGAATAGACTTCACGACATTGAGTTTGGCAACGATTTCTTGGATATGACACAAAAAGCACAGTCAACAAAGGAAAAAATAGATAAATTAGATCACTTAAAAATTAGAAATGCCTCCCATCAAAAGGCACAATCAATGTGTGTAAAAACGCAACCAATGAAATGGGAGAAAATATGTGTAAATCATATATTTGAAAAGGAGTTAATATTCAGAATATATTAAGAACTTCTACAATTCAACAACATAAAACACAACACAATTTAAAAATGAGAAAAGGTCTTGAATAAACATTTACTTTAAAGAAAATATACAAATAATAAATAAGCCCATGAAAAATCTGAATATCAATAATTATTAGAAAAATACACATCAGTGCTACAATGAGATACCACCTCAGACTCATGAGGATAGGTACTTTCAAAAAACCAGAAAATTACAAGTGTTAGTGAAGATCGGAAAAGTTGGAATTTTTGTATTCCGTGGGTGAAAATGTAAAATGGTATAGCTGCTATGAAAAATGGTATGGTCATTCCTCAAAAAATTAAACCTAGAATTACAACATAATCCAGCGATTCCACTTCTGGGTATATACACAAAATAATTGAAAATGGGATCCCAAAAGGCTATTTGTACAGTCGGCCGAGGGCGGTGGCTCACGTGTGTAATCCCAACACTTTGGGAGGCCGAGGTGGGCGGATCACGAGGTCAGGAGATCGAGACCATCCTGGCTAATGCGGTGAAACCTCGTCTTTACTAAAAATACAAAAAAAAAAAAAAAAAAAAAAAAAAAAAAAAATTAGCCGGGCGCGGTGGCAGGCGCCAGCTACTTGGGAGGCTGAGGCAGGAGAATGGCGTGAACCCGGGAGGCGGAGCTTGCAGTGAGCCGAGATCGCGCCACTGCATCCCAGCCTGGGAGACAGAGGGAGACCTTGTCCCAAAAAGGAAAGAAGAAAGGAAGGAGAGGAGAGGAGAGGAGGGGAGGGAGGCGAGGGGAGGGGAGGGGGAAGAGAGAAGAGAGAAGGAAGGAAGCAAGGAAGGAAGGAAGCAAGGAAGGAAGGAAGGGAGGGAGGGAGGAAGGGAGGGAGGGAGGGAGGAAAGAAGGAAGGAAGGAAAGAAAAAGAAAGAAAGAAAGAAAGAAAGAAAGAAAGAAAGAAAGAAAGAAAGAAAGAAAGAAAGAAAGGGAAAGAAAGAGAAGGGAAGGAAGGGAAGGAAAGAAGGAAAGTGTGACACATGTTACAACATGAGTGAATCTTGAAGACATTATGCTAAGTGAAATAAGCCAGCCACAAAAGAACTAATACTGTATGAATACACTCATATGAAGTACCTGGTGTAGCCAAATTCTTAGGACCACAAAGTAGAATGGTGGTTTCTAGGGGGTGGGTGAAGAGTGGAATTGTGACTATTGTATAATAGGCAGAGTTTCTGTTTTACAAGATAAAAAGCCTTCTGTGAATGAACAGTGGTGATGGTGCACAACTATGTAAATGTACTGGGTGCCACTGAGGTATACATTTTAAAATAATTAAGATAGTAAATTGTATTATGTATTTTACCTCAATTTTTAATTGAAGAGTATAAAGGGATTTATTATTAGACCTCACATATATTCAGTTCTTATTTTATTTATTTATTTATTGGGACAGGGTCTAGCTCTGTTGCCCAGGTTGGAGTGTAGTGGCGTGAACTTGTCTCACTGCAACCTCCGCCTCCTGGTTCATGTGATTCTCCTGCCTCAGCCTCCCAAGTAGCTGGGATTAGAGGTGCGCTGCCACTATGCCAGGCTAATTTTTGGGGGGGGATTTTTAGTAGAAATGGGGTTTTACCATATTGGTCAGCCTCCTGACCTCAAGTGATCCACCCACCTCAACCTCCCAAATTACTGGGAATTATAGGCGTGAGCCACTGTCCCCGGCCTTGTTCTTATTTAAACATTAGTTTTTAAAGATCTATATTGTGTCAATGATACATGTGTTTTTTGTAGGTTACCAAACAAATAGGACCATACTTTTGCATAGAGGCTTACCCAATCTAAATATAGCACATGCCTATAGTATATATACATATACACATACACACAGAGACATGTTGGCATCTACTAAAAATTGCTACAATAATTCAGGCATACCTTTAATTGTTACTTCAGATAGTAATTGGCTAGATATAAATTATTAAGACATGAATTCATATATTGTATCCATAGTTTTGTAGCTCAACTTGTGTATGCTTAGCTCCAGTTTGCAGCTTTCTATATCAAAACTTAATGAGAATTTGGAACCATCATTCAAGCAAATTTATAAGTGGTTATGACAGGAACAAGTATTATAACATCCAAGAATATTTTCAGTTGATAGCAATTTTAGCCTTATGACTGCAGTAGATGACACGGTGCACTGTCCAGATTCCTCCTTCAAGACTAAAGCATTTGTTCCTTTAGGTGCTAGAAGCATTGGCATCTCAGGGCTCTTAGCCAAGTCATTCTATAGAAATTTCTATCAGCCATGTCCAAGGTCATGCTCCTTCTTGGAATAACTTGCAATCAATATTAGTCAACATCGAAAATATAAAGGCTGATACACTTTGCTTCTTTATACAACAGTTTTAAAAGTGTATGCCACCTTTACAGGTCCTTGTGGGATTATTTGAAATGTTTGTTGCAACTTCCAGGTTTTCAATGATTTTTCTTCTCAGTCCTACTTCTTTCTTTCATTTCCCCACAGATCATCATCACAAAGGTACATCTCAATAAACTTACTGAAGACACCATCTCCAGGTCTTTTTCCTGAAGAACTCAACCAAGACAAAGGTCAATATTATGATCTTCTATATGTTTCTGTTACCAGCTGTCCTAACTTCCCAGTATATTATCATAAACATCCAGAAAATTATTTAAAATACTGTTATGAACACTGAACTTTGGTGGAATATTAAAGAAAACTTCTCAAAAGCTGGGGAAAATTACATAAACTGCAATTTGAAGTAATTTGTTGCCAAGTACAATCTCACACACACACAAAAATCAACTAAACAGGCAATAAGATTGTGAAGATAGCCACAGAGGGCTTTGGTTGCAATGCATTGTTCTCTTAATTCAGCCTCCAAAAAGAGGCAGTTGGTCAGAAACTTGGGCACCCCACGGTGTTAGAATTATTTTACAAAGGCATAGTGTTATATTTTTGTCATCTTGGTTACTTTTCAAGCAATTCACTTTTTTAGTTATTTAGAGAGCAAAGGCGGTTTTTGTTGCTGCATAAATACAGGGAAGCAAAAGGAAGGGAAGCATGATGATATACTGCATTATGAGTTATGTAGTTGAATTCTAGACAAATATTGATGGTAGAGATGGATGCTGGCTCACCAATGTTTCAATCAATCAATCAATCAATCAACAACACACAAATGGTAACTAAAATTAAGTTTTTATACCAAGTAAAATAATAATGCCATTATTTTATGTATGTTTATTTCCAAATATTTTGCAGATATATAATACACTGTTCTTATTTTCTCTAAAGGTCTGTGTAGACTTGCTCTCTGCAGCTGAGTCATAGATAGTTTATTGAAAAATCAAGAAAAATACTTTTCATAGTTGCTCCCTTATGTACATATTTTATTTTTATTTGAATTTTATTTATGTTGTTAACAGATGCTTGTCTTTAAATGTGGTGGTGATTTGATACAGAGTTGGTTCTTCTTATCTGCTGGCTCTGCAGTCGTAGATTCAACTAACTACAGTTTTTAAATATTTTTAAAATAAAAAAATTAATAATGCAGCAATAAAAAATAATTCAAAGAAAAATACAGTAAAACAACTTTTTACACAGGACTTACATTGTATTTGGTTGTATAAGTAATCTAGTGGGGATTTAAATTATACAGGAGGATGTGCATCAGTTTTATGTAAATACTACATCATTTTACATAAGGGATTTGAGCACTTGTGGATTTTGTAATTCCAAGGGTCCTGAAAGCAATCTCCCAGGGATACAGAGGGAAGGGTGTACCTGAAAAGGGCGTTATTCCCAGTTTCATTGGAGACTGGAAGCTCTGGCAATCATAGATGGAATATACTGCTGCATCTTAGCTCATTTTGATTGTCTTAATATTGTCTACAGTATTACAAGGAGAATGAATTTCAATTCAAGGGTAAAAGAAATAAAGATGGCTTGCCAATTAAGCTGTGATATTAAATGTATCCGTGGAGGCTGGATACAGGAGCAATTGCAATATGATTTTTGTTTGTCTGTTTGTTTGACTTTTACCTTACCTTTCATTCAACAAACCAATCATTGTTGAGTGTCACCTCATACAAGTGAGAACACCTTGGATTCAAACTCATGTTGAAATATTTTTCTATAAATATTTTCTATAATATAATTTTTAAGAAAATTCAGTTATTAACTCTGTGAGCTACTTAGGAACATCACATAAATTATGCAGCTGCAAACTAGATAAAGTCAGACAATTTATGTCTTTTTCTTTGAAAAATAATGTGTCTTTAGAAAGAGAAGTTCTAAAGTGGCCAATTGTGCAGTCCCTTCTTGTCTTTGGGGATTATATTCCAAGACCATCAGTGGATGCTTGAAGCTGCAGGTAGTATCCAATTACCTTCTATCAGAGCACATTTCTGTCCATGTCTTCCACCAACAAATTTAATGCCTTTTCCATCTTAACTAAACACCTATCACAGACTAACTTTTGCAGTTTCAGGTGCAACAAAAAAACTATCATAAATTTCTTTTCCTTATTCATAATTTCATAGATAGAAGATTTGTTCTTACATTAGACCTTTGCAACTTTAGCATATGATTTTTTTTCCTTTTATTATTAAGTGGAGAACTTTCACTTTTTCACATAAAAGTAGCTCTTTATGCTTTTCTTGGCATATCCAAATAGCCAGCATCACTACCCTTACACTTTGGGGCCATTATTAAGAAAAATGAGGGTTACTTGAACTCAAGCAGTGTGCACTGTGATATCAATCTGATCACCAATATGGCTGCTAAATGATTCATGGGCAACTAGCATGTACAGCCTGGATACAATGGACAAAGTGATGGTTCATATCCTGAGCAGGAGATTTCATCACATTACTCAAAACGACGTGCAATTTAAAACTTATGTATTGTTTATTTCCCAAATTTTCCATTTAATATTTTCAGATCAAGGTTGCCCAAAAGTAATTAAAACCAAGGCAAGGGAAATCAAAGATAAGGGGTGAACTACTTTGTGTCCAGGAGTAGAGACTTTGTATAAAATGCTTCCAAAGCACTCCAGTGCCTAATTACAACAAGTACCAATACCTGGGCCATCTTGGGCATTTCCCAGATAGTCATGGAGGTCTTGTAATAATGATTTAATTATTGATAATAGCAATAACATGTTTCTTATTATAAAGTTAAAAGTTTAAACCTGTACATTAAATATAATTTTATGTGTAAGATCACCTAAATAAATTTGTGAAGAATGCCATTTTTATTCCTCAAGTGTAATATTTTATAATTTTATTTTGACTAGGAATTTAGAATTACAAAATGGGCTATATATACATAATAAAATTAGACATGTGGCAATTTTCTATAAACAATTTCAAGATTGTAAATTCCTATATCTCCAGAACCATGATTTATCTTTAGCATCTCCACAGCATAAAATACTTTTTTAAAGGAAATCAGTAAAAAAAAAAAAAGAAATGATTTAACTATAAAATATAAATATTCAATAAAACACAACTTTATTGGTTTACCTGAAATTGACATATTAAGTTAGGCTGGATGCTGTGGCTCATGTCTGTAGTCCCTGAACTTTGGGAGGCCAAGGTGGGTGGATCACTTGAGCCCATGAGCTTGAGTATTCTGGGCAACATGGTGAAACCCTGTCTTTACAAAAAATACAAAAATTATCCAGGCATGGTGGTGCACACCTGTAGTCCCAACTACTCTGGAGGTTGAGATGGGAGGATCACCTGAGCCCAGAAGGTTGAGGCTGCTGTGAGCCATGGTCATGCCACTGCACTCCAGCTGGCAGAGGGAGACCCTGTTTCAAAAATAATAATAATAATAATATATATGTATATGTATATATATGTATATGTATATATATATATACATATAAAAACATATCCTTTGTTCTTTTGAATAGCAATGTTCTCTCTTTATTAAAATAATAATAGAGATATTTTCAAAATGTTTAAAATGGCATTTATCTTTGAAACATTGTCTAGAAAACTAAACTTTAAGTTGATACAGTCCTTAAGTTCCCTTTAGGAACAATGCTATTTAAATCCTTACTTTGGCTTTGATCTAAAATTTTATCATTTCCACATGAGCTATAAATATCATTACCCTATCACATATAGAATGCATGGATTCTGTCTATACAAAATATTCAGAGTTTATTCTATGACAACTTCAAGAGACTGAGGATTCCCTATCTTTCTGATTAACCTACTACATTTTGAACTGCAACTACTTATGTCACAGGATCCTTTGGGTGTTGCTTCACCAGCCGGAAACCTCTGTGGCCAGTCACCCTTTAGCCCAACTTTTGCTCAGATCCGCTGGGCCCATTCCACCCGCTCAGCCTGGCAGTTTGTGCTCAGCTTGCTCTACTAGCCTGGATCCCATGACTGCCAAGGTCAAGCCAGGTGCAGAGCAGAGAGGGGTGTGTGAACAAACAAGTGCAGAGTCCAGCCACTGTGCAGAGCCGGGTACGCTGACTAAGCAGGGTGGGCAACCCCAGGCACCAGCACAGGCACCAGCTCCCTGTGAGGCTGTGGCTTGACCAGGCATACCATCAGTGGATTCCACTGTAGGTACCACAGAACACGGTGGTGCCCAGAAGCTTGCAGGCACCGGGAACCACAGAGCCCCAAAGAGGGTGTCACAGTTCTGCCTCAGGGAGCTCCTAGGTTTGGCCTCCCCGAAGGGCCACAGCTCTTCTCTCCTTCTCTCTCCTTTCCTTGTCAATTGCTATGTGATGAGCAGCCCTGTTTGTGTTACAGCTCTCTCAGCCCTGACACTGGGTGGGTCTCAAGTTCTTTATTGTGCCCAGGAATAATGAGGTACATGGACAAGTGGAAGGTAAGCAAGATGAAGAGGTGCTTTACTGAGTGACAGAACAGCTCAGAGGAGACCTGCAATGAGTAATTCCTCTCTGCAGGCAGGTCAGCATGATGTCTGCCCCAGTCTTGCTGAGTCTGGGGATTTTATCAGCTTCAGTGGGGAGGAAGTGCATGCTGATAGGCCGAAAAAGCACCATAAGTTCTCACTCTGGTCTGCATAACTAGCTGCCCAGCCCCCAGGCTTTAGGCCTTCCCAGGCCTGAAAGTGAGGCTTCACCAGGGACTGGCCCCTTCCCACCCAAGAGCCCATCTGCCTCCTGCCTCCATCAACCTGCCGTCCACGACACCCATGCTATTCATGCCGAGGGGTGCCTGCGGACCTGCACCGAGCTGCCCTAAGCACCCTCTCAGCCTCCCTCCCATGCTTGTTGGGACCCAAAGTTTGGAGGGGACCAAGGTGGCAGGGGTATAGTGTGTCAGCAGTGCCCCAAGCACACACACACCCGGCCAGGTCCCAACAACAGCTAGGTTCAGCCTCAACTTTGCTCCGAAATCGATGCAGGTGCTGGGAATGGGGAGAGACCAGGGTGCAGGAGCAGGCATTTTTGAGCCTGCAAGGGCAGGGGGTCTTCCTGGTCCCTGAGAGCACAGTCCAAAGGTACAGCTGGGCTGGGAGGCTGTAGCTGAGCCTGGGAGGTTGGTCTCACCCTTCCAACTTGGAAGAGGGTGGGGCTTCCACCTGTTCCTGGCCCCCACTGGCTCCCCCTGGCTCCATGAAGCACAGCCACATCTCCCCTGCTGCTGCCAGCATCTTTGCAGCAGCCACTCCAGATGGGCCACTGCTGTCATCACTTATAGAGTGTGTTTATTTAAATTGAGCTAAGAACTTTTAACCAAGTAATCAAGATTTTCTTTGGAGGGCCAGAAAGAGCAACATGTGTCTCTTTGAATATTGGAAACAGCTGGAACAGCTATCATATTCTCATGAGTCTCTTTTATCCCATAAACTAATGAGCTACAAGTCCTCATATGACATGGTAGTGAATTACCACTTCATCTGGACCAATCTTTATTAAGCTGCTTTTAATTTGCAGATACTGTTGTTTGCACATATTTTTATTTAAGTTTAGTGTCATAAATAAGTGCTAAATCACTGGTGGCATCATCAAAGCACTGTTAATTTATATAGTTTTCTTCTTTTTAGGTGGTAAAAATCTTCCTGACAATTTCACCTAGCCACATTTCTTCATGCCATAACCAAAGTGTTGACATGTTCATAGACTATTTCAGTCACACTCACACTACTGCATGCTGAGCTTACAAGGCAAAATCTGTACCCTCCAGGAATTGTCCTTTGGCGAGAAAAACAGAATGAATACACAAGTGAATAACATCTGCATTCATTCTTTTTATCATGAATTGTATCAACTAATTAATGGAATAATAATGTTTGTTGGAATGGTATATTTCTCTTACTAAGAACTCCTAATAATATCTGCAGTACCAAATAAGGACATTTATCATAGTACAAATTAAGAAAATGAATACAGGCACAAGATACTGTTAGCTTTCTAGCAGAAATTTTTCCTCCAGCCCTTCATCATGGGCACATGGTCAAACTGCTTTCTTTGGTCTGTCTTGCACTCAGATGTAATCATTTGACCAGCCAATGGAAGGTAAGTAGAAGTGTCTCATTTCTGAAAGAGGTCTCTTTAATCATATTTTATTCATGTATCCCTTTCTTTTTGGGATGCTGCTCCCCTGGAGATGACAACTGGCCCTCTCTCACGTCAGTGGTGAGTAAGCTGTGGGAGCACATGGTCCTGAGTCTCTCAATCAAAAAATAGAGAAGAGTGCCACACAGACCTAAGATAACTGCCCTACCTGCAGCATTAGGTGAGAGAGAAATAAACTCCTCACAAGCTACAAGCTTTTCCTTGAGTATTTCATGCCATAGCATCTTAGCTTAGTGCACATTTACTAATACAACAGCAAAACAATGAATTATATGACAAATATGTTAAACAGCAGTTTCATAGACTGGATCCTAGGACCCGTGGTTGAAGCGAGCATTAAATGAGAGGTCAAGTACAGTTTCTCTAGCACAGGCCTATATTTCTTTATGCAAATTCAATCATAAACATACACTTTTATTTTGTAAATGTGCCAAGAAATATTCTGTACCAATACTATGGGCACTAAAATGCGAGTGAGTTTCATTTAGCCTAGTGTGAACAATGAAAGCCAGGAGTGTATTTGGCAATTAAGGTGAAAATATATAGTATTTCAATTGTATTATAAATAAAGTAAAAATAGCAATCCCAACAGTCTTCAGTGGGAAAAAAAATCTAATATATGGGTATCATTACGATTCATACTAGGAAATACAAGTACAATAAAAACTTATTAAGGAAGTTTCATCCATTATTTGCCAGCCATTATTTGTCAATATGTTTTGTCATAGTCCTAAGATTTTTCTGTTCATGCTGTTTGAGGGACTGGCTCCATGATACCACCTTAAAGTGATTGTACTGTAATTGTTCTCTTTATCACTCATGAGATTCAATTTCATGTTTCATCTGCTTCCTCGATTTCCTGTTGCTACATAGTGAAATGTGTTCTGATCTTCTAAAAAATGGATGGATGTCAACTTTAGCAAATGCATAGATTTTCAGGATAGAATTCATCTAGTAAGGGGAAAAAGCTAAAGATTCTAGTCATGGCTTTGTAACTGTAGTATCTCTATATCACTGTAATAAAACTTTGTCAGATAGTTAAATGAATGAGTTTATTTTATATTCTAGGCTGTGCTGTTTCCTATGTTATGTACTAAAACAAACTATTTGGTAATGTATTAGCTGGTAAGTGATCTATCAGGTGATTTCTTCTAAACTTTTAAGACTAATTATTAATAGAGTAATTCATTATATTATCTAATCTCTCTCTCCCTCTCTCTCTTTAATTTCAGGTACTTTTGTAAGTATTTAGTACTTAATACTCAAGTATCCCTGTCATAAATGTAGCAGAAAGTTTTAGTAACTTAGTCAAATTCACAGTTATTAAAAGACAGAATTACACTTTCAAACCAAGCAATTTGACTCCTGAGCCCATTGTTTAAATATTGTTCTGTGTGGTCTCCCAAAGTCATAGTGATTTAGTGCAGCCCCATCATTTTACTTCAAGGCAAATTAAGGCTCATGTAAGATACATCATAACTTTTCTAAGAATGCACGACAATTAAATAATGACAGTTTCTCATCTTAAAGTATTTTGGTAAGTCTCCAACTTCCATAACATAAATTGAAAAGTATCGCCTTATTTAAACAAAACATTTTAAAAATAGTAATTTTAACAAATAATGTAAGCAAAATACTTATTATCATTTACATAGTGAAATGGACTGTAGGACCTGGGATTGCCATAAAAGCATATGTATAATACCAATATTTTCACTGAAAGTATATCTTACCATAAAATATGCAATCAAGTGCTATAATAGGTTAAAAGGATTTACGAAATGGAATCTAGGTACTACTATTTCACACAATGAATCCATAGGAAAGGATTCATTTAAAAGATTTAAACTCATGCATGCTTGTTTACTACTGAATGTCTATTTAGAAAGGACACCTCAAGATTTAAACAGAGTCAGGAAGAAAATATATTACCACCACAAAAACTATATTAAATTATTTGACATCTACATGGCATGTCTTATTTCTTTCATCTCTTTTCAATGTCTCTTATCCTGCCTGGGAAGGGCAGGACACATCAGATCCACTGCCTAAATAGATTCTAGCCAGAGGTAACTAGAAATGAACTCCCTTGAAAGTATTTCAGCCTCTTCAGGTGATTCTAATGTAACCTGACAACTTTTTGGAACATTCTATTTTTATTCCACAGGTGAAGGAGCCGAAAAAGTTACAATATTCCCCACTTTTCCAAAATGCATGCCTCTGACTATGTACTTACCTGATGATCCCTCTCCGCAAATTAACTGCTTACAACCATGGGTTCAGGAGAAGGACTCTATATGGGACATATGGCTGGTGTTATGATCAGGGTAGCAGATTTAATTGGCCTACAGATTTAATAATGCTTGGAGGACATTTTAGCCTCAACTGGTTGCAGCTCTATTTAGAGTATAGAATTGTAAAACAATTATGTTCTTCACCAATTGTGTCATTCACCATTAATCTAGGCTGCTAAGCATTCATTCTCAACATCCTATTATATACAATTGTATAAATTATGACAAAAAATCTTGTTTTGAAGTATTATCTGAGATCATTATTAACGCCATTATAATTTTGAAGGTTGAAAATATTTCTCCTTTTAATGTTGAAACTAATTATGTTCTTTCCATTCATTATCAGGCCATTTGCCTTTATGTCCTTGTTATTCTCACCTTGCAAAAGGAGGATGGACCCTGTGATGGTTAATACTGAGTGTCAACTTGATTGGATTGAAGGACGCAAACTATTAACCCGGGGTGTTTCTGTGAGGGTGTTGCCAAGGAGATCAACATTTGTGTCAGTGGGCTGGGGAAGGCAGACCCACCCTTAATCTGGATGGGCACCATCTAATCAGCTGCCAGTGAATATAAAGCAGGTAGAAAAATGTGAAAAGGAGAGGCTGCCCTAGCCTCCTGTTCTATGTCTTTTTTCTGTACTGGATGCTTCCTGCCCTTCAACATTGGACTCCAAGTTCTTCAGTTTTGAGACTCGGACTGGCTCTCTATGCTCCTCAAGCTTGCAGACAGCCTATTGCGGGACCTAGTGATCATGTAAACTAATACTTAATAAACTCCCTGTCATATATATTATACTTAATAAACTCCCCTTCATATATATTGTACATATTATATATAATATATCATATATAATCATATAATATATATTATATATAAAATATATCATATATCATATAATATATAGTATATAACATATCATGTATATCATATTTATACATATATATATAATATACATATATATATATATCTCCCATTACTTCTGCTCCTCTAGAGAACCCTAACACAGACTCTTACTCACAATTTGGTTAGGATGTCAATACTGATTATGCCACCTGACAACAAGCCTATATATGAAACAGTTTATTGCATGCATAGTTGAGGTCTTTGTAAGCAGCATGGCAGGCCTCCAAAATGGATCAGAAGTGACCTGAGAGAGTAGAAAGGAACACTGGCTAGAGTTCTTACTATGATCGGGTTAGGTGCTGGCTCAGGGTTCCCACACACAGGTAGGGACTTTTGGTTTGAATTTCCTGCCTGCATGAAAAAAGGGAGAACACGGAGCTTCTTATCAGTTAGTCCCAATGCGGTGCAGAGTGGAAAAGGAGAAAGTGAGTCTTAAAACTTTACAGCAGTCAACCATCAGAAAGCAGAGTTGGATCCCTCATTCTTATTCTCTAGCATTTAAAGAATATGCCAGAATTACAAGTACTCTTGATTATATCCCTACCCCTGCCCACAGGGTATGGTAAGTCAACCCTCAGAGTTGCACGTTACAGCAAGAAGGGGCATTCCTGATAATTATATACAAATTAGGCCTCCAATGCGTCTCCAAATGCTTGGATAGCTGGGTTTCTCTCCGTTAGGACTTCACCTACAGGAAGACTTTGAGGAGGCTCACCAGAGCCTGTTACACTGTCCCTGTTACAACCACCTCTCTCTTTACATGTCACTTGCTTATTCTAGCTATCTAAAAATGAAGTTTAGGCAGGGGTTGGAAGTAGGGGGTTGGCAGGGAAATGACTCATAAAGTTAAAATGGACTCTACCCACACGTTCTCCCTGTGACATTATCATGATTGGGTGCAGCATGTCTCCAAGAACATACAAATTAGAATACCTCTGTCATTGTAGACGTCTAGGCTTCTGGGGTCCTTCATCATAAAATGGATACTTATGCCCATGTTGTTTGGCAATACATGAATGGGGTCCTATCTCTAATGCCTCTGAACCTCCACGATTTTTCCACTGTATTCTCTCAAATTCACAGTCTGTAACTTATAACATTTCTTTCCTTTTTTCTTCTTTAACTTCTCCAGGGTGAGTTTTATCTTTCTTTCTCTTATTGATCCTAGCCATTCTCTATGACTATTACTTCTCTTATAGCTTATCAAAAATGCCTATTTATCTTCCTACATTTCACATCCTATGCTCCACTTACCATAGGAGGAAGGGTGAATGTGCTACTTGTTCTGTGGTGTTTCCAGGAGACTATGTGTATTCCCTGCCATCCAAACAAACACACACACACACACACATACACACAACAGTGTTGAAGTGCACGCAACCCAACTGTGCCATCTGTGATGCCTCCAAGGAAGAATGTTGCTTGCTGTGTTAAGGATGGCAATTTTGTTTTTTTTTTTTTTAGTATTATACTTTAAGTTTTAGGGTACACGTGCACAATGTGCAGGTTAGTTACATATGTATACATGTGCCATGCTGGTGCGCTGCACCCACTAACTCGTCATCTACCATTAGGTATATTTCCCAATGCTATCCTTCCCCCCTCCCCCCACCCCACAACAGTCCCCAGAGTGTGATGTTCCCCTTCCTGTGTCCATGTGTTCTCCTTGTTCAGTTCCCACCTATGAGTGAGAATATGCGGTGTTTGGTTTTTTGTTCTTGCGATAGTTATGAGGTGGAAATTGGCTTGAAATTTTTTTAACTTTCTTCTAACTTTTTAAATATTCTTTATTTCATATATATGCTAATAATTAACTTTTTAAAACCAAATCAATGTGTTTGTATTTTCAAAAATAGACAGTACAAACTAAGGCTAAATGGTTAACTATATTGTCGTTGTGTGTGCACTTGAAGCATCCTTGGGTGCCGTTTTTCATACTGTGTGTTTTGAAGTAACTGTTAATAGGCACAATGAAAATAAAGATTATTGTTTTAAAACTCACGGAGTCTTCAGAGAATTCACAAGTTCTGTTGATTTATTCTTTGTGTTCTTTCTTAAGTTCAAACTGTAAGACTTTAGCTATATTTGGAAACTTGTTTTTCCTTTATCTTTTATCGTGCATTGTATATGGCATGTTTCTATGTCACAGTCTAAGTATAAAAGGTCAGATATTTTTAAAGGATTTTTAAATGTTAATGTGTTTTACATAACAATAGAAATATTTCACATGTATAAATGGCTTTAGTGCTGTGATTGACACATGCACAGACTAAAATGTTGAATCTGGGTCTTTTCACCTTTCCTGCACTTAGAACATGACGTAAACATGTTTCACACCCACTAGGAGAGACCCTGGCTTATGTACTGACACTGACTCAGATAAATACACAGCTCCACAGCCCCCAACTGCTCTGCTTCAGAAGCCATCAAAGCAATTTTAAAATCAATTTGGTATTTGACAGGGAGCCATTGCAGTTCCCACAGGAAAGCAATGACATGCTGAGGCCACTTAGTGTGAATAAAAATTTGACAGCAGCATTTTGCTGAAGTTGGAAGTTCTACAGCCTTTTTTCCCCCACTAAAAGGCCATTTAAATGGGAACATGATGATGCTCTAACCCAGAGGTTAAAGCATCAAAATCTATTGCCTCAACCTCAGCTGGAAGATGGTCAGTCGATGGTTTATTTTTTAAGACACTGATTAAATTATTGTCAGAGAACTGAAAGTATGATATAAAGGCAAAGGTTGATTCCAAATTTGTTGCCAACAGTTTGGCATAAGTACAAGGACCACTGCCATTAAATTTAGTAAAGACAGAATGCTTCAGGAAATAATATATATCAAGCAGCAATTTTAATTTAACCATCCTGGCATCCCTGATGGTATTTAACATGTATTGAATAACAATACTAAAGCAATGTCTTTCCTCCTACATAATTTAAAAATTATATCAATTTTATTTAACTTAAATAAGCAACTATATGCTTCATAATCAATATTATCACTTGCACCATTAATCCTACTGAATGGTGGAAATTAACCTCACCTACCTAACCTTAGTAATTCTAGCCCCTTTTGTAAAGGAGACTTCAAAAATTCGTAAAAAATAAAAAATAAAAAAACTATTAACTTTATTTCACAACATAATCTCCATTAAAGTCAAGACATTTTTGTAAGCAACAATACAAGCCATTTAGTCTACACCTAAAGAACGGAGGGTCCTGGGAATTTAATCATTAACCATGCAGTCAATGTAGTCTTTTTAATGGGAAAAAAGTGGGCTCCCTTTAAAGATTGTTTAAGATTGTGAAACAAAAATAAGTCAGAAGGAGCCAAATCAGGACTTTAAGGTGGATGCCTAATAATTTCCAATTGAAAATCTGGCAAAACTGCACTTGTTTGATGAAGGAATGGACAGGAGCATTGGTATGGTGGAGAAGGACACTCTGGTAAAGCTTTCCTGGGCATTTTTCTGCTAAAATTTAGCAAGCTTTCTCAAAACAATCTCATAATAAGCAGATGACTACCAATCACTTTTTATCTCTATTGTTTTACCTATTCTTAGACTTTCATAAGAACAGAATGATATAATATGTGACTTTTGGGTCTAGCTTTCTCTTAGCATAACATTTTTGAGGGTTATCCACTTTGTAATATGTATCAGTACTTCATTCATTTTTATGGCTTAATAATATTCCATTGTGTAGATATAACAGATTTGTTTATCCATACATCTGTTGGCAAACATGACTATTTCCACCTTTTAGCTGTACTCAGTAGTGCTGCAATGAATATTTGTGTACAAATATTTGAGCACCTGTTTTCGGTGTATGTGTTGATTAGCCATTTGCATATAATTTTTGGAGAAATGCCTACCAAAGTCCTGTGCTTGTTTTCATATTGGGTTGTCTTTAGGTTGTTGAGTTGTAAAAATTCCTTATATATTCTGTATACTAGATCCTTATTAGATATATGACTGGCAAATATTTGTTTTTCCATTTTGTACTTTGTCATCACTTTATTGATGGTATCTTTTGACAAACAAAATGATTTTTTTGGATTTTAATTTATCTATGTGTTCTTCTGTGGCTTGTACTCTTAATGCTGTATCAAAGAAGTCATTGCCAAATCAAGGTCAAGAGATTTACTCCCATGGTTTTTTTGTAAGAATACTGTAGTTTTACTTCTTATATGGATGTTTATTTTAAGCTAATTTTTGTTTATGGTGTGAGGTAAGGGTCTCTTTTCATTTACTGACAGGTCAAAATCCAGTTGTCCGAGTACTATTTATTAAAGAGACTATTGTTTCTCCTTGAATGATCTTGGCACCTTTGTTAAAAATAATTGGCCAATGGTGGACAAGGCGGCTCACACCTATAATCCCAGCACTTTGGGAAGCTGAGGTGGGTGAATCATGAGGTCAAGAGATCAATACCATCCTGTCCAACATGGTGAAACCCTGTCTCTACTAAAAATACAAAAATTAGCTGGGCAAGGTGGTGCGAGCCTGTAATCCCAGCTACTCAGAAGGCTGAGGCAGGAGAATCTCTTGAACCCGGGAGGCAGAGGTTGCAGTGAGCCAAGGTCATGCCACTGCACTCCAGCCTGGCAATAGAGTAAGACTCCATCTCAAAAAAAAAATTGGCCGAACATACATAAATTTATACCTGGACTCTCAATTCTATTATACTAGTCTACTTGCCTCTACTCATGCCATTACAACATTGTTTTGGTTATGGTAATTTTTGAAATAATTATTGATATCACAATGTATGAGTCCTCCAAATTTGTTCTTTTTCAAGGTTGTTTTGGCTGTTATGGGGCCCTTAAAGTTACAAATAAATTTGATAACTAGTTTTTCCATTTATGCGAAAATATCATGGGAATATTGACAGAAATTGCATTGAAACTATATCTCACTATAGTAGTATTGTCAACTAAAAAATAATATCTTTCAATCCATGAACATGTGATGTCTTTCCATTTATTTATGTCTTCTTTAGTCTCTTTCAGCAATGTTTTATAGTTTTCAGTGTACAAATTTTTCACCTACTTAGTTAAGTTTATTCCTTATTATTTATTGTTATAGATGCTATTACAAATTGAATGTTTTTAAATTTCTTTTTTTAGATAATTCACTGCAAATACATTGAAGCACAATTGATTTTTGTGTTGATTTTGTATCCTGCTAATTTTCTAAAAGTTTGCATGTGGATTCTTTATGAATATATATATAATATATATTATATATATTATATAATATGTGATATATAATATTTTATATAGTATATAATATATGACATATATTATATATATATATCTCTCATGTGACCTCCAATCAATAGCCCACAGATACATAAAAACAGATAAACACACTTCTTAAGAGTAATATCTGCTCTGCTCCTTGAAAACAGGGAGAAGAGTGCCACACTAGATATATGGGCTACTTTCTTGAATACCATTACAAAATTAGGAAGGGCACTGACAAAGGGCAAAAAAACAAGACAAACACTCACCAAAAAAAATAATTAAAATAACAAGCTATCCTAACTTTTTAAAAGTTATCTTTTAAAAAATTTAATGTACACTTATTTGCTGTAAACCTTTTAGTATTTTCCATAATTCAGCTAAAGTTCATTCTGAAAGTTTTTGCTCAAATTTTTGATGCTTCTGTAACAGTACTGGCCTGTACCAGAGCTACACACTCTGCCATTTTCACTGACATCACACATTTATTTTATTTTTCATAGTGATCAAAATCAGTTAATTTTGGGTGACATTAAACAAATAAAAGGATTTTTTTTCTATATTTCCTTTGGTTAATTAAATAAATTCATTTATAAAAAATGGACCCCACCAAATCATCACAGAGAAAGAGATAGCACAAGTAGCTCCAAGAATCTCAAAAGACAAAAGCAAAATTACCAAGAGGGTTTTGCATAATAATTCCAATACAACTTCTTTACATTTAAGTATGTGTTCAATAGTTGAATCCCAAGGATTGAGGATCTTTTTAGATTCTAACCCTGGAGTTATTAGCGTAATATTGGATGTTTGTATCTCATACAATAACAGAGTGGAAGAGGGGAAGTTGTCTAAAGGAAAGGATGACACTCAGAAACAAAAATGAAAAGTCTACTATAGCACAGAGGGCTAAGGGTAGGAAAATACAGGCTTCAAATACATCCCCACTCCAACCCAGTAACCTTCTGAATATATGTGCACAATAGCATATTATCCTCTGAGCAGAGCTGTAAAGGCATTCCTAGTCAATTTTAGAATCTCCTTTGGCAACCTGAGAACTGTGGTCTGCTGCTTAATTAGATTCTCAAGGCAACACTACAGTAGTCTTGAGATTCAGTTAGTACCTAATAGCTCATCACAAGCACATGATAGTAATGATGAAGATTTGCAGCATGATCCTCGTATGCCCAAACATCATATTCCTTTACAGTGTGACATAAGTGTTACTACCTCAGAATAGTATAATTTTCTCCATTCAGTACCGAAAAGATTACTTTATTCAAATTTTACTTCCCAAAGTTTGTTGTAAAAGCATGCATAATAATTTCAAATATTTTTGTCATTGGATATAAACCCATAATACCAATATACAGTAGAAAATAAAGTAGAAAATATTATCTTACAAAAAATAACTGAGGAAGAGGAAAGTGAATTAAGGATACAATTTCAACCTTTACTCTTAATTTCCCTTCGGAGTATCTAGATTATCATTTAAAATTTGTTGAATTATGAATGCTATTCTCATACTACTAATTTACTATTCGAGTATTTTCTTTATTATAATATATTTTATTGGAGATTTTACTATTTCTAAACACGGGGCCTAGTAGATTTATTTTTCTTCACTTTTAGTGCACTTCTTTTTAACTGTGCTAACAGCAATTCCAAGTGTAAATGTTTTCATTTGTCATGCAGAATAAATCAAGAATTTCAGTTTTTATATGTACAAGCTATAGATTTATTATAGGGAAGAAAATACATTAACTTCATGATCTTTGGCTTCAATATTTCATGTGAATGCCTTTCTACTGTGGATATTCATAATAACACATCTCAAAAAAAAGGGAAGAAAGGGATGCTACATTGACTTTTACTCTAATTATACATGTCTTACTCCACTCTGATTTTAGAACTGTAGTCATCAGGAACTATTCGCTGTAATGATCACTAGAAAGACAATATAACCAGTATTATTTAAGGAACAAAAATGCATCAGAATTAATTTGTAGGTCCAGTAAAGATTTGTAGGTCCAGTAAAGATTAAATTGGCTATTTCATAATTCAAAAATTGTGGCTTTTACTTGTTTTGATTTACTAATTTAAATTAATTTTTACTCAAAATAATTAATACATATGTATTTATATATAGTAATAATCATTTTATCTAATAAGCTGACATTGTGAATCCACTGAAACAAATATGTAGATTCAATAGTAAGCTAATTAGTATTCTGTGCACTGGGGAAAATAAATGCCATAAATCTCACGTGTGCTTTGCAAAAGGGACGTAGAATAGGGTATCAACTGGCTTTGAATTAAAGGAAATAATGTATTCTCTTGTGGTCAGCTTTTAATTTCAGTATTCTTTGATGGAAGAATTGTGCAGAGATGATTGCTCATTCCTGTTGTTAAAATATTTATTTATTTATCCCCACAGATGAAACAGTGATGCTACTGTCATCAGAACAGAAGAAACTAATATCAACTCGGTTATATAAATTGAGGAATTTAAAGTAATAAACATTTAAAATAATAGTCTTGACAATATTCAGCTCTTTCCAGAATTACAACTCTTAAGATACTTCAGATGGGAAAGAGAGCTTTAGATATCTGAGGAATAAACCTCAACCTATGAGAGACTCCAGACACGGCAGATATTATCATTTTGATTAGAAGACTTAATTCTGGAAAAGGATTGGTTGTGGAAGATTTTTTCTCATAATTAGTTTGTTTTCTCTTTTTTTTTTTCTCTCTCTCTTACATATCTTGGTCTTTGCAGGTCATTTTCTGACCTTTCTTCATCTCTAGTCAGAGAAGAAGACTCCAGGCTCAGAGCAGATAAAGCAAGAGTAAGTGAGCTTCTGTCCCCTGAGAATCTTTTTCTTAACCTTTTCATGACAATTTTTCCTTCACTTCAGAGTGAAAGTGAGTTAAGAAGGGATTCTTATAGTAGTACCCAAAGGAAAAGAAAACAAAAATATTTCCAAAGGGACAATGATGCCTCATTGCTAGGGATAAACAGGATACTGTATGAATCCAAGACCTGCCATCTCCATCTGAAAGTACACGAGTCACCCATCTAATCTCAAAATGTTAGCCTCATAGCTGATGCTATTAGGGAGTAAGCACTATAAAGAGATAGAAAAAAAAAGACATAGGGAAATAGCTGCTATAGAAAAGAAGAAACAAACAGATGAAGCAGAAAAAGAAACTAATGATTTATCATGAAGATAAAAAATATCCTCATAGAGTTGTAAATTAAAAAGATAATATTGGAAACTTTAACAAGGTTATGAAACCTATAAAAGAAACTAACTGGAAATGATAAAAGATGAGAGACTGAATGCCAAACAGAAGAGCAGGAAACATCTAGAAATATGATAAAAATTTAAGAACATTTGTGATAATGAGAATGAGAAAATTCAAGACTTAGGAATAAAAATCAATACACAAAGAAGAGAGATGAATAACAGATTTTCCACTGGATATGAGGGAACAATGAAATCTACTTTCAAAGTATTAATGAAAATCAAATCAATCATTTTTTAGCAATTATTATAATATTTAAATAAAAGAAAATGGTAAAGAATTTCTTACTCATATGATGATTTAGAAGGTTTATGAAAAGATTATCTGAAAACATTCTTTAATGAAGCAGTCCCATAAAAACAGTTGTAATGCTCAAGAATGAAATGATGCATGTAGAGTTAAACAAATGATTAATTAATCGATAATAGTAAATTTAGTTATTCCATAAAGATAAACAAGAACCAAAAAAAGAAATGATAGCAACATTATGCAAAAAGAATAGGAGAGCAGAGGAAGGAGAAGAGAGGGCTTAGTGTGCTGTTAAGACTTGCATCTTTTGGGATAGCTGTGTTCTCCAGAGAATCTAGTTGCAGTAGCCAAACACTGAACTGATGAGTATAAATTGCACTTCCAAGACCAACTTCAGCTAAGAGAATGGCAATGA
Organism: Homo sapiens; assembly: GCF_000001405.40. NCBI lineage: Eukaryota > Metazoa > Chordata > Mammalia > Primates > Hominidae > Homo > Homo sapiens. Next base: position 66,426,045 of record NC_000018.10, on the reverse strand, counting down.
AAAAGGGAGACTTAAAATGAAAAGTGGAGGAGGGAGAGTATGAGTGTACCAGTTGAGCTCCAAGACTAACCGTTGCCACGGGAAGTTGTCATTTTCTCAATAACCTCCCTTTTCTGAGTTCCCCTTAGAGAGACTGCCCCCCTGGAATCTTGCAGGAGCTTCTCTCTGAATTTCTGTGAAGTAGATCCATGCATTGACATTTCAACGGAAGAATTGCGGCAGCCATGATATCTATGGAAGAAAGAATTTTTCAATCAGCTGTGATGAGCGCATTTAGTTCGCAGCCTCCACCTGCAGAGATTTTGTGTTGGGTTTAAGAATTGAATTAATTCATTTATTGAGTTCTTCCAAGAGTTACTTTTCTATCACAAAGCAAAGTTTATTTCTAAAAGCTGGATCAAAACTAAAGAAGATATGTTCTTTCATGGTCTATATATCTGTTTTTGCACAAATTGTCCAATGTTTCACCACTATGGTTTTATGTCTTTTTTAAATTGAAAAATAGTGTATATATTAGGTTGACACAAGAGTAATTGCGGTTTCTGCCGTTGGAAGTAAAGGCAAAAACCGCAATTACTTTTGTGCCAACCCCAATATTTATTGTATACAAAATAATGTTTTGAAATATGTTTAGATTGTAGAATTGCTAAATTGAGCTAATAAACATGCATCAATTCACACATACTTATCGTACTTTGATGTTGGGAACACTTAAAATCTGCTCTCAACAATTACCAAGAATATAACATATTGTTATTAAGTATATTCACCATGTTGTAAAATAGATCTCATAAACTTATTCCTCCTGTAACTGAAATTGTGTATCCTTTGACTAATATGTTTCCGATTGTGCCTCCCACCTCTGAGCCCCTGGTAAACACCATTCTGCTCTCTACCTCTATGAGCTCACATTTTTTGGATTTCACATGTAAGTAAGATTCTGCAATATTTGTCTTTCTTTTCATGGCTTATTTTATTTAATACCTACCAGATTTACCCATGATGTCACAAATGGCAGGATGACATTTTTATGGCTGAATAGTATTCCATTGTGTATATATGTTACATTTTATTTATCCATTCATTTGTTAATAGGTACTTAGGTTGATTACCCATCTTGGCTACTGTGAATAATACTACAATGAACATGGGAGCGCAACTATCTCTTCAACACACTGATTTCATTTCCTTTGTATGTGTACCCAGTAGTGAATTTGCTGGATCATACAATATTTCTACTTCTGTTATATGAGGAGCCTCCATTCTATTTTGCACAATGCCTGTATTAATTTAGAATCCCACCAGCAGTGCATAAGGGTCCTATTTCCTCCGTATCCTCATCAAGTATTTTATTGTACTTTCATGTTTTTAATAATAGACATTCTAACAGGTTTGAGGTGATATTTTATTGTGGTTTTAATTTGCATTTCTCTGATGATTAGTGATTTTGAACATTTCTCTCATGTCTGCTGGCCATTTTTATGTCTTTTTTTGAGAAAAGTCTATTAAGGTCCTTTGCTCTTTTTTTAATGGGGTTGGTATTGTCGTATTGAGTTGAGTTACCTACATATTTTTGATATTAATCCTTTATGAGATGTTTGGTTTGCAAATATTATTCTTACATTCTATAGGTTGTCTTTTCACGCTGTCGATTGTTTCATTGGCTGCTCAGAAGCTTTTTTTTTTTTTTTTTTTTGATTTGACATAATCCCATTTGTTTGTTTTTGCTTTTGTTGTGTGTGCTTTTGGGGACATATCCAAAAAATTGTTGCCCAGACCAGCGTTATGAAGGTTTTTTTTCTGTTTTCTTTTAGTAAGTTTACAGTTTCAGAACTTATGTTTAAGTGTTTAATACATTTTGAGTTGATTTTTATAGATGGTAAAAGATTAGGACCTAATTTTATTCTTCTGTCTGTGGATATCCAATTATCTCAACACTATTTATTGAAGATTGGCCTTTCCCCATCATGTGTCATTGGCATATTTGACAAAATCAATTGACTATAAGTGTGTGAATTTATATCTAGGCTCTCAATTCCATTCTATTAATCTATGTGTCTCTTTTTATCTGAGACAGAAAAATATTTTAATTACTATAGCTTAAGTATACTTTGAAGTCAATAGTTTGATGCCTGCAGCTTTTTTTTTCTCATGATTGCTTGTTCCATTTGGGACATTTAGTGGTTGCATGCAAATTTCATATTTTTTTTTCTGTTTTTGTGAAAAAAAAGTCATTGGAATTTTGATAGGACTTGCATTGAACCTATAGATTTCTTTGAGTAGTATGGACACTTTACCAATATTAATACATTCAGTCCATGAACATGAATATTTTAAAATTTATGTCTTCATTTTTACCCATGTTTTATGGTTTTCAGTGTATGGGTTTTGTTCCTCTTTTGTTAAATTTATTTCTAAATATTTTAATTTTCATAGCTATTGACAGTGGGATTATTTATTGATTTCTTTTTGGCTTAGTTCATTGTTAGTAAATAGAAACCCTACTAATTTTTGTAAGTTGTCTTGGTATCCAGAAACTTTACTAAATTTGCTTATTAGTTCTAAAAGTTTTTGGTGAATAATTATATATATATATATATATATATATATATATATAAAAGATCATATCATCTGCAAACAAGAACAATTTAAATTATTTTGTTCTCTTGCCTTATTGCTCTGGCTAGGACTTTCAGTACTACATTGAATAGAATTGATGAGAGTGGGCATCCTTTTCTTGTTCCTGATCTTAAGGAAAAAGCTTTCAACTTTTCTCCATTGCATATTATGTGGGTTTGTCATTTATATCCTTTATTTTATTGATATTCCTTCTATATCTATATTCCTTCTATACCTGATGTGTTGAAAGTTTTTATCATGAAATAATGTTGAATGTTGTCAAATGCTTTTTCTGCATCTATTGAGATAATCGTGGTATTGATTGTCCTTCACTCCATTGATGTGGTATAGCACATTTTTTGGTTTGCATATGTTATACTCCCCTTGCATCTTGGAAATAAATCACACTAGATAATGTTTGATGATTCTTTTAATGTGCTGTTGAATTCAGTTCACTAGTATTTTGTTGAGGATTTTTGCATCTATGTTCATCAGAGTTATTAGCCTGTAATTTTCCTTTCTTGTAGTGTCGTTGTGTGGCTTTGGTATCAGGGTGATGTGGGAGTTTGGAAGTATTTCCTCTTTTCAGTTTTCTGAGACAGTTTGAGAAGAATCAGTTCTTTAAATGTTTGGAAGCAGCACTGAAGCTATCAGTAACCTGAACTTTTGTTTGATGGGGGACGTTTTATTATTGATTCAATCTTCTTGCTCATTACTGGTCTGTTCATATTCTCCATTTTTCATGATTCAGTCAGATTGTATGTGTATAGTAATTTATATATTCTAGTGTATCCTATTTGTTAATATATAATTAATCATAATAGTCTCTTATGCTTCTTTGTATTTCTTCGATATCAGCTGTAATGTCTTCTCTTTCAATTCTGATTTTATTTATTTGAGCCTGCACCATCTTTTTCTTAGTCTAGCTAAATGTTTGTTAATTTTATCTTTTAAAAAATTCTTAGTTTTTTTAATTTTTTCTATTGTTTCTCTAGTGTCTACTTCATTTATTTCTGTTCTGATCTTTGTTATTTCTTTCATTTAACTAACTTTGGGCTTAATATTGTTTTCTTTTTTCCTATTTTCTTGAGGAAAAATATAAAGTTGTTTATTTATCGTTCTCTTTTTTGACGTAAGCATTTATTGTTATAAACTTCCCTCTTTGAACTGCTTTTGCTACATCCCATACATTTTCATATGTTGTGTGGCCATTTTCTCTTGTCTCAGGTTATTTTTTAAATTGTGCTTTTAATTTCTTCTTTGACACATTGGTTGTTTAGGAGCATATTGTTTAATTTTCATTTGTCTGGGAATTTTTCAAATAGTGAATGCCATTTCCATAAACCCAGCCCACAATTTCACTTACTGTGAAATAGGTTTTCTACTCTTATTTGAGAGTTCGTGCAAGTGTATCAAGAACTCCATTACTGAGGCTCTATAAGCTGAAATGTTTGACTAGAAAGGATTAAAGTTGAAATCTAGGGCCCACCAAACATGGATCTGTGGTAACTGAGCTTGATGTTTGGACCCTGGTAGGCTGCATCTTAAATAGTTGGTAATCCTGGTTTAACTCTGAATTATAATTGGTAAGCTTAAATTAAGCCAGTGCTCAAAAGAATTGACTCAAAACTTTGCATCATCTGACTGCACATAAAATTCTAAGTATAGAGAAATATTAATTTATATATTTCAATATATTTCTACTATTTTCTTTCAAATAAAATGTCTAGAAAAATTTAAGAGATAATCATGGACTGATAGAAAGCCTGTTTGACAATGTTTTATTCATTGTATTGGGTAGTAATTTTATAGGTATTATATTAACCAATTAAAGTATATTTCTGTGTTTCTAATTTTGTGTTACACTTGTGTTATATATTCTCAATTGTTTTCAAATAATAATAAATTTAAAATGTAAAATAAAACAAAATATATCTTTCCAAGTGCCATGAAGGATGGTTCATGAGAATGAATTATATATTTCCCCCCCCCAAAAAAATTCAAATGTTCCTCCAAACTAGAAATGCCTTCTGCAATGTTATATCAATAAAATAAAAATAAAACTCAAAACATACATTTAGAAGAAAGAGGTCATTTTATTTTAAAATTTATTTTAAAACTTTCGTGTGAAACAAACAAACAAAAACCAGAAAACTCAGACCCCTAGAAAAATAAAATCAAGTCACATAGTTTAAAAAATAATAATAATGAAAACATTTCTCATTAGAATCTATGGGTAGAGCTAAAGCAATGCTTAGAAATAAATGGCTTGGAACATTTATGCCATTGTGTATGTGCATATAGATTTATAGATTAATAGCTTTAAATACTTTTTAATGAAAATAAATGAATTATGTATCTGAAGCAAGGCAATGTTTAAGAAAGCTGTCAGAAGCCAGTAGTAAAAAAAGAAGTAAAGATAAAAAAAGTAATTAATGAGTTACAAAGCATAAAATCAGTAAACCGTGTATGTAAATAAAAAAGCTTGCCCCTAGGGGAAAGGCAGTAAAAGGGATATATTTCTCAATGATTTAATCTGGAGACACAAGAAGAAAACACAAACACGCAAAATAAGAAATAGCAAGTGAGAAATAACAATCAAAGGGCATGGAAAGTTTTTAAAAAATAACAAATTTCAAGTTTGCACAAGTCTATGTAAATGCATATAAAAATCTGACCTAAAATATAAATTTACCAAACTGATGTAAAATAGAAAAGTCTAAATAGATCAATTTATCATTTCATTGTTTCTAAGGTGAAACGTATCTCCACAGAGGATAAAACAATGAAAAACATGGGAATTAATGGATAAATGTTTCTTTAGCAAATATGTGTATATGTATATTTGTTTTTATATATACACATACACACACACATTCCCAATCCACCATCTTTTCTGGTAATACATGCTTTTGAAAAAGAAATCCAGTTCTGCTGTTCATTTACAGTTTCCCAAATGATGCCCCAAAAAAACAAATAACCAAGTGAATCATTCTGAAGTGCCATCTCCCAACTGAACCTTCTTCAGTGTCTGGTTCTGGTTCTGATACTCACAGTCATGCACAGCATCCAAGGCCATGGTGGTGGGAGAGAGAAGAAAGATTTGTACTAGAGCAGCAGCACACCTAAGGGACTCGCAGCTGTTGGAAGAATCCAGGAACAATCACTAGCCGGGAGAGTCAGGTCTGCCCTTCCATCACCAGCACATTGCTTGCCATCCTTACGCCCCACCACTTTTTAACCATGACTCAACATCTAGAAGTCATCAATAAATCTGTGACTTAAAACAAAACCAAATAAAGCAAATCTACAGGATAAACTACTTAAGAAGTCAAAGTAGAGAGATAAATGACAAAATGAAAAAAATACTTGTGCTTTCTATCACAGCAATGACTTGTCACTATGTATATTTTAAGCATACATAGATTGACCCTCCTAGTTTATAAAAATGATCTTAAACTTTGAGGAAAAATACATCTATATAAAAATAACAAATATACAAAGATAATTTATTTATGAAAAATATAGTGAATTAAAGAGTAGCTTACTGTAGGTTTAGGTTCTAAGAATGATTGTCAGAAAAACACAGAGAATTAGTTCCCAGAGGGAAGTACTGGATCTTCTATAATTGTGAGACTGGAGAACCAGGAATTCTAATTGCTGACTCAGAATGACACTGTCTTGGTTACAATTCGGAGAGAAAAAAAGTAGCTGACTTAAGGACCACAATACTTCCACTACCTTTCACACACACCGAAAATTAGATTTGCCCACAGACACCCACAAAATTAGAAAGCACACCTCTCTGTTACCAACACTCCGGAAAAACTAAACACTGTCTCAGCCTCACTTTAGTGTTCCGAATCTTCTTACAATGCACCTGCTTGTGGAAGCCAGGTCACATGCACAAAACAAACGGTGACTTAGACTGCAAGAAGAAAAGGAGTTGAACTGCAGTTGAGTGACCCAATAATTATTATATGCCCTGGTCTACCCTTTAGTCAATCTTTATAAATCCATCCCATATTTAAACTTCTAAAATATAACAGTATTGTGTCTTCACCTAATGTAACTACTCATTTAACAACGACAACAAGGAAACAAGCAATCAAATGAAAAACACATTTCAATCCTTCTCCAGAGGAGATACAAGATCTAACTAATCACAATATTCATTCTGTGTAATATTACTTGCATCTTAAGCACAGTAGTTATCTTACTTGCTATTTTATTGTCTACAGGGACCGTGGGTTAGTCTTTGCAGATGTCTCACATAATATTCGAATACTTTCCCACAGCTTGTATTGCTTTGAATATGCATCTTTTGATATACGAAGAAATAAAGGATTGATTATAACAAGTATTTCTTTGATTGATTATAACACATGCCCCTTTTCAATTTTTGTGACTACTTCTTTCAGTGTCAAATTTGTTAAAGAGTCATGCTATCTGCAGTGGAATGTGTCTAGTATTTCACAGTTCTTTGGATAATGGGGAATTTTAAAAAATCACTTATTCTTGATTCTAAATCATGGTTCTCTTTGTCTCATGGGAGCCTGAGGTTCTATTGCAATGCTTGTTATTTCTCTTTTTTCTATCAAAGATATGTCCCTAGATTTTATAAAATATGTGAAGTTGTGCAAGATTTTTTGGTTACATTTTTCACAATCCAGAGTCATTTGCAAGTACAAGAAAGGGTAATAAGCTCAGTTTTCTATATGTAGATTTGCTATGGCAGATCACGTTATTCTTTATGTACTCCTTCCTAGCATATTATCTTATAGGATAAGATATTGGGCAGATTATATTTATTTTTGGTTCAGTATTAAGATTTGTTTGATCAATGGAATTGGTAAAGCAGTTACAATCTCATAGTTCTGAGCCAAGTCCTCAAGAAGCTACTCACATTTCTGTCTATTCTATTGCACTTCTGTGAACCCCCGTGAAAATAGTGTACACAACCAGCTGCTGTTCAAAGATAGTGCGGAGACAAGTGGAGCAGATGTGAACACAACACAAAGACTAAAGCCAAGGCTGCTTGGCCCAAGGCCTCAAAGAGAGCTTCTCCATCAAACCTAAAGACAAGTGAAAGAGAAAATAAAACACTCTGGATGTGTTTTGTTATACAATATGATTTTAGCAAAAATGGATGAAGAGAGTTGGCAAGCAAAATCATGTATTGCATTTTATCTTCATATTAAAGATTAATTTAGGCAGGAAAAGTTTCTGTGTTCCATTTTATACTTACCTGATTATAAATAGCTTAATAACTACCTAGAAGGCATATCAGAAGAAATTATTGTTTGAGAAATTGTCAATCTCAATAGCATGTTGGAAGAGATCATATTTAAAGCATGCATTTTGTCAATAAAATTGAGTCACTTTCTCATAAATCCACTAGTAGAGATAGCAATTTTATTTACACAATGCTTATGCACCAACTCGGATTTTCTACCTGTCCAGGGTGGTAATCTAATATTTCAAAGGGTCTAGGTCTGTTGAATAACTAGATTATTCAGTAACAAAAATAAGCTGATTCCCAAAGAGATGTACTAGTGAGGATAGTAAGGAAAGCTTGGCTTTTTTAAATAAAGCTATTGTGTGGGCATATATCCAGCAATTTATTCGTATTGTTTAAGTAGAAATGACCTAAGTCAACCAAAAAATTATAACTAAAAAATTTACAATTTATTTTGAATTTTTGCTTGCTATTTTTCTAGTAGCAATTTCTAATTCATTCACCTGCAAAATTAAATAGATTAATATAAGGCAATGCATGCTTTTCTCGATTAGTGGCTATCTTCAGAAGGGAAGATGGACAGATTTAGTGAAGTTCTACTTAGTGAGGTCTTAGGAAACTCATTAAGAATTTGGGAAACTGCAGGGCAGAATGAAACTGCAGGGCAGAATGAAACTGCTAATGACAGGTTGAGCAGGCTAACATTCAGACTACTAATTAGTTCTGTGGTATAATATATGTAAATCGTCACTTGGCAACTTCAACTTGGTGAATCATAGTTATTGTAATACTACACTGTATTTTGTGCCTGTCAAGGTAAACCACTTGACTAAAGGCTTCTGTATCCGAGAAGACATAGCACTGAGACAAATATGAGAAGCAAGTAGGCATTAAACAAAATATGTTTATAATGGCAACAGAAACAACACAGAGAAATAATACAGAACATTCCCATTTTATCAGAAAAAAAAGAATATGCCAACATGGAGCTAATAATCTCAAAGAAAAATAGTCAAACAGAAAATCACTATGTTTTACTAGTTTTTTTTTCTTTTTCTAACTCTATGATCCACCATCTCCAGTATATTTAAATTTGACCCACTTGGCAAGAAATTGCTGACAATTTCTTGTCTTCAAGTCTTCAAGACTAAAGGGTCTGGATGTGTTTTTCATATATATGTATAAGATTTTTTATTATGCACAGTTACAGCAATAACTTACAAAGTAGTTATTACTTATACATTATAAGTTACACAATTAGTATATTAGCTATAAGTTAAACTTACACAATAAGTTACATTTATAATATATAATATAATAAACTTGTCACCTTGTGTAATTTATAACATAGCTATAACTTTGAATATTATCTAGAATGAGAATAATCTGTCAAGTCTTCTGTTGCATGCTGATTTTCTGTGGCTCAAGTTAGCATTTTTTGTTAGGACTTTGTCCTTATGCTCAATAGCACAAAGGAGATTGCCTCAAGTGACTAAATGGCACATTCTTTACCTAACAAATTGTATAAGTTAATTACTTATGTATACTGCATCTAAACTCTGTGATAATAGGAACATCATAAGCTGGATTGAATCTGGAAGAAATGTGTGATTTGTTTACAAACTTTACCTTGAAAGGAATCCATACATGACCCCATATAAAGAATATATTACCTTCCTACAAAGAACATGGATATTTTCAGGTAGAGACCTGAAAGCAAATATTTTTTTCCAACATAGATTACTTAGTGTAATAGTTAATTGGTGATCGGTATTTCACGGTGGAACAGGGGCTCTGAATTCTAGAAATTCAAGTAGAGATAAGTATAAGATAAAATCTGATTCCTGCACTGTACTACCAGTATTTAAAACTGAGAAGCTCTTTCTTATTTTTAGTTTTCAAGAAGGGTTTTAGAAAGTGGCTGACAAAATCAATTAACACACTGGGTTTTCTACAGTCCTTACTGTTTCTGCTAATATTAGACACTAGGAAGAATAAAATTTCATGAACCATTTTCAGTTTCATTGACTTGTGCATTTTTGATAAGAGTCTCCCTTGATCCTGATTGTCTCACGATGTGTTTTTCTTTAAACTTAAGAATATTAAGTTGAAAAGCAAAACATTTTGACACTGTATCTTCCCATTTATTTCAATGGCAGACAGTGATCAATCATTTGTCTCAGTCTGTGGAATCTGCATCTCAGCTCTGTTCAATAAAGTGATTTTAAATTGCTTTTGAACTCTGGGATAAAGGTCATGAACAAATATGGCCCTTAATCCTGAAGAACATTTTCAGTGGCTTCAATTCCAAATGGCATTCAAATATGTTAGTTATTCTTCACATTCATAACAAGTTACCTACACTCTCACCTTTGGTATGTTTACAAGTGTTTATTTTTGTTCAATCTGACCTACAGGTGATGAATGCAAAAAAAACCCTGTGTCTGCCAATTTCTCTGAGGCTGCGTTTGCAAATTCTTTTCTTTATTATAATCCTACTTAAAGTTATGGGATACATGTGCAGAACGTGCAGGTTTGTTACATAGGTACACATGTGCCATGGTGGTTTGCTGCACCCATCAACCCATCATCTACATTAGGTATTTCTCCTAATGCTATGCTTCCCATAGGCCTCCACCCCCTGGTGTGTGATGTTCCCCTCCCTGCGTCCATGTGTTCTCATTGTTCAACTCCCACTTATGAGTGAGAACGTGTGGTGCCTGGTTTTCTGTTCCTGTGTTAGTTTGCTGAGAATGATGGTTTCCAGCTTCATCCATGTCCCTGCAAAGGGCATAAACTCATCCTTTTTTATGGCTGCATAGTATTCTATGGTATATAAGTGCCACATTTTCTTTAACCAGTCTTTAATTGGTGGGCATTTGGGTTGGTTTCAAGTCTTTGCTATTGTGAACAGTGCCACAATATAAACATACGTGTGCATGTGTCTTTATAGTAGAATTATTTATAACCCTTTGGATATCTACCCAGGAATGGGATTGCTGGGTCAAATGGCATTTCTGGTTTTAGATCCTTGAGGAATTGCCACACTGTCCTCCACAATGGTTGAACTAATTTATACTACCACCAATAGTGTAAAAGCATTCCTATTTCTCCACATTCTCTCCACCATCTGTTGTTTCCTGACTTTTTAATGATTGCCATTCTAACTGGTGTGAGATGGTATCTCATTGTGGTTTTGATTTGCATTTCTCTAATGGCCAGTGATGATGAGCTTTTTCACATGTGTTTGTTGGCCACATAAATGTTTTCTTTTGAGAAGTGTCTGTTCATATCCTTCACCCACTTTTTGTTGGGGTTTTTTTTTTCTTCCTGTAAATTTGTTTAAGTTCCTTGTGGCTTCTGGATATTAGCCCTTTGTCAGATGGATAGATTGCAAAAATTTTATCCCATTCTGTAGGTAGCCTGTTCATGCTGATGATAGCTTATTTTGCTGTGCAGAAGCTCATTAGTTTAATTAGATACTATTTGTCAATTTTGGCTTTTGTTGCCATTGCTTTTGGTGTTTTAGTCACCAAGGCTTTGCCCATTCCTATGTTCTGAGTGGAATTGCCTAGGTTTTCTTCTAGGGTTTTTATGGTTTTAGGTCTTGTGTTTAAGACTTTAATCCATCTTGAGTTAATTTTTGTATAAGGTGTAAGGAAAGGGTCCAGTTTCAGTTTTCTGCATGTGGCTAGCCAGTTTTCCCAACACCATTTATTAAATGGAGAATCCTTTCCCCATTGCTTGTTTTTGTCAGGCTTATCAAAGATCGGATGGTTGTAGATGCGTGTCATTATTTTTGAGGCCTGTGTTCTGTTCCTTTGATCTATACTTCTGTTTTGATACCAGTACCATGTGGTTTTGGTTACTGTAGGCTTGTAGCATAGTTTGAAGTCAGGTAGCGTGATGTCTCCAGCTTTGTTCTTTTTGCTTAGGATTGTCTCAGCTATATTATTTTTATGTATATATTTATATACGTATTTCCATATGAAATTTAAAATAGTTTTTTTCTAATTCTGTGAAGAAAGTCAATGGTAGCTTGATGGGGATTGCATTTAATCTATACATTACTTTCCATCTTACATGCAAAGACACACATAGGCTTAAAATAAAAGAATGGAGGAATATTTTCCAAGCAAATGGAAAGCAAAAAAAAGCAGGGTTTACAATCCTAGTCCCTGACAAAACAGATTTTAAACCAAAAAAGATAAAAAAAAAAAAAGACAAAGAAGGGCATTACATAATGGTAAAGGGATCAATGCAAATTCTTATTTATTTTCAGACCATTTTTTTTTTGTTTATTAGGTTAGCCTATGCATACATTTTATGGCGCTTATCTGCTGGGGAGATAACCCCATATAAGTGGTTAAAATCCTGCCAATCAAGTTTGTAACAGTAACAAACATGGAGAAAATTAAAAGAATCATATTGACTGTCTCTTTTTATTAACTTATTTTAGCTGCAGGGATACACGTGCAGTTTGTTACACAGGTAAACTGATGTCACTGGGGTTTGTTGTACAGATTCTTTCTTCACTCAGCTACTAAGCCTAGTACCCAGTAGTTATCTTTTTCTGATCCTCTCCCTACTCCCACTCTTTACACTCAAGTAGGCCCCAGTGTCTATTGTTCCCCACTTTGTGTCCAAGTGTTCTCAACATTTAGCTCCCACTTATATGTGAGAACATATGGTATTTGGCTTTCTGTTCCTGCATTAATTTGCTAAGGATGATGGCCTCCAGCTTCATTCATGTTCCTGCAAAATACGTGATCTCATTCTTTTTACGGCTGCATAGTATTCCATGGTGTATATGTACCATATTTGCTTTATCCAGTCTACCATTGATAAGCTTTTAGATTGATTCCATGCTTTCGCTATTGTGAATAGTGTTTCAATGAACATATTCATGCATGTGTCTTTATGGCAGAAGGACTTATATTTTTTTTGGGTATAAACACAGCAATAAGATTCCTGTTAAAATGGTAATTCTGTTTTTAGTTCTTTGAGTGACTGCCACACTGCTTTCCACAATGGTTGAATTAATTTACACTTCCATCAGTAGTGTGTAAGTGTTCCCTTTTCTCCACAACCTCACCAGTATCTGCAATTTTTTGACTTTTTAGTAATAACCATTCTGAGTGGTTTGAGATAGAATCTCATTGTGGTTTTGATTTGTATTTCTCTAATGATCAATGATACTGAGCTTTTTTCATATGATTGTTGGCTGAATGTATGTCTTCTGTTGAGAAGTGTCTATTCATGTCCTTTGCCCACTTTTTAATGAGGTTGGTTTTTTTTTTTGTAAATTTGCTTAAGTTTCTTATAGACACTGGATATTAAACCTTTGTTGGATGCATAGTTTGCGAAAATTTTCTCCCATTCTATAGGTTGTCTGTTTACTCTGTTGATAGTTTATGTTACTGTACAGAAGCTCTTAAACTTGATTAGATTTCATTTGTCAATTTTTGTTTATGTTGCAGTTGCTTTTGGCATCTTCGGCATGAAATCTTTGCCAGTTCCTATGTCCAGAATGATATTGTCTAGGTTGTCTTCCAGGGATTTTATAGTTTTGGGTTTTATATTTAAGTCTTTAGTCCAACTTGAGTTGATGTTTGTGTAGGGTGTAAGGAAGGGGTTCATTTTCAGGCTTCTGCATATGTCTAGCCAGTTACCCCAACACCATTTAGTTAATAGGGAGTCCTTCAACCGTTGCTTGTTTTTATCAACTTTGTCGAAAATCAGATGGTTGTAAATGTGTGGCCTTTTTTCTGGGTTCTGTATTGTGTTCTATTGCGCTACATGTCTGTTTTTGTACCAGCACCATGCTGTTTTGGATACTGTAGCCCTGTAGGATAGTTTGAAGTTGGGTAGCATGATGCCTCCAGCTTAATTCTTTTTGCTTAGGATGGTCTTGGCTATTTCGGCTCTTTTTTGGTTCCATGTGAATTTTAAAATAGTTTTATTGAATTACGTGAAAATATCATTGGTAGTTTGATAGGAATAGCACTGAGTTTGTAATTTGCTTTGGGCCATATGGCCATTTTAATGACATTAATTCTTTCAATCCACTAGCATGGAATGCTTTTCCATTCATTTGTGTCATCTCTGATTTCTCTGAACGGTGTTTTGTGATTAACATTGTAGAAATCTTTCACTTGACTGGTTAGCCGCATTCCTACATATTTTATTCTTTTGATGGCAGTTGTGAATGGGATTGCATTCCTGATTTGGTTCTCTGATTGCCTGTTGTCAGCATATAGAAATGCTAGTGATTTTTTTGTATATTGTGTTTGTATCCTGAAACTTTGGTTAAGCTGAAGGAGCTTTCAGATTCCCTGGAAAAAAGCAGTAATTCTTTCTGAATTTGAATCAGTAATAAATAACCTATCAACAAACAAAAGCTCAAGGTCAGACAGATCCACAGCTGAATCCTACCATACATAAAAAGAAAGGCTGGTACCATTCCTACTAAAATTATTCCAGAAAATTGAGGTGCAGGAACTCCTCCCCAAATCATTCTCTGAGGCCAGCATCATTCTGATACCAAAACCTGACAGACACCACACTTACAAAAGAAAACTTCAGGCCATTATTTTTGACAAACGTTGATACAAACTTTCTCAACAAAATACTACAAATCAAATTTAGTGGCACATCAAAAACCTAATCTACCACCGTCAAGTAGGATTTATCCCTGGGATGCAAGGTTGGTTTAACATATGTCAATCAATTAATGTGATTCATCACACAAACAGAACTAAAGACAGAAATCGTATGGTTATCTCAATGGGTGCAGAAAAGTCTTTTGATAAAAGCCTTTACATCCCTCAACATCCCTTCATGTTAAAAGCTGTCAATAAACTAGTTACTGAAGGAACATACCTAAAAATAATAGGAGCCATCTATGACAAACCAACAGCCAACATTATACTGAATAGGCAAAAGCTGGAAGCATCTCCTTCAAAAATCTGCACAAGACAAGGATGCCCTCTCTGACCACTCTTACTCAACACAGTGTTGGAAATCCTTGCCAGATCAATCAGCAAGAGAAAGAAACAGAAGGCACGAGATGAAATCAAACTCTTGCTGTTTGCAGATGACATGATTCTATGTCTAGACTCTGTTTCTATTGGAGAATAATCTGAACTGTGACTTTGGACAGTTTTTAATTAAGCAGTTTATGCCCCTTTGTGAAACTGTTGGCTGAAACATCCATCACACTTTCACGTTCTGCTGTGTACTCACATCTACACTGAAACTAAACATTTGGGCTCTCATTTCTCAAATGGCCTATGTGTGTGAGGATGAATCTGCAGCAGAGTCGCATGACTCACCACACTGAAAGGTAGGACTGGAGGGATTTGCACACAGGGTTCAGCATTGGCTCAGTTTACAATTCCTACAAAAGGAATTTAGGCTTTAAGTCTGAGTTTAAGGTGAATATATATTTTTAGCTTGGTTCGATTTTTCTACAACATATACATAGATCAAAACATCATATTATATCCCACAAATATACAAATATGCATAATTATTACTTGTTAGTTAATAACAAATCTGAAAATTAAGAAGAAAAATGTACAGGAAGAGATTATGACTACGAGATGACAATGCTACAACTTATTATTTTTTATGATTGCTTATATTTTATGAATCATTAATATTCTTAGATTGTGATTATATTTTTCTTTAACACAGAATCTTTTTCATTATGCCTAGCTGAACACAATCCAACCAGAGTTTCAGGTCAATAACTTTCACTCTCTTGGAGGTGAATACATTGACTTAAACCAAGTGCCAAACAATACAAACAACAGCTTTATTTTGTTATCATTATCCATGGTATTGCATTGTTGTTAGACCTTGTATGTACATTCTCTATAATTATATAAGAATGAACAAGTATTTTCTTACACACAGCATTCTGTCTTGAGATCTTTTGTGCATTTCATGTATTTTAATTAACTCAATTATTCCTTATAATTAAACAATTTTAATTTATTTTATAGTTTAATTTGAAATCTTTCTTGCAAAAAGATTTTTACTTTACATCCAAATTATCTTTTCTTGATAATACCCTATCATGGACTGATACTTGCTTTCGAGTTTTTCTACTTCCAGTCATAGGGGCTTGAGAACAGTTACTTAATGACTTGATAGCTTACCAGCCCTAAACATAGTGCTGAAACATGTTATTTCTCAGTGGTCCTTACAAATTACATAATATCTCTTGAAACTCATTTTATTTACATCGTGCTCCTAAGTCTGACTGAATGCACAAGTTTGTCAAACACACTATGCCAAATGTATAAACTTTTATTTAAAAGAGAATCTCATGGTTGTGGTGTCTTATACTAAGTACCATCCATCCTCTTGGATACTTCATTCTGATATCACAGGCTAATTAATTGTGACGGGACACCTAAAGAATCTGCATATCCAGGTAAGCCATCTGAAGTCTTGGCATTTATTGCAACAGCATTGACAATAAAGTCAATTACTGCCACAATAAATACCAAGATTTCACAAACTGATCTATCAGAAATCAGGAAACATCTTACAATCAGCAACTTACAATTGTAATTATAATTCTGTTTGGTAAATGACATGGCACAAATTACAGTCAGTGGTAATTTGAGTTTGATGAAAAATGGCACATTTTCCTGTAAAGGCAGTGAAGAATATATTTTAGATGATTGCACTAATAAATCACCAAATAAACAGATTTCAGTATGGGATATCTGGTCTATTTGACAGGGAATCCTAAAAACAGATAAAAGGAAACTTCTTGGGAAGTCTGGACTTTTTAGTGGAACATAACAGGATTTTCTGCTATAGACTCTAAGGATCTCCCAAGGTTTTTAAGCCTACTCATTTTAGCAGTGTATATTTTGTCAGGTATTTCAAATATGAGAAACTGAGTCACACAGCCTGGAAAATAAACCATAATACCAATTCACATAAGAGTTTTTTGGCTGAATCATTCGTCTTAGTCAAGGAAATGAGCTTCTTTAATATCTCAAACTACATAATCACCAATCTGATCTTGGATGGCATAGATATGTCATTCCTGACATTTGCAGAATTATTTCAGAGGCACACACACTCAAGGGGTAGTCTCATTTACTTAGAGACTTTCAGATCCATGCTAGAATAAAGGAAGATGCTTTCTAGAAAAAAAAAAGATTTACCTGATATAATTCTGTGTTTATATCAGTTTTTAGAAGGAGGTCTAGTCAAATTATACTCTATGCTATCAGAAATATTGGTGTAGGAATAACTATGTTAAAATAAACTATAGAAAATGATGGTTGAGAAAATTTCAGAGATTTTTGATTTCTGTAATTTGACCATAAAGACAAAGTGTGAATGTAAATAAAAAGGAACTAAGAATATCAGGAAGAATGTATGGCAAGAAAATCGAGGCACATCAATGAATGAATGAAGACATGCCAAAAATTGTTGAGAGTTTCATAATCCAAAAGGCCAGTACACTCATTCCTAAAATTGAGGCAGTATTCTTTCCTTTCAGGTTTCTAGAAATAGGAAGGCATTGAATAAAAAATTACAGGAATTTGCTTAGAAAACACATTATGTTTCCATTTGCTTCTTCTTGGACTCTGCAACTATGGTTAATGCTGCTGTATAGTATTTCTAAAACTCTGCCCATGCTATCATAATAGCCCAACATTACACATAATAACTAGTTGATCTATTCTGTAATGTGACAAGAGGGCAATTAGTCCTTCACCTGAAAGCCTGAGGTATAAAAACATCTTTGCTGCTTATACCCACTTGTTTCATTGCTCCCCCTGTATCTACCTGTTGTCTGAACAATTTGTGCAGAATCTCTAACTCTTTCAGAAAGATGGTCTCATCAGAGTAGAGGTGGAACTATTTCTAGTCCAGGTCAAATACCTACTTCTATTATTATATGCAATTTACAAGTGGTCATGCAAACCATTTAAGCTTTTTTAAAACATGTCTCTATTATTATTTTTTATTCTAGTTAAATTGTTGGCCATGAACGGGAGGTATCAATACATATTTTCAGCTATCTTCAACAATTTTAGAAGCTTTATATTTCAAAATATATTTTTTCTCGTTTAAACAGAGATATACTTAATTTCTCAGAAATTATTTTTTCTACAAATTCCATTTTACCTTTTCCTGGCTATTCCTTGTTTCTCGTAACTCTTTGGGTTATGAATTTGAATATTATTACATGGTCAGGTGGATGACTCATTGCCCTCAGTCTTAGATTTTCAAAATCACCAGAATTTGAACATTTGTATTTACTGTTATTTTACTACTATACCTATTTTGATTACAGAGAAATAATTGTAATAAATTTTCAGCTTGTTTTAAATATCCATATAAAATTTTTCAGTATTTCTCCATAAATATTTTGAATAGCATAAGTGATGAAAGAAAATAAGGTTGGTTGTATAAACATATTAATGGAGAAATTGAGTTAGAAGCAAATAAATAAATAAGATGTAATCATTGACCAGGTCATAGTAACACACATAGTAAAATTTCATTGAATAATTTTTAAATATCATTTAGAAAGGAATTTATATCCCTTTAAAGCACAAGTTGAAGATCACTTGTAGAAACCATATTCTATGGTATAACATAAATATTTAGGGACTATATAAAACAGGTAAAAGGATGATGGTTTAAGTCAAGATATTATGCCCTATTTCTTAAAAAAAAAAGGAAAAAAATCTTATTTCTATGATGCTACATTCCTTCCAGGCTCACGTCTGCCTTAAAACAAAAATATCCACATGATTATCTTTCTTATTGTTTCCATTTCCTCAATTCCCATTCATCCCGTTATGGATTTTTATTAATATGAAAAATTTCACACGGCTTTCACATAAAACCTGTTTCAGAAACACAATTTACTCTCCCACAAAAACAAATAAATAAATAAAAACTAGATACTATATATGAAACAAAGATTTTCAAAATAGTGGACAAAATGCAACAAGCAACACGAGGACTGTACTTAATACTATTGTATTGAATTTGGGATTTCTGCTAAAAGAGTAGATTTTAGGTGTTCTTGCCACACACACATACAAATAGGTAACTGTGAGATGATGACTATGTTTATTTGCTTGGCTATCTATATGCACTATCTATATGCACATCACTATCTATATGCACATCAAAACATCATGTTGCGCACCTTAAATATATACAATAAAATGTTGTAAAAGGAAATGAAGTAGACTGATTTCTGAAACAAGGGAAATAGGCTGGTTGTGTCCTGTGATTTCCCAGACAAATGTCTTGAGAGAGTTTCCAGGATGTGACACTAGAAGGAGAACAGCGGATGAAAATGCTGGACTGCCTGATTTGAGTGAGTGGAGCCGAGAATCCAAGGGAACAAAAACAGCTAGAGTTTACAGCCTATTGCTAATTTTTCAAGATTTGTACAAGCTGGTTGTTAAACATAGGCATTATTAACATTGAATTATATTAGGTTACAATAAAATAAAATACTTTGAAACAAAGCCAACAAATTCTCAAAACATCACTTCTAATTATATTCCTACATTTTACTATCACCTATAGTTTGGCAGCTATTTACATGTATGGAATCTGTATGGTGGAAACCTCACTCAGGCACGTAGAAAGAGAGAGAGAGAGAGCATGAGAGATACAGCAGAAACCCGCCCCGAGTGTTTGACACGTGCAACAAAAGTGGGGAAGGCAGGTGGTCGCCGGTTTCCACTCTGGCATATATTTAATGATTTAGCCAAATACCACGTTGTTGTAAGTAACATACTCCTGCTCCCAACTCTATTTTTCTACAGCGACATTAGAGAAGTGAGAGAAAGATGTCTCTTTTCATATACAATGTGTACTCTTGTGAAGTGCTTTAACAAACAGGCACTATTTTGAAAAACAACCAAGCTATTATTTCATTATTGTAAAGTTTGTAACATTTATCATGTAATTAGTACCAGTACTTACCCTAGTTCAACAATTAATGAATTCAATTCTTACTATCATGGCTACTCCATTACAGACTGAGTGAAGTCTCAGTTTCTGTTCTCAGGAAATAGCTATTACATTGGGCTGTCACATATTGGAGAACATCTGTTAGTGTTCTACTAAGGCAGATGTCCAAAATTCATCAGCTATTTTTCCTATGTAGGTGATTCTTGGGGCATGCTGGCAATGGTTCAAATTATTTCTATATCCTTCAGGTCTAAAAATCTTAGCAGAATGTGTGCTTTTAATGTTCTGTTACATTTTCTTGTTCATATTCTGTATTTTCAATCTACATATTCAAGGTAATTCTGCAGGCAACGCTTGTTTAAAGGGACATTTTTACCATTTTTGGTTTGATTTTTTTCTTTTTATGGGAAGGTTCACATAGCCTTATTTAGCTTTACTTTTGCCTATAATCAATATTTTTTAATTTTCTTCACATAATTTTACTGCAGTTATATTCCAATTAAAATTGCTTATTTCCTCAAGTCCCCTATCCTAAATTCTACTTTTTTTGTACTACTGTCATTTCTGTGTTGATTTTTTTTTAATTCCATATTTCTTTCTTCAGTTAGGCTGGCTTTTTATCTGTCTGTTACCATTAATCTTTACATATTTTTATTCTGGGCCCAGCGCGGTGCCTCACACCTGTAATCCCAGCAATTTGGGAGGCCGAAGCGGACAGATCACAAGGTCAGGAAATCAAGACCATCCTGACTAACACGATGAAAACCCATCTCTACTAAAAATACAAAAAATTAGCTGGGCGTGGTGGTACGCACCTGTAATGTCAGCTACTCAGGAGGCTGAGGCCGGAGAATCACTTGAACCTGGGAGGCGGAGCCTGGGTGACAGAGTGAGACTCTGTCTAAAAAACAAACAAACAAACAAAAATTATTCTGTATTTTGTTCTTAATTTACAAAGTAACATGTCTTATAACATTTTAAATTTTATTCTGATTTCCCCTGTTATAAAGCGTTCACTTATTTAGTGGCATAGCTATTTGGGAACATTTGTTCTGTGCTTTCTTTTTGTCTTTCATGCTCTATATCAACATTTTTGTTTATTCCTTTTTTTTTTTTTAAGTTCATCCTTTCTCTTTCAGATATTTAGTCTTCAGAATGGGATTTTCTCCTAATAGGATATTGTAATCATACAGTCACTGTTGTAAGGAAGGGTAGTAGGCTATTTGAATTTCTGTATATTGTCTTTGAACATAATCTTAACAACCTTTTTTTGCAGGGTATGTTTTAACTGGATAACAAGAATTTTACCCGGTTTCCAATTCTAAACTGTCTTTAACATTTTATGAGTCATAATTTTCCATTTATTTCTCTTAATCTCTCCAGAAGCCCTTGTCTTGATTTTTTAAATAAAGAACACTACAGTTGAACATAAAAGACCATGATGAATGTTACAGTTCTGTCATCAATATTCTTATTACAGGCAAATAAGATTTATGTACTCAGTTCGTGCCATGGTAAATTGGAAACATAAGTTTTTTGAACCTGAAGAGTAGTGATAAAATTACAATGATGTATTTTATTATTACAATCTTAAAAGTCAAAGAGCGCACATTTTTAATGAATAATAATATAACCAATGATTCATTGGTCAGTTACTCTGAAACAGGCCCAATTCTAGGCAATGAGACAAATAGAAAGGAAGGTAAGACATGGTCTCTTCACACAATTGAAATCCAGTGAAAGTGTGGGGTGCAGCCTAGAACTTTCTTTGGAGATGCAAGCACTCATCCCTGGCTGCTGTGAGTTACCCACTGCTGACAGTTCACAGCTGAGTCCTTCTCCAGAAATTTCCTTCAGCCAAAAGAGGCCGCCTCACACAAGTTTGCAAATCCCTTCCCTGGGAAGTCAGCATCCAATGACTGGTCTCTGGATAAATTCAAAGGCCCTGACATCTCTGTAGGGGAATTCAGAAAGACTATCCCTCTGCAGAGCTCCAGACAGGTTGCCTTTGTGACCACTGTGTGGTAGTTTAATCGCTCCTTCTGCTAAACCCTGCTCTTCTTTTTCTCTTAGAACTGCTTTTCCGAAGAGCACTTACAAATCAACTTCCTGTACACAAACCTCCATCTCAGAATCTGTTTCTTGGAAACTAAGCTAAAACAGTCTGGGATATATAAAGAAAGGAAGTAGAGATAGGGCAAGAGGAAAGCCATATGAGTGTACTGAGAATAAAGTGGAGATTGCTCATAGGGCATTGCTCATACATCCAGAAGGACGACTATTGTGGCATCTCATCACAGACACCACCTGTTCATCTAGAATGAAATGAGTCTCAAGCAATTTGGAAACTTGGATTTCAGAAATTCTGCTGCTTCTTTTTGTTTGTTTTTTTAAGAAGTGGGGTCAGGTACACAGAAATAGACACATCATAATTCTTGCCTAATTAAGCACTATCATATTCAATCCTCAAACTGGCATTACCCACTTTATTTTACTTGATATTAGTTATTTATTATATATTTATTTTACCAATAAAATAGACAGACAAGACCCATCATGCAACCCCATGAATTAAAATTACCAGTATTGACTCCCATTGACTCCTCTGACCAGGCAGTCAGTTTCCCTGACTTCATCCCCAATATAACAAATCTGACAAATGTGTGTGTGTTTGTATTTACCTGAACAAAATATTAATTTTATTTTTAAATTTACTTAAAATTGTAAAGAAAGTTATATTTGATGTAGTTTTCCATAACTTTTTACAAACTAAACATTGCCTTACTAAGATTCATTCATATCATACAATGGACCTGAATTACGTTCAATTTTACTACTGTAAAATATTCCTTCGTGTGAATGTAGCATCCTTGACTTCTGCTCAGTGGATATTTAACCTCCCTCCAATTTTCTGTCCTAATAGCCAACAGTGCTGCAATAGACATTCTTATACGTATCTCCTACTGTACAAATACAAGAGTATTTCTTATGTATATACCTGGATTAGATATGCTTACTTTACAAAATAATGCCAATTTGTTTCCCAAGTTCTTACCAAATTTATACTCCCACTAGCAATGTATATAAATTGATGTTAATTCATATTTTTTAACACAGGATTCACATCCTTTCGAAGACTTGGTGTTGTCAACCTGCACCATTTTTGGCAATGTGATGTCTGTAAGATAATAACTTAGCATCTCAATATAATTTTGATTCAGATTTCTCTAGTTTTAAATTCCCTGGCTTGAGTACCTCTTTTTATGTATATGTGTGTACATATATCAGACTTATATATACATAAAATTTATATATTTACAAAAATGTTATATATATATACATAATTTGGTAAGGTCATTGATGAAGAAATGTTGCACACACAGACATACACAATTCACACCCCTGTAATTGACAGTATTTAACTACATGGGAATTGGAGACAGATACAGGTTCAACAGAGTCGAATTCCAATTATTTTACTATAAGTATGACTTCTTCTGTAAAACAATTATAATAGTAATTATATACATCACATAGGTTATGTAAGAATCAAATGATATGTGACCAGAAAGTAATGAACATATCAGCTAGAAAATATAAAATGATCAATAAAGTTGTATCATCAATATTTTGATAGGACTCTTTTATCTTTGTAATATGTTATAAATTAAACTTTATGATATGTATTTAATTTTTATTCTCCATCACCTGCATATTAAAAAATGGATGTTTCACTTTTAAAATTAAATATTTTAGCTACTTAAAATTTATTTCCATATATTTTTTTAAATTCCAACATTTAAGATTTGAAATACCAGTGCTACATTTTAAAGGATACACAGAGTACAGAAGAATGAGTAGTTCTGCTCAGTTCGAAACAGTTTTTTTTCTAAATCTAATTTTGGAAAGATTAAATTGTAGGATATAGGAGCGGAATGAAAATGGCAGAGATTTGCTTCCTTGTGTTTAAGAAACCCATATTCCCTGAGATGCAGGGGAGAATTGGATCCATTATTTTGCAGCATTATTGAAAATCACTCTATTTCCCCTCTAGGCTTGCTGAGCACAGAAGAATTTGAGGACATCCAGTTCCTGGATGGCATTACAGATGTAATGTGTTCTATTGTAACCTTTTAGCCTAAAAGAAATCTTATATTTTCAGTTTCTAACTTATTGCTGGGCTCCAAACCCACAGATGGTTCCAGAGATTTGATATATTTGGATAGACTGTAATGTTTTCCCTTTAAAAGCTGAGTTTGTGGTATTGAGTCTCTTCTCCTTAGATCAAGCAAACATCAAAAGAGAGGCATGCCCTGGTACTCTATGATCTTTGCTCTTTCAGCAATGTATAGATGTCTTTCAGTTTTAAAGAAAATGAAGAGAATTAACATGGTAAATAATAAGAGGCAGCTTTAGTGAGCTATTAAAATTATTTTTATATTAATTATTCTTAGAGTCTATTTCTCAATTTTAAATGAGCATAATCTCTGATAGAGTACTTATGCAGATTAAATGGGGAAAATGTATACTGAATTCATAATATAAATGCAAGAACTTAGTCATTATTGTTAAGCATTAAATACTACCAATAAATATCTTATAAAACTGTTATATATGATTCCTTATAGAAACAGTTTATATCTTCTGGGTGCTTATAACAATCCTCAACTCTTAAATTCTTAAATTAATATGGGCAAAAACATGGCAGTAATATGCCCATGAATATGTATAGTACCCTTTAATTTTTAACATTTAAATTTTGGAAACCCAAGGATAGAAATAGGCACGATGAAAAAATTGAAAGAGAAAAAATTAAATGAATAAATCAAGACAGAACATCATTTGATTCGTGGTGGGCTTTATGTCATTTATCATACACTGACATGACGGTGGGGTCAATTATGGAAGAGATAAAAAGGGAGATAAATAATATTGTTAACTCATATAGCTATTCCCAGCATTGTAATTCCAGGTTTGACCTTCAAAACTGTCTCTCAGGTTAATGCGATGTGCTTGATAACTTGCATTTTATGAAAGCCAGGGGCTTCTTTTTGTGGTTGCCGCTATATTCTCATGGTTCAGTTCCTAACAGGTGGTGATATAAATTCCTTGAACAAGTGAGTAACTAAATGGGAGAAAAAGTGAATCAGTGAGTAACTGAGCAAGTCAATGGATGAATTAAAATAAATGTGAGCAAGTCAATGGATGAATTAAAATAAATAAATTTCTATCCTTGGGTGTTGGTAGGAAAAGCTCTTATTTAGGCTAGTAATGTGAAAAGTTTCCTTTCAAACTCAGCCCTAAACACAACAGCAGAAAAAGAGAGTAGTCGCCTCCTTTACCACAAAAGATCATTTACAGTGTTACAACTATTTGATTTTTTGAGTAAGAGTAAATTCATCTTCAAGAAGGAAGTGTGGAAATGGTCAGTGGTGTCTTTGGTTTAAATCCATTTAACATTGTCTCCCATTAGCAAACAGATTTCCACTTGTCTACTAAAACTAGTGATTGAAAAATATAATAACATAAATATGGAAAAAAAACATGTTTTAAAATCCCAAATACAATTGTTTCAAAGAACACTTGGGTATGCTTTGCCCTCTGTAACTGTGTTTGAATTTTACATGTTGTTTCCACTTAGGATTGTACTTACTGGTTCCATACAGTAAAGGAAATAGCTTTTTGAACTAATGTCCTGGGCATATAGTAAGGTAGAATACACATGAAGGGGAAATGGCCACTTGTGGCCACAACCACAAAATAGTCTCTACAAGATGATTGAAATGCAAACCATCAATCATTCTTAGTTCTCATCCTCTTTAATCAATGAAGTATTTGACACAACTGATGAACTGCTCTTAAACATACTTTCTTCTATATACTGAATTATGTACATGTTAGGTAATTTGCTAGTAGTTCCTTAGGTAACAGCAGTAGAGCTTTTGTGCCTCAGCACCTTTGCTTATCCTATAGTTTTCACATGTAATAATCTTCTTCCTTGTATGTTGTCACACTCTTCTCTATTATGGCAATCTCTAATTATAGATCACCTATAGTGAGAGCTCTGTGTTTGAACTTCTCTTGTACTTTGTTTTCCTATCATATCGAAATTTTTATATTTTGCCTTTGCAGATATTTACTTTTTGTTTTTCCATATACAATTTTAAGAAGAGTTTATTAATATAGTTGCCTTTTTGCCTACATACACACTCAGAAACATAGTAGTTTATGTACATAAATATTAAATATGTATTTATCAGACGGCTGTATTATGTCAAAAGTTACATATACTTGAATTGTTATAATTTCATATTATCAATAAATAATTGGTATGAGAAAGTAAGTTATATAGTTGGTTCGAATAGAAGGAGAAAGTATAAAGAAAAATTGGATTATTTACATTATTTATGAGCTAGATTAATAGTTAATTTACAAAACAGAAATTGAAGAGGTATTTGACAATAGTGAAACATGAAGACAAAATGACGTGATATCCCATAAGAGAAAGCTAAGGAGATACACAAGCAAAATTCTTACGCTCAGGGTAATTATCATCAAGCTATTTCTTATTCCTTTTACAAGACAGAGTGTTAGCCATTGATAGGAAAAAACACATTGGAAAGATTAATGAATGTACCTTATTGTTAAGATAAACAATATTCAGAAAAAGTCATTGAAAGAAATGAAAGATTTCTAAACGTTTCATTTATCAACTTTGAAATATATTTTTTTCTACTGAATTTCTCATTGTTTTTATTTATATATCTTACATATACATATAAAATATATCTCTATCCTTGTCTTTATGTTCCCCCATTGACAATTGGGGTCATGTTTGGTAGCAAAAAAAAATGACTGTTATGTACTATTCAGGAAAAAAATAATTTTCTTATAATTCTTTGTCAGTATAAAAACAAAGGGATCAGTAGGAAACTTCTCAGCAGCAATTAGTGAGATGCATTTTGAATAACACGTTTCTGGGGAGCACCTTTTGGGGCTACTCTCAATCTCCATGTCCCTCAAGATGAATTATAGCATCAGCATTTGTGTAATGGAGTGTGAACACAACATATCACAAAGCAATCAACACACAACTAGAACAAGCTGGTTTGGAATAAAATTGTAAAGTTAGATTGCAGTTGAAACAAAAGTACTACAATTTATTCTGTGTGCAGTTTGATGACCTAATGATGTGAATCCAGCTCAGCATTTGGACAATCTTGGAAACTGACAGAGGCAAACATTCTATTATTGAGAGGAAATTACAGAAACAATACGCAAGATCAACAGCAACGGGACCGGAAGTGTGTACTGAAGCTTTAGCTGCATCCATTGGAATAAAGAAACAAAGGAAACACCAAAAGGCCTAGACTTGGAAGGAGATTCAACTCTGGAGATAATAGAGTTAGCATACTTTAAAGAAATAATGATGGGTGATAAGTTTTCATTAAAAAATATACTTCATGTCATCGATCATGATTAGGCAGGTGTCTGTGACTGCATAAGCAATGCTGCATTATTTCACATGTGTGCCATGGATTCAGCAACAGAATAGCTCCTTCTCTTCTCCTGGGACCTTGTTGTTGACATGACTTGGCCCTTTAGAGAATTAACTAACTCATATTGGCTGCATTTTTGTATTTGAATAACAGGGTATCATAGTTACATACATATCAGGAACCTCAGGACTGCTGATGTTGTAATAGTTTTTTGTTTGTTTGTTTTTAAAGAATTTTTTCACCTAAGACTATCACTCTACTTCTTTGAAAGCTGTATAAACAGAGTAAACCAAAAACAGAAAAATGTCATTCTTAAATAAAGTAAGATATTTCCCTCATTATTTTTGCATAGGCACAGCTGAAATGGTTTTATAAAAGGGTGAACAAGTTTGCCTGAAAAACACACAGACTAAGTGGTTTCAAATATTGGAGTATTGTAGAATGAGGCTTATTTTGGGGAAATAATTCATAGAATAACTAGAAATTATATATATATACGTTTCATTTGTTGATTCCCAATTGCTTTAAAAAACATTTATGTTTTGCAATATTCATATTTAGAGGTTTAAGTAACAAAACATGTTGTTTTGTTGTATGTACTTGGCTAAAATTTTGGAGATAAATATGTGGATTTTTGAACATTTACCGTCACCTGTTTTAATGGGGGTTTTGGCATATTGAGTAGTATACTGAATCATTATTAAATTATGTTCAAGTTTAATGATAGAATGTAGATTATATACTTGTTTAACATGTTCTTTAATTGCAACAAAAGAACGCCAATTCTAAATCATAGTAACTCCTAAATTAGAGTAATAGTCTATGAACTGGCAATAGCTATCCATACTTTATCATGAACACTTTTGAAGTAAACAGGTACGACGTGACCCACTTAAAATTGGGTCTGGCTCTTTTTGTTCCTTATTCTTTTATCTTTTGGGGAATAATGCTCATACAAAATAGCAGTTCAGAGCTAATAATAAATGGACAGAAATGATTCTAGATTCCTTAATCTTAATTGATACATTTTTAAAAAATCATAATTTCTATAAATTTTATAATCAAAGAACATCCTTTGATTTTTCACTATTTATATATCCCGACAACTGTGATATTCAACTGTTTCATCCATATCTATTGATTCCCTACGGTGTGCAAAGCATTGTGCTATACTTTGATAATTGCTGCATTGGTAAGTGAAAGCCTCGTCTAGTTTCCTTCAATCTGATACCTTCAATTGTCCTTTTGATCCTATCACTAAAGTTCATTCCTTCATTTTTATGATATAATGCATTTTTCCTTTACTTTATAAAGTATGACAATATGACATTTCAAGTCACAAAATTGTGAATACATTAATTGAACTTCATAGGTAAAAACAAATTTCTGAACCACAGATTATGGTGTACAAAGTTATTAAGGTGAATGAATGCAGGTGTATTCAATGTAAAATTATTGTGTCAGTCACAATCTGGTTAAAACAAAAAAGCATTTAGGCTGGGCGCGGTGGCTCATGCCTGTAATCCCAGCACTTCGGGAGGCCGAGGCGGGCGGATCACGAGGTCAGGAGATTGAGACCATCCTGGCTAACACGGTGAAACCCCGTCTCTACTAAAAATACAAAAAATTAGCCGGGCGTGGTGGTGGGCGCCTGTAGTCCCAGCTACTCGGGAGGCTGAGGCAGGAGAATGGTGTGAACCCGGGAGGCGGAGCTTGCAGTGAACCGAGATCGCGCCACTGCACTCCAGCCTGGGTGACAGGGCAAGACTCCATGTCAAAAAAAAAAAAAAAAAAAGCGTTTATTTATGCTATACCTGCTTCCGACATCTAAAGCAGGTGTAACTGGGTTTGGGGAATTTGGGAGGGTTGATGTATAAACTCTTTGGATAAGCCTTATAACAGTGGGAATATTTATATAAATTTCCTAATGCAGTCACAGACACTGCTCTCTCCAGCTTTTTTCAACTCTCACATTTACTGGTGATCCAGTTGCCTCTCAAAGTTACTTTTTGTTAATGTTTACCCCAACTGCCCTCTCTAATTGACAGCGTACCCGTTTCTTAGTGTCATTTTATGTTTTAACCAGGGGACTGCAGCGTAGCTCATCAGCTTTTCTCCTCACCTAAACTAATCCCCCATTCCTCATTCACAGTCACAATGAAGTTTCGATTCCTTCCAGACCAAAGGGCCACAAGAACTCTAGGGTCACCCCAGTCCAGGTGTGTCTGGAATTGGTGGGTTCTTGGCCTGACTGACTTCAAGAATGAAGCCGCGGACCCTCGTGGTGAGTGTTACAGTTCTTAAAGGTGGTGTGTCCGGAGTTTTTTCCTTCCGATGTTCGGAGGTGTTCCGAGTTTCTTCCTTCTGGCGGGGCTGTGGTCTCGCTGGCTTCAGGAGTGAAGCTGCAGACCTTCGCGGTGAGTGTAACAGCTCTTAAGGCGGCGAGTCTGGAGTTGTTAGTTCCTCCCATCTGGAGTTGTTCATTCCTCCTGGTGGGTTCGTGGTCTGGCTGGCATCAGGAGTGAAGCTGCAGACCTTCGCGGTGAGTGTTGCAGCTCATAAAGGCAGTGCGGACCCAAAGAGTGGGGGTGGTGGGGTGGTGGGGTGGTGGGGGCGTGGGGAGGCTCGGGCAGGTCCTGAGCCCTGGCCTGCGGGGAGGCAGCTGAGGCCCGGCGAGAATTCGAGCGTGGTGCCGGTGGGCTGGCACTGCTGGGGGAGGCCGCGCACCCTCCACAGCTGCTGGTCCAGGTGCTGAGCCTCTCACTGCCTGGGGCTGGCGGCTACTACCGCCCGCTCTGAGTGCGGGACCCGCCGGGCCCACGGCCACCCGGAACTCGCGCTGGCCCGCCTGCACTGAGTGCAGCCCCGGTTCCCTCCCGCGCCTCTCCCTCCACACCTCCCCACAAGCAGAGGGAGCTGGCTCGGGCCTCGGCCATCCCAGAGAGGGGCCCCCACAGCACAGTGGCAGGCTGAAGGGCTTGGGGCTGCAAGGGCTGCCAGCATGCTGTCACTCTCACAGGGATCCCCCTCCCACTTTACTACACCTATTTAGGGTAAACACTAGTTCAGTGTTGGTTATCTAAAAATATCTTTAATTTGCTTTTAAATTTGAAAGATAATTTCACTTCATATACAATGCCAGACCGATATATAATTTTAATTAGAACATTGAAAAGGTTTTCCTCCATTTTTCCGGTTTCCATCATTCCTGTGGAAAAGTCTGCCCTTAGAATAGATACCATTTCTTTACAGAAAATCTCTCATCAATTTCTAGCTGCCTTTCACATCTTCTCTTTGTACTTTGTACTCTGCAAATGGTATCCTGATCCTTCCAGGTGTTGCTTACATTTCATCTACCCTTCTGCTGATTTGTTGAGCTTTGTTATTATGAATATTAATGTGGTTAAAGTAAATCAAAATGGAGACCAGGCCTGAAGAATCCCTGAGTTGACAAAGCCAGTTAAGCTTCATAAATGACCTAAATATTGTTTGATTTGCAAACACAAGCGAAACTTAACTAGTGCTATTTTTTAGTTAATGTCTATATTATAGATAAAGAGGACTAAAGTTCAACCAATCAGAAGCAGCCAACAAACAGACTTATATAACTAGGGACTCTCTAACAGAAAAGACCAAAGAAGGAAAATGTATAACTGTAACCAATCAAATATTTTCTTTGCTCTAATTCTGTGTGTATCAGATAAAAGTTTCTCTCTTGTGTTCCCTTGGTGAAGCTTTCCAACCACTTATTTAAAGCCGCCTAATTCATGAGTTGTTTTTTGGTCAAATAAACCCTTTAAATTTTTATTGTATTTTAGTTTGCTTTTTATAAAAATGATGTTTTTACAATCAATTATTGAATAGTCTCATTCATACTTTCTTAAAATATTGCCTTTTCTCTCTCTTTTCACCTTCTGGAATTTAAACTTGATATATAAAGTTGTATTATTTTTATTTCCATTTCTTTTGTCATTCATATCTTCTATCCTTTCCTCTCTGCCTTTAGGAAAACTTTATTTATGTTTACTTTCAATTTACTAATTCTTCATTTAGTTGTGTTTAATTTGTTGTTCAAATAATCAAATACATTTTAAATTCAGCATCTATGTATTAATTTCTAGAAAGTCAATTTGACTGTGTTTAAAAATATACTTGGCTATTTTCAACAACCCTTTCCTTACCTGATAAGATTTCTACGTTTACTTTATTTTGATCTCTGAGAATTCCTTTTATGCCAGCTCAAAATAAGCTAAATTATATATCTTTAAAATATTTTACCAGATATTTTTATTACTTGTAAATGTGAATATCGACTAGTGTTATTTTGCTTTTATAAGGTTATATAACTTTCATTAATTTTATGTGGTAATATTGCCAAAGATATTTTGTTTCTGTAATGTTGATAAAACAAGATACAAGAATGAAGCATGGAGATCTGTAACAACAAACTAAGCTCATTCAGAAACTTTCTTAATAATCTCTGTGTAAAGCTGACTTGCCTACTTAATATGGGTATGGGGACTGGGATAGGGCAAAGGTTCAATACTAGTTTTAGACTTTTGTGATTCTCTGCATGTGTGCTTGGTCTCCTTCAGGCAGGGAAGTTATTTAATCTTACTCACAGGATTTTCTCTTACAGGCAGTTTATTTCCCCCTAGAATGGAGGGGATTCAGTCAGATGGGAGAAGGGCTCCCGAGTACAGAATGATGGTAATCTGGCCATGCATGATTTCATACTTGGATTTTTATTTGAAATTTTTCTATTGAAATCCCCTTTATTCTTGCTCAATAGTAGGAATTTTCTGATCCCTTGTGACCTTCCTACAGGTATAAATCTGAGCAGATATACAGCTTCAGCTAACCTTAATTTTCAGAAATGTACTGAATCAAGAAAGTGTTGATGGCTTTGTGTTTTGAATGATAAAAAGTAGTAAAGCAGAAAAAGAGAAGAACAGTGATCATCCACGATGAGCTTGTATTGGGCCAACAAGCTCTTTTGTTCAGGTTTCCACACTGCATATTCTCAGGACTAGGCTGCTGCCACCTGTAGGTAAAACCAGAGACTGATGTAGACAAAGCAAGGGTGGGCCACAGCATGCTGTGATATTTGGTTAATTTTGTCTAGAAAGACAGAGTAAAAAAGAGTTGTTTTGTATCTCACTAGAATTTTATTTTGAATTTTTAGTCCAATGTTCCAGCAAGAAACAACATCCTTTGTTTTTCCTTTTTTATCCAACTCTACACCATCCCAAAGACCTCTGGGGAAATAATTGGGCTGCTCATGAACAAGATTTACAGGGTTGTCAATCCTGTGACTCTAATTTCTACTATTCAGTCTCTAAATAACTAGATGCAATATGTTTTCAAAGCCATCTCCCTAGAAATGTCTAGAGCTTACATTGGGAAATGAAGAATCGTATCTGGTAATTTGTTTATCATGTTCCATTCCATAAATAACACTCCATTGATTGAACCCATGAAGCAGAGTTTTCCCTAATTTGGAATGAATAGAAAACAAATAATTAAAAATTGATCCATCAGGTAAACACTAAAGAACAACAGTCAGAGTAAGAAATAGTTACTTGAAAAATAGTGTCTTGCATTTTTAATTCAGTAAATTTCTTTTCTTTTAGGAGACAGCTGTGGTAGACACTAAGGCATATTTTGGTAAGGGCCCAGGTGCTAATTTGAAGAGAAGCAGAAATTGCAGGGGGTAGGACTGTAGATTGCAGTAGCGGTCAACCTGAGGATCTTGACCTGTGTCCTATCACCAAAGCTAATGGTGCCCTGAAGCAACAACAAAGTCCACATCCAATTCAATTTTGGGAAAAATTCCTTTACCTCTCCACGCTAACATTCCGGCAAAATGTTCATGCACATTTCCAGTTATGAATACAAAGTAAAAATTCCATCCTAAGACATGATCTAGGTGTTGTAAAAATCAGACTGAAAATTTTAAATAACTATAATTAATGTGTTAAAGACTCTAATAGAAAAGATATCTAGAATGCAAGAGCAGCTGAGAAATTTCAGCAGAGAAATAGAAACTGCAGAAAGAATTGAATAGGAATGCTAGAAGAATGATAGAACAGATGAAAAGTGACTTTAATGAAAGGGCCATTCACTAGACTTGACACAGCTGAGGAAAGAACCACTTAGGATAGATAAATAGATATTACCCAACCTGAAACAAAAAGAGGAAAACATGAGTTAAAAAAAAACAACAACTGTAAAGCAACAAACAAAATGAGAGCCTTTAAGAACTGTGGAAAATTTTCAGACAATTTAACTTACTTTTAAATGGAATCTTGGAAGCAGAAGAGAGTGTGGTAGAAAATAAATTTTAGCATATAGAGTTAAGAAATTTCTAAAAATAATTAATGAAATCAAACCATGGATCCAGGAAGTTAACCAAATTAAAGAAAACAAATATCATCTTACAGACACCTGTGAACGCATGCATGCACGTGTGTGTGCGCACATGCGTACACACACCTATACTTAAAATTCAAAATGCTGCATACTAAAGATAAAATCTCAAAGGCAGCTTGAGAATAAAATACATATTATATGAAAAAGAAATATGTAATATTTAAGTCATAAGATAATGGATTAACATCTCCAAAATGCTAAACAGGAGCAAAATCACTGCCAAAAAAAAGAATTCTATATAGTGAAAATATCTTTCCCCAAAAAGGAGAAAAGTACTTTTTCAGACAAACATAGGACACAATTCAGTACCAAGACATCTGCACTACAAAATGTTAAAAGAAGAACAGGAAAGAAAATATAATACTCAACAGAAATGTGAATCTGCAAAACAAAATAAAGATCAACAGAAATGGTTAAAATAAAGTCTGCTTATTAGTTCATTTTCACACTGTTATAAAAAAGCTACCTGAGACTGGGTAATTTATAAAGGAAAGATGTTCAGTTGATGCACAGTTCTATATGGCTGAGGAGGCCTCAGGACAGTTACAATCATGTTGGAAGGCAACGGAGAAGCAAACATTTTCTTCACAAGGCATCAGAAGACAGAAAGAGAGAGTGAAGGGAGAGGTTCCACTTTGAAACCAACAGATCTCATGAGAACTTACTATCATGATGACAGCATGGAGGAAACCACCCAATGACCCAATCACCTCCCACCAGGTCCTTCTGTTGAGACATGGGGATTGAAATTCAAGATGAGATTTGGGTGGGGACACAGAGCAAAACCAGATCATTCTGACCCTGACCCCTCCAAAATATCATGTTCTTCTCACATTGTAAAATCAATCATGCCTTTCCAACAGTTCCCCAAAGTCTTAACTCATTCAGCATTAACTCAAAAGTCCAAGTCCAAAGATTCATCTGAGACAAGTCAAGTCTCTTCTACCTATTAACTTGTAAAAATCAAAAACAAGTTAGTTATCTCAAAGATACAATAGGGGTAGAGGCATTTGGTAAATATTCTTATTTCAAATGGGACAGATTGGCCAAAATAAAGGTGCCATAGGCCCCATGCAAGTCCAAAACCCAGTCAGGAAGTCATTAAATCTTAAAGCTCAAAAATCTCCCTTTACTCCATGCCTCACAACCAGGGCATGCAAGAGGTGGGCTCCCATGGCCTTGTGTGGCTCCTCACCTGTGGCTCTGCAGGGCTGGTGTTGAGTGTCTGTGGCTTTTCCAGGCATGTGGTGCTAGTTGTTGGTGAATCAACTTTTCTGGGGTCCGTAGAACAATGGCCCTCTTCTCATAGTTTTACTAAGCAGTGCCCCAGTGTTGACTCTGTGTAGGGGTTCCAACCCCACATTTTCCATCTGCACTGCCCTAGCAGAGGTTCTCCATGAGGGCTCCACCCCTGCAGCAGACTTCTTCCTGGACATCCATGCATTTCCATACACTGCCTGAAATCTAGGCAAGGGTTCCCAAACTTCAACTCTTGTCTTCTGTATACCCGCAGGCCAAATACCACATGGAAGCCTCCAGTTCTTGGGGCTTGCACACTCTGAAGCAATGGCCCAGCTGTACCCCAGCCCCTTTTAGCCAGAGCTGGAACTGGAATGGCTGGGACACAGGGGACCAAGTCTCAGGCTGCACAAAGCAGGGGGCATTAGGCCCAGCCCACCAAACCATTTTTCCCTCCTAGGCCTCCAGGCCTGTAATAGGAGGGGCTACTGTGAAGATCTCCGAAACGGCCTGGAGGTTTTTTCCCCATTGTCTCAGTGATTAACATTTGGCTCCTTGCTACTAATGCAAATTTCTGCAGCAGGCTTGAATTCCTCCCCAGAAAATGTGTTTTTTTTTTCTTTTCTACCACATGGTCAGACTGCAAACTTTCCAAATCTTTATGCTCTGCTTCCTTTTTAAACATGTTCTGATTTCAAGCTATCTCTTTGTGAACACATATGACTAAATGCTTGCAGCATCAGCCAGGTTACATTTTGAATGCTTTGCTGCTTAGAAATTTCTTCTGTCAGATACCCTAAATCATCTCTCTCATGTTCAAAGTTCCACAGATCTCTCAGGCAGGGGCAAAATGCCATGAGTCTCTTTGCTAAAGCATAGCAAGAGTGACCTTTGCTTCAGTTCCCAGAAAGTTCCTCAGCTTTATCTGAGACCACCTCAGCCTGGATTTCATTGTGCATATCACTATCAGCATTTTGATCAAAACCATTCAACAAACTGTTCCCATTACCTCTGCACATTACCCAATTTGAAAGTTGCTTCCACATTTTCAGGTTATCTTTACAGCAGTACCTCATCCTGCTGGTACCAGTTTTCAGTATTAGTTCATTTTCACACTACTATAGAGAACTATCTGAGACTGGGTAATTTGTACAGGAAAGAGGTTTAACTGACTCACAGTTCCACATGGCTGGGGAGGCCTCAGGAAAGTAACAATTGTGGTAGGAGACAAAGGAGAAGCAGACAGCTTCTTCACAAGGTGGAAGGAGAGAAGGAAAGAGAGCACACATGAAGGGGGAAGTTCCACTTTTAAACCATCAGATCTTGTGAGAACTCACTCACTATCACAAGAACGGCATTAGAGAAACTGCTGCCATGATCCAAACACATCCCATCAGGTCCCTTTATTGACGTATGGGAATTACAATTCAAGATGAGATTTTGATGGGACACAGAGCCAGGCCAAATCAGTCTGTGTTTCTACATAGTCTGATGTACACTTTAAATAATAACACATACTTAGCTCTCATTTAGCTTTGAGTAAAAACTGGGTGATGACCATTACCTCAACATGCAGTTAGCTGTTTACCATATTCCTTATGAAATTAACCCATGCAATATTTTTTTTGAATGCTTAGTACCTATTCCTTTGATAAAGTGCTACTTACAAATTATAAAATAGAAATAAAAAAGATAAAATAAATTTTCTCATTTTTAATATTTCTAAATGAAAACTGTATTTTCAAAACAAAAATAATAATTTTTGCAACAAAATCTGTGAAAAGTAAAATGTATAACAATAGCACAAAAAGATGGGAACAAAACACTGGGAATATATTGTTGCAAGATTTATGAATTACATGGAACAAAGGATAATACCAATTCCAATCTACACTTTGATTAATCACAGAAATATATTGTAAACCCTAGATAAAAGAAATATAATCAAGAAAAATCTAGAAAAAAGGGAAAAAAGAAAAAAGTATTTAATAGATAGTATACAACTATCAAGATAAATTTTAATCCAACTGCTTCTAAAGCTGCCTTAATAGCAAATAATCTGTTCATACCAAATTGCATGATGGGTTGTATATTCTATAATTAACAAGTCCCCAAACATTTGAGAAATTCCTAATATGTCTGCTTCCAGTTAGTTCCATGTTCTATATCTTGTTTTCCACCATCTCTAGTTTCTTGAACAGTGTCCAGAATATTATATGTATTCAGTAATATTTGATAAGTAAATGAAGGAGTAAGCATATAAATGTTTTAAATTAATAATTAAACACTTAATAATGATAAATACTATTAAAAATCATTCTTTTTAGAATTCACCTATTATACATAGGTGACTGATAGATTCTAATTTTGCCTATCACTGCACATTTTAATTAGCATTTGATTGTTACAAAACACACAAAACATTGTGTTTTCATTGGCCCTCCAAAGAATGTATGAGAATGGGGACAAAAT
The DNA here is from genome assembly GCF_000001405.40 of Homo sapiens. Classification (NCBI taxonomy): domain Eukaryota; kingdom Metazoa; phylum Chordata; class Mammalia; order Primates; family Hominidae; genus Homo; species Homo sapiens. The sequence goes on along the minus strand of NC_000018.10, from coordinate 66,388,566 downwards.
CATTACATTATAGAAGGGGTGATACATGGTTTAAGTAAATTAATTGGCATATTAATTCTAATTTATTCTGGAAAATGTTTGATTGCTCATAAAAAATACTGAAGATATTAATGTGGCATTAAGAGACAAATAGCCATGATGAGTTATGAAGAGTGTTAAATAAATTCTCAAAGTGTCATGAAAGCACAGTGGAGAAAGACGATACTTCAGAATTCACTTTTATAACATAATGTATGCCTCCATGAAAATCTCTTTTAATGAACTGTGGACATGATACAGTCTCACCAGCTGTCTCACAACCTCCCATCTCCCTAGCCTTAACATGTAAAGCGTACATTTCGTGCTATTGAATCAACTTTACATACTAATTGTACATACATGTAATTCTTTGCCTTGGTCTTTCTGATAAGAGTTGAGATTTGCTCAGTTCAATTTAGTAAAAGTAAAAAATTTGCTCAGTTCAATTTAGCTCAGTAAAAGCCTGAGTAGACAATTACTTTTCTTAAATCTGTCTGCTGCTGTTTGCTTATAAGCCTGAATTAGTTTGAGTTGTACTTATTAAATTGAATGCAATTACCTTTATTTTTAACCCTTTCCTGATCTGACAATACATTTATACCACAATCTTTTATTTCTCAACTAACAGAGAACTTTGTTATACTGACAAAATATCCTTTAGTCTATGCTGATAAACAAGCAACCCAAAATAAGCACAATAAAGGCATCTCATGTTGGAAGAAAAGGACATTGATTTTTGAAAATAATTTTTCTTCTAATGCCAATTGCTACAGGGTTTTTGAAAGAAATGTTATAATATAAATAATAAGCACTTGTTAAAGATGTTACTGTGATCTCCAAATACTCTTGTGTTGATAGTTTTAGGAAAATTATTTTTGCCAGGCTTAATAGAGAAAAACAAGCAGTTGAGTAGGCGATGAAATATGTTTCTCTAGAGAGAAAGGAGAGTGATCATCAATGTTTGGTTTTTCACAAGTTTGGGGAAAATGTTGCTACTAAATGTGATATGACTTTGCATTTTCTTTTGCTCGGAATATACCTGGGAATTGGGAATTATGCTGGGGAATAAGCTCTTAAGCACAAGTTGTAGTGTGGGATAAAGTTCTTATTTATCCGAGTGATGTTCATTCCAACTAGAGCTGACTTTTAAAGGGGTAGAATATAGGCTAGTGAATTTTTGTGACACACTCATAACCTTTCTGTGAATGCTGATGTTTCAAAAGGCATTATTCATAAACAGGATATAGTTCCATAAAGAGGGGAAAAAGTAGCACATAACATACTGACCCATGAGAAATAAAGCCTTGAATCATTTCTCTTTTTACTCCAAAGGAAGCCTATATTTTTTTTATCAGTCACTTTTTCAAAGGATGAAATCACTAGAGTTTCACCATCTATCTCTGTTTCTACTAGCTTGTCAATTTGGTTTGAGTTTTCATCAGAGTGGTATTAACAGCTGGAAGAAAAGTTGTTTCATCCAAACATTCACCAAGGGGCAAAGAGAAAAATCTATTAAAGCTGACATAGGACAGTGTACTTGTTCAAGAAGATACTGAACATTTGTAGTGGAAAGAAAACTTTACAAAAATTGTTAAGATCATCCTCACAAGTATAGGAAATAAGATTCTATTTAATTGAAAAGGTATTATAATGCAAAAAGAAGGAATAAAAACTCTGTCTATATGTATTATTAACCAAGAAATATTATTATTATTATTATTATTATTATTATTATTATTTTGAGACGGAGTCTCACTCTGTCACCAAGGCTGCAAGTGCAGTGGCACAATCTTGGATCACTACAGCTTTCGCCAATCGGGCTCAAGCAATTCTGCCGCAGCCTCCCGAGTAGCTGGGACTATAGGCGTGCACCACCACGCCCGGCTAATTTTTGCATTTTTAGTAGAGATGGGTTTCACCATGTTGGCTGGGCTGGTCTCAAACTCCTGATCTCAAGTGATGCGCCAGCCTCTGCCTCCCAAAGTGCTGGGATTACAGGCATGAGTCACTGCAAACTTCCAAGAAATACTATTGATTAAGAAGTTAATTGGGGTCCCAATGAAAACTGCAATAAAATTTCAACAATTATCAGTGTCATAATTTAACCTATAACAATAATTATACATAATAAAATATATGTATTATACCTAGGTGAGTGAGTGGGAATAAAAGAAAATGAATTTAGAAAATGCTACGGCTTTACCACTAGCGATAATTTTTTAAGAATATGTAAACTACTTTCATTTAGTTGAAATAGATAAAATATTAACCTGAAATAATTTGGCTGATGGCAATACAAGGGTATGCTATATTATTTTCTCTCTTTTTATATCTATTTTATCTATTATATAATTTATTTAGTACTAAAATAATTGTAAAAACTCTTACAAGAGAAAGGAAATCTAAATTAATGATGTCATGAGAAACCAATTTGCAAAAGAAAGCCATAATACACATTTCCTTTTGTGTGGCTGAATGTAGATTATAAATTATTTTCTATTAGTTTAGACTTTCTAATAAAAGATTAAAAATAAAAATGTCATAAAATGTTATGCTATCATTAAGGATAAATAAATACCTTTACTTCAATAAGATTAAGGAACTGGCTATATAAAATGTAATCAGACAAGAAAATCTGATTCATTTCTAGAGTGAAATTCATTTGCTCATTTATTCTGAAACTTATTCATGAGTTTCATTCATTTATACAGAGTTGCATTTTTAAAGTTACAAAATCTTGAGTCAAATTGTACATAAATTAATGTATTAGAGCTAAATAAAGTACAATTCACAAATAATTAATATTTGGATTGGGAAAATAAGATCCCTATAGGCGAAGTTTTGGTACAATTGTTGAGTTAAAAATAATGACAAAGAAAGATAAACAAGTATTTTTCTTATAAATATTTATAATTAAAGTTATAATAGAAGTAAAACTAGAATAGCAGTATTAAAATACATCATGTATTGATCATCTATTCTTTCACATACTAAGATATGCATAGAATTTTTCAGATTACTATATTCATAGGTGTGTATATGTTTTCTTCTAAGTATATTGTGCTCTACATCCCGTAAGTCATTTTGACCTACAGGTTGCTGCTCCAGTTGTGTTAATAAATATTCATCAGTCAATTGATATTAGCATTCGATGGTGACTGGAAATTGTCCTCAATCACATCTCCACAAAGCATCTGGGGTAGAAATCATATATTTCCCAACCCTATTTTAACAGGTTGAGCTGCACTTTTTGATGGAGATGTTTCCATTACTTTTTCTTTGTGTCTACTCTTCAAAACTGAAATTCACTGATCTCTCCTGATGCATCTATAGAGATTTCAAATCTGTTTCTGAAATCTGAGCAGTTACACATAATAAAATCTCAGTCTGCTCTAATGTATCTTCTCATACCTTTTCTTTCAGGAATATTTCATACCTGATAGGAAAGTCTTATTCTTCTCCAACATAAACAAACTTCCCAATACATTATCTCTTCACAAAAACGTGTCGCAAGCAATATTTACAATACAGAAATAGTCAATAGCTTGAGCTTGACATTCTCTTGTGGTTCCCTGTATAAACAGTACAATAAAACCGCACAGATTTTTTTGAAGATGCAAAATATAGCTTTTCAAATTGGAAAAAAACAAGCAATAATGGTTTTACTCAAATATTTCTTGACATCATTTATCTGTTTATTGTTTTTATTAGACCTGCAGGAAGAGAGAGAAAAAAAAAAAGAGGATGACTATCCTGACTGAGAATAGTTGGAGATTAACACAGAGTACTCAGTTTTTCCCATTTACTATGATGTTACTTGTGGACTTTCCATATGTAGCTTTTATTGTGCTGAGGTATGTTACTTCTCTATCTATTTTGCTGAGAGTTTTTATCATAAATAGATGTTGAATTTTGTCAAGTGTTTTTGTGCATCCATTGAGATAATCATGTGGTTTTATCTTTTATTCTGTTAATGTGGTCTCTCACATTGATTTATTTTCATATATTGAATCATTCTTGCATCCCAGGGATACATCCTATTAGGTCATGGTGTATAATTCACTTAATGTGCTGATGAATTTGGTTTGCTGGTATAATTCAATTTTTGTCTAAGTTGTCACATTTATAGGGGTAAAGTTGTTTGCATTATTTTCTTATTTTCATTTTAATATCTGTAGAATCTTTCCTGATATGGTCTATCATTCTTAATATTGGTAATTTGTGTCTTCTCTCTTTTTTTCCTGATTATTCTGACTAAAAAGTTTATCGTATTTATTGATGTCAAAAACCAACCTTTGAATTCATTAAATTTGGGAATAGTTTTTGTTTTCTATTCGCTGATTTGGACTCTGATTTTTATTGTTTTCTTTCCCTTATTTACTTCTGGTTTAATTTCCTCTTTCTCTTTTGGTTTCTCAAGGAATATTTGGGGTCATTTATTTGAGACAGTCTTCTTTTTCTGATATCAATTTTGACATATTGTGTTTTTATTTTCCTTCTGGTTAAAATAATTTATCATTTTTTAAAATTTCTTCATTGAATAATAAGAAGGAAATCTTATATATTTACTCATGTAACTAGCATTTCTGATCTTTTTTCCTTTAGGTAGATCTAAATTTTATTCTGCTTATCCCTTTTCTCCCTTGCTTGAAGATCTTGCCCTAAGAACTTGCTTTAACATTTCTTTCTTCTGTGTTTTGTTTTTTTGTTTGTTTGTTTTACAGAGACTTGCTCTTTCGCCTAGGCTGGAGTGCAATGGCATGATCTCGGTCCACTGCAACTCTACCTCCCGAGTTCAAGCGATTCTTTCCCGCCTCAGCCTCCTGAATAGCTGGGACTACAGGAGCGTGCTACCATGCCCTGCTAATTTTTGTTTTAATAGAGACGGGGTTTCACTACGTTGTCCAGGCTGGTCTCGAATTCTTGGCCTCTAGTGATCCGCCTGCCTCCAAATACATCACTTTTATATCTACTGTGTCACTTACCTGAATACAATTTTTAAAAATCTTCTTGACTATTTTTAAATGTTTCAATTTTTAATGATTTTTGATATATCTCTGGAGTTAAAAAACATTAGACTTGTTAATGAGGTCCATGTGAGAGATTAGGGAACAGATGCTATACGTAGTATAAATAGAAAAATATATTTATCAATTAATTCCCCAAAACAGGTCTACAATTCTTTATCCAGAACCACTGGGGTCAGGCATATTTCACATTTGTTTGAAATATAATTTTTGGTATTTAACATTAAATATATATGTTAAATAATAGTCCCAGTAGGGTATGGACAACACATAAAAATGCATTAATTTACCTATGGTAAAACTGTGTGAATATTTACATTCGTTGGGTAAATAACAACTATAAATAGACACACATCAATGCATGTTAGGTTTTGTTTTGAAAAATAAAATTCATGTTGTTTAAATGAAGATACAATTTATGTTCCTGATGTAACAATTTTACAAATTAATTAAATACAGTACAAATATTACTACTGGTAATAGAGATCCAGTTACTATGTATAAAGTAATTTTGAAGTTTACAACCAAATACAAATGTGAAAAAATGCCCAATTATTATTTTGTTAAAGGAAAGCCAAAACCAATTGTACAATATTTAGTAAAATGATAAGGAAAATTCATATGGAATACCATTGAAGCAAAACATCTTAAAATTCACATAAAACTGAACTCAGAGAAATTGTATAGACACAATACATCATCTAGACATTTACACAAAAATTGCAGATTAATTTTATACAGATATATACACAGTCTTATACATATTGATTTTGTGTTATCTTCAAATAATTCAAATAGTTTCTCTCTCTCTCTCTCTCTCTATATATATATATATTTCAAATAGTTGAAACTATTTGAAGATAACACAAAATCAATTCAATATGTAGTAAGATTGGCCTTACTTAGCAAACACAAAACCTGAAAATGATAAATTGAAAGATTAATAAAGCTGATGATATATACCAAAAAATCTTACCATTGAAGTACAATTTAAAATTTATAAAATATATTTATAACACATAAATTAAGGACTAATTTCTTTAATGTATAAAACATTCCTAGACATTAATAAAAATAAAAGTGTGACAGCCATTTAAAATTAAAGAAAATCCCAAAGTTCACAAAAAATAGACAGGTAAATGTATAGAAAATGTGCATGCTAATTCTTTATGTGCATAGTAATTTTGCTTTCTTTATTGGACAAACTCTTTTCCCTTACATTAGTTTCTTCCCCAGGCTCAATATCCCTTTCAGGTTCCAGGCTGCAACTGGATAAGCAATGATACAGGTTATCACCAAAATTTCAAGGTGCCTGGGAAGGTTGAGCTTCAATCCCATGAGAAATGAAGAACATTAAACATAAAAGTCACATTCAGTTTTTTCATAAACTTGTGTTGCAGGACCATTGGTACTTGTAGTAATGACATTAATTTAAGAACACCCTTCAAAACCTACATTATTTTTTTCTCACTGCTAACACATTCAAAAGTCATACAAAAGAAAGAAAAGTTTCTCTATGGATAAAGTTTGTTGCCTTTCTTCCAGAAATAGCCCACGTTATTGTAATAAGAGTGTGTTTGTGCACACATGGATGTTTGTATGTATATACTTTAAGTCTGATCTTTTGATTAAAATAATGATAATAGAAACAGGTATTTAATGTATCGGGTCATACAAAGAAGCCCATTTTAGTATGAATCCCTATAAGCAGACCATAAGAATTAGCTATAAAGTCATTTCCTCCCTCGTGGAAGCACTCTTACTTATGTTTTTTTCTGTATAATATTTTATTTCATTTTTATTGTATATTGACAAATGATAGTTGTATATATTTATAGAGTACAAATACTTGCTTAATTTTAAAAATGTGTTCTTTATAAAGAATGTCAGGCCGGGCATGGTATCTCATGCTGTAATTCCAGCACTTTGGGAAGCCAAGGCAGGAGAATTGCTTGAGCCCAGGAGTTTAAGGTCAGTCTGAGCAACGTAGGGAGACCCCTGTCTATAAAAAAAAAAATTAAAAAAAAAAATAGCTGAGCATGGTGGTGAGCACCTGTAGTCCCACCTACTCGGGAGGATGGCTTAAGACCAAGAGGTCAAGGCTGCTGTGAGCTATGGTCACAACACTGCACTGCAGCCTGGGCAACAGAGCAAGATCTCATCTTTAAAAAAATTGTCAGATGCCATATAATCATAGAACAAATAAATACGTATTTTAAATATATGCATGTATCTCTAGAAGTACTTTCAAATTGTTATGACAATTCAGAGACAATTATTTAAAAATACATTGAGCATTTGCTTCCATTACATGACATCATTAAGTAAAATTAATTTTATGTTAAATTTACCATGCCAGTATTTTCAATTATTTTCATAAAATTATCTCTTGGTGATTGAAGGCAGAGAAACCCTTAATCACTTTGTTACCTTTTGAGAATCAAAATTTATATTATACTAGCTTTCTTTTTGTAAAACTATTAATGTACAATCAATCTGTAATTGATTTTAATTCTACCTCTTAAAAAAATTGAGAATGAGAAATACTTGCCACACAGCATCCTCACAGTTAAGTAAATTTCTGTTAAGAAATATAATCTCAAATGTGGGGTAGAAAATTTAGAAATTCTGGTTCCTTACATTATTCAGTAACACAGTGACTGGCATATTACAAAGAATAGCTTTGGTTGGTCATGAGTATAAATATATACTCATAATTGAATATGCATCTTTTTACATACTGACATATTGTTATAAAATATGGAGTAAGAATGGTCTATATCAGAAATCATGTGAATAGCATTCTTTTCTTAATATACCTCATAAAGTACTAGTATAGTTAATAAAAAGAGATAAAATACATTTTACTCTTTATTCCTACTTGATTCAATGGTGCTGCTCTTTTTAAAAACAAAACCGAATACTATTAAATATTAATTATATGAACTCGACATTGTTAATGAGCTAAATTACAAATTTGGTAACAAGGAACATATAATATGTACTTCATAATTTAACCTTCAGTATACCTTGGCAGCTTTAGTTTACACAACTACCTGGTGACTTCTCTGGGCCAAATGATTTGACAAGTCTAACTTCTATTTCCTCTTTTTTTCTAAAACAGGCATTATTAGAAATAAGTCCACACAACTGGAGCAAACTTATTTTTTACAAAGTTGCTGAATACACACAATGGGGAAAGGACAGCCCCTTAAAAAAAATGGTGCTGGGAAAATCGGTTATCAATTAGAAGAGTGAAATTAGACCCTTAACTCTTATCATATACAAAATGTTAACTGAATATGGATTAAAGACTTAACTGTAAAATTCAAAATAGCAAACTGCTAGAAGACAACACAAAGGAAAAACTTTAAGACATTGTTCTAAGCTAGGATTTTTGAATAAAACCTCAAAAGCAAATGTAAACAGTTGGGATTATATAAAACTAAAAAGCATCTGCACAGCAAAGGAACGAATCAACAGAGCAAAGACACAACCTACAGATTGGGAGAATAAATCTGCAAACTATACATCTAATATGATGTTAATAATCAAAATATATAAGGAGCTCAAACAACAACAAAAAACAAATTAAGGAAATGAGTGCATTTGTCTTCGTGAAATGGCCAAACTATATAATAAGAAGATAAATGTTTTCTAGAATTAAAAAGAGAAAAACACTTTTGATTCTAGTATCTGTTTTCACATGTGTATTGTTTACAATCATTGAATAATTGCTGCTATAGTTTTGATGTTTGTCTCTGCAAACCTCATGTTGAAATTTATCCTTAATGTTGGAAGTGGGGCCAAATGAGAGATCTTTAGGTCATGGGGATGGATTCCTCATGAGTAGATTCACCCCCAACTTGGAGAAAGGGTGAGTTGTCACCTAGTTCCCAGGAGGGCTAGCCAGTTGTTCAAAAGAACGTGGTATTTCCCCCCACCCCCACTCGCTTCCTCTCTCTTGCCATGTAATCTCTACACACACCTCCAGCTCTCTTTCTGCCTAAAGTGGAAGCAGCTTGAGGCCCTCATAAGAAGCACATGCTGGTGCCATGCTTCCTGTAAAGCGTGCAGAACTGTGAGCCAAATAAACCTCTTTTCTTCATCAATTACCTACCTCAGCTGTTCCTTTATAGTGACACTAAAGGAACTGAGAATATTGCTCTAAAAAAAATTCTGTTTGGTCAATACAAACCTGTTTTAAAAGTTAGTAGTGTATATAACAAGGAATACTTTTAAAGAATTAGAAAGATCTTTCTTTTGATGCAGACTATTATGTTTACATGCAAAGCTTTTGAACAACATTAATTATTTCTGTTGAGCGGATACAATACTTGCCATTGGGCCTTAAGAATATTTAATTAGTAGAAGAAGTGTTGCCTTACTTGCAATATTTTCATGCAGACTTTTTAAATAGCAGCAATGTTTGCTATATCACAGTTTTTTATCATTAAGTTTTAAGAGTGTTCAGGGTAAAATCACTCATAAACTGGAACATTAACTCCTACATTAGAGGAGTCAATCAACGCTATAGTTATTGATTGAGCCAATGGCATGTTTAAGTACACTTCTATATTGATGAGAATTTAAAGTTATGGATCATTGAATGGAGATTAGAGAAAATTACTTTCATAAAGTTTCTAAATTACTGTATTTTAAAATATTCTTTTTATTATATGTTGTTTTTTATTATGCTGCCTCTGAAACATCAAATCAAATTTCATTCTGTCCGTGTCTATGTGTGTATATGTATGTGATTTTGCTAGTTAAATATTTTTTCCAACACAAGTTAGAAACGAATCAGAAATGACTGAAAATTGAATGAGAAAAACTAAATAAAACACATATGACTGGAAAAACAGTAGGAAAATTAAACAGTGATAACTTTCAAAAATTCAAAGCTTTTCTCTAAGCTTATTTTTGTATAAAATTTATTCTTTAAGGTTACCTGCAGATTACATTCATCTTGTTTGTTACTCGAGCTTAAATTAAAAGAGCAAAATCACAAGATTTACTTTTTTATTAGTACTGTATTTTAAGTATTTCTTTGGTATTTTAATGAACTATAACTTAAATACCTCCCTTTTTCATTACATTTTTAAAATGTTCTACATAGGGTCACTGCATAGGTTTTCCACCAAGAGATAATTGAAACCTTAAATCAAACAATTGCAGAGAAGAAATTTTCTGTAATGGTTCATGGCACTCCATTCAAAACCATTTCTCCTTGGAAAATGAAAGTAATAGATTAATTCAAAACATTATCTGGAGAACAATTTGTTTTCCAACTATGTATTGTTATGATTCTTACTCACAAAATCATTACTGATTTAGTAATATTCTGAAAGTTTAAGAAAGAAAATGTCATTAAAAATATGGGTAAATGTATACATATCTGCTAATCTAAAAAGAGATTTTAACTTTTTTCTGATATTTTACATTTTTAGTATTAGGATACATTCAATATTATTGATTTCCATATATTGGAAGTTCTTTGATAATGGCAAGGAAAATGAAAGAATTTTATTGATTAATATGACTTAATTCAAAGAAAGCCTTTTAAAGACACAAGAAATGCTGAAAAATATTATTCAAGTGACAGAGTACTCTATGAAAATAAAAATCACCTATAAATAACCCTTTGTTCCCATTATTTTTACTTTTTTTCTGGTGAAGAGTGGCATTTTAAAACATAATAAGCCATTACTACATCAAGTGCTATGCCACTACAAATTCTAATCAGGACTGAGCTTTTAAGCTTCTGCCACATATTGAACTAAATTTGCAGATCTATAACAGGTTATTTTAGACAGTTGCACCAATCCCCAACCCAAATACTATTACATAAAGTTAACAATACTTACATGCTGATATTAAGTCAATAAACCTTATGTCACATGATAAAGGAAAAAGGAAATAAAATGAAGATATTTTGTTTGCACAAGTGTATACATGCACAAACATGTTTTTAACAAACGAAGGAGGAAATACTCATGGCAATGACAGTCCTCGTTTCTGAAGCTGGTCACATGGTCATAGCTGGTATTGATGACTACCTTCTTCTGCTACCCATTCTGTATTCCCTTTGCCTTCAGCAAGGAGCAGGTTGTGTCATTTTTTTTTTCCTGGTGGTGTGACCCAAACCTTCATTCCTGAAGGGCTTGTGTCATTTGTAGTCTGGCCTGGATAGGGCTGTTGTGGTTTCTCATTGACCTTAATCACAAGGCATGGTAATACTAAGAGATGCCCTAATGGACCTCCTGTATTCCATGCATACTCTTCCTTACCTCGGTTGTGGAATAGTAGACTGATTTCATCTTGATAGTCTGGGTCAATCATCCCAGCCAACACTAACTCCCTTCTTAGCCTGTTGGCTTAAAGGTAGGAGGAGCTCAAAGTGTCCAGGTGGCAATCTTAACTTCCAGTTTAATAGGATTGTTGTGTCTCCTGGTAGCAGCGTTCCTCCCTCTGGAACTAAGACTTCTAAGCCAGAAGAATGTAAGTTCGCAGGAACAGGGAGAAAAAATTGTGCCAGTGGATCACTAGGGGGATGGTGAGTGGTGCCACTTCCACTTCCACCCCTTGATTCCTGGACCCAAGAATCCTGGCCATGGAAGAAACAGTACCTTATATTGGACGCTGATTCAGAGCATACACAGCCTTCTGGAGAACACTGCCCCAGCCCTGCCAAGTACTGTCACCTATTTGATGTTGCAATTGTGACTTCAAAAGGCCATTCCATTGTTCTATCAATCCAGCTGCTACAAGATGATGGGGAACATGGTAAGACCATGGAATTCCATGAGCATGAGCTGACTGCCACACTTCTTTAGCTGTAAAGTGACTGCCTTGGTCAAAGGCGATGCTGTGTGGAATCCCATGACAGTGGATAAGGCATTTCGTGAGTCTACGAATGGTAGTCTTGAGAGAAGCATTGTGTGCAGGATAGGCAAACCCATATCCAGAGTAAGTGTCTATTCCAGTGAGGACAAACCTCTGCCCATTCCATAATGGAAGAGGTTCAGTATAATCAACCTGCCACCAGGTAGCTGGCTGATCACCCCAAGGAATGGTGCCGTATTGAGGCCATTCCTTGATATGCATTGGTCTCTGCTGTTGGCAAATTGGGCACTCAGCAGTGACTGTAGCCAGGTCAGCCTTGGTGAGTGGAAGTCCATGTTTCTGAGCTCATGTCACCATGGCCACTTTGTTGGTGGGCCCATTGGGTGATGACTGGTGTGCCTAGGGAAAGAGGCTGAGTGGTGTCCACAGAATGGGTCATCCTATCCACTTGATAATTAAAAATTTCCCTCTGCTGAGGTCACCCGTTGGTGAGCACTCACGTGAGATACAAATATCTTCACAGTTTTTGACCACTCAGAGAGGTCTATCTACATACCTCTTCCCCAAATTTATTTGTCACCAATTTTCTAATCATGCTTCTTCAAGACCTTGACCATCCAGCCAAATCATTGGCTACAGTCTATGAAGTGGTATATAATCGCAAATTTGGCCATTTTTCCTTCCATGCAAAGTGCACAAACAGGTGCAGTGCTTGAAGTTCTGCCCACTGGGAAGATTTCCCTTCACCATTGTCCTTCACGGGTGTCCTAGAAAGGGGCTGTGGTACTGCAGCTGTCCACTTTCGGGTGGTACTTGAATATCGTGCAGAACCATCTGTGAACCAGGGCCTAGTCCTCTCTTCCTCTGTTAACTGATCATGGTAAACTCCTCATGAGGCCATTGGTGCAGGCTGGGGGAGAAACTGCAGGGTGGCAGCAGGAAAGACCATGAGAATTTGAGCCACTTCCTCATGTAACTTACTTGTGCCTTCAGGACTTGCTCAAGCCTGACCACGTATATACCACTTCCATTTGTTGATGGAATGCTGCTGTGCACATGCCACTTCATGGCTAGATGGGTCAGAAAGCACCCAGTTCATGATAGGAAGTCAGGTCACGTTGTGACTTGATGACTCATAGTCAAATGTTCAGTTTCCACCAAAGCCCAGTAACAGGCCAAGAGCTGTCTCTCAAAAAGAGACTAGTTATCTGCAGAAGATAGCAGGGCCTAGCTCCAAAATCCTAGAGGCCTCTGCTGTGATTCACCAATGGAGGACTGCCAGTGGCTCCAAACAGCATCCCTATCTGCCACTGACACCTCAAGCACCATTGGATCTGCTGGGTCATAAGGCCCACATGGAAGAGCAGCTTGTACAGCAGCCTGGACCTGTTGCAGAGCCTTCTCCTGTTCTGGACCCTACTTAAAACTGGCAGCCTTTCAGGTCACTTGATAAATGGGCCTGAGTAACACACCCAAATGAGGAATGTGTTGCCTCCAAAATCCAAATAGGCCCCCTAGGTGTTGTGCCTCTTTCTTGGTTGTAGGAGGGGCCAAATACGGCAACTTATCATTCACCTTAGAAGGAATGTCTCGACAGGTCCCACACCACTGGACCAGTAGAAATATTATGAGATAGAAGGTACATGAATTTTAGTCGGATTTATTTCCCATCCTCTGGCATGCAAATGTCTCACCAATAAATCCAGTGTGTTTGCTACTTCTTGCTCACTGGATCCAATTGGCATAATGTCATCAATGTAGATAGGCCAGTGCGATATCTTGCAGAAGTGAAAAGTGATCAAGCTCTCTCAGAATAAGATTATGACACAAAGCCGGTAAGTTAATATACCCCTGAGGTAGGACAGCAAGGGTATATTGCTGGCCTTGCCAGCTGAAGCCAAATTGCTTCTGGTGGGCCTTATGGACAGGAATGGAGAAAAAGGCATTTGCCAAGTCAATGGCTGCATTTCAGATACCAGGAGATATGTTAATTCCTCAAGCAATGAAACCATATCTGGTACAGCAGCTGCAATTGGAGTCACCACTTTGCTAAGCTTACAATAATCCACTGTCATTCTCTAAGATTCATCTGTCTTCTGCACAAGTCAAATGGGAGAGTTAAATGAGGATGTGGTGGGAATCACCATCCCTGTGTCTTTCAAGTCCTTGAGGGTGGCACTAATCTCCACAATCCCTCCAGGGATGCAATATTGTTTTTGATTTACCATTTTTTAGGTAGAGGCAGCTCTAATGGCTTCCATTTTGCCTTTCCCACCACAATAGCTCTCACCTTACCAATCAGGAAGCCAATGTGGGGAATCTGCCTGCTGGTAAGTACATCTATGCCAATTATGCATTCTGGCACTGGGGAAATGAGCACAGGATGAGTCCAGGGACCCACTGGACACAGTGTAAGTCAGACCTGAGCTAAAACTCCATTAGTTACCTGACCTCCATTAGCCCCTACTTTAACTAGAGGACTGCAATGATGTTTTGGGTTCCCTGAAATCAACGTCACCTCAGAGCCAGTGTCCAGTAATCCCTGAAATGTCTGATCTTTTCCCTTTCCCAAGTGCACAGTTACCCTGGTAAAAGGCCTGAGGTCTCCTTGGGGAAGGATGGGAAAAAGACTCACTGCATAAATTGTCGGTAATGTAGTGGGATTCTTCCTGAAGGGCACCTGGCCCCCACTTCATTCAAGGGGTTCTGGGTCTGTACACAGGCTTAAGTCTGGAAGTTGATTGAGGGGCTGTAATTCTCTGTTTTTATAACTCAAATTAGCCTTTTGTCCATTTAACCTATAAGTTTTCTGCTTATATAAATTAAGTAGGAATGCAGTAGGCTTCTTATCAATTTTGCTTCTAGGAACAGTGTGATTAATTAGACAATGCCAGAGGTCTGCACGAGTAAGACTATTCTGATTGCCACTTTGCCTCTGCTGTCCATTAAGGTAGCTATGCCCACCTTGCCTTTGATGGTTTAGGGCTGCCACTTGGCCCCTGCCACCTTGGGATCCAGTTATTCCCATTGTGTTTAAATTTTGTAGTTGAGTGACTGCAGTTCCCACTGTTAGATATGACGTAGAAATAAGAGCAATTTCAGGGCTCTTCAAAGATGCGGGTGCTGCCCTCACAGATCTATTTCACAAGGCATTGGTCAATAGTATGTCTTCTGAACCTTTCCAGCTGGGATGAGTAGCTCTAAAGTGACTTATCTACTCTACCATCCCAATATCCCTAAGGCTTTGGATCCCTTCCTCTACATTAACCCAAGGGAGATCAGGCTTTTCCAGCTCATTCACAGTGGGCCATCTTTTAATCCATATATCAGCTATCCAAGCAAATAAACTATTAGAAACTTTTTTAACTCCCTGAGCTGCAACATTAAAAGCAGAGTCACTATTTAGTGGGACCAAATCAATAAATTCAGCCTGATCCAACTCTGTGTTCTTTCCACCATTATCCCATACCCTTGGTATCCATTCCCATGCCTGTTCTCTAGATTTCTGTTCATATAAATTACAGAATTCAAACAGTCCTTTTAAAATGTCATGTGCCTCTTCATGGGTCACACTCTCAACCTCACCTTTAGCTGCATATGAGAACTTTAGTTTAGTTATAGGTCTAGAAGCAAACAGAGGTGTTGGGGGTGACTCCTGAGGGGAATCAGCACTATCTTTCCTGGCAACTGCCTCAGGGGAGGCCAACACTGTTGCCTCAGGCAGTGCAGGGTTTATCTCCTCAGACAATGGTGGAAAGGGTGATGGCAGCATGGATCAGTGGGATGGGGATGTTGCTAGTACAGGGGATGGGGAAGCTGTTTCTTCAGGCAAAACGTTCATCAGAGTTTACAAATTCAGTGTCCCCAGCTCCATCAGGGTCCCCTCACAAGTCCCTATTCCAAGTTGCAGGGTCCCATTCTTTTCCAGTCAAGGCCCTCACTTTAACAGTAGACACATGATGAGGCTGTGCATGCACCTTTTGTTGCAGTTCAGCAACTCACATGATAAGAGCTTGTGTCTGTTTTTCCACAATTTCAGCTCTTTCCCTACAGGAGATAAGATTCTCACTCCAGGCAATCTTAGCTGATTTGAGGCTCAGTATCAGGTTCTGAAACCGGGAGACAGAATCCTTGAGCTCATCATTTTCTTTCATCACTTTGTTTTGTGAACTTAGGAGCAACCAACCAGTTTCATTATGTTCCTTGGTTCTCCACATATGGTCAAAGGTATTATGTCTAGAGTCACCAAACTCCTTGCCTCTCATGACTGATGAATCAGGAGTGTCAAATGCATTTATTTTGCATAACTCTCTAAACAGTTCACACCAATGACTATCAGTGTTATCCATACTATTAGAAGTAGAGTCCTTAGCATTTTGAGGAATAATCATATCAAGCAGCCAATTCCAGGAAACCCAAAACCAATGAAATTACTCCATCCTTAATATTCTGTTCCTCTAGAACCACTCCTGTTACCAAAATCTGTATTAGTCAGGGTTCTCCAGAGAAATAGTACTAATGGAATAATACATATATTCTATGTATGAGATTCTATTAAGCATTAACTCACACAATTACAAGGTCACAGAATAGGCCATCTGCATGCTGAGGAGCAAGAAGAGCCAGTCCAATTTCCAAAACTGAAAATCTTGGAGTCTGATGTTCAAGGGCAGGAAGTACCCAGCATGGGAGAAGATGTAGGCTGGGAGGCTAGGCCAGTCTAGTCTTTTCACATTTTTCTGTCTGCTTATATTCTAGCCTTGTTGGTAGCTGATTAGATTGTGCCTACCCAGATTAAGCTGGGGGGGCGGGGGTGGTCTGCCTTTCCCAGCCCTGACTCAAATGTTAATCTCCTTTGGCAACACCCTCACAGACACACCCAGGATCAATACTTTGCATCCTTCAATCCAATCAAGTTGCCACTCAGTATTAACCATTGCGAGAATGTTTCTTAATAGAATATATGGCCTTTTCTCCCGTTTTTAAAGTTTAACATATAATTTATTTATTTAGTTGTTTACTGTTAGACATTTAGGCAATTGCAATTATATACAATATTATGGTCTAAAACAACAAAGGTTAATTTCATTAAACTCTGGATTAACAACCAATTTACAGAAAATATAGAAGACTGAAGATAATCTTGAGATTGACCAAAAACAAAAGAAAAGAAAACAAAGTCTGCTGAGGACAAAAAAAAAAAATGGTTTGTGATAAATTTTAATAAATAAAAAGAGAGAAAACTTTTTTTTTTTTTGAGATGAAATTTTGCTCTTGTTGCCTGGGCTGGAGTGCAATGGTGTGATCATAGCTTACTGCAACCTCTGCCTCCTGGGTTCAAGTGATTCTCCTGCCCCAGCCTCCTGAGTAGCTGGGATTACAGGCATGTACCACCACGCCCGGCTAATTTTGAAATTTTTTAGTAGAGATGGGGTTTCTGCATGTTGGTCAGGCTGGTCTCGAACTCCTGACCTCAGGTGATTCACCCGCCTCTGCCTCCCAAAGTGCTGGGAACACAGGTGTGAGCCACCATGCCGCCAAAAGCAAATTAATTAAAAAGTCTATGAACCAATATCAGTTTGGACCTTGTTTGCATACTGATTTCAAAACACATTAACAAAATATTTATGGATCCCATGGACATTGAAAGAACACTAAAGTGATAATATAAGCAACTCCATTTCTAAAACTTAATAATAAGAAAAATGGACCAACTACTTGAAAGGCACAAACTGCCAAACACACAAAAAGAAATAGAACATCTGAAAAATCCTTTACCTATTAAATAAATTGAAACAATAAGTAATAACCTTAAAAAAAAAAACCACAAAAGCACCAAACCCAGGTAGTTTCACTGGTAAATTCTGCCAAATATTTAATAAAGGAACACATCAAGGCTCCACAATCTCTCCTAGAAAAAGAAAGCAAAAGAAACACTTCCTAACTAATCAATAAAACCAACATTAACTTAATTCCAAACCAAGTAAGACATTAAAAGAAAAAATAGAGATCAGTGTCTGATGGGATCATGGATGTGAAAATCCTCAACGAAACATTAAAAGACATTTCCAAAAATGTATTAAAAGAATTATACACCACAATGAAATGGAACTTTTTCCATGGTAAAAAGCTGGTTGAAACCTTGAAAAATCAATCAATCTAATCTACCACATCAACAGACTAAAGAAGAAAACTAATAATCTAAACTAATGAAGAAAAATACTTTATTACTTATGAAAAAAGATTCTCAGCAAAGTAGGAATGGATAGTAACTTTCTCAGACAGGGTACAAAAATAATTCCCTCTTTCATCACTTCGATTCAACATCTTGTTGGAAGACCTAGCTAGCACAATAAGAAAATAAAAAGAAATAAATGTTCACAGATTAGAAAGAAACAAAGCTGTTTATTCACAGATAACATGAATGTCTATAACGATTATGTTTAAAAACTTTTACAATAGCACCAAAAATAAATGAAATACTTACATGTTTAGGTATAATTCTAACAAAATAAGTACAGGATCTGTATATTCAAAATTATAGAATTGCAATAAAATAATGAGATACTGTGTGTTCATGAATTTGAAGACAGTATTGTTAAGATGTCAATTATTCACACATTAATCTTAATTATCACAATAGTTCAATTACATTGAAGGTTGATACGGATTTTTGTGGTTTTTCATTGTTGCTATTTTGAAGTTCTCATGCTCTTGAATTAATAAACAGAAAAAGGCATCACTGGAAAGGCCTGCATAATAAATTATATTTACGAAAGGGTTATTGTGCTGCTACACAATAGGAGGACTATAAATCTAACTTGAGAGACTCACTGGTATATCACTTAACAATCATCTAATTGTTAATTCAGTGGAGGATTATAGGAACCCACTAAAGAGAACATCCCTAAGAATTTAGACTTTTCAGGAAATTTCAGGAAATACTTCTCCTCCAAAAACTATCTAAAATATATACTTTTTGTATTTTGGATAAACCATAAAATATTTATCCTTGTTTCTATCTCTGTGTTCTGAACTCAGAAATCACTGGAATTGAAAAGAAAATAAACAATTGAGAAGATCAATGAGGAAAAAAGCTTATTTGAAAAATCAACAAAAATAACAACACTCAGGCAAGACTGACAAGGCAAAAAAAAAATACAGATTATTAATAGCAGAACTGAAAGAACCAGTGATACTTACTTGATAAGATTTTGCTGTTTCCCCACCAAAATCTCGTCCTGAATTGTAGCTCCATGAACCCTCATGTATCATGGGAGGGACCCAATGGAAGGGACCCTTTAGTGTTCTTTTAATATCTATCACATGCCGCTTTTTTCCCTGTTTATTTTATACCAACCCATTGTCCTAGTTTCTGCGCTCAAAGAGGCAGAAGTCAAAGCCATTGCTGTTGTCTTTGAACATGCTGTCTACTGGAATTTTCTCAACATCCTGTCCTAAACTCTTCCTTACTATAAGAATATTATTTTATATCATTATTCTCTGTGAAGGATTTCCTAATCTTTGAAGTTAGATCTTCAAAATATCTCACTGTAGCCTGTGCTTATTT
The DNA here is from genome assembly GCF_000001405.40 of Homo sapiens. Taxonomy (NCBI): domain Eukaryota; kingdom Metazoa; phylum Chordata; class Mammalia; order Primates; family Hominidae; genus Homo; species Homo sapiens. Next base: position 66,369,105 of record NC_000018.10, on the reverse strand, counting down.
TTATGTGATTAGTAATTAGTACTGTTACTGTATTGTAATTATAGTAAGTATGGCAAATAATTAACATCATTAATTGATTGTCTGATATATGGAAAGCACCCATTCATACTTTTATTTCTTCATTAAACTAAGAAATATTTATTGATCGCATCCAGTCTTAATTCATTATAATGTCAATATACATATAACCTGACTCCTCATTTCACTCAATTCTACTCCTTAAATGATCTTGACACCCACTGTGTGTCGACCTTTTAATCCTCTGGTAATTCCTAGACCAACTCTTAATAACAACATTCGCTACATCAATTCATTTTCAAGTATCCCACATTCTGATAACATCTATTTCCACCTAGTCCCTCTAGCATCCAAACTGTGAAATTCCTATACTTTCTCCATATCTACAATGCTTTTATCCTACCTCTTAATGTGCATATTCTTACCTCCCTTTTTAATCAAGATAAATTTCTTGTCTAGCCACGAGGCCAACTCCTCTGCATAGTATGAGCTCTCTTTCTTGACTTGTGAGGTTAGTAACAAATTAAACTGTCTGCCTAATCAGCACAGCACATTCAGCTAAGCATGTCTAGAGGAAAACACACAACCACAGAGACTGGTCTTACTTAAAATCATGACCTTGAACCTCAGGTAGACACTTAAGCTTCATTTTCTGAGTTCTTTAAGGTTAATCTTCAGTTTTCCGGTAGACTACTGCACACCTACTCACTATTTACAGTTTTAGCATCATAGACTCTTCCATTCTCATTCTCAGCTGATGTCCTTATTTCCCATTTTCCTAAGAAAGGAGAACTTACACAGATTTACACCATCTTCTTCTGTTAATGACCAGCATCTGAACCCATATACTCTGTCTCGTTTCCTCTGATGAAAGGTAAACGCTTCCTCCTGTCTGAGGTCAGTCTTTAATTTATGTGCTAGATTCATTCCCCTATCAAATACTTAATATGGCTGTAGCAATTCTATGTTCCAAAACATGTATTATAATTTGTTTCTCCCGTAGATTATTTCCAGTGACATAAAGAGATACTGCTACTAACGTATTTCTCTGTTCCTCTTTGTTGTAAGAATTGTTGAATTGATTCGCTTGATGGCTCACTTCAACTTCTTCTATTTTCTCTTATATGCATTTCATATCCACTCTACTGATCAGTTTCAGGTGTCAACTTGACTAGGGATAGGTCATCTCCAGTTACCCAATCAAGGATTAATTTAGGCTTGGTGAAAGTTGCGGTTTTGTAGCTGCAATAAATGTTGACTTTAGGTAAGGGAGATTATCTTACATAATTGAGATGAGCTTGATTAAATCATTTGAAAGGCCTTACCAGTAGAACTGAGGCTTCCCAGAAGAAATTCTGCCTGTGGATTATTGCCTCAGCTCCTGTTGGTGAGTTCCATCCAGCCCTTCCTTCAAGCCTATCCTATGAATTGTGGATTTGTCTAGTGAGTTCCTACAATTACATAAGCAAATTCCTCGCAATAAGTCTTCTACTGTGCAGTTGACTCTTGAACAACACAAGTTTAAACTATGGATGTCTATTTATATGTAGATTTTCTCGTGCTTCTGCCATCTCTGAAAATTATGCTTCATTTCAGTTCTCACCTTTATAGTCTTATTAGTAGTATCTGTCATAGTCAAAAAAACTTCCCTTTGATGCAATGTTTTTACTTATGTTTTCCCTCAATTGTCTAGAAAGATGGTGGTTGACACATCTAAAAAAAATTAGCCATTCTAATGGGTGTGGAAAAATATTTCATTTTGGTTTTAATTAAATTTTCTTAGTAGCAAATACTTTTAATATATTTTATATGCTTTTTACCATCTGTATATATTTGTTAAAATGTCTACATGTATTTTTTCTATTTTCTATTTGGATATTTTTCTATAGAATTGAGTTTTGAGACTTTATATATCCTAAATATTGACACTTTGTCAGCTCTGTGGTTTGCAAATATTTTTCCCCACCCTAAATGTTGCTGAATTTTGTCAAATGCTTTTTTGTACACCAATTAATCAGATCATGTGATTTTTCTTCTTTTAGATTACACTGATTTTCAAATATTGATCCAATTTTGCATAGCTGTAATAAAACCTACTAAGTCATAGTGTATAATTCTTTTTACATATTACTGAATTTCCTGTACTAATATTTTGATAAGGATTATTCATGAAGGATATTGGTCTGTAGGTTTTCAGGGTTTTTTTTGTATGAATTTTGCGTGTGTTTAGCATCAGGATAATATAATCTTCATAAAATGAATTAGGAAGTATTTTCTATTTTCCAAAAGGGGTTATATAGAATTGGTGTTACTTATTTTGAAAATGTTTGGTAGTGTATTAGTCCATTCTCACTCTGTTAATAAAGACACACCTGAGACTGGGTAATTTATAAAGAAAACAAGTTTAATGGGCTCACAGTCCATATGGCTGGGAGGCCTCATAATCATGGTGGAAGGCAAAAGAAGAGCAAAGAGACATCTTATGTGGTGACAGGCAAGAGAGCCTGTGAAGGGGACCTCCCCTTTATAAAACCATTAGATCTTGTGAGATGTATTCACTATCAAGAGAACAGCATGGGAATAACCCACCCCCAGGATTCAATTACCTTCCACTGCGTCCCTCCCATGATACATAAGGATTAACAGAGCTACAATTCAGGATGAGATTTTGGTGGGGAAACAGCCAAATCATATCAAGTAAGTATCACTGGTTCTTTTAGTCCTGCTTTAATAATTTGTATACATTTTTTGCTTTGTTAGTCTTGCCTGAGTGTTGTTATTTTTGTCGATATTTTCAAATAAGCTTTTTTCCTCATTGATCTTTTCACTTGTTTATTTTCAGTTCCAGTGATTTCTGCTTATCTTTATTATCTTTCGCTGCTGCTTGTTTTGGGTTTATCTGGCTCTTTGTTTTTACATTATGAAGATATAAACTTAGATGTAATCTAAGTTACATCTTGTAAACTTGATTTGATACATTTCTTTCTTTTTTAAGGTGTGCATTTAGTGTTAAATATTTCTTTCTTAGCACTGTTTTTACTTTGTTTCACACAGTTTGACATGTTGTATTTTAATTTTTATTCAGTTCCGTGTATTTTTTAAATTTCCTTTCGGACTTCTACTTAGACCCATGGATGATTTATAAGTATATTGTTTAGTTTCCATGTGTTTGGATATTTTCCTATCTTTCAATTATTGATTTCTTGATTTCTAGTTTGATTCCTTTTTTTTTTTTTTTTTTGAACACACTTGATATGGTTTGGCTCTGTCCCCACCAAAATCTCATCTTGAATTGTAGTTCCCATAATCCCCACGTGTAATGTGAGAGATCAGGTGGAGATAATTGAAGCATGGGGGCAGTTTCCCCCATCCTGTTCTCGTGATTGTGAGTTAGTTCTCATGAGAGCTGATGGTTTTATATGGGGCTTCCCCCTTCACTGGGCAGTCATTCTTCTCCTTCCTGCCTTCATTTGAAGGAGGATGTGTTTGCTTCCCGTTCCACCATAATTGTAAGTTTCCTTAGGCCTCCACATCCAGGCTGAACTGTGAGTTAATAAAACTTCTTTCCTTTGCCCAGTGTCAGGTATGTCTTTCTTAGCAGCACGAGAACAGATTAATACAATACTTTTATTTATTTTAATTATTTTATATGTTCTGAGCTTATTTTATTGTGGAGGATGTGATGCATTTTGGTATTCGTTCCATAGTCACTTGGAAAGGATGTATATTGTGTCGTTGGGTAGAATGCGCTATAAATGTAGGTTGGATTCTGTTGTTGATGGTGTTGCATTCTTCTATGTTTTTGTTGATTTTCTGTCTTGTTTTGTCACTTATTGAGAGAAGCTTGTTGAAATCTCTAACATAACTGTGGGTTATCTGTTCTTTTGGTTCTATCATTTTGCTTCAACTTTTGCAGTTCTGTTGTATGTTGCATACACATTACATTTGTTCTGCCTTCTTAGATTGTGTCTCTGTGTCTAGTAATTCTATTTTCTCTGAAGTCTCCTTTATTTAATATTAATATAACCACTACTGCCTTACTTTGTTTGCATGATATAACTTATTTCATCTTTTTACTTTCGACCTGCCTATATTGCTATATTTGAAGTGATTTGTTTGTAAACAGCATATAGTGAGGCCATATCCTGAAATTTATTCTGCTATGGTCTGTCTTTTAAATGTGTATTTAGACCATTTTTATTTAATAAAATTATTGGTATTCTAGGGCTTACGTCTGAAATTTTATTTTATTTTTCTATTTGTTTTCTCATTCTCATTCTCTGTTTTACTTCTCTTGCTTTCTGGTGGATTGCTTGAAATTTTTAAAATAATTTCATTTTGATTATAGTGTTTTTGAATATATCTATTTGTTGTCTTTGTACTGCTACCTCTAAGTATTACATTTATATGCATAACCTGTGAAGTCTACCAGTGTAATGATTTCACCAGTTTGAGTGAAGGGTAGAAATTGTACTTCTTTTTTACCCTCCTAATTACTATGTAATAGTTTTTAATACGCTCCTACATGCATTCCAAACCTTATTACACAGGGCTATAATTTTTTATTCAATCATCAAATAAAATTCACAAGTCACAAGATAAAAAGAAAAAAAGCCTATTTATTTACCTACATTTATGCTTACTATGTTATTTTTTTCTTTCCTGGTGTTCTAAGGTTTTTGTTTTCTTTTCCTTCTGTTGAGACAACTTCCTTTAGCTGCACTTTTAGCTTAGATCTGCTGATGACAAATTCACTTAGTTTTGCTTCATTTAAGGCTGTCTTGATTTCTCTTTCATTCCTAAAAAGCAGCTTTACTGAACATACAGTTCCCAGTTGACCAATGCTTTTCTTCCAGCACTTCGATATATTGTACCATTTTATTATGGACTTCATGATTTTTGCCATTCAATTTGTTTTTTCCACTATAGATAAGGTATTTTTTTTTCTGACTGCTTTCAAGATTGTTTTATTTGGCTTTAGTTTTTAAAAGTTTAAATGTGATGTGCGTTGCTGTGAATTTCTTTGGATTTATCTTCCTTGATATTTGCTCGGCTTCTTAAATCTGCAGGTTTATGTCTCTTGCCAAATTGAGAAGTTTTATCTACTATTTCTTCAAATATTTTTATTGTCAGCCTCTTTCTCCTCTCCTTCTGGAACTTCAATAGCATAACTATTAGAACATTGATAATGGTCTCACAGGACCCTGAAGCTCTGCTTACTGTGTTTTCACTCTATTTCCCCCGTTGTTCAGATTGGGTAATTTCTATTGTTCTTTCTTCAAGTTTGCTGATTCTTTCCTGCATCCTATTGATTCTGAAGTTGAGCCTCTCCAATAAGCTTTTCTTTGGTTACTGTATTTTTCACTTTATCTCCTATTTCCATTATATTATTCTAGACATATTCTATTCATTGCTGAGACTATTTTTCACTGAGGCTTTCTAGTATTTGTTTCCAGTGTGTTCATCATGGCTGCTTAAAATTTTTGTCTGACAACTAATATCTCTATAATCTCCATATTGCCTTCTTTTGATTGTTTTCATTAAGTTTGAAATCATCTTGGTGCATAGAAAACCAGACAAAAAACAAAACCAGCAACTGTTTTTCTCCCATACTCTCACTCAACACAGAACATTTCTGGTCACCAAAATGTTTATTGGAGTATCGGAGTAGGGGGAGATTTTCCACACTAACCAGTTTTTTTTCTTTTCTTTTTTTTTTTTGACGGAGCCTCGCTGTGTCACCCAGGCTGGAGTGCAGTGGCGCGATCTCGGCTCACTGCAACCTCTGCCTCCCGGGTTCACTCCATTCTCCTGCCTCAGCCTCCCTAGTAGCTGGGACCACAGGCGCCCGCCACCACGCCTGGCTAATTTTTTTTGTATTTTTAGTAGAGACGGGGTTTCACCGTGTTAGCCAGGATGGTCTTGATCTCCTGACCTCGTGATCCGCCCGCCTCGGCTTCCCAAAGTGCTGGGATTACAGGCTTGAGCCACCGTGCCCGGCCCACATTAACCAGTTTTTAAACATCAGCTGATTGCCCTACAATTTAACTCAATTCTGACACTCTGTACTTGGAGGTAGCATCAGATGTAGCAGATTAAGGGCTCAGTCCCACAAGACTGCTTCCCCACTTCAGGGGTCAATCACAAGTCCAGGTTACCTGTGTTTCACCAATCAGCTATTCATTGAAGTTTTCCACAACCCCTTCCTCAGGCCCAATCATTTGCTAAAAATGACTCACAGAACCCAGGAAAACACTCCACACTTACCCAGATGATAAAGGGATACAATTCAGAAATAGAAGAAATAGATGCATAAGACAAAGTATGGGGGGAAGGAGTGGAGCGCGTCTCTGTCCTCTCCGGGCACACCACTCTCCATGTGTTTGGCAGCCCAGAAGTTTTCCACGCCCCAATCTTTTATTTTTCTATAGAGCCGCCATTTCATAGGAAATAATTGATTAAATCATTGGTCATTGGTGATTGGGTCAAGTTTTAGCCCCTCTCCAGTACCTAGAGTCAAAAATGGGACTAAAAAGTTCAAACCCTCTAATCAAATGGTTGATTCTTCAGGCAACACACCCCCATTCTTAGGATATCAAGGAGGCCTCAGCCATCAGTCATCTCACTAGCATACAAAAACATCACTTTGGAGATTCTATTGGTTTCAGGAGCCATGTGCCAGAAAATGGGGTCAAAGATAAAAATATTTATTTCTTATTATTTATCACAACATAACTCCTGATTTGAGGTACTACAAGTAACCTTTGATTGAAACCTGGACATTTTCATGTTATGTTATGGGATTCTACATTATATTTAAACCATTTGGTTTAACTATGTTTTTCATGTCTGCAACAGGTGAATGAATGTCTCATTAATGCGTGGTGGAGGTAGACATCTATTAATAGTTTCCCAATTAAACCTTTGTTGATGCTTAAGGGGAAAGAGTTCCTCATCACTGCCAAGTAGAGGTGGGAGTTCTGGCTCCCCAGTGCCGTTTACTCTCATCTTGCTGTGGGGGTGGCTTCATTGCCATTCTGAAATAGTAAAGGTCCAGACTCCCCACCAGGCTGCCTCTGACATCATCCAACAGTAGAAAGAGAAGTGTCATTACTGACCTGTGCAGATAGAAATTTTGGCTCCCTCTTTGGCCTTCTCTGCTACTACTATGGAGAGTGTCTTGGGGCAGTTCTTCACAATTTTACAAGGATAGAAATCTAGGCTCACCAGTCAGCCTTTGCTGACATGTAGGAGGTGGGGGAGCACAGCTTTTTCTGAGGTGCTTGGGTGTGGTAGAGTGCTAATTGACTAAAAGTTTTCTGTTTTGCTATGTTGCCTTTAACCTAGTGTTTGATCAGAGAGAAAAGGATTTAGTTGGAGTGCCTGTTGTCATTCCCAGATTGACAGCTTCTTTGACTGTAAGTCTGGGATATATGAAGAAAATAAACAAAGAAAAAAATAAGGAACTGACAACTGTGTCATTCTTGGCTACCTGGTTCCCTTGCTGGCTGTCTTCTCTACAACATTTAGCATTTTGTGTGTGTGTGTGTGTGTATATATATATATATGTAGATAGATAGATAGATACAGATACAGATATATAGAGAGTTTTTTTGTTTGTTTGTTTGTTTGTTTGAGATGGAGTCTCGCTCTTTCGCCAGGCTGGATTGCAGTGGTGCAATCTCGGCTCACTGCAACCTCTGTCTCCCGGGTTCAAGCGATTCTCCTGCCTCACCCTCCTGAGTAGCTGGGATTACAGGCGTGTGCCACCATGCCCAGCTAATCTTTGTATTTTTAGTAGAGACAGGTTTTCACCATGTTAGCCAGGATAATCTCGATCTCTTAATCTTGCGATCTGCCCACCTCGGCCTCCCAAAGTGCTGGGATTACAGGTGTGAGCCACCGCGCCTGGCCTATTTTATATTTATGTAATAACCATGATGGCAAGTTGTAAGTCGTGGGAGGAATGTGGAAAAGTACATCTACTCCATTTTCCTGGAAGTGGAAGTCCTGTAACTTCATTCTGAAATTTTAAAAAAAGGAAAAACAAGAAATACAGACATTCATCTTACTTCAACTTTTATATGTAGACATCAGAGCAATAAAACATCTTCCATATGTCTTATATTTATAATATCATTTATTCATACAAGTATATTCTAACAGGTATTTTTATTACTACTTTGTATTTTAGAAAAATGATGTTTACAAAGATTATCTTATAGTAGGCAAGTAGTAAGTAGAGGAGACAATTTGAATATAGAGAAAGTGACCTTAAATTCTGTTTTATAACCACTGCATCATGCAATATTTGTAATTCAAATAGTGAGTATATTTTAATTATGGCACTTATATTTTAATAGCAAATCATAAAGTTGAACAAATAGAATCAGTGACATTTTCTTAGCATACAAAAGAAAATACTTCTAAGTACAGAAATTCTAAGAAAAACTCTTTGAAGATAAAAATTTTTAATAAAAATATTATATGTAATGTAATTGCATTACAGCCACATTAACTAATATTATTAAGCCTATCTTATTCTCCTAGAAATATATAATAAATACATTTAAATGCAAATGAGTTAGCACAAAATAAGCTTTTAATTAATGAATAAAGGTTACATTAAAGTGATATTCCATATATATTTTCATGAAATACATTTGCATTATAACTAAGACATATTAGACCCTCCAATCACCATGCTATGTAGTCCAATATTGGAATTTCATCTTTCAAAATATAACACTTTTCAATTACTCATATAGTTATGTTTACTAAAAATGTTAGTGACCTGTTTCACCAATAATTTTTTCTAAATTAATTTGGGTGACGAGGATTATTATTCTCAATTTATAGGTTAAAATTGTTTTCAATGAAAGCAAAATTAAATAATATAAACCACTAAAATACAAGTCTTTAAAAATTAACTTTTAAAAAGGAGCCATAATTTCTCTTTTCCCATTTCTGATTATTCTAAAAATGTTGGTAACTCTACTAAACAGTAATAATGATTAATAATGTTTTCTCATATAAAGTCAAGAAACCACATTTTGACTTTTAACATTCCTTTTATTCTATCCCTCTGTTTTCCTTCTTTTCTTTCATTGTACTTACTTATAATTTTATAAAGCGGATTTTTAAAATTATAACAGAAAAAAAGAATATATGTGCCTTATACCTTTTGACACATACATACAATTTGAAACTAAAACTTATCAGACACATAAGATTGTAACTATGGGAAATAGCAGTGTTATTTTTAGAAAGGTGAGAAATAGAAATTTCATCTGAACAATAATTTTATTAATTTTGTGATCCTACCTAAGCATGTTCAATAATAGTTTATGCATTTGCATTTGTTCACTAGTTTACCATGCATTGATTAGTGTCAGACATAATGCTAGTCGCTGGGGATATAATTATTAGCAACACATGTTTCCATCTCCAAGCCTATAGATGATTTTTAGTCAAAGAAGATTTTTAGTCTAATAGTATTCCAAATTTATTTATTTAAAATAATAATCAGAAGGTTCGAGTATGAATGTATATTAAAACACAGCTGGAGGGTGTTTGTTTTAAACAGGAATAAAAGGCATGCCATCATAAACCATCTATTCATCTCTGGTTTCTGTGTCTTTTCACAACCTGGAATCATTCCATAGACATGGTTTCTCCAAGTTGCAGAAAAAGGGTAGCCACAATCCCACTAGCTAAACATTCTCCTGCCCTAACAGCTCTGCCCCTTACTTTCCTCCCCTTCCTCCCACCCCCCAAAAAAGAGACAATTTCTTTACCAGTGTCCTTGCTTCAATCTTTGTTAAAAACATGTAGTCAAGACCAAAGATTCAGAGACATGTCCTAGGATAACTAGGATAACTAGGACCCCACTCAGGGCCAACAGGCATTTGGGACTCAGCAGTAATTGGATAAAAATAGGCAACAGCAGCTCCTAATCTCCTCATAGCCCTTTTTATGGGGGCCTGATGTTCTCTACTGGATATAAAAGATGTACTAGGAAAATAATAATTTTCCATTGTATTTGCTGCCATAATAAGTAAATGTAAATAGACTCATGTTTCCATACATAAAACTCCAACATCACCAAATTAATTTGTCTTTACATCATGGAACTATCAAAATCACTATCATCTGGAAAAAAAAAAAAAACGAATTTCATTTTGATCAGTTACTGCTTCCAGTGTGTCAAGTGCAAGAGCTCTGTGTGAAATGGTGAAATGTATCATTCTCCATACACCTGTGCCTTGGTTTTCATGTGGATCTTCATTACCCAGAAATGCATGGAAAATATTTCTAACTACCTGAGGCAAACATCACGACTGCTGTATATCCCACAGGGTATTCGATTGTCTGATCTTCAGCCCAACCTAGGAGAGCTGGAACAGATAAAAGGAAGTCTCTGAATAAAGATATGAAGAACCGTTAGAAGAGCCAGCCTGAGCCAAAGTGTGTCCCCTTCATTCAGAAACTATTGAATGCTGCATAATGAAACACAAATACACCTGTCCTTCACTTTTCTCTATCAAATACCCTAAAGGCACACAATTGGGTGTGTTACCTAGAAAACAAAGTAAAGTACCTGGAAAACAAAGTAAGGTACAACCTTTCAAACTTTTAGTTTCTAATCATTTGAAAATTTGCATGTCAGGGACAGAATGGTTGTTGCTACTTTTTGTTCCCTAACTACGTATTTAAATACCCTCCTGTTAATAATTTCTGTTCATCAGGACACAACTGGTTGTAAAAATTAATGAAATTCAACTATGGTTAACCTTGTCAAAAAGGAAACGGGGTATTTTACAAACCTGTAAAGTCCAGAGGTGGATTTGGATTCCAGATTGTTACACTAGATCTATCAGTGTAACAGCGGCATGAAGGCTCCTCTTCACCTCACCGGGCTTTGTTTTCCTGTAGATTCTCACCAGCCAGAAGGCCAGACAACTGACAGCCCCAGAATAACATTACTTCTAGTTCAGCTAATTCTTTCCCAGCAGTCCTACATCGATATTAGGGAAGTCTCTGATTGATCCTGTTGCTACCACATTCCAGAGTCCCAGTCACTGCAGGTTACACAGAGTATGATTTTCCATAGTGGAAAATAACGTACATGACTCAACAAAGGGGAAAAAGACAGGATATTGATGGTGATAGGCCCAAGACAACCAGTCAGGATGGAAAAGCAACTGGTACACATTAGAAAAACAGGATGCTAGGCAAAGAAAAAGGCAAAAATAGAAAAAAAAAGGCATAGCTATTACGTTTATGCAAAAGTAATTGTGGTTTTTGCCATTTTTTAAGTAATTGCAAAAACCGCAATTACTTTTTCACCAACCTAGTAATATCCACATCAAAATAAGTCAAAAGTTATGGCAGAGGTATAATCCTATGAGTGTTTATAAAGTCATAACTATTACAGCATATAAAATTAATCTTGAGGGATAAATATCTTGCTAGAAAGAAAAGGGAAGTGAGAAAAGAGGACATTTAAATTTTGAAAGTAAAGCTATATATAAAAGCATAGAAGAATGAAGGAATGTGATGTAGTTGGGGAAAATAAAGCAGCTTTGTCTGAGGGGCGATGGCAGGATGAGAAGATAGAATATAGGCGTGGCAGCTTTATTTAAGCCTGGAGAAGTCTTCATTGTTCAGTAATTTAAGAATGAGATTTCATAATACATAATATGATTCGATATGTTCTAAGGGATGTATTGGAAATATGCAAATAATATTTATGAGCATCATGTAGTTGAAGATACAGAGCTCCAAACCATTTCAAATTTAGAGAACAGTCAGAGAGAACAAAATCTGTGGGAAATTATTGAGTTTCTATCTTCATTATTTCATTAGCAACACCTTCCGCTAAATGGCAAATGTTTTAACACCAGTTCATCTGGCGGAAGATAACAAGATTCTGTACATGAAAGTGAAGTTTATTCTTCAACTTATTCTTCCATACATGTCTTATTTTTTATTTTACATTTAACTTTTAGTACTTGAGCTTGGTTTCACACGGTTAATTTTAAGCCATATGATGGAGACATGACCCTTTGATCAGAAATAGAATGTAAGGAAGATGTATGGAAAACAATGAAATGATAAACTTGACTGATCTCCTATTGTTGAAAGCCTTTCCTAGCGGAATTTCAGAAACAAGCTTGTCGCTTGTTTGTTCGCATCAGTGTCTTCTTGATAAAATTATAAAAATATTTAACATAGGCATTTCTCTCCAGCTAGAGTAGATGAAGGTCTGTTTTATTATAAAATAGAGACACAGCATAAATGTTTCATTGCTACTTTCTATAAAATTTGAATATGAGTATTGGTATGTATATCCCAGAATATTTATTGAAATAAAAAATGAAAGGCTTAAGAAAATGGAGATGTGTAAGTTACATAGTGTTAGAGATTTTTTTTAACGGACATTTTAAGCTTTAAAGTCAGATAAACTTTTTTTTTTCTTTTGGTCCTGCACTCTTACTCTGTCTAGCTATGCAATGTTGAGCAAAATACTTCACCTCTATGAGCCTCAAGCTCTTCACAAGTAAATTAAGGAAAATAGCAACTCTGTCATAAGCCACTGTGGAAAAAAAAATGAGATAAACCATACGTTGAACCAGCATTATTTTTTCATTGTTTTTCAAATAGAATCCAAGGATTAATATCTTCCATGAGACTCTTGTGTTTTCATTATAGTAGATCAGCTCTTTCATGCAGTTTTTCACAGTTTGAAATTATAAAAAATGAAGTCAAGAAATGTTTAAGTAGTTAATAATGTATTTATATTAGGAGGATAGAAAAGAATAAGACCTATTACTTGCTTCCGAATATCTTAAAATCCAGTTGGGAAAGCAGAATTGCCATAAAAAGGAAAAATAGAACATAGAAAAAAAAGGTATGATGACAATAAAATTATTAGATAATTACCAAGTAAATTTTATGATATGTAGTGTTATAGAATTTCAGAAGGATATTTTGATGAGGAGAAGAAAATGCTTTTGTATGGGGGCAAACCTATGAAAGAGGCGTTTGAGTATTTACAGTGCTCATTTTTTGTTTGTTTTATAAATATAAATGCAATTTTAATATTCAATAGCTATTACTATTTTCCTATACATTTGATTTTTTAAAAATTAAAAGTGATAGTTTACTTAGTATTTCATGATAAATAAAAATAATATCTGGCATTTAGTGATATATGCATCAGGCATTATTCTAAGCTGATTTACATTATTTTATTTTCATAACTATTCTGTGATAAGTTATTGTTATCCTTGTTTCTCAGGAAAGGAAATTGAAACCAGAAAGTGTAAGTAAAATAAACAAGTTCACAGAGCTAGGAAATAGTAAAGTCATTCATAAATACTAAATCAAAAGAAAGAGTGTATTACTACAATTAAATCATCTGTACATTTAATTACAATTATGAGACTATATAAGTACTATTCTTACCACTATTTCTTCCATAGAGCTACAATGATGAGATTATATAAGTACTACTTATACAACTATTTCTTCCATAGAGCTACCAACACTGGCCCATAAGTGAATTAGAAAAGGATTACTGACAAAAATTGTGTTAGTTTTTTTTTATTATTACCACAAAACATTTGCTGCAAATTTCTTTAGATGAATGACTTTGAAATTATTGTCAGTATTCCTAATAGCTAACTTAATGCCTGGTATATAGGTCTGTGTGATACAAGTTTGTTGGCCTAAAGAAGAGCCTTCTTCAAAGAGACAGTACCAAGGACCCCCAGAAAGATAATTGCCTTAGTATTTGTTTATTGCCTAATGATAGACAGACAGATACATAGAATATAAATTACTGCTTTGAGTAAAACACAAAATAAAAACATATTTCATGTCATTTATAGAAAATGTTAAATGTAATCTTAAACATAATAATTAGAATAAAATAGTCTCTTTTATCATGATTTTCAGACTTAGCTTACACCTCATCTATGTCTAGACACACTTTCGTCATAAAAAAAATTATACCATAAGAAGTAAATTTATGAAATAAAATTAGAGGCAATCAATGAAAAAAACTTATTTTGATTCTATGAAGTGGGTTTCCTGGTTTTATCATTTATTTGGAACTAGCGATAAAATTAATTAAACATTAAGAATGGGTTAAAGCTGAGGCATATAGCTGGATCTTAATTTTGACATTGATCTGTCTATATACTATTTATCTATAATTTAAAAAATAATACAAAGCAATTTCACCCTAAAATAGAGTTGGCATCTTGACACAGTTTAAGAGGCCAACAAAGTTTGACATCTTAACAAAGTTTATTACAAATTATTTATCTTCAGCTCCTTATTTTTCAAATATATTTTGAAAGAAGTAAGGGAATCATCTTTCCCATATGTCACTACCTTACATGTTCATGATGAAATGTTCAGTCAACATAATTTCATTTTTGAAGGTTTTCAGATAAGTTAAAAGAAACAAAAAGTTAAATCCTTAAAGGAAGTAAAAATCAATGTTGCTCCTGCCTTTGGAAGGGTGGCTCATTCTGATAATTACTTGTAAACTATCTTATTGCAGGGCTGCAACAGTTTTCAGCTTTCTATTAAGCATTACTTTGGAAAAATTTGGTCACATCAGTGAAAAACAATTCTTAAATCACGCAATTACAGAACAGCTTGAGGCATATCATCGGTGTAATTGAAAACAGAATTTTCAACTATCAGTATGCTTTTCTATGATACCAATGCATCTCAACTACAGCCAAAACTTTATAGAGCTACTCAAGAACATGATACGATTCTTAAATTATTCAATTCTGTTGTTATAGGGATGTATGCTTTAACAAATTTGATTAATCATAGTGATGTAACATATTAGATGTTCAAATGATTTCAATTAACTTAAGAGGATGGTCTCACAGTCTTATTTCTGGACATTCATATTCTATGTTCTGTTCAATAATCATCCCCAATGATAGGAGGAAAGAAAGCATTTGTCACATACTTTGCAGTGTTTATGCCACATATTGCTTGGGGACATGGACAACCAGTAAATAGTCTACCTTCAAGTGACATTACAACATTTCACATATAGCATAAGAATTTAAAAATATTTACTTTTATATCTTTCCTCTTATAATTTATGCCATGATGGTCATATAATTTACTTATACATATGTTATAGACCTGACAATACATTGTTATTATTGTGTTTACACAGCCATGTATTATTTTAAAGTATTTAGGTAGGAAGGAAATATTTTGTCTTTAACCCTGTTACTTTTTCCAATGCTATGTAAATTCATCTTTTTATCATGTTTTTTCATTCTGCCAGAAGGACGGCCTATAACATTTCTTATAATGTGGTCTGTTGGAGATGAATTCTTTCAATTGTGTAATTTTTTATTGCCCCTTCAAATTTGAATGATTTTTTTGTTGGATATGAAATTCCCAGCTGACAGGATTTTTTGTGTGTTTGCAAGTTTTTTACATAATTGTTGTTTTCTTTTGGATATAAAATTCTAGTTTAGTAATTTTTTTCTTTATCTTAAAAAATATTCCTCCACTCTCTTGAATTCTTTCCAATGAAGAATCTACAGACATTCTCATCTTTTTTTTCTGTAAAAAACATGTCTTTCCTCTCTGGTCACTTTAAAGATTTTCTCCTTAGTAGAGCAACTTAATATGATACCACTCAGTTTAATTTTCTTCATGCTTATTGTGCATGGGAAGTGTTAAACTTCTTGACTCTCTGTGGTTATAACTTTCATCAAATTAGAAAGACATTTGACCATTATTTCTGAAAATATTTCTCTGCCACTACTCCTCTAGTCTTTTCTTCATGGACTCTATTTACATATATGCTTCCTCAAGATTTCTTACAGTTAAATAATATTCTTAAGTTATATTTTCTCTTTATATTTTTTTCATTGCAATGCCTAAAAGTTCACTTATCTTTTCTGTCTACGATATTGATTCTGCCATTAATTCCAACATTGTATCATTAATCACAAATATTTTATCTTTCCTTTGTAGAATTTTATTATGACTCTGTTTTATATATTGCATACAATAGTTTTCTTTTCAAACATTAGAAATACTACTATGATAAGGGTTTTCATGTCCTATTCTGGTTAATTGAACATCTGTGTAGGCTGTGGTTTAATTTTGGTTAATTTTTTAACTCATAATAAATTGTATTTTGCTGATATTTTTATGCCTGATAATCCTCGATTAGATGCTAGACATTGTGAATTTTGATTTTTTTGATATTGAATAGCTTTGTTTGTGCTCTTTCCTGGGATGCAACTAAGTCATTAGAACAAGTTCGATCCTTTTAAATCTTGCTTACAAGATATTTTAAGTTGGACTAGTGCGGCATTCAGGTTCGGGCTAACTACTCCCCACTACTGAAGGAATGCCCTTTGAGTACTATATCCAATGTCCTATAAATTCTGAGATAGTCTTGTCTGGTTGGTGGGAGCAGGTTCTATCCCATGCCCTGTGTGAGACTGCGTACTTCTTCCCTCATATGAGGCATTTTCCACATGAATACACCAATCAGTCCTCTGCTGAATACTTCTGGAGGATTCTACACAGCTCTTGGGATTTTTCTTTTTACACAGCTCTCTCCTTTCTAGTATTCGTTCTGTGAACCCTAGGAAATTTTCATCCTCAATCTTTCAGCCTTACTCTCCTCAACCCTGGCAGTTTCACATCCTCTCCTACTCTAGAAACTCTCAAGGCTATATGCTTGGTTAATAATAGGACTCAACTTGTTTCTCATCCCAGGAATGATTCTCAGTCACTGCCTGTTCAGTATATTGATTAAATAATCTTAGGATTTTGGTTGGTTTATTAATTTAGGCAGAAGGGTATACTTGTCTACTTTATTCTACTTTCCCAGAATCATGATTGTTAAACATTATTTTATACTTTCCAATTTATTAGAATGTTACAAATTGAAGATTATTAATTTAATATGGTCTCTACTCTTAGTTGTTTCAACTTTTGTGGCATCAGGGATTCTCTATTTTGCTAATGTCAAATCCACAGGATTTAGTATGAAATCTTGCATATAGGAGATGCAAATATGTATTATTTATTCATTCATCATTTATTTATGGAATGACACTATGATAAACTATACATTATTGTAAATATAATCAAAATTCTGCCCTCATATTTCAGCTAGTACAGAAAATATCTGTTATATGCATCCATACATCTGCCCATACCTATATAAACGTAAAGACCAATGAAATAAAAATAGGCTAGGGTTGTAAAGTGTTAAACGTTGTACTTCACATAATTAACAATAGGAATACTACATTATAAGCCAGCAATTGTGAAATACTAGAATTTTATTTAATTTGGCTTAACATTAAAGGTAAATATAATTGGTTAACCTAAATACACTGCCAGAAATTTTACAAATATATTACTCACTTGTCTAGTATTAAGGATTTGTAAGAAAACACAATATGCCAATTAACTTTCTAACAGGAAGTTGTATTTTTTAAAGCAATTTGACATTAGAGTATTAGAGATACCAGGCATAGTCACCTTACTGATGTAAAGAAAATCTAAGATATATTTCAATCACTAATTATACCCCCTATTTCACATGGCCATGCTTTGTGCCCTTTCTTTAATATGTACATTCTAATGTCCAATTTTATTGGTATATATTGACTTGAAAAAGTAGAAGGAGACTTATAGAATAATCTTCTAGCATTTTTCATTGGTATGGAATTTGGAAAGGCCTACAGAAATCAAACAGTAGATGTAATTCGTAAAGAAATTCAAACCTAGAATTCTAGTATTACATTTTTTGAGATGGAAGATGAAAAAAATCCTGGAAGTCATCCAAAATATAATAATAATTATAATAATAATGCTACTGGGCACTAAGGTGTATATTGAGAAATATAAAATACTACATTTTAGCAATCTTCTGAATATCCTTTTTGTATTCCTGTTAAGGAGAGCACTGAGAAGAATTAAATGCCCTTAAACAGTTATTTCTAGGATGCCTGCTATGTGAACAGAGAGTAAAACTTGAATTCACTTAAAAGTGTGTAGACTTGAGCACAGAATGATACTCGAAAACAAAATTTCACATTTCAAAATAATAAAGCTAAAGAAAATAAAATATTCCATATTTTTTCTTTTATAGCTCATATCCTTCCTAAATATAATTTTCAAAGTCAATATATTATCAATACTCTATACTTATTTAAAAATGAATAATGTATAATTATGAAGTAACAAATAAATCAATATTAAATTACTTGACATTCAGAATTAGGATTATAAAATAATTTTTCCTCAGCATCATGATATTAGTAGTAGCAGTACATGGTCAACATAAATTTGTTGTATTCTTCTCTGAAGGCATTGTAAGTGCAATTCAAAACTTTATCTTTCTGCAGTTTTTCAATTGTAAAGAGTTCTTCCTGATAGTAATTATATAAAGGTGCCTATGTTGGCAATATGAAACATTTTCACTAGGAAATAATGGCTACTAAAACATCCTTACATAAAAGTTTAATTGAAGCTGTTTCGTTAGAGAAAAAAATAATGTTTTTTATATCAATATTATCTTTAAGTGGCTAACTCTAAAAATAGTTTATTTTTACATTTGCATTTTTATTAATAAATAGCTAAATCAATAACTCACAAATAGATATTGTAAATCTGAATTCAATAGAGGAAACAAAAAATTGTGCTAGGTGACTCTGTCCAAAAATAAATTGAATATAGGAAGCATGGAGTTCATAAAAATTGTACAATGTTAGAAAAGCATGTTTTAAGTCAGGCATCTTAGAATTATTCTTAGAAATACATGGAGCTATCTTTCAGACTTTGCCATTGCAGCCTCTGAACACTAATAGGCTGAAGAATGTTCACCTAAAGACAGAATCCTCAGCTTCATGACCCGTATGAACAGGCTGCCTCTACAGCCACTGTTTCATCAAATCCAAGACAGGAACTTCATACAGAATGAGCATTAGAAACTGCTAGAAGAAATTCATGAGCTTGCTAGACCGTTATAACTACCAGCAGTCCCAGACTGATCACCACCCCACCTCAATTCCACTTTTCAAATCTCTGTAAGTACATTTAATTGGTAGGTACTAATTTATATCCAAGACTTCATCAGTAAGATAATTGACTAAAAAGAGTTTTTATTTTCTCAAATTCTTTATAAAGGTTGAGTAGAAAAATCTCAGTATGTTTTATACTTTTTTTTATTTACATAACAGACACAAACTGTGTAGGATGTTTTGAGATAACTGATATATCCTTAATTCAAAACTAATGTAAAATCATTTTTCATTAGTTGGAATTCTGAATAGTTATGAATTCAAGCAATCGTAGTGCTATATTTAAAATGTATAATGAAGTTCTAGGTGTAAACCTCATTTAAAAATTAAAAGCTAGAAGCAGTGTTCTTCTCATTACACATTCTTTTTCTAATCATCGCAGTATGAATTTATACAAAACAAGCAAAGAATCCTTCCTTCACCATTCCTAATGCCAGGGAAGTTTCAATTGTAACAATTGACAAAATATTTCACAAATTATTTGACACACAAAGTAACTTCTGGCATACTTTATTGGATTTTTTTTTATTTTTTACTGATACTATAGCAAAACAGTTTAGATATCTTTGTATATAAAGAAACACATTTTTGTCCCTCTGAAATCTGTTTTTCAGGAGTTGCCAGGCCACAATTTAGATAGTTCTACTCAACAACATAAATGCTAAAGTTTCCATACAATTGAATGGTGACTCGATTCACATGACGGTTACCAGATTTTTCTTGCTTTTAAAGTGGCACTTAAGTAATTCTATTCACCCTAGAGTCAGACATGGTATATGTGGTATGAATCAGGTTTGGGCACACATATCAATAAGACTTACATAAAGTATATTGAATAGTGTATATCTTCATTCTTCATGATATGAACAGGCATATTTATTAAACTTATCTAATTATAAAAAGGTATATATAATATTGTATCAAAACATGAATGTGTTAACTAATTCTGAAAATATAAAAATAGATTTATTAGTGACAAATTGCTGTACACACAGACATAAGGAATAGCGCTTTGCTACAGATATTAACTTCAACCTGAAATTAATTTGTTTTGATTCAAATTTCAAACGTTTCTTGATTTAAAGAACTACTTCAATAAATAACCAAAGCTAACATCAATTAAACAATAAAGGTAAAACAAAAATTTACATTATGAGAGAACTCTATCATATGCTAATATTTTGTTAATGTACTGCTTATAAATCTAATTTTAGTAACATTTCCATGAAGAACATATATGAAAGGGAACTTAGAAATCAGGGCAACGCAGCCGGGCACAGTGGCTCGCACCTGTAATCCTAGTACTTTGGGAGGCTGGGGCGGGTGGATCACCTGAGGTCAGGAGTTTGAAACCAGCCTGGCCAACATGGCGAAGCTCTGTCACTATTGAAAATACAAAAATTAGCCAGGCTTGGTGGCGTGCACCTATAATCACAGCTACTCGGGAGGCTGAGGCAGGAGAATCACTGAACCCAGTGGGACGAAGGTTGCAGTGAGCCGAGATTGCACAATTTCATTCCAGCCTGGGTGAAAAAGCGAAACTCCATCTTAAAAAACAAAGAAAGAAAAGAAAAATCATGGAAACTCATAATGGCTCATTTAATTATTTTTAGGTCCTAGAAAATTTAGTTTTATCACTCTGAGTATTTATTTATTTATAAGCTATCAACATGAAGAATGCTTATTAATATCATCTTGAAAAATCTGTGGAAGAGTAAAAATTTTAATCATAATTTATTTTATATATTTGATATATTTTCTCTCTTAAAAATACAAATGTTAACTCTGTTCAAGGAGTAGTGATATCCAGATGTTTTCATTGCCATGTAAAATCTACTTATTCCAAGTAAATCACTCTATCTTATATTTCTGAGATTATTTTAAAATAGCAACTTGTGAAAGAGCAATACATGGTCATAGGGATATATCCCTATGATACTGGTATATGGTGCACAAAAATAATAAGTAAATGTTTGCAAAAACAATAAGAGGATTCATCTCTGAGGATGTAAAGACATCTACAAATCATCTTCCCCAGAGCTAGTAAAAAATTGGCAAAAAAATTTATTTTAATACTCTAGACAAAAACAAGTTGAGAAGCATTTATGCATGAAAACTGTCTGAATCTTTGGTTAAGTACTGCGGGTATGTTTAGCCTTCTTGCTTAGGCCTGCTTCCATCCACCTAATTTCTAGTTAAGTAGACAGGAAAGGTAGTTTTTCCAAGTGGAGATGGCCATGGATATGAGCAAGTTTTTGGACAGAGATGGGTGGCTAAGCTAACTTAAAACAAAGGTAAAAATTTTCCTTAACATAATTGGTAGGAAAAGTAAAACAAACAAACAAATAAACAAACAAAAAACAACAAATTAAATTGTAGCAAACTATAGTAAACACTTGCAACTCTAGCCTGAGTTTGAGGTCCTGGTTGACTTAAATAGCACACAACCCAGAAACATATTGAAAGATTATAAAAATTAGAGATTTTAGTTAGATAAGCTCTCTACATATGTCTGGCCAACTGGTGAAGCATGCATCTGCATAGAGGAGAAACAAAGCCAGACAGTTACAGCCGAGCCAGCTTGGAAAACTGGCTGTACACTTAATGCCCTTCTCACCCTACTGACAGATTAATTGACAGAGGGTGGAAGCTTTACAGACTTGAGCTGATGGAGCAGAGACTCATTTCTAATCACTGACTGCTCAGTAAGATATATAGAGATAGAGACATCCCTAGGAAGCTGGGATAAAAATGAAAAACAAATTTTAAAAACAGTAACAGAAAAGGGCAAAGAAATCAGTAGCTACACATCATGGAAGGACAAATCCCAAAGTTTTAATTCAGGCAAAACATGAAAAATAAATAAAGTAAAAAGCAACATGGGGCAACATTAGAATCTGGAGTTACTAACTACATATTCTATGATTCACAAATTCTAATAAAAATTAGGGGATATGTAAATATGTACAAAAGAGTGGCTCATATTCAATAAAAAGTAAGTGTATATAAGTTCACTCTAAATAGGACCAGATATTGAATTTAGCAGCAAAAAAACCCTACAAAATAGTTATTAGCATACCCAAGGAATTAAATAACATTATAATTAAAGATGTAAGAAACATTTGAATAAAATATTTCAATAAATAGGAAATATCCATAGAGAAATATAAATTTTTAAAAGAATCACATGAACATTCTAGAACTAAAAATTATGAAACTATAATTTTTAAAAAATTCTAAAATTAAATCTGTTGTCTATAAGAGAGTTAAAATAGCAGAAGGAAGAACAGCGAACTTACACGTAGTATAATAAAACTTATCTAATTTAAATAACAGGAAAAATTGAAGAAAAATGAACAGAGCATGAGAGACCTATAGGACAATATAAAGAATTCCCAGATACATGTAAATAAAGCATCAGATGGAAGGAAAGATAAAAAGGAATAATAACTGTATTTAAGAAATAACAACTAAAAGCTTCTCAGATTTGATGAGAAACTTTAATACTTAGATCCAAAGAGGTGAAAAAAAATAGAATATAGTAAAAGAACTACACCTAGACACATCATGAGCTTCTGACATCCAAAAACAAAGACAAATTTTGAAAACAGAAAAGGGGAAAAATAGAATTATGAGAACATGGAAGCGGTGCAATTAACCACTTTCTTCTCTTTAGAAACATTGTAGGTCGTAGACAGTGGAATATCATGTTGAAAATCCTGAAAGGAAAAGATAAAAACAAATAAACACATCAACCAAGAATACTATGCTCATCAAAAATGAAAGTGAGATAAGGCATTTACAGATAAACAAAAACAATAACTCATTGCTAGGGTACCACCCTATGGAAGGACAAAATCAAAGTCTTATTTTATGCAAAATATATAAAATAGCTCCTGAGACTAGCTCAAATCCATCAAAGAAATAAAGAGCGGCAGAAATAATAATTATTTTAGTAAATATAAATGTTAAGAAACATATGCTATATTTTCCTCTAATTTATTCAAAAATTAAAATTGCACTGTATAATTACAATAAAACATTTTAAGTTTTATTATAGGTGAGAGAGAGAGAATATGTATGAAGATAACAATGTAAAGAAGTGAGTGGAAGTGAAGTTATAATGGGACAGAGCCGCTATATTTTGCTGGAATTAAGTCAATATTAACCCAAAGTAGATTGGCATAAATTAAAAAGTATATAATAATTCCATAATCAACCACTAAATAAAGAACTAAATATTATGCCGTTAAAAAGTCCACAAATAAATTCAAATAGTTCACTAAAATACATTAACAAAGAAATAGCACTAAAGGAACACAGATCAAGAAAATAGATGTGAAACATGTAGAAAACAAAAAGGAAAATGGCAGCTATAAAAACCAACAATATCAATAATTACAATAAATGTTAATAGACTAAATAATCAATAGATAGAGTTTGTCAGACTAAATCAAAATGTGAGATATAACTGAATACCAGAGAATATTATTCAGCCTTTTGGCCAGGCACAGTGGCTTATGCCCATAATCCCAACATTTTGGGAGGCCGAGGCAGGTGGATAACTTGAGGTCAGGAGTTTGAGACCAGCCTGGCCAACAGGGTGAACCCCCTCTCTACTAAAAATACAAAAATTAGCCCAATGTTTTGGTGCACACCTGTAATCCCAGCTACTCAGGAGGCTGAGGCATGAGAATCTCTTGAACCCGGGAGATGGAGGTTGCAGTAAGCCGAGATCATGCCACTGTACTCCAGCCTGAGTGACAGAATGAGAGTGTCTCAAAAAATAAAAAAAATAGAATAGTATTCAGACTTTGAAAAGAAGGAAATCCTGCCATTTGTGACAACACTGATGAACTTAAAGGACATCATACCAAGTGAAATAAGCCAAAAACAAAAGGAGAATGCTATTATATAATATCACATACATAATCAACCTGCAATAGTCAAACTCATATAAGCAAAGAGTGGAATTTTCCAGAAGCGTAAAAATGAAATTATGTGACACTATTCCAAAGGTAGTAAGTGTCTATTATACAAGATAAATAAGTCCTAGGAATTCACTGTATAGCCTAGTGCCTGTATGGTAGGCTACCACTAACACTAAAATACTACCAACACTGTATTGCATACTTAAAATTTGTCTGAGGGTATATCTTGTGTTCCTATCACACACACACAAATAATAATAATAAAAGAGTGGGGGGAACTTTTTGATGTATAGGTTTAGGGAATCTATTGTGATAGTTTTACAAGTGTTTACTTACCTCCAAACATTATCAATTTGTATATATTAACTATATAAAACTTTTGGGTGTCAAAGAAAAAATTAAATTTAAAAATAAAGGAGACATACAAATTCAAAGACAGATAGTTAAAAGTAAAAGAATGGGAGAAAAATATCAAACATATAAGAACTACTAGATACAAAAGCAAGTCAGGTGAGATGGCTCACACCTGTAATCTCAGCACTTCAGTAGGCTGAAGTGGGCAGATCACTTGAGTTCAGGAGTAGTAGACAGTCTGGGCAATATGCCAAAAACCTATTCTCTACTAAACGAAACAAAACAAAACAAAAAAATTAGCTGGGCAGTGTGGTGCGTGCCTGTAGTTCCAGGCACTTGGTAGGCTGAGGTGGAAGGATGGCTTGAGCCCAGAAAGTGGAATTTGCAGTGAGCTGAGATTGCACCACTGCACTCTAGCCTGAATTTAAAAAACAGCTATAGCAGCTATATTGATTTCAGACA
Organism: Homo sapiens; assembly: GCF_000001405.40. Taxonomy (NCBI): domain Eukaryota; kingdom Metazoa; phylum Chordata; class Mammalia; order Primates; family Hominidae; genus Homo; species Homo sapiens. Next base: position 66,344,234 of record NC_000018.10, on the reverse strand, counting down.
AAATAGACTTAAGAGGAGACATACCATTAGCATCAAATAGCACTACTTTATAATGTTAAAGGGTCAGTGTATCAGCTAGATATAAAAATTACAAATGTATGTGTTCTTAACAACAGAATCCTAAAATAGCCAAAGAAAAAACTGACAGAATTAAAAGTAGAGTGAAAAAGTCCACAATTAGAGGCTTCAACAATTTACTACTGGTAATTGATATAAGAAGTAGGTCAAAAAGTAAAGAACACCTTTATTTTTACTGACTTTTCTACCTACTTGTTGCTACTGAAAAACACTAGCAACCAACTTTGCTGCAACAGACCCTAGACCCATTTCAATGAGAGAAAAGAATGCCTCCGATCTGTATGGTAGTTTACTGAAAAAGGGTTATTTCACACTCTACTATTCCTTTACCCCTCATGTTCAGAATATAGTTTTAAAATATGAAACATAGGCCGGGCGCAGTGGCTCACGCCTGTAATCCCAGCATTTTGGGAGGCCGAGGCAGGTGGATCATGAGGTCAGGAGTTCCAGACCAGCCTGGCCAAGATGGTGAAACCCCATTTCTACTAAAAATACAAAAATTAGCCGGGCGCAAAGGCAGGCGCCTGTAGTCCCAGCTACTCAGGAGGCTGAGGCAGGAGAATCACTTGAACCCGGGAGGCGGAGGTTGCAGTGAGCAGAGATCGCGCCACTGCACTCCAGCCTGGGTAACAGAGCGAGACTCCATCTCAAAAACAAAACAAAAAACAAACTAAACAAAATGTGAAACATAAAAATAAGCAGAAATATGTGACCTATAATCAAGAGAATCACAGGCGGCAGAAGCAGTTCAACAGAGAACCCACATACTGGAGTCAGTAGATAAGAACTCCAAGTAACTATGAAAAGCATAAACATGATATATCTTTTTCATTTTCACTTTAAATTCGATCTTTAATTTTAAAGTAATTTTCTTATATTGTTTGTAAAATTGTTTAATGATTGGCACCATACTATTGTAAGTTAAAAGTGCATAATGTAAACTCGTATAGAGCAACTACTTAATTGTATAACACAAATTTCAATAGTAAGAATAACATGTAATGGTAAAAAGCATTCAATTAACCCAAAAGAAGGCATGAAAGGGGGGACAAGGAAGCAAGGAATAGATAGGAAGAAATAGAAAATATATAGCAAAATGGTAAACTTTAAGCCTTTCAATATTTACATAAAAAACAAATTAAATATTCTGAAAAAAAAAGGGTATAAACATCTAAAATTGCAAGGATGGAGGAAAGAGAAAAGCCAAGCTTCAGGCTTTTAGAAGACTCTTCAGAATTTGAAAACATGTTTGTGTAAGTTTATTAGGCAACACCCTAAATCAAGGGTCCCCAACCCCTGGGCCACAGACTGGTACCAGTCTGCAGCCTGTTAGGAATGGGTCTGCACAGCAGGAGGTGAGTGGCAGGCCAGTGATCATTACCACCTGAGCTCCATCTCCTGGCAGATCAGTGGTGGCATTAGATTTAAGAGATCTAGGTTGCATACTCCTTATGAAATCTAACTAATGCCTGATGCTCTGAGATGCAACAGTTTCATCCCAACTACCACTCCCACCATTCTGTGGAAAAATTGTCTTCCATGAAACTGGTCCCCAGTGCCAGAAAGGTTGGGGACCACTGCCCTTATCCTTCAGAGGTCTAATCAAAGGGTTTTAGGGCCACACCATATGGTCTACCCCATGTAACTTCATCCTCTATGATTGATTATTTATTCTTTAGCGTTTTGTGTCAGAAGAAAAATTCAAAGATAACAAACATTTCTATGTACTAGAATTTTTACATGTGTTTAACCATTCAAGTCTTATCACACACAATAATAGCAATACCTCAATTTCATGTAAAGGAAATTCAGATTGTTACAATAATCAGTTCATAAATAATAACAAATTCACCGAGCATCTTGCCCCTAGAAGGTTTAGCAGATGGTATTTAATTCTTAGACTCTCTACTTCCATATTCTTTATACTTCTATAACATGATCCCTTCTAAAAGCAAGTGTATTGCACTTGAATTGGTAGAGTTAGACAAGGCAGCTGCAAAATATTATTTGTAATGAATTAATTTCTCAATGTAAAATATTAATAGATGCCTGAATTAAGAGTGGAAAGGAGTCACAATATTAAACTAGAAAGCATTAATGTGAGGGCTATAAATAATTTTAAAAATATTTTTAAATAGACTGCTTTTTCATTCTTTATTTTTCTAATATCCTCATCTATTCATTAGGAAAAGTTTAAAATGTGATTAGAGGGATGATTATAATCAAGCTCAATTATGTAAGCATTCCAACTATACACCACAATTGCTCTCTATTCAACTGTGGTCTCAACATTTGCTTCAGGCCACCTTCAAAACTACGCTGAATAGTCATTTCTACCTGTAATACATGTACTAATTGGTAAAATATGTCTTTGTCAATTGGGCTTATTCAAAACTATTTTGCACTCATTAAATTAAAATATTGAGTTGATTTTCTTCAAATTGCCATAGATTTTCTTAACTTGTTGAAATTTTCAAATCACACCTTTCCTTCCTAAAAATAATAATAATAATAAATTCCATCACAGACATCCTCTCACAAATCTTGAGAAAACTTTTTTCTTATTTATTTGACATATTTAGAATGAAAGTAATAGCAAGTTACATATTTTTAAAACTGTATATTTTAATCTTAATAAAATTATTTTGTGTATTAATGAGATATTTAAACTGTGTAGGGATGGGTCAATCAAGTATTATACAAACTTAGCAGATAATTCACAAATAATAAAAAGGCATTTTCTATGCATGAATTAAAAACATTTTTCCTGTTATTAAATGTTGCTTGATATCTTCTTCCATTAGTCTTACTGTTGTATATAAACATTAAATTCATTTAATAATATTTCATGATTAATGAATATTAACTAGTTACCAAGCATTGTCTTAAGCACTTAATTCATTTTCTCATTTTATCCTCATAATAATCATTTATTTTACTAACTTCACCCTCATTGTTGTGATGTCAAAGTTATGAAAAGGTCAAATAATTCCTCCAAAGTGACGCAATTACTTATTTTTGGAGTTAAGATTTGTTCCTCAGCTACTGGAATCTGAACTGGTAAGCTGTGCCTCATGCTGACCAATGACATTTGTCCATTCATTGATGAATTCAAACACTTGTGGAGAAGATTTTACATAGCAGGCCAGAACCAGGCACTGAAAGCAAAATTGATTATGACATGTAAAGAGACTACTGTTTTCTAGAAAAATAGATTATTCTATAAATAGAGTTAAGCATTACAACTGCTTGGATTTATTTGTGCAGAGCTATGTAATATCATAATTTTAGAATGATTTTCACATTCTTAGTATAAGCCAAACAATGAATTAGGCAGAAAAGCTCCAATGTTAAGAATATACAGAATTTAGATCCTCATAAAGTGCACTGTCAAGTTGGAGATGTAAAGAGGTAAAAGATAATGAAATTAAGACATTGGAAAGTAAAAGTTTTGAAAACAGAGAAAAAGACAACCTAACCCAAATTTGGGTATCAGGTAAGGGTTTCAGGAAAAATCATTGCATAGAAATTAGTAAAGACACTAGGGTAAGAGGGATAGGTAGAATGTTCCAGAGAGGATTAAGAGTAGTGCAGAAAACTTAACATAAAAAGTACTTTATCACTGAAAGTAGTTTAGCGCATGGTTGTCACACAAGATTACAGTCAGATGAAGAGTTCAGAAAAGGAGCATTAGCCTACCGAAATAGCAGACATCAGGCCGTACCTTCATAAAACTATTTGTAAATGGCATTACTTTCTTAATTTCTTTTAGATTGTTCATTGCAAGTGTATAGAAAGGCAATTGATGTTTGTACACTGATTTTATACCCTACAACCTTGTAGAACTTGATTGTTAACTTTATTCATCTTAATACTTTAAATTTTTATACTCCCTAGGATTACTTTCTATTCTCTGAGAATAGAGATATAGTTTAACTTCTTCCATTTAAATCTGGATGCCTTTTATTTCTTCCCCTGATTGCTCTATGTCCACAGTACAATGTTGAATACAAGAGACCAGGGCACATATACTTCTCTTGCTCCTGATCTTAGAGTAAAATCATCTAGTCTTTCACCATTAAGTATTAAATTAGCTTATATGAACAAATTTCTCTGCAACTTAAACATATTTTCTTGTTCTTGCCAAATTGCTCTGGGTAGGATTTCTAGTACTATATGGATAGAATCAGCAAAAGTAAGCATCCTTGTTTTATTCCTGATCTCAGAGGAAAAGCTTTGAATCTTTCACCTTTTATAACAGTGTGAGGTTAGTTGTGGGTTTTTCATATATAGCTCTTGTTATGTGGTGGTAATTTTCTCGTATTCCTAATTTGTTAAGTGTTTAACATAAACACATAATTTGTTAAGTGTTTTATGTTAAACACTTAACATAAAATTTGTTAAGTGTTTTATGTTAAACACTTAACAAATTAGGATTAGAAGGATTAGGATTTTCATCAAATGCTGTTCCTGTACCTATTGAGAATATCATGTGATTTTTGTATTTTTTATCCTATTGATAAGCTCTATCTTTTATTATATGGAATACTTTGCAGATAATTGTTACTTTTTTAATGTTCAGTAGAATCTAGGAGTGAAGAAGACAAATAGGCCTGGACTTTGTGAATAGTTTTTTTTTGAATTATGACTTTAATTTCTTCAGTAATTATGGGTTTATTTAGATTTTCCATTTCTTCTTGAGTCAGTTTTAATAGTTGCTTTCTATATATTTCACTTTCATCTAAGTTATCTAATTTGTTGCTGTATAATTGTGAATAGTATTCCTTTATAATCCTTTTTATTTCTGTAAGGTTGGCAGTAATATTCCCTCTCATTTCTACCTACTAATTTAAGACTTCTCTCTTTTTTACTCAATCAATCTAACTAAAGGTTTTCAATATTTAACTTTTCAAAGAACTAGATTTTGGCTTAACTGTTTTTTTCTATTTTATTTTTCACTTATCAATGTTATTCATTTCTACTTTAATCTATATATTTCCCTCCGTCTTCTTGCCTTCATTACAATTTTTCTTTTTCCAGTGACCTAACATGAAAGACTGGATTATTGATTTGAGATCATTTTTCTTCCTTAATATAGGCAGTATATTTACAAACTTACCTCTAAGAATGGTTGTAATTTAGTGGACAGAGACACTTAAGTCAAATAATATTTGAAAATGTATTTGTGAACTATTATTGATAAATATGTGTAGTTGCTACAAAAAAAATGGAGGAGTTGATTTTACTTAAGAACATCTGTAAGAGCTTCACAAACAAGTGCTATCAGAAAAAAAGGAAAAAAATAGATTGCTTCCTCTTTATCTTTCCACTTTTTAAATGAGGGTGACATTGTAATACCAGGAATTCACACAAAGTATGTAGATAGGGCTTATAGTTATTAATGTGTAATAATTGCTTATGAGTGAAGAATAAGGAAAAAACAGATTACATGTTTGAGTGGTGGCCATGAACTTGGATTTCAAAGATGGAACATATAATTTCCACAATCCATAAATAAATGGCTAATACAGTTGAATATATGTCCCTGTCAAATCTCACGTTGAGTTGTAATCCCCAGGGTTGCAAGTGTGGCCTGGTGGGAGGTGTTTGGATCATGGTGGCAGAATCCCTCAAGGCTTGGTGTTGCCCTGGCAGTAGTGAGTGAGTTCACAAGATCTGGTTGTTTAAAAGTGTGGGCACTTCCCTGGCCTTCTTGCTACTCCTGCCATGTGAGACACCTGATCTCTTTGCCTTCTGCCATGATTGTAAGCCTTCTGACACCTCCCCAGAAGAAAATTCCTGTACAGCCTGCAAGACCAGGAGCCAATTAAACCTTTTCTTATGAATTACCCAGTCTCAGGTGTTTCTTTATAGCAATGCAAGAACGTTCAAATACAGTGGTCTTAAAAGTGAATTGTGACTAATTTTTGGAAAAATCATAAGAAAATTACACCTAAAAATGTAGAATAAAAACTTTTATAATGCATGCTATATAATTCACATAGCATTTGTTACTGATAAGTAAAATCAACACAAAAACGTTTAAAATATGACTAATTGGCATTATATAGAGGTTTATGTAGCTCAGAAAGACTAGAATATCTTTATATTTTACTTTCACTAAAGTATTTAATAAAATATTTTACAAATTTTGTTGTGGCTAAGCTTCTAACCTGTTGACGTATGCTTTTAGTGGTTTAAAATAATCATAAATTACAGGTTATATCAACTTATAGTGAGATGTCTCCTGGCTTACAAATGTAGCCTGTCTTGTACAGTTCTGTGTGCAATACTTTTATCAGATTTTGATAAGAATTCCAGGTAGAGCAAGATGGCTAAACAGAAGCCTCTAACAAACATTCTTCTAAAGGAGAATCAAATTGAACTATCCTCACTAAAAAGCACCTTCATAAGAACTGAAAATCAGGTGAGTGATCACAGTACCTGGTTTTATCATCATATTAAGGAAAGAAGCACAGAAGAGGGTAGGAAAGATAGGTCTTCAATCGCCTGTGCCACCCTTCCACCATGCCCTGGCAGTGGTCGCATGGCATAGAGAGAAAATCTGTGCACTTGAGAAGGGAAGAGCTCAGTGACTGTGGGACTTTGCATTGGAACTTAGTGCTTCTCTATCATAGCAGAAAGCAACCTGGGGCGGAACTCAACCAGTACCCATGGAGGGAGCATTTGGACCAGAACTAGCCAGACAAATCATCTGTCTCAGCAGTTAGAACCTGAGTTCCAGCAAGCCCTGCCACTGTGGGCTAAAGTGTTCCGGAGCCCAAAATAACTTGAAAGACAGTATAGACCACAACCATATAGACCATAACTTGAAAGACAGTAAAGATAGTATAGACAGTATAGACCAGTATAGACCACAATTCCTGGGCAAGTCTTGTTACTCTTTTGGATTGGAGCCAGGAGCTGGTGGACTTGAGTTGCCCGGGATCCAGTGAGACACCAGCAGGTGCAGGCAATGGAGTGCTTGGATCACCTCACCCCTAACCCCAGGCAGCAGCAACACAGCTCACAGCTCTGGGAGAGTTTCCTTTCCTCTGATTGAGAAGAGGTAAAAGGACAGTAAAGAGTACTTTCTTTTGCAACTTGGATATCAGCTCAGCCACAGTAGAAAAGGCCACCAAGCGGAGTCCTGAGGCACCCATTCTAGGCCCTAGCTTCCTGAAGACATTTCTAGACACACTTTGGGCCAGAAGGGAACCCATTGCCTTGAAGGGAAGGACTAAGTCCTGGCAGAATTAATCACCTGTTGACAAAAGATCCTGTGGGCCCTGAATAATCAGCAGTGGTAGCCAGGCAGAACTCACCATGGGCCTTGGGTGAGACTCAGAGCTGTGCTGGCTCCAGGTGTGACTAAGTACATTTTCAGCTGTGGTGGCTATGGGAGAGACCCCTTCTGCTTGAGGAAAGGAAAGAGTTAAGGAGACTTTGTCTTGCAGCTTGGATACTAGCTGAGCCACAGAGAGCTGATAGAGAACAAGGTGGGGGCTCCTGGGATCCCTGATTCCAGGCCTTGATTCCTCTGTGACATTTATGGACCTGCCCTGGGCCAGAAGGGAGCCCATGGCCCTGAAAGGAGAGACTCAGGCCTGGCAACTTTTACTAAAGCTGACTGAAGAGCCCTTGGGCCTGTACTAGCTGTAGGCCAGGGGAGGTGGCAGCCACAGAAAGACTCCTCTGCTTGGGGAAGGGGAAGGAAAGAGTAAGAAGTACTTTGTCATGTGACTTGGGTGCCAGCCCAGGTACAGTAGAATAGAATAACAGGTAGATTCTTAAGTTTCCTGACTCCAGCCAGTCGTTCGCAGTTGGCATCCCCAGACCCACCCTGGGCTGGGGCAAACTCACTACACCGAATGGAAGGAAAAAAGCCTGGCTGGATTTACCACCTGCTGATTGTAGAGCCATGGACCTTGAGTGAACATAGGTGGTGATCAGGCAGTGATCACTACAGGCCCCGGGCAAGACCCAGTGCTGCACTGGCTCCTGATCTTACCTAGCACAGTCCCAGTGGTGCTGATCACGGGAATCCTTGTGTCACCCCAGCTTTAAGTAGCTCAGAAGAGATAGAGAGACTCCATTTCTTTGGGGGAAAGTAAGGGAAGAGAATATGAGACCCTGCCTGGTAATCTAGGGAATTCTTCCAGATCTTACACAAGACCGCCAAGATAGCACATCTACGAGTCTACAAGGGCCACAGCATTACTGAGCTTCGAGTGTCTCATAAAGCAAATAAAGCTTCAGTGATCAAGACTTAGATCACAACACTCAAGTTTTCCAGTACCTAGAAGGCCTTCCCAAGAAGGATGAGTACAAACAAGCCCGGACTGCAAAGACTACAATAAATACCTAAGTCTTCAATGTGCAGATACTTAAAAACATTCACAAGCATCAAGACAATCCATAAAAAACAAAGAAATTACCTCACCAAATGAACTAAATGAGGTACCAGGGACCAATCCTGGAGAGACAGAGATACATGATCTTTCAGACAGAGAATTCAAAATAGCTATTTTGAGAAATCTCAGTGTAATCCAAGAAAATACAGAGAAGGAATTCAGAATCCTATAAGATAAATTTAACAAAGAGATAAAAATAATTTTTAAAAATTAGGGAGAAATTCTGGAGCTGAACAATGAAATAAACATATAAATAAGGTGTCAGACCTCTTATCAGAATTGATTAAACAGAAGAAAGAATTAGAGGGGTTGAAGACAGGCTATTTGAAAATACACAGTCAGAGGAGACAAAATAAAAAATAATAAAAAACAGTAAATCATGCCTACAGGATCCTGACAATATCCTCAAAAGGGCAAATCCAAGAGTTATTGGCCTTAGAGAGGAGGTAGAGAGCGATCTCAAGGCAGAAAGTTTATTCAAAGGGATAATATCAGAGACCATTCCAAACCCAGAGAAAGATATCAATATTCAAGTGCAAGAAAGTTATAGAGCACCAGCAAATTTAACCCAAATAAGACTACCTCAAAACACTTAAAATAATCAAACTCCCAAAGATCAATGATAAAGGACCCATATACAAAAATTAAATAAAAATGAATTGAAAATTTAAATCAAGGACTTCAAACTATGAAAGTACTGAAAGCAAAAATTGGAGAAACTTTTCAGGACTTTGGGCTGGTCAAAGATTTCCTAAGTAATACCTCACAAACACAAGCAACCAAAGCAAAAACGGACAAATGGGATCACATCAAGTTAAAAAGTCTTCTGCACAGCAAAAGAAATAATCAAAAAAGTGAACAGACAACCTACATAATGAGGTTAAGAGACAGTATTTGCAAGCTATTTACCTGACAAAAGATTTGTAACCATTATATATAAGGAGCTCAGATGAGTCAATAGGAAAAAAAAACTAATAATTCGATTAAAAAATGAGCAAAAGAGCTGAATAGACATTTCTGAAAAGAAGGCATAAAAATTGCAAACAAGTAAATAAAAAGTGTTCAACATCACTGATGATTAGAGAATGCAAATCAAAAATTTAATAAGATATCATCTCACCCTAGTTAAAATGACTTGTATACAAAAGACAGGTGAGGAAGTAGGGAAAAGGGAACCCTCATACATTTTTGGTGGGAATGTAAATTAGTATAACCACTATGGAGGACAGTTTGGAGATTTCTCAAAAAACTAAAAATAAAACTGCCATAAGATCCAGGAATCCCACTCTTAGGCATATACTCAAAAGAAAATCAGTATGTCAAAGAGATATCCACACTCCCATGTTTCTTGCAGCACCATTCACAATAGCCAAGATTTGGAAGTAACCTAAGTGTCCATCAATAGATGAATGAATAAAGAAAATATGGTAAATATACACAATGGAATATTATTCAGTCATAAAAAAAAACCTGAGATCCCGTCATTTGCAACAATATGGGTGGAACTGGAGGTCATTATGTTAAGTGAAATAAGCCAGGCACAGAAAGACAAGTTCCACATGCTCTCACTTATTTGTGGGAGCTAAAATAATATTAAAATTGAACTCCTGGACATAGGGAGGAGAATGATAGTTACCAGAGGGTGGGAAGTATAGTGGGTGTTGGAGGAAATGGGGCTGGTTAGTAGGTCCAAGAATGGATAGAATGAATAAGATCTATATCACGACAGGGTGATTAAGCCAACAATAATTTATTGTATATTTTAAATAACTGAAAGAGTATAATGGGATTTTTTGTAACACAAAAAATACATAAATGCTTGAAATGACAGAAACTGCATTTACCCTGATGTGATTATTACCCATTGTACGCCTGTATCAAAATATCTCATATACTCCGTAAATATACATACCAACTATGTAACCACCAAAATTTTTTAAAAATAAAATTATAAAACAAAAATAATAGGAAGATTTTGATGAGATTTAAATGGCACATTAAATATAGTAATATTTTATGAAGATGTGAATATGGAATATAACAGTGATGTTATTGAGGATGACTTTAATATTGTACTCTTAGAAAACAGGTGAATGTGGTACCATTTACCACTTGTGTATGACAAACAACATCATAAAAAACAGTTTGTGAGAAGGAATCGAGAGCTTGATTTCAAACAGAAATCTGTTTGAAGCATTTCTGTTTCAAACAGAAATCTCAAATATCTATTAGACATTCTATGATTATATCAAGTTATCAGGTTTGAGATACAAGTCAGGGTGAAGGTTCAAAGTGAGAGGTTGTAAGCTTAAATATTACATTTAACTTCATTGTACTGGAAGAGATCATCCAAAGTATCCAGCAAAAATGGAGAGAGAAAAAAAAATGAAAAATGATGAAGGGTTATTTAATAACAACAAAAAAGCAAATAATCTGGGGGAAAAATCCCATGAAGTTTTATAATTTCTTTTTTGCCTATGGACAGCCTTCCTTTAATAGAACTATAACTCAAAGTAACAGCAGTATATTACTAATTATGTTTAATAAAAATCAGAAAATAAAGTAAAAATGCATCGAAACAACAAAAATTATATTTATGTATAAAACATTATTTTCATTATACTAATATACACCAGAAGATTTAAATAATTATTTTAAAGAACATGAAATACAAATTTGCAGAAAGTTGTACTATTATCAGAATGAAAGTCAACCTATATTTTCTAAGTATGATAATTTTTGAATTTTTAGTATATCCTGAGAATAGAAAAAGTAGCCTAATTACATAAGCTAATCCAACTCAATAGCAAGTTAACATTCAAGTTAGATTTATAACATATAGTTTTATATCATATTCAACTGTTTTTCTTCCAGTGACTTTTTCAAAAGGCAGTGGAATTACATAGTAAGAACTGAATGCTGGGAAGACCAGAATAATTTATAATGGATATTAAATCGAAAAGATATCACTAGGGCCAAAGTTGACTTCAGCTGTATTTGAAAGGCACAAGAAGTATGTCCCATTAGACTAGCTACTCATAGCTTAGCCCCCAGGGGAGTCTTACTTTTCTTCAGCACATTAACAATCCTCAAATTATGAGTTGGCAAACTTGAAAATGTTTTAAATAAGATGAAACAAAATACAATCTGACGAATTATATAAGTTCACATTTAAAGTTTGGCCAGCTTAGGCTGTTTGCTCTTTCTCATTTGTCATGGGCATTCATAATTGCAGGGTCACACAAAATAATGAAAATTGTTTGAAAGATGTTTCAAAGTTTTCTTTACTGAGAAACCTATCACCCAGAGAGAAATCATGTTACTATATTGAATTTTGTGTAGGATGGAGTTTATTTGAATCTAGAAGATTCATGTCACAAAATAAGTTAGAATGACCTGAATGTTGGCATATCATTAGGGAAGATGAAATCATTATTCTCAAAAAGGGCAAATCTTTATAGATAATTGTGAATACCACCAATGTATTTCTGTTTTAAAAGTAGAGGTGCTGTTAAAGTCTAAGACATATTAAAAATTACTTTTTATGAAATATATTGATGAGGTAATTTAATCTTTAATATATGTTAAAATAATGAAGAACCTCAGGCCTCTGGGTTTAGTAATAAGGATATGAATCAGGTGAACTCAAGAAAATATGGAGGTCAGAAGGGTTAAAAAACAGACAGGATGAACGATGGGTATATTCTGAAATAGAATCAGGATAATTTGCCAAAAGCTTAAAAAACATAGGCAGCAGGTAGGCCTGAAAACAAGCCCAGGGCTGCTGCGTGGTCCACGCTGGTCAGTGTTTCTGACCTCAGCAGGCCACACTGAGACACTCTCCCAACAGGCTTTCATGACCTTGGGCTTCCTCTTTATAACTGTTCCGCATTTGATCTTTACAACATTTAAAACTAATTTCATCATGTCCTATTACAAACTCCCCTGAGGGTCTTGCTATTATTTTTATTTTCAGTTTATACTGCTAATCGTTTTTTTGTTTTTTTGTTTTTTTCTTTGAGACATGGTCTCGCTCTGTCACCCAGGCTGGAGTGCAGTTGCATGGTCTTGGCTCACTGCAACCTCCGCCTCCCAGGTTCAAGCCATTCTCCTGCCTCAGCCTCCCGAGTAGCTGGGATTATAGGCATGCACCACCAGGCCCAGATAATTTTTGTATCTTTTAGTAGAGAAGGGATTTTATCATGTTCTCCAGGTTGGTCTCAATCTCCTGGCCTTTAGTGATCCGGCCTCTTCTGCCTCCCAAACTGGTGGGATTACAGGCGTAAGCCACTGTGCCAGGCCTGCTAATTTACTTTCAATAGTAAATAATAATTTACTTTCAATAAATTGCTCCATAATTTGCTAACAAATAACTAGTTTGACATTATCATACTTGCATAATTTCCTACATGCATAACTTCCTTATGTTAATTTGGTAAACACTCACAGTTTAGTATACTTCTTTAATAAACATTTGTTTCTGTGTTCATACCTATACTTTTTTCACTTTTCTCAGAATTCCTTAGTCTACCTATAGTACTTGCTTGTATAACAATGTAATTTCAACTACTATGCATATTACTTTTAAAGGAAGCTACATTACTAATATATAATATTCATAAATGTTTATAAATCTGTCTCCATGTTTGTTGAGTTGAGATGAATTTTACAAATCAAGTTAATATTAAAATAAGAGCACATAAATGAAAATATTTCAGAAACTAAATTATTTCAAAGAATACTTTTAGTGTAAAATTGGTTTGTTTTTGAAAAGAGCCTATATAGTTTTGTTAAAATATGATCCTAAGGTTATAAAAATCACCAAAACATGTTCATTACTTTTGTGTGGGAAGTCTTTTTCCTTCAAAACAATTAAGTTATTGGGTTCTAAATAAATAGGAAAGCCATATTTATTGTTTTATGGCAATACATTGCACAGTACTATATAAAATGGCTTTTTTATTATATATTTATACTTGTGATAAACAAAACTTGCTAAATATCTAATATTCTATATGTGTTTTACTGGGCCACATTATTAGAACAATCTTTCTTTTATCCTAATTTGATAAAGCTCACAATTCAGTAATACTGTAAGTCTAATTCCATATTCTACCCTAATACTATAAAGCCTGGACTAGGGTATATTTACAATAACATTTCAAACAAATGCCTTTTTCTAGCCATAATAATGATGAAGATGTAAAAAATAAAAGAAAATAATGTTTATGAAAATTCTCACTAATATTTATTCAACAATTATCTAGTGTCAAGTCATGAGCCAAGTGTTTTATTTTGGTTAGCTCATGTAATAATTGGTCTAAATATAAATATTAATAGTATTTATCTCCATTTCCTAGTTTAGAGAATTCAGTATTAAATAAGCTATAAATTTGCTATAGGTCAAAATGTTACTAAAATAGGTTGTAGTAGAATTTGGATCTAGGTCTATCTTAATGTAAAGGTCAACCCTTACTATAAGCTTTGAGCCACAAAATCATTTTAAGGCCAAATAAGTCTGGTCTACACCCCAGTAAAAATGCCAAAATTTATCTTCATTATTTTTTCCTTAAAAAGTGTATCCTTTATTATTCTAATATTATTCATCTAACTTTCATGATTGTCTTCATCCATTTGTGTTACTATAACAAAATACCTAAAGCTTGGTGATCTTTAAAAAGCAGAAATGTATTTCTCATTGTTCTGGAGGCTCAGGAGTTCAGGATCAGGGCAGATTTGCTATCTCTCAAGGACTGCTCTCTGCCTCCAAGATGGTTTCTTGTGGCTGTCCTCACATGGCCAAAGGAAGAAGGGAAAAAGGGTTTAAGCTAATCCTCTCTATCCCTTTCGTGAGGGACTAATCTATTTGTGAGGGTGGAACACTCATGATTTAATCACTTCCCAAGAGGCCCCATGTATTACTACTACCACAATGGAGATTAAATTTCAACATGAATTTTAGAGGGATACATTCAAACCATAGCAATGATATTTCAGCCATATTTCCTAACAAAACTTATTCAATGGTCTTTAATAATTTCCAAGTGATTTATAACAAATTAAAATGTTTTCCACTTTAATTTTCCAAAGAAAATTTTCTAAGAAAACTCACATTTTCAAAAATGCATTTTCATTGTAGCAAGAAATCAAACCCAAAACTAAACATAGGTGTATTAGTTTGTTCTCACACTGCTAAAAAGAATACTACCTGAGACAGTGTAATTACAAAGGAAAGAGGTTTCATTGACTCAGAGTTCTGCAGGCTTAAAGGGAAGCATGGCCAGGAGGCTTCAGGAAACTTATAATCATGGAAGAAGGTGAAAAGGGAGCAAGCACTTTCTTCACAAGGCAGCAGGAGGGAATGTGTGCAATAACCAGGAGGTACCATACTCTCAAACCATCAGCTCTCATGAGAACTCCCTGACTATCATGAAAACAACATGGGGGAAATTGCCCCCTGCCCCTGCCCCCTTGATCCAATCCCCTCTCACCTGGTCCCTCCCCGACATGTGGGGATTACAATTAGAGATGAGATTTGGGTGGGGACACAGAGCCAAACCATATCAGTAGGTAATCAGATGGAAATCGTATATGCAATTGGATGTCAGAGACAATAGGCTTTCTTGTAATTCCTCAAATTTCACTCATATGTTGGGCCTTATTAGGAAATTCATCTCATCTCTGACGAAGTGTCACATCTACTGAATAAAGTGCATGGTAAGAGTGAGCACTTAGGTACCATCATAGCATCTAATAGAACAAGATTTTCAGGCAGAGAATACATTCTTGTTTAAGATATCACAGTCAAGGTCATCCAGGCAAGTTTAATTCCATATAATTAGGTAAAATTCAGTTCAGAATTAGTTAAGGTTCAGTTCACATTGAGGCAGGATGGGTTGTCAAAGAAGTAACCGTGTCCTCTGGAGCCTGCAAACTTGAGACCTCACCTTTAACACAATAAGCCCCAGCATTTGCATTGTAGTCAAGTTCATTCAAGCAAAGCTATCTCCAGTAGGGAATTTCCCCTTTAAAGAGCATGCACATTTTGATTGTACCTGTCCTCAGACTGACCCTTTACTCATTATAATAGTAAAAAACACACCCCTGGGTAGAGATTTAAGATGCTAATGAGACATGAAATGTGTGAACTAACATGTACAATGACTCTGCATGTGCACCCAGAGGACCACCCAGAACATGCCTACTGGCAACACCTCTTCCCATCCGCTTGGGAATAATCATGTAAGACTCCTATAAAAGAGTCTCCCTAGTGTGAGTCTTTGTTGCCTGTCTTCATGAGCAGCCCACTCTGAATTGCCTCACAGAGTGTGCTGTCTCTTCTACATCTAACCTTCAGAGTATTCTTTCTCCTTCGCAATGAATTGCTCCATGCTGCATCTCCTTTGCTTTGTATTTCGTGTTTAAATTATTTAAACTAAGAAGACAATAACCAAGTCTTCACAACAGCTGTCAACAACACGGGTGGAGCAGGTTAGGATAATCAAGCCTAAAATGACAATGTCAGTGTAATTTGGTGTTTGAGGATTCATTATTTAGTTAAAATTGTGTTAGTAAAAGTCGACCTCTCTAAAATTGTTCATACTACTTGAGTGGTACGATTTACTGCAATTTTTCCACCTCTTGAAGATAATGGAAAAATAATGTGAAGAAATACTTAGGATATAGTTCTATTCATAGTGGGGTTATATGGGAAATATCACATTATAACAAGAGCTGGGAGAGAACAAATGTATCATCAGCAATAATAAACCAGCGTTACCTCATAAAGAGTAGAGGTGAAGTCAGGTTACTATCTCCAACACCATTGGCTACCTGGCTGATTCTTGAGTACACGAGGCATAACTTCATCCCTGAAGACTCAGGAGTGATATTGTCATCATATGGAGGGGTGAGGGGTTAAATTAAGAAAGTGGTAGAATGAAGAGGGACACAATCATAAAGAAGGGTTACATAAAATTATGTATGCTGTAAAATAAATAGGCAGAGAATTAAAGACCGAGTGAAGTTTCAGCTCAGGGATGTGGAAAGCTAAAACAAGCATTTCTCCAATTTTTACAAAAATAGAAAGACTGACAAACTGTAAATTAACAAACTAATGTAATAAATATAAGTAACTGTAACATAACAAAATGTAACAAACTGTAATTAACAAACTGTAAATGAACCCATTAGAAAACTGAGTATATGGGGCAAACAACTATCCTAAAATCTGAAGAAAGAGACTTTATGTATGTTCTCAATTTTAAGTGGAAACTAAGCTATGAGGACACACATAGAGTGATATAATGGACTTTGGGGACAGAGATGGGGGTAAGTTGGACGAGGGTTGAGGGATAAAAGACTACATATTGGTGCACTAAAATCTCAGAATTCACCACTAAAGAAGTCATCCATGTAACTAAAACCCACCTGTACCCCAAACACTATTGAAAAAAAAATGTAAAGAGACCTTTCATGACAAGTAGGACTTTAGTGTTTGTTTACCTCGGAAAAATGCTACAGAATGCCATCAAGCCAGGGAAAAAATTCACCTGGAAATTTGCACCTAATTGCCAAAGACCTGGTGTGGGATGGATGCAAAGGGTGAAGCCCCTGGAGGCTGCAGCGTAGAGGAATTCTGAAGCCCTTGTATGATTTTCCTTCCAGGAAATCCATGTATTGCTGAAGGAAGAAAATCCTGAAAATGATCCTCTCTGGTGCTGGCTAGAGAAAGGGAGCATCAAAGACGGCCAAAATCGCCCAGACCCATCTCCAGTGTCTAATCTACAGAATGGAAACCTTAATCTACAGGCACAAGGGAAAGAAAATCTGTAGCCTGAGGGCATTGGTAGAAACCCAGAATAGCTGCTAGAGAGAGCTCTCAGTCAACACCAAAACACTGTCAGATCCCTTGCCCATATTACTCATATGTGGGTTGTCAGATGAGATTCATGACAACCAGGAAAATTTGAATTTCAGATAAATAATGAATACATTTTTTAGTATAAGAACGTCCTCAAATATTGTATGGGTCATACTTAAACAATTTTTATTTTATTTATATTTATTTATTTATTTATTTATTTATTTTTATATTTATTTATTTATTTACTTATTTATTTTGATGAGGATTCACTCTGTGGCCCAGGCTGGAGTGCAGTCACTAAAGCTTTGACTTCCCAGGCTCAAGGGTTCCTTTTACCTCATCCTCAGGACCACAGCCATGCCACCAATGATTATTTTATTATTATTGTTTTTTGTAGAGACAAGGTCTTACTATCTTACCCAGGCTGGTCTCCAACTCCTGGGCTCCAGCTTTTCTGCCACCTCAGCCTCCCAAAGTTCTGGGATTACAGATGTGAGCCACTGCACCCAGCTCTATTCATTGTTAATTTAAAATTCAAATAAGAGAATAACTCATCTTTATATGATCACTTATTTTGTTACATAATTTCCAATTTTATGGTTAGAGTTAATAGTAACTACCAATCATTTTATTGCATGTCCATCTCTAAACATATCAATTTTTTTAACTAAAATTTTGTTCAAGAAAACTTGTGTGTGCCGGAATCCCTAGATTATTTTATGACTAAAATTGACTCTATTGCTTGATTATTTTTAAAAAAGAAACTTTTATATATACTTTTCAAACCATATTTCACTTCTCTAGAGTCTTTGAAGTTAATACATGCTATGTTATAGCATCAAGTGTTGCTATGAACAAGTCTGGTTTTAAAATTATTTTATCCTCTTTGTATATACTTACTCTATTTTTATATTAAAATTAGATGTATATCATCTAAAACCAAAGTAAATAATTTCAATAAGATAGAGGTGTATATCCCTAACACAGAAATAAAGAAAAAAGGTATTTAGGGTTGATATTCTGTCTCTGTGGCCATGATGAACCCAAATTTCTTCTGTATCTTTATTATAACCAATGTGGTTTCATTACTTTGAAATTTAAGTTTAGCTTATAGTTTGGAATGGATAATGAAACTTCAGCTATTATGTTAGAACTGCATACAGGAGAAAATGTATGGAAGAGCAGAGGCAAAAGCAACCATATGCCAACTGAATGTTAATGTTTATATTTCTCTTATGTTAGTACAAAACAAAGCAAGACGGGACCAGCACACAGGGTCAGGCCGTGCAGAGCAGTTATAGCAACATCTAAACTTCTGTGCCACTAACTTTAGTGTGTGGTCCAAGTTGCCTGCTGGAATTCTAACATTTAAGATCACAACATAGCAGGAAGAAGAGGAAGTGTGAGAAGAGCAAATGAGAGTAACCACCAGCCAAGTCAGTTTTATTTCGACAGAGTCTTTCCAGAAGCCCAGCCAACATCTTTGACTTATATTTAACTGATCACCTGTGACTGCCAGCAAGAATTAGAAATAACATTCTTTAGCTGTATCCCTTGCTACGCAGAATAAAACTGAAGTTTATCACTAAAGAAGAAAAGGAGGCACTGGAGCACACTGCGGTTCTGCCGTATCTGCATATACTTCATGAATGACTTAATGACATTCTTTTAATCTTTGGAGTGTTACACCTTCATAAGTATAAATTTATTAAAACATTGAGCAGATGCTACCTTGTTTTTGATTCATTTTATATGACAACAGTGTAGCTAAAGGCCTACTCTGTCATAGTTTTAAAACTTGTGCTAACTTGACTTTAAGCTCTGACATTCCCCTTTCTTTTAATGCAGCAGTCACCACCTTGAGGTAATCTGAAACATTTGTCATCTTTGCCAGAAAGTTCAGTGCTTCTGTATGGCAAGGCACCAGGATTATTTCCCACTATATCTGCAGTTTCACGTCCGCAGGTCATAACTGATTCAATATAGATATAGAAGCAATTGGATTTTGCTGAAAATGTTCCAAATTACAGACTCCCTGGCAACTTATTTTGTAAGCCATAGACAGAGAGCTTCTCTCTTGGCAAAGTGGCTTCTCCTTCTAACTCTGTTAGTAGATTGGAAAGCTCCAGTCTCAATTTATTTCTCACTGATAGGGTTTTGCTGAAAAGCAAAAGGAGCCCATGCACACTAACATTCTGAATTTTTCATAAATGTCCTATAATATAACAGCCTCAGGATTCATAGCTCTGCCTTCCAAAATACTGAAGGCAACAGTGTGACCTAATGTTTACTGCAAAATGATCGTCACCAGATTTACAGCCTATGGGATTATTTTCCTTATTATACATATCTTCATGTCTAATTAGTCAGTTCTATAATTTGGATTCTGTTACTGTGTATTGGCAATGCACTTACAATAGGTACTCAATTTTGAATAAAATTCTGCTACATAGAATTGAAATCCCCCATAAGTGGTTTAAATAGACACTCAATTCTTTCCCATTAAAAAAAAAAAAAGTCCAGCTTAGGTAGACATTCTAGAACAAATGTTTTCTACTATCATTAGCATGTGGCTTCTATCCTGAATGTTACCTCTTTTTCTAAGATGGGTGCTGACTTTCCAGTGCCAGCTTCAAGTCTGCCTGTTTAGAAAGAAAAAGTATAGAAAGAATAAAAAGGGACACACAATCCCGTCACCACAAAGTGCCTCATTAAATACACACCTATTACATTTTATTGGCCTCAAAAGTGGCAAGGGAGTCTCCAAAAGCAATCTTTTTACTAAGCAAACTCTTACCCAAACTTTGGGTTCCTTTTATGATAAAGCAAAAAAAAATGACGTGCCACTAGAGAAGAGGAAATCTGTGCCTCTGCTGCTTTGACTTTGTAAATGAAGCTGAGGCTTTTACATTTGAAGAGAAATCACCTTGTGAGTATACATAATTATATTTATTATTATTATTATTATTATTATTATTATTTTGAGACAGAGTCTTGCTCTGTCACTCAGGTTAGATTGCAATGGTGTGATCTCAGCTTATGGCAACCTCTGTTTCCTGGGTTCAAGCACTTCTCCTGCCTCAGCCTCCCGAGTAGCTTGGATTACAGGCGCCGGCTACCAGGCCTGGCTAATTTTTGTATTTTTAGTAGAGATGGGGTTTCACCATATTGGCCTCACTGGTTTCAAACTCCTGACCTCAGGTGATCCACATGCCTCGGCCTCCCAAAGAATTATATTGTTTTTAATCAAATTAACCTAATATTGTAAACTCTTCTGTATCTTCATACTCAAATATTATATATTTCATTTATATGTTCTCCAATTTTTTATAAATTTTATTTCTCTATTAAAAAAACTTTAGTAATAGCCGAATATTTATGCTGCGTCTCCTCTTGTCCTTATTATCTATCAGTTTATCTAGAAATAAAAAAAAATTTGGATGATATTTAGGAAGCATGCTCATCATGTCTGTGATTTCATTTTTTCATTCATGATTTTTTCTCTTAATAAAGCTTTCTTTCATCTCTCATTTTATTTTTACCCTATCCTATTCTAAGATTTCCAAATTAGTTTTTAAAGTTTTTTAACATCTGTTTTCTTGGAATTTCCTAGAATACCTCACAATCTTTTCCAACATTCTTTTTTCTCTCTTTTTCTGTTATTTTGTTAGATACCTTTGTCTCTGATCTCACTGAGTCTATAAAAAATGTTTCCATGAATTCTTCTTCTGTTTATTTGATATATATATATTTTTATCTGTTTCCCTTTGTTGATATATTTTGCCAACTTTAAAATGTTAATTCATTAGTTGGTTGCTTTCTCATTATTACCTCCCAATGTAGTTACAATATAATAGAGAGAACAAGGGAGAGAGAGAGAGAGAGAGACTAGAGCATTTGACCTGCTTTAAAGAAAAACTAAAATGGAAACACTTTTACTCATTATACTGACTATTTTCTTTAACACAATGACAAGCATTTATTTGGTTTTGATTATTCCATAATTTATTGTGGCTCAGAATTCAAACTTTTTGTTATAGGAGCTCTTTCTTATTATCAAGATAAAGTTTTCTTTCTCCCTTTATTTCTAGCCAATTTCCTATCTGAAAGTCCATATGAATTTCATATCTTTATGAATTTTTAGGGTTTAAAATTGAGTCTCTACAAAAAAAGTCTCTTTTATACCTTTTTATTCTTACTACTCTAATACAGTGTTTATGAACACACATTTAAGCACATTTATTGACATATAATTATCATACCTTACAACGCATCCATTCACAGTGTACAAAGAGTTTTTAAAATATTTCAGAGTTGTGCAAACATCACCGTAGTCTATTTTAAAAGTTTATATTTCCTCTTAGGAAAACCAATATAGTTTAGCCATTACTCCACAATCCCCTAGGATCACATTTCTCTCAACCCTAGACAACCACTAATTTAAATTCTGTGCCTATAAATTTGCCCATCCTAGACATTTAATGTAAATGGAATTGTACAATATGGGGCCATTGATATCTGACTTCTACTTAACACAGTGTTTCAAGAATCATGCATGTTATAGCATGTATCATTACTTATTTTCCTTTGATTGCTGAATAAAATTTCATGGTTTAGATATACCACATTTCTTATTCATCTGTTAATCGATGAACATGTTGGTTGTTTCCACTGTTTAGCTATTACGAATAATGTTGATATGAATATTTACATACAAGTTTGTGTTAATATATGTTTTTAGTTCTCTTGGATATATATTAAGAAATGGAAACGTGGGTCATATCATACTTCTATGTTTAATTTTTGAGATGTATTTTCAAAGTAGTTGCTCCATTTTACATTATCACCAGCAGCATATGAGGAGTCCAATGTCTTTATGACCTTGCAAACATTCCTTATTATCTTTTTCGTTATAGCCATCTAGTCTCCATGGAATGAAATGTATTGTGATTTTGATTTGCCTTTCTTTGGTGGCTCATGATATTCAACAACATTTCATGTGCTTTTTGGCCATTTGTGTACCATCTTTGGAGAACTGTTAATTCAGATCCTTTTCCTTTATTGGTCTTTTTTTATTATTCAAAGAAAACTCTCTATGTCTCTTTTTTTTTTTTTTTTTTTTTTGAGACAAGGTCTCACTGTGTTGCCCAGGCTGGAGTGCAGTGGTGCAATCTCAGCTCACTGCCGTCTCAGCCTCTGAGGGTTTGTTGATCCTCCCACTTCAGCCTCCTGAGCAGCTGGGACTGCAGGCATGCACCACCATGCCTGGCTAGTTTTTTGTATTTTTTGTAGAGATGGGATTTTGCCTTGTATCCCAGGCTGGTCTCAAACTTCTGGGCTCAATGATCCACCCTGAAGTGCTGGAATTACAGGTATGAGCCATGAAACAAATCTCTTATCAGATATATTATTTGCCAATATTTTCTCCAATTAGAGGGTTGTCTTTTCATTTGCTTCATAATTGCGTCCCATTTCCTGGTCTCCTCCTCTCAAACTGCTTCCAACCTAATAAAACCAGAACTTCTGAGTGGCACCAAGTGACTGCATGTTAAATCAGCTTCTCAGGTGCAGAAGTCCTCAGGTATCCCTTCACTTCCTCTTCAAGTATTTGTCTGCTCTATTCTCTCTCTCTCTTTTCTACTCCTGGGATTCCAATTACAGGTGCATTAGATCATTTGCTCTTCCACAGCAAATGTTTTTGTTGCCATCATTATTTCCCTTTGTGTTTCAATTTGGGTGGATTTTATTAACTTTTTTTTTTCAATTTAACTGTTTTTTTCCTCAGCTATGTCAAATTCGATGATGAGTCTGTCAAATACTTTGTCTGTTTTTTTTTTTATTTCTAGCATTTGCAATGGATTCTCCCTTATACTATACCTTTTCCATTACAGCCTCTAATGTATTAATCAGAATTATTTTAAATCCCCCGGTATTTCCAACAGCTGTATCACATCTAAGAGTGTTTTAAATATTGTCTTTTCATTTAAAGAGTTGTCTCTTTGAGCTTTGTTTTTTCTTACCTTTCTGTAAGGCTTATGATTTAATTGTTGTTGAAAGCCAAAAATGTTGCATTGGACAGTAGACAGTAGATACTAAAGTAAATATTTATATACTTGGGAATTCATAGATGTGTCCTGCACAGGGGGGGTTTATTACTCTACTCCTGAGCTGGCCTGCATTTGGAGCTCGTTGTTACTATTTTTATGCTCAGTGTACTAGAAGCTCCACATTACTCTAGGACACTTGCCCCTCACTTGGTTTTGGTAACCTTATGGGCTTTGGGTTTTCTTTTTGTGCTGCTCTCCAGAAAGACTGTGTCCCTTGTAGCTCTCCCTGATATATTTCACTGTGACTTTACCTGGCACTTGTGAGCTTGGTGATAGTGAGTGGTGGAAGACATCGTTCTCAGTGATATAGATACAGCATTGTCTTAAGCAGCTACCATGCACCTGGGTCCTAGGGGAGTGAGCAATCTTGCTATATTTTTCTGCTTTTGCTCCAGATATGATGCTAGGCATAGCAGGTATTTCTACAACTCACCCAAGGGTATAGTTGTTTGTTTTGTTTTATTTGTTCCCTTCCCCCAGTCACATTGGGTTTTCACCAGTGCCTTAAGAGATTATGCTCTTTGGTCCATAAAAGTAGGATTGGCAGGTTTAGTGAAAGTAAATAAATACATCATAGAGAAATAGAGTCACTCTTATTTGAATATGAATAAGATGAATTATCATAAGAAATGAGGAATGGTATGTATGTACATACATATATATGAAATAAACATAAATCGAAGGATTTTCATGTAGACATCTCTATTTACATATAAATATGAAGGATATAAAGGATGTAGTCTGCTGAAATGAGTAGTATATATTCAACTATGGTGAGAGGGACTTATTTAATGATATTTGTTAATGATATTTATTACTAAAATATGTATTCTAGGCCAATGAGCAGCTAGAAAATTTACAAAAAGAGAAACTATATCTTTTAGTCTAAATGAAGAGGAGTTAAGGAGGACAGTAGGGTCATTAATATTCTAAAAGATTCATCTAATTGAAGACAGAGATTATATTATACACATATGTATACAGAGTAACTTTGTGGGGGAAATAATAAGTAAATTGTTTTCATATAATGGATACATATAAGCATATTGAAAGGGAAAGTAATCATTGACAGAATTGAAAACCAGTGTAGAATTATAAAATTAACAATGAAACAAAAACTAGCAAATATCAATGTGCTTCGATCAGCAACAATAAAGCAAAAAGGAAGTTACAGAGTGAAATAAATAAAGTTAAGGTAAACAGAACAAATTAAATCAAGTATATTGTATAGCACACTACATGTAAATAGATCTTGTCAATAAAAAACACACTTAATATTTCATCTTTCAAGAAGTACATTTAAATAGACCTATAGAAATGCTGAAAATATAGACATGGGTAAAAAGATTCAAAAGATTTCCAAACATGAAGGAAAAAGATAAGGCAATACTAACAGA
This sequence comes from Homo sapiens, assembly GCF_000001405.40. Taxonomy (NCBI): domain Eukaryota; kingdom Metazoa; phylum Chordata; class Mammalia; order Primates; family Hominidae; genus Homo; species Homo sapiens. Next base: position 66,319,372 of record NC_000018.10, on the reverse strand, counting down.
GAGCATGGATATAAAATAAACTTGTTTTAATACTGAGAAAAACTAAGATACATTGTCTCCAGCAAATACATATTACAAGTAATGCTAAAAGGATTCTTTAAAGCAGAACTAATATATCAGATGGAATCAGAAATTTCAGGAAGGAAATATATTTACATCTACAACTACAGCTATAGCTATAACATCCATCTATACATCTGTCTAGATACACCTACATATATACAATATATATGTGTGTGTGTGTGTTTATATGTAAATAAACAAAACTATCCACCTATACAATACATATTTCTGAATTGCTAAAATAAAATTACTAACACTAACTACAGTAACTATGTTTTTTACAAGAAATAATATTTAAATATACAGAAGTAGATGGCTTTGAAGAAAAATACTTGAAAAAAATACATACTGCAAACCTTAAGAGAGGTGGTGTGATTGTGTTGTATCCAAAAAAATTGGACTTCAAGACAAACAGTATCACTTACAATCGAGAAAGGCAATATGTAAGTTTTAATTAAGAAGAGAGAAAATGGTTTACATACCTAGATATTTATGGACTAAAAAGTATTATTTCAAAATACATTTAAAAATTGACATGACTAAAAGAAGAAGTAGATAAATTTACATAGTTGAAGATTTTAAGTTCATTATCAATTTATAAAAAAATGCAGAAAAACAATCAGTAAATGTATAGGTTTGCACACTATCAACAAAATTGATTTAATTAACATCTTTAACAGGCCAGAAACTACACAACATACATTGCTAAGTGCTAAGTGCATTTGAAATACTAACAAATAATTATTTGGAGGCCCCCAAACCAGTCTTAATGCTGAAATTTTGAAATAATCCACTCTCTGACCATAATTACATTAATTAGAAATTGAAAATATTAAGATATAAAAAAATACACAAATATGTGTAAATAAAGCAAAACACCCCTATATAATCCAGGGACAAAAAAAGGAATCATAAGGGAAATTTTAAAATATTTCGAGTTGAATGAAAATGAACAAGAACATATTGCAAATTGTGGGTGGACTTCCACCTCCATTTAAAATAGAGAACGATTTTTAAAAAGTTGTCTCTAACTCAAAAATAAGAGGAAAAAATAAGATCGGCTTTAATTTTATAATGTTTATTTTTATTGGAAAGCTGAAGTTAGAAGGTAATGAAGAAATCTTAAATACAAAAGGTTTAAATTCTTCTAAATGGTGAAAAGACATACACATTTTCTCTCCCATAAGAGAACACAAGAGAATCTGCAGCTGTTCTGGCCATAATCTAAGCAAGTAAAATTTGACTGAACTGAAAATCAAGTGGGAGCTAATAAATCTGAAGTTGCTGGGGACACTTAGTAATTGCCTTCACTTCATCCTATGAGACTGAATCATTTAAAATCTCATTCCTACTTGATGCTCTCAGGAGAAGCTGAGAACAGGGTAAAGAATGAAGAAAGCAAACCTGAGTGACTCAGATGAGTAGAAGGTGACTGACAGCTATTAGGGGACCGGTATGAAACATTTCCTGCTTCCAGACTCCCTTCTTTTATGCCAAGATTATGTCTTAATCCTCTTCTGGAGGAAGGACAGAAAACTCTTTTTGCCCAGAGAAGGAAAAGAAGCTAATCATAGTCTGCAGACAAGATAAAAGCAATACTGTCTGTTTCTCCAAGATCAAGTGGTTACATCACTGGGGAAAAAGAAAAAATCACTGCCTTGCACAGTGCTCAAAAGATGTTATCACTTGCTGCAGACACAAAACCCTGTCAATTAGCCCCATACTTCATCCCTATATAGCCAAAAATACAGGAGGAAGAGCAAGACTCAAAAGAGAGGGCTAGCACCTGTGAAGAAGATAAGGCAGTCTGACAGTTCCTCCTTCCACCCTGATATTTTATAGAGCAAATCTTAAGCTTCTGGGGAGGGCCACTAGGGCTCCTCATCTGCAAGGCATAGGCAAAGACTAGGGGTAAAGGAAATTTAAAGGAAATTCTCTACAGCTGATAGATGGGAAAGAATCTAATGCAGACCTAACTTTATTGACATGGTTTATATGATATGATCTACACTGATGTGGTCTACCCAGCTGCAGGAGGTACAAGAAATCCCTGCCCAATACCAACTGCTAATATAAGGCTGAATTGACAGACAAGGAGTTGGAGGTGTGGAAATGCTAAGAAAGATACACCTCCAAGGCACACGTGTACAGACTTTTCTGAGACAGAGAAAACAGAATACTGGATGAGAAAACATAGAGAATTTCCCTGCACACTACCCAATAACAAGTGTAACAATCTATTTCTGGAAAGGGCAAATGCATAAAGACAGACTTCTCTGAAGCATAGGCATCCAGGGGTGGCTGAAAGCTTGGGATGGAGCCCTACTCTGAGACAAACACCAGCATTCCAGCCCCAACTTTAATCACTAGTCCATGACTAAAGAAATTTGAAATTCGTAACATTTGGAAAGTTTCCATAGTGACGACAACAACAAAACAAAGAAAAAACATCACAATTCCAGACTATATTGACTTAACGACACAATCCAGGGGCCTGAGAGAATAACTGTGCCCCTTACCAAGCTTCAACAGTGATTACAGCTTTTATCATTCTACAGCAATGACACATTCAGTAAAAAATGTTGAACGCAAAGCAGAGCAAAAAACTAAATCTGATTTTCAAGAAACAAAACAACTAACAAAATCAGACTCAGAAATAACCAAGACATTGCAACTATGAGGCAGAAACTTTAAAAGAACTATCATTAAAATAAAGTATCTAAAGTTCAAATAAAATGGTCATTACTCCTTGGTTGCAGGTTGAATAAACAAAAATTGTATTGATTTAGGAAAAGATGAAAAATATAATGGAAAGATAACAATGTGTCATATGTAAAAATTAAGCCATAGAAAAAAACAGGTACTTTTCTGCAACACATGAAATCAAATGTCAGTATTGGGAATACAGTTTGAATGTCCCTTATATGAATTGCTTGGGACAAGAAGTATTGTAGATTTTAGATTTTTTTTAAATTTCAAAATATTTCCCTATACACAATGATATATATTAGGGATGGAACCCAAGTCTAAACATAAAATTCATTCGTGTGCCATATATACCATGTACATGCAGACTGAAGGTAATTTTATACAAGATTTTAAAATAATGTTTTGCAAGAAACAAAATTTGTGTACACTCAACTATGGTATACAAAGCTAAGGTGTTGCTGCTAGCGCAGCTATACATGTGAACAATCTGTGGTTATTTGGCATCACCATCATCACACACACACACACATATATTCACATGTTTATATTTTTATGTATTTTTGTATATATTTTGTGTACAAACACACATATACACGTGCACTTCAAAACTAAGAAAAACTTGCTTGTTGGTTCTTCCAAGATCCAGTCTGAAAAATGTAAGTGAAATGTAAGTGAAGGCCTTGGTTAACTCATTTTAGATCAAAATTGCAATTCAAGCCCAGAATTTAAACACTATAATTAAGAAACTATGGCCAAAGTGTTCAACATAGTAACTGAGAACCAAGTTCTATACATCGAAATTACTTTACTCCCACAGATGAAATAGCTTTGAGTTGTAAAGTCATCTCAAATTATTTCCTGCATCCTCAGAGATTAAAAACAAAAACCTTTAATTTTCAAATGCACTTTATACACCTTTTGAAAATCATTGACCTTGGCATGTGAACAATATAAACATTAAGTTAATAAATATTGCGGCAAAGAAACATAATCACACGGATGATATGATACTACCCCGAGTAATGAATATGTGAGTATGTGGGTGCGACAAGTCACTCAACAATACAAATCAAAATATTTTCCTTCAGATGCTGTTGGTGAATTTCTTAAATTAATTATACTTTTCACTTAGGAACTTAATAAAGATAGCACAGTAGTCAATGTACTGTCAAAGCTTAAAGAACAAATAATACATTGCTTGCCTCCCAAAACTTTCCCTCCCCTTTAATTTTCACTGAAATAGAAGGCGCACTGTAAGAACGTTCTGTGGTATGTACGCTCCATCGTGCGAAGTCCGTACCATAGCCAATTCACACATCTGTCATATTTTAGATGGTAGTGTTCATAATGCTGTTGCGGCTGCTCGTGCAGCCTAAAATTACATTTCTTCTGGCAGAGTATTACTAACATCTCCCACACCTATTTTAAATCATAGATCATTAGCATAAGCCCAAATTATTTGAAAAACTCAGAGAACATAAATTAAGAGCACAGATGCAGAATTTAGAAATATTCCTAATTATTTTAGAAGTTTATGCATACTGCCCACTGAAAAGAGTTTGGTACATTTTCCCCAGAATGACGCATTAACTCAGAACAGGCTGCTCCTAAGTGAAAAATACTGTAGAATATGTATGGTGTTTGTGTGTGCATATCTGTGTTTATGAGTATAAAAGGGAACATTATAGTGGATACCAGTATATTTAGAGTAGTTGTGGCAGCATAACTAGATGGTCACAAAAAGTTATCAAAATCCAGGCTATTAGCAAACAGGTAATTTTCTTTTAATTGTGCATTATTAGGGGTTAATTTTATCATATATATGTTAACGGCTGGTACTGCTTCTTCAACCATAATTTTCTATATGTAACATACATTTGGACTTAATTGTAAGTGGTTATTCATTAAGAGTGCTAGATTCCAATTCTCAGTTATGCCAAAATAGCTTATCTTGTTTTCTATTAAAGATAGAACAAATTACTTTCCCCTCCCCACCCCGCCCCATGTTCAATTCAGAGATGACATATAGAGAGAATATAGGGGTTTTATTATTTGTTCATGAAATTAATAGCTTTTGTGTTGCTGTTGTATGGCTGCTGTTGTGTCAGAGATGGAGGGAAGGAGGAATCAGGGAGTAAGGATTCTTGCCTGCCTGGAACTTATATTCCAGACAGGGAAATGAATATTAAGCATAACATTAAAAATAGTGCATAATTATACTCATGAAAAGTGATATGAATGAAAAGTAGTTGGTGTTGTGAGAGTATAATAACAGGATGAAGTCTAATTTGGATGTCAAACAAGCAATGACATGCAGGCTGAAATGTGAAGAATGAATCGATTTGAGCTGCTGGCACAGGTGAAAGTGAGGAGGGAGGATTCTGACACAGGAAAGTCCTAAAGGAATGAGTAGAAAAGAGTTTGAGATAAAAGTGAATAAAAGATTTGCAGGAAGTAGGGGTATTGAGTATACCTTTTTATACATTGAGTAAGTAAGTGGATTGCTTAGACAATTTTGGATATGGCATGTTAGAGGGAACATTATCAGAAAACAAAGGCAGATTGCATTGCCGTGGTCTCCTTTGAAAAAAAGAAATCCATAAATCCATGAACTTAATAAAACTAGCAGGAGAATGTCACTAAAAATAGTTTACTGGTGCTGGACTTCACAAGAGTTACTCTTTTGTCATTTTGAATGTCCCTAAGGAAATTTTAGCACTGAAAGTAGTAATGAAAGTATATGAGCATTCAATGCTAAAATAGTTTTGAATTAATTCATTAGTATGTTGACATTAAAGACAAACAGACCTATTCCCCTCTTCTAGTATATCTAAGTTTCTAGTGGGTTTAGCGAGCAGTTGTCATGCTCAGTAAGTACACATTTGTATTGTTTTTGGAAATGTCATCTAAATATTTAGAATTATAGAAAAAACTGACAGTGGAAAGAGTAAATGATTTTCCCCTAGAAGAAGAAACTAGTGCTGCCAGAAATTTATCATTTTGACATTAGAATTGATGGATTGGATATAATTCCTGTCCAAAACAATAGGCTAGGAGGTCAAGTACATTTCCCTAAGCCAAATACCACAGTGGCATAATACAATCCATTGTATCCTGAGCAAAGAAGATGGTAATTTTTTACCTAAGACTCCATCCTTAGGAGTTGCATTTCAATTATTTATTTCATTTTATTCATCTTTTTATTTGTTTAGACCCATCAAAAAACTTGGACTAAAAAGCAAATGTTTATTTAATTCTTATGAGAAGTAGGATATAGACAAATCATATGAATACTGGTCATAGGTGAAAAATAGTGAAAATTAGACTTGGACAAATGGCAAATATTTAATTAGATACTGTGAATAAATTGTTTGTTACTATTTATATGTAAAACACCAACAGTGAAAAAGCATTTCTAGGAAGTTGTTATGCCGAAACATCAAACACTAAACTACTGTGTTTAATGATTTTATAGAAATGTTTACTATTCATAGTTTTATCCCTCTCTCCATTTTATATTTGACTATAATTGCCTTAGGATTTCCATCATGGGAAGATACCTTATTTACCTATGGCAGTGATATTAAAGATGTGTCTGTGTATATTAATTAGAACAAACAGGTAATTAAATAGTTGTGTTTTTGATATTTCATGTAAAAATAAGAAAATACACTTCTTTCAATTGACTTATTTGAAGTATTTTCTCTTTTGCATTAGTGTGAAAGTCTACCTCTTTGTCTTGCTCTATATATACATATATTGTTTACTTATCCATAGGTATCTATATAGCTATCCACTCCAAAAATTCACTTTGTCTCATTGATAGGCAGTTGTCTTCTGCCTACAGTACAAAGCTCAAAACTCTTTAAACCATCCATAAGCTGGCCTGGTGTATCTTCTCAGGTTTTTCTCATACAACAATTCTCTCATGTTTAGTATAATCTCCACACCATTCTCATTAGTGTTTTCACAGCAACCCTGACATTGATTTTTTCCTCCTCTAGGTTTTTCATGGTTTTTCCTTATCTGGAAGATCTTCTTCCTTTTAATTTTTGTGACAATAAAATTTTATTCAGAAAAAAATTCATATGAAAATCAGACTTGGACAAATAGCAAAGATTTAACTAGATGTCTTAAATAAATTCTGTTTGCTACTATTTATATAACAAACTATTTTGTTACTATTTTCAATATGGAACATATACTAATATGTTCTGTGTTGCTTCCTTTCTATTTTTTTCTCCCTCCCTTCCTTCTCTTCTTCTTCCTTTCCATCTTTTCTTCATTCCTTCTTTCCTCCATTCCTTCTTCTTTCTTTCACTTTTCATTAAATATTTCAACAAATAAATATTGATTCCTTACTGTTTGCTGGTTACTCATCTAGGTTTTTGAAATATACCAGTGGACAAACAAATAGAGATCCCTGCTTTCAAAAATCTTTCTCTTAAGCTTTATGAAGGTAAATTATGTAGTAAGTTACAAGGCAAATAACACTGTGAAAAAATATAGAAAAAATAGAAACATGGAATATGGGATGCAATTCTGAATACATGGTAAAATTGAAGGAACTGGCAGAAGAGCCATTCAGATTGAAAGGCAGGAGGGATCTCAAAGACCCAACAATAGAAAAGTGAAAGTATTTGAGGATTTGCAGAGAGTCTGGTGTGGTGACCTGGTAGAAGAGTACAAGAATTAAGCAAGGTCAGATTTGAGGAAATTTGCAAGGCATTATAAGGAATTTTTCATTAACCTTCATAGCATAGCATTCGAAATGTTTTAAATAAATGATTGGCATAATCATAATTTAATTTGAAAGAAGCATCTGAAATATTATATTAAGAACATACTATTGGGAATTAAACATAGAATCAGAATGACCAGTTAGGAGACTTCCAGTGAATTTCAATGAGAAATGACTTACACCATGATATGGTTTGGCTGTGTCCCCACCCAAGTCTCATCTTGAATTGCATCTCCCATAATTCACATGTTGTGGGAGGAATCCAGTAGGAGATCATTGAATCATAGGGGTGGTTTCTCCAACACTGTTCTCATGGTAGTGAATAAGTCTCACAAGATCTGATGTTTTTATAAGGGGAAACCTCTTTTGCTTGATTCCCATTCTCCTTTTGCCTGCCATCATGTAAGACATGGCTTTTGCTTTCCACCATGATTGTGAGGTGTCCCCATCCATGTGGAACTGTGAGTCCATTAAACCTCTTTTTCTTTATAAATTACCCAGTCTCGGGTATGTCTTTATCAGCATCATGAAAATGGATGAATACAGTAAGTTGGTACCAGTAGAGTGGAGTGCTACTTACCCAAAATTGTGGAAACAACTTTGGAACTGGGCAACAAGGCAGAGGCTGGGACAGTTTGAAGGACTCAGAAGAAGACAGTAAAATGTGGGAAAGTTTGGACCTTCCTAGAGACTTGTTGAATGGTGTTGACCAAAATTCTGATAATTATATGGACAATAAAATTCAGGCTCAGGTGGTCTCAGATGGAGATAAGGAACTTGCTGGGAACTGGAGTAAAGATAACTCTTGCTATGTTTTAGAAAGGAGACTGGAGGCATTTTGCCCCTGCCCTATAGACTTGTGAAACTTTGAGCTTGAGGGAGATGATTTAGGGTATCTGGTGAAAAGAATTTCTAAGCAGCAAAGCATTCAAGAGGTGGCCTGAATGCTATTAAAAACATTCAGTTTTAAAAGGAAACAAAGCATAACGGTTTGAAAAATTTGCAGCCTGATGATGTGATAGAAAAGAAAAACCCATTTTCTGAGGAGAAAGTCAAGCCAGCTGCAGAAATTTGCATAAGTTTCAAGGAGCCAAATGTTAATCACCAAGACAATGGAGAAAATGTCTCCAAGGCATGTGAGAGGTCTTCATGGAAGCCCCTCACATCCAGGTCCGGAGGCCTAGGAGGAAAATATTGTTTCATGGACCAGGCACAGTATCCCCCTCCTCTGTGCACCTAGAGACTTGGGGTCCTGCATTCCAGCCTCTCTAGCCACGGCTAAAAGAAGCCAAGGTACAGCTTGGGCTATGGTTTCAGAGGATGAAGGCCCCAAGCTTTGGCAACTTCCATGTGATGTTGAGCCTGTGGGTTAACAGAAATCAAGAATCGAGGTTGGGAAACCTCCACTAGTATGGAAATGCCTGGATGTCCAGGCACAAGTTTGCTGCAGGGGCGGGGCCTCATGGAGAATCTCTGCTAGGGCAGTGCAGAAGGGAAATGTGGGGTTGAAGCCCCCACACATAGTCCCCATTGGGGCACTGCCTAGTGGAGCTGTGAGAAGAGGGCTGCTGTCCTCCAGACTCCAGAATGGTAGATCCACCAACAGCTTGCACCATGCACCTGAAAAATCCACAGACACTCAATGCCATCCTGTGAAAGTAGCTGGGAGAGAGGCTTTACCCTGCAAAGTCACAGGGGCGGAGCTCACCAACACCATGGGAACCCACGACTTGCATCAGCATGACCTGGATGGAAGACACGGAATCAAAGGAAATCATTTTGGAGCTTTAAGATTTGACTGCCCTGCTGGATTTTGAACTTGCATGGGGCCTTTAGCCCCTTCATTTTGGCAATTTCTCCCATTTGGAACAGGTGTATTTATCCAATACCTGTATGCCTATTGTATCTAGGAAGTAACGAACTTGCTTTTGATTTTACAGGCTCATAGGAATAAGGGACTTGCCTTGTCTCAGATGAAACTTTGGACTGTGGACTTTTGGGTTAATGCTGAAATGAGTTAAGATTTAGGGAGAATGTTGGGAAGACATGATTGGCTTTAAAATGTGAGGACATGAAATCTGGGAGGGGCCAGAGACAGAATGATGTGATTTGGCTGTGTCGCCACTAAAATCTCATCTTGAATTGAGCTCCCATAATGTCCATGTGTTGTGGGAAGGATCTGGTGGGACATAATTGAATCATGGGGGTAGTTTCCTCCATACTGTTGTCATGGTAGTGAATAAGTCTCACAAAATCTGATGTTTTTATAAGGGGAAACCCCTTTCACTTGGGTCTCATTCTGTCTTTGCCTACTGCCATGTAAGATGTGACTTTCACCTTCCACCATCATTGTGAGGCCTGCCCAGCCACATGGAACTGTGAGTCCATTAAACCTCTTTTTCTTTATAAATTACCCAGTCTCTGGTATGTCTTCATCAGCAGTGTAAAAACGGACTAATAGAGACCATGAGGCAATTAAAGTAATTAAGATAAGAAATTGATGCAATTGATACATATATAGAGAGAACATCTCACATATTTTCTATATAGTCTTTTTTAAACTTATGCTTATGTTTTCCTTCAATATGTTAAAATTATTTTCTTACAACTTTCACATTTGCAATGCTATTTATTTAAAAATATAATTAGCATAAATATTCTTCTTAGTAGAGTTCACTTATGGAAGCAAAGATATTCTCAACTTGCTGTTTTCTGCACAAATTACTAGCCACAAATTTATTTCCAATTATAAAAGGCAAATTGTGAATATTGTTTAAAACAAGACACAAAGGTACAATTTCCTTTTCAATGATTATTTTGTAAAATAATCTTTATCCAAAAATACAGAATGGCATAAATAGTCTGATCCTCATATTTTAAATAGTATCGAACACTGTTCTCCTGTGTTTTATGATAAATATCATTTTTATTTCTAAAAAGTAAATCATATAATTTGGTGTTGTATTTTAAGTCTGTAGACTTACAAAACTGGACAAAGAATATCTCCACAAAGCTGGCCGATGAATTTGACAGCTTCAGCATAGCATACCATTCATGATAATTTGGGGGTTATTGTTGTTTGTTTATTAGAAATATGTTTTATAGAAAGTGTGCCAGTTATCTCAAAGTCTTGCTAAAATAATGGATTAGCATAGTAATGATCACAGGAGACAGATATAAAATGTCATGAACTATGTGAAAAGAATAAACAAAGAACCAGCATCATACCTCAATTGTTTGTAGTGCGACTGATAAAATTTTATCACAAACAACAGCAAAATAGTTTGCATAAATTACTAAATCATATGCATACATGAGAATTAGCAATTAAACGGAAAATCTTATTGTGAATTTTCTTAATTGGCAGTTACTAAATAAAAACTTATCAATAATTCAAGATTACATAGATTTTATGACAATTTTGAGTTATTATTCATAATGTTTCCAAATGTAGCCAGGAAGAGTTAATTGTAAGATTGTTTGTTCTGCAAGCATATGCAAGACTTGAGTAATAAACTGCAAAATATAACGAATATAGTATATTTATTATAAAATTATTTTAAATGGCCACAATCAGCATAAATGTATTGAAAATAACTTTTAATCAAAGAATATGAATTTCCACTGAAGTTACTCTTGTGTTTGATACCCAAATACATTAATTATTTCCACCATTAATTTTAGAGTGTATTTCTCTTTGTTTCAATAAATTTTGTTTTTTTAAACAACTAGGATTTACAATACACAATACAGATTTTGAGGCTGGTGTCATTGAAAATATTTCATGTTTCCCATTGAGAAAATATATCAACAAAGCATTTTCTTTATTTAGATTTTTTCTGACAAATTATCAGTTATTTCATTGTATTTTAATTTTAAAAATAGATACTTATTTTTATACTGTATGTCCTAATGGGGAAACTGTTTCATTATCACATATTGTGATATTGAAAATATTAACAAAATATAAGGGACATGTTACCTTATGTATCATAATTAGCTAGATTTGGACATTCAATAAACATTAGCACGTGATGCTGACTTCAGTTACTATGTCTTTAAAAATGTATATAATTGGCATGGCATATATTTTGTTTTGTTTGTTTGTTTGTTTGAGACAGAGTCTTGCTCTGTTGCCCAGCCTAAAGTTCTGTGGTGTGATATTGGCTCACTGCAACATCCACCTCCCAGGTTCAAGTGATTCTCAGGCCTCAGGCTCCCCAGTAGCTGGGACTGCATGCATGCACCACCATGCCCAACTAATTTTTGTATTTTTAATAGAGACGGGTTTCACATGTTGACCAGTCTGGTCTCAAACTCCTGACCACAGGTTATCTGCCCGCCTCGGCCTTCCAAATTGCTGGGATTACAGATGTGAGCCACTGTGCCTGGCCTATATTTTCTTTTTGAACAAATATATATATATATGTATAGAAATTTCTTTCTAACTCTATTATACACTTTTAGTTAGTATATTTACACCCAAACTGCATTTAAAATCCTTATCATAAAATCATATATATATATAAAATACATATATATGATTTGTGTATTTTATATATATATACACACTTGTCTGGAGATTTTAAAACTACATACAAAGAGGAGAGGAAAGAATTAGCAACTGGTTTTAAAAATTAAGGAGATTAAAATTAGGAATTTTTTGCAGCTAAGGTATAATGAGAACATACTATTAAAATATATATATAATTATTTTTATTCTAAATAAATATAGCACATATATGCATGAATTTACATACAGACATATGCCAATAATATGTTTTAATGTACATAATATAAACACAAACTGTCTTAAGATCTATCTCATATATAGTAAACCTAAACATGTACTGAAATGCTTGTAAGCATAATGGAAATTTACAATGAGTTTCTAAGCAATTGACCATAAAGAGAATACTATGTGATTGGAAATGCTGGAGTAGAGGTGGAAGCAAGGATTTTGCTTTCGCTGTCCAGAGCTATTGTCTGAATCACTTACTAACTGGCAAAGCTATACTTTTCTTTATTTGTACACAACACATATCAGTGTCTTTTTATATTAGACACAGTACATATGGTTGAGGCCGTGAACAAGCTGATAGGAGGCTAACCCCCATGAATTCTATAATCTAGCTTGGGAAAAAATAGACATAAAATAAATATGTAAAAAATGTGAACAGTAAATGTAGATGGAATTATGGGGTATTATGAATATAGGCAAATGAGGTATGGGGCACACTCAGTTCATTTTTAGGTCTCCAAATAATGAAATTCCAATTATAGAATAATTGTTTGAATGTTCTCACTTAATAAATGACTCAGAGTTATAGATGAACCTAAATTTCCATTTTATTGACTACCCTCAGTCTCAATCCACTCTTTTCATTTCTGTGTGCCTTCATCCTGTCATTTTTCCATGAACAGATGTTTTCCAATGAGAAAAGGAAATACTATGTGATTTAACATAAATGGTATACTACTGATATGGTTTGGCTGTGTGTCAACCAAATCTGATCTTGAATTGTAGCTCCCATATTTCCCACATGTAATGTGAGGGAGCTGGTGGGAGATAATTGAATGATGGGGATGGTTTTCCCCTACTGTTTTCATGGTAGTGAATAAGTCTCATGAGATGGGATGGTTTTATAAGGGATGTCCCCTTTTGCTTGGCTCTCATTCTCTCTTACTTACCACCATGTAAGACATGCCTTTTGCCTTCTGCCATGATTGTGAGGCCTCCCCAGCCATGTGGAACTTTTTGAGTATATTAAATATCTTTTTCTTCATAAATTACCCAGTCTTGGATTGTCTTAGCAGCATGGAAATGGATTAATACAACCACATAAACATCTGGAGATCTTGCAAGTCAGTATGTAAGCATGGTTCTCTGAATTTTTAAAAATATTATATAATACTAAGAAAGTATCATAGTTTATTTAGCTACTCTCATTTATGGGCATTTAACATTTTTGACCATTCTATTATTGCAAACAAAACAGCTATTGACTACTTTTTAAAAGCCTGTTAGTACAGATATGCAGATTTTCTAGGATTAAAATTGCCTAATTATAATGTATCTACATTTTATATTATGATAAATATTATCAAACTCTCCTCCAATATTATGTTAATAAGGAACACAGGAATTTCAATATATCATTATAATTTTTTTAGAAAGATAAGTTAAATGCATAAGTAGGCACAGCATGTTGTCAGTTATTTTAAGACAAATTTATATATTTACATGTCCATATCATTTCATGTTCTACTCTCAATAGATAATAACCAATTATGTTTATAATATATAACACTTAGGTTTATACTAGAAATACCACATTTTAAAAATTAATTTCTTAAACCTCACTGCTCACTGTTTATTTCATGTTTTCTTCATCATTGGTTGAGCTATTTTTTATTTGTAAGTGTTTTACTTTCATGTATTCTGCAAATAAATACTAATATGCATTGTCATTTTATTACCTGATTAATTGGAAATAATTTTTATGCTGAGAAATGGCAGATCATTGAAAATTGTCCCATTTAATGGCAAATGGGAGAGAACATGGCAAAGTGTTCTGGGGGTGTGGTAGCATGCACAAACACTAAAATAAGGGAAAGTGTATTGTTCTAGATAAACTGAGAGGTTATTATGGCTGAAGATAAGGAAGGCCAAAGAAGAGACAGAGGAGATAAAATAAAGTCTGGCCTGATGGAAGATGTTTGAAGTTTTATATCTTGGTTTATTTTATTCTAAGAGCTGTCCTTCCACACAAAGTTTTCAGGGTGCCCGGTTTAATCGAGATAATGATTCCAGGGGAAACTGTTAACAGGGCTGGAGGTAGGACGGGGTGGATAAGCCAATAAGAGCTGTGTTCTCAACCACATGGACTACTGACATGAGAGTTCCTACTGAGGAACTTTGTCAGGCAGGTTGGAATTAGCCTCGCATTTATTCTTACCAAAGCAAAGGGAAACTGGAGTGTCCATGCACCAACTTCCTTCTGTTATTGGTTGAAGTCTTCTTCCTGGGGCATGAGAATAACTCTCATTTCTTCTGGTGTGCCCTGCACATGGGCCAAGTGTGTTTTCATGACCGGTACATGTGTTTTCAGGTGCAGGGAGTGAGCAGCCTGTGGTGAATGGTGGAAAGGCTTGAGGTCCTCCTAAGTCATATTAAATAGGCTTTTCAACATTTTACTAAGGTTAATGGAAATAAAACATGAACCTACATAGAATCCTGCTGCACATGGAGTGTGGACAAAATTTGCTGCAACTCCTGAGAGAGTCATGGGAATGTCATATTTAACCTGTCCCCTGTTAAATCTCATTTAACCATAGAATGAAGGAATTTCAATCTGATATATCATTGTTATGAAGTAAAAAATAAATAAATAATAGGCATAGGATGTTGTCAGCTATTTTAAGATAAGAATATAGATTTACAGGTCTATTACACATTAACAAGGATGAGGAGAGAGCAAAAAGAGATGAAGGAAAGAAAGGACACAGATTGATAGAAAAAAACACAAATCTTCATGTATCATTTTAATGCAAAATTTTGAAACAATATTAATATAATGGGAGAGTACTTTATAAAGATAAAAATGATTTAAATCTATTTGTAAAGGAATAATATTACTTAAAATTAGGGAAATATTTCTAAAATTGAATTGATATACAATGTATAACTTCCTGGATAATTTTTTCCTATACTCTTTATATATGAAGATAGAACAGTTTATTTAAATAAGAACATGTGACTCTCCGATACAGTGGTGAGCAAACAGAACTTTGCCAGCCTATGTAATGTTGATGCAAAAGGGAAATGTTTTGATCCAAGAATCTTATCTCAGTAGAGTAAAATAAATGGTCTTAAAGCAAAGAGTTCAGGGACATTTTGTTTAAGTAGAATACCTAAATATATCATATCTACTACTAGGAATAATGTTGTTTCTTATATTTACAGCTATCATGGAGACATAGTTTATAAGTTACTAGGCATACTTTATTCCTTCTAAAATTTTTAATGTAAAACCATCTTTATTTGTATTTATTGCGCTATATCTAAGTATTGACTTATAAAGGTAAAGCATACCAGCGGAAAGATTTCAAAAGGAGAATATTTGAATTGCATATTATATTCCAATAAATTTTATAAAGTGTGCAATTGAAAGTATTCATCACCACACCAAACTTGTTTTCCATAGTTCATGTAAAAGACAGAGATTATTCTAGTGCATATCTGTATTTACAGGGTTATTTTTGTTTGCTTATTTGTTTGCTTTGCTAATTCGAAAAGGAAATCATAAAGAGTCCCTGACTAGGAAAAGCAAAATAATACTTATTTGAAAAACGCAGACTTTGTCTTTTTACCTATCGGGTTAATGGCACTTCACACCAATCTGTATTCAGGCTCATACCCTGCTGCCTTTTACACAGAGATTTAGATATTATGATAAAGTAATAAGATCCACGGATTTCTTCACATTTACATTTTAGGATGTAAACCACAGTGCCTTCATTTTATGTGCTGCTACATTCACTACAAACCTCACTTGTAATATGTCAAAAGACTCCTGAGGAATGTCCTTGAACTTCTCTAAACAGGGCCCAATGGCATCCAAAATGGTACTGTCCACATTAAAATGTAAATGAGCCCTCTGTAACTGCAAACCAAGATCATTTTACACAGGTGTTTAAATATAACAAGACTTTAAAATCGATCCTTCAGGGATATCGCATGTACCATAGTTGCTGAGTTGCACCTAGGCATAATGCTTTCTATATACATGGTTTTATTGCTCTTGTGTGATACTCACTGAAATCTCAAGAAAACATTCTGCTAAATCAAATAAAAGAACATCTTACCATAACGCAAATGAACATCTCTTTCAACCCCCACAAAAAGGAACATACATACTTTTTAGTAACATTGGTTTACTTGACATTTAATTAATATTTATTGAACAATTAGAAATTAGTCACAAAAAGTAACATGTTTTTTGCCTTAGAAAAATTTATAATTGGGGAAAAGAGATTAACATGTGACATGTTTTTTCTCTTCCTAAGGGGAGAATTTTATCTTTTTTGTTATCTTATTGTTACTATATATATATAAATACTATTATATGAAATCATATATATATATTTAAAAATGATATATATATATATCTGATTCATATAATACAGGGTCATCTTGTACAAGTCTCATTGCCATATGTCACTACCAAGGTGAATTAAATTCTCTCCTGGCAACGTTGTTTCTAGTGCATATTCATAATGCATGATGCATAAAGCACTTCTTAATCTTTCAGATCAGATCCTCCACAGGCACAATAAATGTAAATGCAGTCAACCTCAAATAAAATCTCATTTCCAATGAATATGAGAAAAATAACTTTTCCGAACTGGTTTACTTTATCATCAATGAGAATGAATGAACTTTTATTTTTTTTCCCCTCTAAATAAAGCGTTGAGAAGGAAAAGGAGGACAGAGGATGCCAAAATATAATAAAAGAGATTAATTCTCTATTATTTGATATATCACACTTAAAGTGCTCATGCATTTCTGGGTCTTGTTCCCTTATAAATGTCAAAGAGAGAAAAATAGAAAATACCTTTGAAATCTAAACTCATCAGTTTTCCTCCTCAAAGTCCTTTTTCTCAGTTAGCAGCACCTCCATTAACTAGACCTAAAAAAATGAAAACCAACATTCTCTTTTTATTAAACCAACCATAATGCGTATTTACAGACTTAATTAGCTTTTGTTAAAATATTTTGTTTCATTCAAAAATTGATACTTAATTAAACATATATTTCTAAAAAATAATCGGATGCTTGAAGGATAGAATATATTTATCAACAAATTCTAAATCTTGTGTACTTTCCTATCTGTCTTCCACCCAATTAACTACACATCTATCTATCCTTCAATTTATTTCTTCCATTTTAGTAGTTTTTTGGAATCATTTTTAAAGAAAGAATAATTGAACCTATTATCTCCTAGCTCCTGGAATAATGAGATGCACTTAGGAACAAAGTAATCAATACTGCATAGATGGGAATACCGAAGTATATTTTTAACATATTTATCTGTATAATACTACTAATTAATCCCTCTGTATTAGTCCATTTCATGCTGCTGATAAAGACATATCTGAGACTTGACAATTTATAAAATAAAAAGGTTTAATTGGACTTACAGTTCCACGTGGCTGGGGAAGCCTCACAATCATGGCAAAAGACAAGGAGGAGCAAGTCCCATCTTACATGGATGGCAGCAGGCAGAGAGTGAGGAAGACGCAAAAGTGGAAACCCTAATAAAACCATCAGATCTCATGAGACTTATTCAATACCAAGAGAACAGTTTTCGGGGGGAACCACCCCCATGATTCAATTACCTCCCACTGGGTCCCTCCCACAACACATGGGAATTATGGGAGTACAATTCAAGACGAAATTTGGGTGAGGACACAGAGCAAAACTATATCACCCTCCTTTTATTAAGTTTTGGGCTAATTATTTTTCATTTTTAAAACATAATTGTTGCTATAAAATAATATGTCCAGAACATGAATCTGGAAGCAGTAGATGATGTGTAGTTTGACACTGTTCCAATTTGTCCTTCTTAAAATTAAACTACCTGTGCTAATGGTATGCACTTCCTTCCAAACTCAGTCATAATTACCATGAGGTTTACAGACTTTGGTAAAAATTCCTTCCTTAGGGGTTTATGATGTTTTCCAAGCACGCCTAAGAAACCATTTCTAAAAAATCACCCAGGTCACAGGATGAACTTTATTCTGCTCCAAACAAGTGGTGTGCCTACATCCAAACTCTGTAGAATATTGTGTGACTTGATAACCAGGTAGAGTCACTTATTACTTGATTCCAGAAAATGCTATGTTGAATTTCAAAGCTGAAGTTGCAGGTTCTGTATGCCGACATGCTGCACACATAAGCCATTCCAATAAGGCTTTAGGTGTTACTATAGCTGGATTTATATAAACACAAAAAAAATTAAATTTGATTTTTTATGTATGTAAGTTTCTGGAGTAGATTTTAGAAAAAAATGCATTAGTTTAATGTCTGCAAGTGTAAGTGAAGCTTTATTTATTATTGCATATTTTTATTACGTTAGGAAGGATTAATTCATGCTTGTTAATATTCTAATGGTTGAGGAATATTTTACTGAATTTTATACAGAAGACTTTCTCTATCTGTAGGAATTTTCAAGCTTGCCTAATCACAAATAGAACCTGGACACTTGTTTAAAACGCTGATTTTCAAGCTCTTCACCCACATACAGAAATATCTCATTTTATTGCACTTTGCTTATTGCAACTTAGCAGATACTGCATTTTTTGACAACACTGTGCAACGCTGTGTCGCAAGTCTATTGGCTCCATTTTTCCAACAGCTTGTGCTCATTTTGTGTCTCTGTGTCACATTTTGATATTTCTTGTAATACTTCAAATCTTCTTATTATCATTATATATATTGTGGTGATCTGTGATCAGTGATCTTTGATGTTCCTATTGCAATTGTTTGGGAACGCTGCCAACTGAACTCATATAAGACGGCAAACTTAAATGACAAATGTTGTGTGTGCTCTGACTGCTCCACTGACTATTTCTCCATTGCTCTCCCTCCCCTAGAGCCTCCCTATTCTCTGAGAAACGATATTAAAATTAAACCAATTAAAAATGTCACAATGCCTTCCAAGTGTTGAAAAGAAACAAAGTTCACATGTCTTTCACTTTAAAGCAAAAGCTAGAAATTATTGTACTTAGTGAGTCATGATGAAAGCTGAGAGAGGCCAAAAGCTGGAACTCTTGGACCAAATAGCCAAGTTGTGAATGCAAAGAAAAAGTTATTGAAGGAAATTAAAAGCACTACTCCAGTAACCTCATAAATGATAATAAAAAGCAAAACAGGCTTCTTGCTGATATGAAGAAGGCTTTAGGGGTCTAGATAGAAGCTAAAACCATCTATAACACTCACTTAAGCCAAAATGTAAGGCAGAGCAAGGCCCCAAATCTTCATTTCTGTGAAGGATAAGAGAAGTGAGTAAGCTGCAAAAGAAAATTTGAAATTAGCAGGGGTTGTTTCATGAGGTTTAAGGAAAGAAGCCATCTCCATAACATAGAAGTACAAGTTGAAGCACTTAGTATTACTGTAGAAGCTGCAGCAAGTTATCCAGAAGATCTAGCTAAGATCATGGATGAAGGTGGCTATACTACACAGATTTTCAACGT
Source organism: Homo sapiens (assembly GCF_000001405.40). Lineage (NCBI taxonomy): Eukaryota > Metazoa > Chordata > Mammalia > Primates > Hominidae > Homo > Homo sapiens. The sequence continues at coordinate 66,299,601 of NC_000018.10, read as the reverse complement.
AGACAAAACAACCTTCTATTGGAAGAAGATATTATCTAGGACTTTCATAGCTAGAATATACCTGACTTCAAAGTTTTAAAGAACAGGCTGACTCTCTTTTTAAGGCCTAATGCAGCTGGTGACTTTAAGTTGAAGCCAGTGCTCATTTACCATTGTGAAAATCTTAGGACCCTTAAGAATTATGTGAAATCTACTTTCCCTGTGATCTATAAATGGAATGGCAAAGCCTGGAGAACAGCACACCTGTTTATAGCATGGTTTATTGAATGTTTTAAGCTAGCTGTTGAGACCTACTGCTCAGAAAACATATTGTTTTCAAAATATTACTGCTGATTAATAATACATCTGGTCATTCAAGAGCTCTGATTAGGATGTATGAAGAGATTAATATTGTTTTCATGCCTGTGAACATAGCATTCATTTTGTAGCCCATAGATTAAAGAGTAATTTTGACTTTCAAGTCTTATTATTAAAGAAATATCTTGAGAGGCCGAGGCAGGCAGATCACCTGATGTCAGTAGTTTGAGACAGCCTGGCCAATATGGTGAAACCCTGTCTCTACTAAAACTACAAAAATTAGTCGGGTGTGGTGGCAGGCACCTGTAATCCCAGCTACTCAGGAAGCTGAGGCAGGTGAATTGCTTGAACCTGGGATGCGAAGGTTGCAGTGAGCCAAGATCATGCCATTGCACTCCAGCCTGTGTGACGAGAGCGAGACTGCATCTCAAAAAAAAAAAAGAAATATCTTTTTTAAGGCTACAGCTGACATAGATACTAATTCCTCTGATGGATCTGAGCAAAGTAATTTGAAACTCTTCCAGAAAGGATTCACTATTCTATATGCAATTAAGAACATTTATAATTCATGGGAGGAGGTCAAAATGTCAACATTAATAAGAATTTAAAAGAAGTTCATACCAACCCTCTTGGATGACTTTAAGAGGTTCAAGACTTCAGTGAAGGAAGAAACTGCAAATGTGGCAGAAACAGCAAGAGAAGTAGAATCAGAAGTGGAAAGTGCAATTGTGATTGAATTGCTCCAATCTCATGATAAAACTTGAAACAATGACAAGTTGCTTCTTATGCATAGGCAAAGAAAGTAGTTTCTTTAGATGGAATCAACACCTGCTGAAATGCTGTAAACATTGTTGAAATGACAGCAAAGAATTTAGAATAGTGCATAAACTTGGTTAATAAAGTAGGGTTTGAGTGGATTTACTCCAATCTTGAAAGAAGTTCTACTTTGGGTAAAATGCTAACAAGCAACATAGCATGCTACTGAGAAACTTTCATGAAAGGAAGAGTCAATCAATGAGCCATTGTTGTCTTATTTTAAGAAATTGCTACTTCACCCTAAAATTCAACAACCACCACCTCATTCCATCAACAGCCATCAACATCAAGGCAAGACTCTTCACCAGTCAAAAGATATGAGTCATTGAAGACTCAGATGATAGTTAACATTTTTAAATAATAAAATATTTTTGATTAAGGTAGTTATATTTCTTAGACATAGTGCTGTTACACACCTAATAAGTTAAAATGTAGTATAAACATAACTTTTATATGCATGGCGAGACAAAAAAAAATTGTGTAACTCACTTTGCAGTATTTGCTTTTCTGCAGTGGTCTGAAACCAAACCCACAATATAACTGAGGCATGCCTGTACTCTGATAGAGTTTCAGCAATGACTATTAAAATCAGTCATTGTAATCAATTCAGGTGATTGAATTTTCATCAGACTAGAGAAGTTTCGATAACAAAGATTCATAGATTTTATAGTGGCAATGCTTAACCTGTTTTACAGGATAGGCAGAGCTGACCCTACTTGTATATATAAAACTTATTCATACACACTTACTTTATATAACTTTCCCTTATTATTATAGAAGGTTTTGTTATATTACACAATTTTTTTTTTTTGAAACTCAGTCTTGCTCTGTCCCCCAGGCTACAGTGCAGTAGCGTTATCTCGCCTCACTGCAACCTCTACCTCCTGGGTTCAAACAATCAGTAGCTGGGATTACAGGCACCTGCCACCAGGCCCGGCTAAATTTTTTGTTATTTTTACTAGAGATGGTGTTTCACCATATTGGCCAGGCTGGTCTCGAACTCCTGACCTCAAATGATGTACCTGTCTTGGCCTCCCAGAGTGCTGGATTTACAGGTGTAAGCCACACACTGATATCTTTCAAATATAAATTTTCAATTCTCTAGGTGCTGTCCCAGTTCAAATAAGTGCACAAATTCATTTAAAATATTCAGTGATCAGTGCTGACTGCCAACTGATGCATTAGTGTCTGGAGTTCCCTCGAATGGTGGATGCCAAAACAAGTTTTGTTTCAGCACAGATGGTATTACATATGTTTGGAAAATATAAACCTGTGCACCTGGATACCTTACTTCATACTCTACTTCTCCTCAGTTAGTTGATTTATAACTGAAATTAATGCTCAGTGTTTTCCCTCCAATTATTTGGTAAAAGGATCATCTATGGTTTATTTTTGTATAAGGTGTAAGGAAAGGGTCCAGTTTCTGTTTTCTGCATATGGCTAGCCAGTTTTCTCAACACCATTTATTAAATAGGGAATACTTTCCCCATTGCTTGTTTTTGTCAGGTTTGTCAAAGATCATATTTTTGTAGATGTGTGGTGTTATTTCTGATGTCTCTGTTCTGTTCCTTTGCTCTATACATCTGTTTTGCTACCAGTACCATGCTGTTTCGGTTACTGTAGCCTTGTAATATAGTTTGAAGTCAGGTAATGTGATGCCTCCAGTTGTATTCTTTTTGCTTAGGATTGTCTTGGCTATATGGGCCTTTTTTTGTTTCATGTGAAACTTAAAGTAGTTTTTTCTAGGCCAGGCATGGTGGCTCACGCCTATAATCCTAGCACTTTGAGAGGCCAAGGCAGGCAGATTGCTTGAGCTCAGGAGTTCGAGATCAACTGGGCAACACGGTGAAACCTCATCTCTACTAAAAATATAAAAAATTAGCCAGGAGTGGCAGCATGCAACTGTAGTCCCAGCCACTCTGGTGTCTGAGGCAGGAGATGTGCTTGAACTTGGGAGGCGGAGGTTGCAGTGAGCCAAGTTCGTGCCACTGCACTCCAGCCTGGGTGGCAGAGCAAGACTCCATTTTCCAAAAAAAAAAAAAAAAATCTGTGAAGAAAGTCAACAGTAGCTTGATGGGGATAGCATTGAATCTATAAATTACTTTGGGCAGTATGGCGATTTTCATGATATTGATTCTTCCTATCCATGAGCATGAAATGTTTTCCCATTTGTTTGTGTTCTCTCTTATTTCCTTGAGCAGTGGTTTATAGTTCTCCTTGAAGAGGTTCTTCACATCCCTTTTAAGTTCTATTCCTAGGTATTTTTTTTTTCTCTTCGTAGCAATTGTGAATAAGAGTTCACTCATGATTTGGATCTCTGTTTGTCTATTATTGGTGCATAGGAATGCTTGTTATTTTTGCACATTGATTTTGTATCCTGAGACTTTGCTGAAGTTGCTTATCAGCTTAAGGAGATTTTAGACTGAGACGATAGGATTAGCTAAATATACAATCATGTCATCTGCAAAGAGAGACAACTTGACTTCCTCTGTTCCTATTTGAATACCCTTTATTTCTTTCTCTTGCCTGATTGCCCTTTCCAGAACTTCCAACACTGTGTTGAATAGGAGTGGTGAGAGAGGGCATCCTTGTCTTGTGCCAGTTTTCAAAGGGAATGCTTCCAGCTTTTGCCCATTCAGTATGATATTGGCTGTGGGTTTGTCATAAATAGCTCTTATTATTTTGAGATACGTTCCATCAATAGCTAGTTTATTGAGAGTTTTTAGCATGAAGGGGTGTTGAATTTTATCAAAGGCCTTTTCTGCATCTATTGAGATAAACATGTGGTTTTTGTCATTGGTTTTGTTTATGTGATGGATTACGTTTATTGATTTGCGTATGTTGAACCAGCCTGGCATCCCAGTGATGAAGCCGACTTGATCATGGTGGATAAGCTTTTTGATGTGCTGCTGGATTCAGTTTGCCAGTATTTAATTGAGGATTTTTGCATTGATGTTCATCAGGGTTATTGGCCTGAAATTTTCTTTTTTTGTTGTGTCGCTGCCAGGTTTTGGTATTAGGATGATGCTGGCCTCATAAAATGAGTTAGGGAGGAGTCTCTCTTTTTCTATTGTTTGGAGTAGTTTCAGAAGAAATGATACCAGCTCCTCTTTGTACCTCTGGTAGAATTTGGCTGTGAATCCGTCTGGTCCTGGGCTTTTTTTGGTTGGTAGGGTATTAATTACCGCCTCAATTTCAGAACTTGTTATTGGTCTATACAGAGATTTGACTTCTTCCTCGTTTAGTCTTGGGAGGATGTATGTGTCCAGGAATTTATCCATTTCTTCTAGATTTTCTAATTTACTTGCATAGAGGTGTTTATAGTATTTTCTGATGGTAGCTTGTATTCCTGTGGGATCAGTGGTGATATCCCCTTTATCATTTTTTATTGTATCTATTTCATTCCTGTCTCTTTTCTTCTTCCTTAGTCTGGCTAGCAGTCTATCTATTTTGCTAATCTTTTCAAAAAACCAGCTCCTGGATTCATTGATTTTTTTTGAAGGCTTTTTTTTGTGTCTCTATCTCCTTCAGTTCTGCTCTGATTTTAGTTATTTCTGGTCTTCTGCTATCTTTTGAATTTGTCTGCTTTTGCTTCTCTAGTTCTTTTAATGGTGATGTTAGGGTATTGATTTTATATCTTTCCCGCTTTCTCCTGTGGGCATTTAATGCTATAAATTTCCCTCTAAACACTGCTTCAGCTGTGACCAAGAGATTTTGGTACATTGTGTCTTTGTTCTCATTGGTTTCAAAGAGCTTATTTATTTCTGCCTTAGTTTTGTTATTTACCCAGTAGTCATTCAAGAGCAGGTTGTTCAGTTTCCATGGAGTTGGGCGGTTTCGAGTCAGTTTCTTAATCGTGAGTTCTGATTTGATTGCACTGTGGTCTGAGAGACTGTTTGTTATGATTTCCATTCTTTTACATTTGCTGATGAGTGTTTTACTTCCAATTATATGGTCAATTATAGAACAAGTGTGTTGTGATACTGAGAAGAATGTATATTCTGTTGATTTGGGGTGGAGAGTTCTGTAGATGTCTATCAGGTCCCCTTGGCCCAGAGCTGAATTTAAGTCCTGAATTTTCTTGTTAATTTTCTGTCTCATTGATTTGTCTAATATTGACAGTGGGGTGTTAAAGACTCCCACTGTTACAGTTTGGGAGTCTAAGTCTCTTTGTAAGTCTCTAAGAACTAGTTTTATGAATCTGAGTGCTCCTGTATTAGGTGCATATATATTTAGGATAGTTAGCTCTTCTTGTTGCATTGATCCCTTTATCATTACATCATGCCCTTGTCTTTTTTTATCTTTGTTGGTGTAAAGTCTGTTTTATCAGAGACTAGGATTGCAACCCCTGCTTTTTTTTTTTTCTTTTTTGGCTTTCTATTAGCTTGGTAAATATTCCCCCATCCCTTTATTTGAGCCTATGTGTGTCTTTGCACTTGAGATGGGTCTCCTAAATATGGCACACCAATGGGTCTCGACTCTATCCAATTTACTAGTCTGTGTCTTTTAATTGGGGCATTTAGCCTGGTTACATTTGAGGTTAATATCGCTATGTGCAAATCTGATCCTGTCATTATGATGCTAGCTGGTTATTTTGCCCATTAGTTGATGCAGTTTCTTCATAGTGTTGATGATCTTTACAATTTGGTATATTTTTACAGTGGCGGGTACTGGTTTTTCCTTTCCATACTTAGTGCTTCCTTCAGAAGCTCTTATAAGGCAGGCATGGTGGTGACAAAATCTCTCAGCATTTGCTTGTCTGTAAAGGATTTTATTTCTCCTTTGCTTATGCAGCTTAGTTTGGCAGGATATGAAATTCTGGGTTGAAATTTTTTTTTAAGAATGTTGAAATTTGGCCCCCCACTCTCTTCTGGCTCATAGTGTTTCTGCAGAGAGCTCCACTGTTAGTGTGATGGGCTTCTCTATGTGGGTAACCTGACCTTTCTCTCTCGTTGTCCTTAATATTTTTTCCCTCATTTCAACCTTGGTGAATCTGACAATTATGTGCCTTGGGGTTCCTCTTCTCGAGGAGTATCTTTGTGATGTTCTCTGTATTTCCTGAATTTGAATGTTGACCTGTCTTGCTAGGTTGGAGGAAATTTTCCTGGATAATATCCTGAAAAGTGTTTTCCAACTTGGTTCCATTCTCCCTGTCACTTTCAGTTAAATCAATCAAACATTGGTTTGGTCTTTTCACATAGTCCTATATCAAGATGGATTAAAGACTTAAACGTTAGACCTAAAATCATAAAAACTCTAGAAGAAAATCTAGGCAATACAATTCAGGACATAGGCATGGGCAAAGACTTCATGACTAAAACGCCAAAAGCAATGGCAACAAAAGCCAAAATTGACAAATGGGACATAATTGAACTAAGGAGCTTCTGCTCAGCAAAAGAAACTATCATCAGCATGAACTGGCAACCTACAGAATGGCAGAAAATTTTTGCAATCTATCCATCTGACAAAAGGCTAATATCCAAAATCTACAAGGAACTTAAACAAATGTACAAGTAAAAAACAAACAACCCAATCAAAAAGTGAGTGAAGTATATGAACAGACACTTCTCAAAAGAAGACAGTTATTCAGCCAACAAACATATGAAAAAAAGCTCATTATCACTGGTCATTAGAGAAATGCAAATCAAAACCTCAATGAGATACCATCTCACACCAGTTAGAATGGTGATCATTAAAAAGTTAGGAAACAACAGATGCTGGAGAGGAGGTGGAGAAATAGGAATGCTTTTACACTGTTGGTGGGAGTGTAAATTAGTTCAACCATTGTGGAAGAGAGTGTGGCAATTCCTCAGGGATCTAGAACCGGAAATACCATTTAATCCAGCAATCCCATTACTGGGTACATACCAAAAGGATTATAAATTATTCTACTATAAAGACATATGCGCACGTATGTTTATTGTGGCACTATTCACAATAGCAAAGACTTGGAACCAACCAAAATGCCCATCAGTGATAGACTGGATAAAGAAAATGTGGCACCTATATACCATGGAATACTATGAAGCCATAAAAAAGGATGAGTTCATGTCCTTTGTAGGGACATGGATGAAGCTGGAACCATCATTCTCAGCAAACTAACACAGGAACAGAAAACCAAACACCACATGTTCTCACTCATAAGTGGGAGCTGAACAATGAGAACACAAGGACACAGGGAGGGGAACATCATACACGGGTGCCTGTCAGGGGGTGTAGGGCTAGGGCAGGAATAGCATTAGGAGAAATACCTAATGTAGACGATGGGTTGATGGGTGCAGCAAACCACCATGGCATTTTTATTCCTATGTAACAAACCTGCACATTCTGCACATGTATCCCAGAACTTAATGTATAATAAATATATATATACATAATAAAGCAAAAAAAAAAAGATTGTCTCTGAATCTGAGACCATTTCTCTGTGACACTATCTGCCTCAATTCTTCACTGAAATTAGTAGTAATTACTGCTATTGGTTTAGATTCTGCTATGAAGTTATTGTTTTTGGAGGTCAAGAGTCAACACAGAAAGGATCACATTTTTTGCTTAGAAGGCATTGACTGCCCTGGCTCCTGAGCCTGATTCCTCACCTGCACAGTGATGGTGATAGCAGTGCCTGTCTCATAAGGGGCATATCACAGGACCCCGTATAAAATTAATACTGATCAAATGCCAAAAGTATTATTAAATTAAATTATTAGATCTATTAAATTAAAGATAAGATGGGGAGTTTTTGCTTAATTCAATCAATATTTGTTGCAGTTCCCACTATAAACTACAAAGAGGGATGTGCATTATTCTCCATCTCCTAAAGAAGACATTTAGGAATAGGTGCCCACTCATTAGCAGTATTCTTCCAAAAACAAATAACGTGTGACAATGTGTAAGATAACCTTTCAAGGAACCTCCTGACATATATGCTGGCAGTTATATGAAGACATGATACCAGTTCTCATGGGGAAAGAATTTAGTTTTTGCCAAAGTGCTGCTTTCTGACAATAGAAATGGGTAAGACCAGCAAAAAAGGCAAAGGTGAAAGAAAAAAAAAAAGAACCAACAAAACCAGCTTGTTAGGATGTGGAGATTCTTTTTTTTTTTTTAATTATATTTTAAGTTCTGGGATACACATGCAGAACGTGCAGGTTTGTTAAACAGTATACGCGTGGCATGGTGGTTTGCCTCACCAATCAACCTCTCATCTACATTAGGAATTTCTCCTAATGCTATTCCTCCCCTAGCCCCGCACCCCCCAGCAGGCCCCAGTGTGTGATGTTTCCCTCCCTGTGCTGATGTGTTCTCATTGTTCGACTCCCATTTATGAATGAGAACATGTGCTGTTTGGTTTTCTGTTCCTGGGTTAGTTTGCTGAGAATGATGGTTCCAGCTTCATCCATGTACCTGCAGAGGACATGAACTCATCCTTTTTATGGCTGCATAGTATTCCATGGTGTATACGTGCCACATTTTCTTTATCCAGTCTATCATTGATCAGCATTTGGGTTGGTTCCATGTCTTTGCTATTGTGAACAGTGCTGCAATAAACATATGTGTGCATGTGTCTTTATAGTAGAATGATTTATAATCCTTTGGGTATATATCCAGTAATGGGATTTCTGGGTCAAATGGTATTTCTGGTAGGATGTGAAGGTTCTTTAAAAACACAAGGATTTGAAGAAATTGTCCCAGAAAGAATAGCTACCACTTCTGAAATGTAGTTAGACTCATTTCATGAGCTGTGCACTGATTAGTGGAGAGAAGGATGGTTAAAATCAGAAAGGTTGGAGCATATGAGTGATATGCCCCGATGTCCCATATAAGCCCTGACCTCACGCCCAGTTTAGAAGCAGATGATGGCCAACGGTACAGTCCACCAACTCCCAGGACTCGCAGGACTCCTTTACAGAGGCAGAATAAAGTTGAACTTATACAAGTGTGGCCACGTTCTTCTGACAAGCACTCCTCAGCCAGCAACCATTTAGACAAAGTCCCTGAGATAACTTTTACCATGAAAATTAGAGAATTCAAACATAATGTATATTTATTCTAGAACAACAGGAATGCTTACAAGCTGTCTCAGGAGTTTAAGATTCTAATTCCAAGCTTGAAACAACAGCCATCAAGAGTCTCTGGAGGCAATTGCAGTTGTTTAAAAACTCCTTATTTATTTTTTACCTTATATGTGCTGAAATCCAGACTTTCAATACATTGTAGTACAGAGGGATGTGTTTTTCAGGAACGATATTTAAAAAAAAAAATCTAATACAACTAGGTTGATTATATAACTATATAATTTTTTTCCCAAACATTTTGAGAGTGACAGCAACCCTATTAATTACTAGGACAGAGCTCTTTTAGGTAAGTCAGGGTTATAACTACCTTAAACATCATAAAAATAAGAAGATATATTGAAGAGATCTCTGCCTTGAATGTGTGCTAGATGCTCTGTCTCCAATGTGTTTTTGTGGGTCTATTCCACTCAGCTTCTCTCTCAGTTTCCCTCCTATGAAGCCCTTAAGGAACTAAATCTAAGTTCATGAGGCTGGGATCCTGACACTGTACCTTCTCATTCCTAATTTTCTCTTCTAGAAGAGCGGGTCCTATGTAATCAACTCCAATCCACTGGTTAGTTGTTATCTATTGCACACAACTGGTTTTGAAGCTCAGTGAAAGAAAGAATGATTCTAAATTTTCTATATATTATTGTATCCTTAGTGCATTTTACAGTGTTTGACAAGTAATAGAGACTGAAGAAATGAATCGTTGAATGCATGCGATAAATGGTAGTGCTTGGTAATTTTGTCATGGGCAGCCTTAAATCTGTGGCTCCCCTGCTATGTAGAATCTCCTTGAACATCATTATCTGTGTGAATCTATGTATTTGTTTTCACTTTGTAGGTTCAAAGTCTTCCCTCAGTTCCCATTGAGTGATTATTCAATATATGGCCTTATAATTCCCTACTCAGTTTAATGTTTAGGACATTGTTTAAGCTGACATACAGGAAAATATTACGTCTCAGGTTGAAAATTAAATCTATGATTTCCCCAGGGAACTTGTGATTTTTCTCCTTAGGGATAATGACAATATTATCATTCACCATGTGAACACTTTGTTTCTATTGGAATCATCACTTAGTAGGAACAATTTCCAGCATCTTGTTGTAACACTCTTATTATTGACTTTCCATTTTAATTTTACATGCTGTTACTCTGCTATTTTATTATTTTGTTCACACGTATTTATTTTATTGTTTGCTGTCCTTTAAACAACTTTAAATTATCTGTGGAATATAGCAGGGAAAATAAAATGGAAAGTGCCTTATAATTTCTAGCATGTAGTAAGCACCCAATAAATGTTGGTTCCATTCCCTTCCCTCCCCCTACTATTATTTTCACTAATAATCTGTCCTCAAACAATATTTCCAGCTTATTTTCTAAACGTCTTCATGTGAATATGACACAAAATGTCTCATTTCTGACAATATATTGACCTATATCATTCCATAGAATGAGTCTGGCAAATTCCAAAGGTCTAAAATATTAGGAGAATCAACTGAGGTAGCCATATATGGCAAAATGTTTTCTCTTTGTACATCAATGTAATTATAACAAAGGTTAAACATTCATTTTAACAAATCACTGACAACAAGGTTTAATTACTAATTGACAGGCCAGTCCATAAGGATTTGGAAGTCAAAGGTAGTATTGGTGTACTACACCCTGCATGGTTACTGACTCTGCTCTGACTTGTGTTATCAAGTCCTTGGCTGGGAAAAATTAGGTCAGCTCTCTCAAATTCCGTGGCAGTCTATGAAACTTCCAGTACTATCATGGCTGTACTTCGCCTCTCGTTGTAGTTAGCAATGTCACCATCCTCTGCAGCCTCATCCAAAGCATTGTATTATATCACATATGGCAGTTCCATGGAAAACCTACCAGTTATCACCACTGGGTGTTCTAGATCACCCAGGGAGAGTTCACAGAAATCCCTGAAGGAATGCCCTTCCTGCTACCTGGAATTTCAGTAGAGATGGCAGGGAATGCTTGCTTTCTTTGACTAAAAGGTCCTCCATGAACTATTTTTATTTTTAATAAATAGTTCTATCGAAGTCTAAGTGTCATTTTAAAACTCCACATATTTCTTTTTCTTTTTTTCTTTTTTTTTTTTTTTTTTTTGAGATGGAGTCTCGCTCTGTCACCAGGCTGGAGTGCAGTGGCGCAATCTTGGCTCACTGCAACCTCTGGGTTCAAGCGATTCTCCTGCCTAAGCCTCCCGAGTAGCTGAGACTACAGGTGCGTGCCACCATGCCCAGCAAATTTTTGCATTTTTAGTAGAGATGGGGTTTCACCATGTTGGCCAGGCTGGTCTTGAATTCCTGACCTCAGGTGATCTGCCTGCCTCTGCCTCCCAAAGTGCTGGGATTATAGGCATGAGTCACCACGCCCGGTCAACTGCACATCTTTCATGTACACAATTTGATGCATTTGGACTGCATAGTCAGGTGAGCGCAGATATTTTCTGAAGTGGCCTGATGTTTTCCCACGGGAAGGCAAGAGAAGACTAGAGCAAAGCTTACTCTGCTTTAGTCACCAAAGTCTTTATTCTAGTTTTTCCATTACCTATTCATTATCTTCTCAGAAATATCATCTTACCTTCCTTATTTGTTATGCTCCTACTTGATGAAGGGGTCCTAATTCTTTTTTGTGTATGTGTGTATATTTTATATATACTTTTCACCTGTTATTGTCCGTATATTATGCTAAACTCTCATTTTTTATTATACCAGCCTTCAATATTTGATAGGCAAGATGTTTTACATAAAGAGTACAGACATTAAGTGTACAGTTTGAAGAGCATTAGTAATTCTATTACCCCAGAAAACTCTTTAATTTCCTTTTCTATGAATTTATTCATGTTGCAGCATATATTCAGAGTTTGCCCCCTGCCCCCACCAGTTTTTTTGTTTTTTTGCTATGTAGAACTCTAATAGATAAATATGGAAAAATATGTTTATTCATTTTCCAGCTGATGGACATTTGGTTGGCTTCCAGTTTGAAGCTATTGTAATAAAGTTACTATAAACATTCCAACACAAGATTTTCTTGTGAATCTGTGATTTTCTTTCCTTGGATATGTACCTAGCTTTAAGAATTGCTGGGCTATATGGTATGTGTGTGTGTTTAAATTTAAAAGAACTCCTAATATTTTCCCCAAGAAAACTTTAAAGGGTTACACTGCAGGCAGCAATGTAAGAGATGTATGTTTGCTTCACACTCTTCCTAAGACCTGGTATTTTCAGCCATTTAATTTTAGCTATTCTAATAAAGATATATTGGTATTTCCTTGCAGCTTCCTGTGAGTGACTCTGTGCAACATTTTTGAAGAGTGGGAGAGCTTAGTGGTCATTCATGTATCATTTATTTGAAATATTTGTTCAGATATTAACTCATTTTAAATCTGATAGGTGTTCTGCACATCTTCTGGATGTGAGACCTTTATCAGATATATGTATTGCACATGTGTCTCCAGGTTGTGTCTTGCGGCTTCATTTTTTTAGCAATGTCTTTGATGAGAAAAAGTTTTCATTTAAGGCTGGACGCAGTGGCTCACATCTGTAATCCCAGCACTTTGAGAGGCTGAGAAGGGAGGTTGGCTTGAGCCCAGGAGTTTGAGACCAGCTGGGCAACATAGTGAGACCTAATCTCTATAAAAAAATACAAAAATTACCTGGGTGTATGAAATAAATATTCATAAACTGAATTCTATCTAGATATGTAGATAAAATTTTTTTCTCAGCAGGTAATAATGTGATTTCTTTTCTGCCAGGAAATAACCAACCCTAGATATGTAGATAAAATTCAGTTTATGAATATTTGTCTTTACAATTAGTTCCCTTTGTGTTCTTCTTGAGAATCTTTATCTCTCCTTATTACAAGATTTTTCTTCACCTGTAATCCTCACAACTCTGTCAGGTAGACAGATTTCATTTTAAATTCTACATCGATTCAAGATATAAAGGTGTCCGTCAAAGTAATCCAAAAGGAAAATCTTAATAAAAAATACCAAAATATGCATGCTTTCAAAACTCTGAATGTTCAGAGTTAAAAAATACTCTAAACTAATATGATTATTTTTCAATATTTGTATAGAGTGTCACTATATTGCCCAGGCTGACCTTGAACTCCTAGCTTCAAGTAGTCCTCCCACCTTAGCCTGCCAAAGTGAGGGGACAAATATGAGCCTCACTCAGCCTCTAAATTAATATTATTAATAAATGTAAAGTATAGTAAGAGAAATACAAAAAGGAACCACTGCTACTAGTTACATTTTTATGAGTATTTTAAAGTTTTCTTATAATTATTTTTGAAATTTTTATGAGGTAGTATTGTTTCTTGAGGTTGTTTTGATACTTACTGATTGATTTATTTAATTGCTTAACATTTTTATAATTTGTTTCTATGGGTGCACAGATAGAGGCAGATAATTTAGAGATAAAAAGTATCATATTAGAAATTAAAAGCAGTTTACTAAAATCAACTTTAGGGTTATAGATTAGGTTTGCATATGTCAAACTTAACATCTAGGCACACCTACACACAAATACATCTATTTCTTTGATTCTTATGAAAAATAACACGCTCAAAATCAAATGCTAGTCTTTCAGAAAAATATGTTGTTAATTTAATTTGTGACCAATTTTAAAAACCCTTCTTTGTAAGACAAAATAATATTATAAATAATTCTTTTCAACTGAAAAAATACCTGAGACAGAATTAGAATGTTAACATTTTTCTTCTAGTAATAAATTAACAGAAAGATAATAAGATTAAACGGTATTATAAAATGGTGTTAATATAATAAATGGTTATTATACAATACTGTATTTTATTCAACTTCAAAAAATCTTTACCATCTTCCCTTTCTTGCTTTAAAAATCTTGGGATTTATTAATGTATAATGGTTACGTTTTTTTCATTTTAGTTCTCTTTGTATATTTATGGTTTATAATAGTTTTAGTGACTCCTGGATAGGGTATTCCCAGCAGGTAATAATGTGATTATTTTTTTTTTCTGCCAGGAAATAACCAACGCTAGGTCACCATTACTTAAATAAAGAGGTGATTATATGGCTAAAGGGGAAAAAGAGATATGTGTTAAGAAGGGAAATTTTAATTTTTAATGATTGAAACATATTTTCTTAAGCTAATACAAAATGCTTTACATTTGCCACCTTTTTATTGAAAGTACATTAGCCTAAGTTCACTGCTGAGTATGTACCTAATGGAAGGAATAAATCTCTGAACACCACTGAGAGTACAAATTTGGTTTTGACTGGTGCAATATCTCAAGGTTAATAGGTAGAAAAGATATAATTTAATGCTAACCCTTCTATGTTGTTGTGTTGTATGGAGACATGAATTTTGGAATAAAAATTATCATTACATTGCTATTCTATTTATCGTTTCAAGTTTGTCAAAGTACATGATAATTTAAGTGATAAAATTAATTTTCTGTAGAGTCTAGATAAAAATGGAATTATTTGGAACTATCTGAGAATTCATTTTATCAGTGTCACAGAATTTAGTGTACTTCCTTGAACTAAAAGCTCAATTAATGCTGTATCTCCCCTTTATGATTCCAATATCCCTAGGGGCTAATATTGACATGTAATTTGCATAATTTAAAAACAATATAATATCAATAGTTTGTGATGTTAAGGCATCATAATTGTGAATATACTGATTGCCTTTACCTTTCTTTAAACTGTGTGTGGGGGGAGTGAAAAAAATAGATTGACTTTAAAAAGTAATTGTAAAGTGACTGTAAAGGGTCATAAAGAGCACTACTAAAATGCTGTACCACAGGTGCGCTTTAGGGAGTGATTTGTCTTTGGGCTCCAAACTAAACGATACATTTGACAGATCGTGTATACTAGTCTATTCAGAGAGGAACAATCTCAAGTGTGTTTTAGGATTTCGGACCTCTACCCTAGTAAACGCCATACTACAAACAGAATCAGCAAGCACTGACTTGGTGCCCTGGTGCATTATTCATGTGAATATTCTGAAAGAATTCTTACTCTGGTTTCCCGCTGTACGTTAACCAGTATCCTTCAGATGCTAAAACTGGTCCTTACTACTGCAGTCGAATGAGTTGAGAATCTTGCACTACAGGGTACCTGAGTTACCCAGGTGATCCTGGGTTGGGGTGCAATGGACACGCTGAGGAAATGAAGCTCCTAGTTAACCTTTTTCCACAAGAAAATATCCACCATCATTTTTCTATACATTAGCTTTTTACATAAGGTTGTACACAAAGAAAAAATTCCAGTGCTATTTTTAAAAAGGGTAGAAACACTTTTTCAGAGCATTGACTAGAGAAGCATACAACAATACATGGAGCAAACAACTAACACGTCATGAAGTATTGAAAAAGCCAAGCACTGATTCCTCTTACCTGCATATTTCAAAGTACATCGAAGATTACTGTACAGTTTCAAAAGAACACGTTTTCTAGTTTCTATCTCCAAATATAAAAATTATTTGTTTAGTAAAAATTGCCATCATGACCAGATATTATTCATATTAAATACAATTTAATAACCTGCGTTTTGTATAAAATTGCCATTTTTGTAAGTTAAAAATGAGAGGATGTTGACAGTTTTATATGGTTGATTCGAATACACCTTTCTATGTTCAAGAATAGAGGTAAAATATGCACAGGAAGGAAAATTATTCCAAACTGAGATAGTGAGAAACATTTGGGGAAAGATTCATCCATAAAATGACACATGGTGTCACAGCTATCCTTTATTTAGTGTGGTTCCTTAAATACGAGTGTGTTTCTGGGGTGACAGTTAGACAGTAAGAGAGGATGCCAGCAAAACTGAAAGCTAAACAGGAAGTCCAGCCTGATTATCACGGAGGTTTAGAAGGGAATCATAATGGACGGAAGATGAGACCAGGTTATGAGGTCCTAGAAAGACAGCAGACACATTAGGCTAGATGTGGTAGGAGAGAGAGCACTGGTGGAAGCTTTTTGATCCTACAATTTCAGACACAGGTCCTGAGCACGTATGTAATTTTATTTTGTACAAGGGCACTTATATAGTTTGGAAAATTAAAAGAAGGAGGTTATGCAAATGCGTATAAATGTATATATAAGTACTATGTGTTCATCATCACCTTAACTTATAAACTTGTCAGCTCCATAAATGAAACAATTCGCTGGAGATATATCACAAACTTATCTCTGACAAAGACGCCAGAATAAATATTTTCTTCTGAGTCTTTATTTTCAGAGACTTGATATACCTTTAAAAACCATGCCTTCTTTTTTATCTCCTTACTATAAAATGTTGAGATTCATCTTGAGATTCTTCATATTCAGTATTGTTTTTCATCCAGTCATAAAATGATATAAAATGTATGTATTGGATACAAAGTTTGCTAAGGTAAATAACATAAAAGGGAAGAATTAATGATAACAGCCTAATATTCAAAGGAGCAAACTTTTTCAATATGAATTTTGCAAAAACGAGGAAAGCAGTCTTAGAGCAGGAAGGTACATTTTTCTTAATTTTACAAATGTTCAATGCTAAGTTATTCAATAACAAGACTATTTTAAGGGAGACATTGAAGCTTCCTCAAGCCACTATTTTTTTAAACAAGAAAATAAGAAATCCTTTAACAAAACACACACACACACAAACTGTTAATTTAAGTTGATATAAATAAATTTAAGTCAGATAATACAGGGAAGGTATCTGACATCTTTTAGCTCTCACATTAAATTACTATATATATTTATGAAAAATCAAAGGTGATACTCTCATTATATGTTACATATTGTACAATTTATCTTTCTTATATTTCCAATTATTTATTTCCCTCTGTTAGCTTTAAATATTAAGACTATATGACTTTCTTATTATTTATTTTTCTGTTTCCTTAGCTCCTACCCCATTCTATGTAAAATTCCTCTTCAGGTTTTACCAATGATTCAATAAAAGGGTAATAAAACTTTAAATGGATATTTTTGTGTATGAAAATCAAAAAGGAATTAGTAAACAAATAAAATAAACATTACTGACATTTAAAATTTTGTCAACAGGTGGCAGGTTTCATTTTTTCTTCTTTGGTGTGGTATATTCTTATGAATAAGTGAACATCCAAATAAATGAACATTACAGATATGCTGTGTCTATAATAATTTGTTTAAAACTACCATGTACATGCATTCAACAGATTTCCCTGCTATCTCCCCTTACATTAGAAAAACTAACAGTGTTAGTAAAACTTGCTCCTATTTCTTGCTTTTGACACTAATGGGAGTTTTCAGTAAAGACTTCAGGTCCAATTGATGCATGAGCCTAGTAGCTCTCCTTAATTGTGTTTGTAAATTCAATAGCTATTATAGAAAGAGACATTCCTGGCTGCACTTTACAAAAATTATTATACCTACTAGGTCATACTTTATTCATTCTTCACTTCTATGTGTTTTAAAACTGTCTGGTGTTAAGAGTAACTCAGAAATGTGTACTTGTCTCTCACCAACTTTGGGAGGTTTTGTTCTATTGTACGTTCCTCTGATAACTCAATGCATTTTGTCTAAATGTAACATAATGGTGTTGAGAGACTACTAAGAAGAATGGAACAGATTCTTTTTATATAAAAACATAGTATTAGAAATAAAATTATTTTGGAATTTTTTGAAATGTGTTCTTAATTGTAAGAAATAGAAAGGTGCTAGAGTTGCAAATTTATATACATAAAATTTTATATGAAACATTGACATTTTTTCCAACATTGGGGAACATTTTAAATTGTAGATCCTCCAAAAACATTCTCACTGTCTGTCTAAATGTGTATCACATAATCCAAATTGAAATATAGACTTAAGAAAAAAGCATTTGTAATCTCGCTGTGTTGGAGAAGCATTGGCCACATTGTGTAAACATTCACTTATTTTTGTGAATGTCTTGGTTGACGCTTCCTGGCAACTTCTACTAAGGCACTCATTGCCCCTTACCCTACTTGCCCTGTAGGAGGATCACCGATGTTGTTCTCTCAGCTTTTTATGATGAGCATGCGGAAATGTCTCACTATACTTTATAAGGCAAGACGCAATGGAAGAAGTGAGGAAGACTGGTCAACCTCAAGGCTTTTCTATTTCCCCAAATATATCATGCTTTGATTTCTACATCATGACACAAGGAAATCTGCTAAGCAGATTTTCTTTCAGAATTCAAAATTATAAGTAGCACTGATAATGGGATCATAAGATTAAAGCCCAGAGAAGCAGGAAAGAGAGAACAAAGAAGTGAGGTAGGGGGAGGGCTCGGTGGCTCACACCTATAATCCCAGCACTTTGGAAAGCCAAGGCAGGTGGAACACTTAAGGCCAGGAGTTTGAGACCAGCCTGGCCAACATGGCGAGACCCTATCTCTAATTAAAATACAAAAGTGAGCCAGGCAAGGTGGTGTGTGCCTGTAGTCCCAGCTACTCGGGGGGCTGAGGCAGGAGAATTGCTTGAGCCTGGGAGGTGGTGGTTGCAGTGAGCCGAGATCAAGTCACTGCACTCCAGCCTATGTGACAGTGTAAGACTCTGTCTAAAAAAAAAAAAAAAAAAAAAGTGAGATAGGGAAAAAGGGGATCTTATAAGAGAGTTTGTTACAGAACTAGCCACAGCATCAACACAAACGATCTGTTATTGCCAGCCTTCTACAGAGAGACTACAAGAAGGTACTCAGTGAGATGTGACAAGAGTGTAGCTGACTGCACATCAGATGAAGCATTGTTTATTTTTGCCAGTGGGTGACACAAGAGAGTAAGAACAGCAATAGCACCAGCGTTCTCATCAGTAGCAACAGATACAGGAAAAATAGCAACCCAGCTCTGTGCCAACACAAGTTGGATTTACCCTTCATAAGCCTTCTCTGGCCAGAAAACAAAGATGCAAAAATCTGGACTGATACATAAACTGAATATGGCTCAAATTACTATTTGTATACATCAAATCCACTTTTACATTCAGGATATTAAAGTTTTACTAGAAAATAAGATGCCCTGAAGTTTTCCCTGAGAAGGGAAGAAAGATCCAGTTCTTACATGTTGTTGCTAGTTGCAATCAAGGGCCAGCAAACTAGGCCCATGGCCTAGTCCAGCCCATGAGTCTGTTTTGTATGTTTCTAGATACCATTTATGTACTTAAAAATTGAAGAAAACAAGAGAAAAATCTGTGATATATATATGCTAGGTTTCCTATAAAACTGAAAATACTCTATATCTGTTTACAAAATAAGTTTGCCAACCCCTTTTCTAAAACACTGTAAAAGGGGTTAGCAAACTAAGCCATTGCCCCCCATTACTGCAACTAGAGCAGAGACTATGTTTAATTCTTATCCTGTCTTTTTTTTCTACACCCCCTTCAGCTGGTCTGAGTTGCTTGCCTTGTGGGGTGGCCTAGAGCTTTATTCCTGAGAGTCTGATAATAGGTTTTCTATATAAAAGAATCACTTTAAGGGAAGCAGAAGATTCTTTGTCCATTGTCTTCCGTGGTTACACATGAATTGGGAATTGGATAGGACTTAACATAAATCATGTCCAGTTTTCATTGCCTAATAGTGAAGATTTGGAAGCTTGGGGTCATTTTAGCGGGTGACTATTCACATTTGTTTGTTTTCAAGATTTGAAGTTTCTGGCTAATATTTTTTTTTCAATCATTTATTGAGATTTTGAAATATTTATATCTCGTCAGTTTTAAAATATAAAGCCAAGTTTCTTGACTAATTACAGTCTACAAATGTGATAATTTTCCTTTTATTTTACCCAACAGGTTCTGTGCTCTGTCTTTCCTCTAGCCCTCAGCTTAATAGGTTGTGACCAAGGCAATTCAAGGAATTGTCCCAGGTAAGGAGAAACTATTCTTAATATAGACTTTGCCAGCCTTCTTACATTCTCTGTTTGGAAGAGAATAATTAGCAAGTAGCATGGGAGAAAAGTAGAACTCAAATCCTATCAATATTTTTTTTTTGGTAAAGATAATTTTATAATATGGTCTCCCCTAGAACAAACCAAAATTTGGGATATAAAATGTGGCTTTTGATTGCTTTTCTCTACGACATTGAGTTCCATATGTTTGGATCTTTCCCTTTAGGAATATTATCAGCTGTTACTAATGGAAATCAAGGTAATAGTGATTTAAACAAACAAGGAAAAATTTATTTTTCCTACCTGATAATTGTGTAGGTTGGTCCTAGCTGGATTGTACCCCATCCTTCAGGTATGTCTCAATATACATGTTGACATTTTACCTTAACAGCATTGCCTTAGCCAGGTGCAGTGCCTCAAGCCTGTAATTCCAGCACTGGAGGCCCAGGCAGGAGGATCACTTGAGGTCAGGAGTTTGAGATCAGCCTGGGCAACATAGCAAGACCCCATCTCTAGAAAAAAAAAAACTTTATTTTAATTAGGGGGGTATGGTGTTGCAAGCCTGTAGTCCTAGCTCTTCAAGAGGCTGAAGTGGGAGCATTGCTTGAAATCAAGGGTTCAGGGCTGCAGTCAGCTATGATCACACCACCACACTCTAGCCTGGGTGACAGAATGAGACCTTGTCTCTAGAAAAAAAAAAAAAAAAAAAGAGTATTGCTTTATTGTGAAAATTGACACACATGATCACATTCCAAAACAGGAAATTGAGGTGTATGAGACAGAAATACTTATTTTTACCTAGATACAACTAAAATTGTTCCCAGAAGCCCCCAAAAGATTACCTCTTACATATCAATTGCTTAAGTCACATCACTTAAAAGTCACAATTATACTGTTCT
The DNA here is from genome assembly GCF_000001405.40 of Homo sapiens. Classification (NCBI taxonomy): domain Eukaryota; kingdom Metazoa; phylum Chordata; class Mammalia; order Primates; family Hominidae; genus Homo; species Homo sapiens. The sequence continues at coordinate 66,278,657 of NC_000018.10, read as the reverse complement.
TTCTACAGGGGAGGGGAACTGGTGGAATGAGTACCTGGCAAAAGGAAAGCAGTTGTCATGACTGGCCAAGACTAAAGGTAATTTACTGCCTAAGACAGGGTTAAAGGCTAGCCTAAATATCTGGAATATTGTTACTAAGAAACAAAGAGTGAGCCAGGTGCGGTGGCTCACACCTGTAATCCCAGAACTTTGGGAGGCTGAGGTGGGTGGATTACTAGGTCAGAAGTTCGAGACCAGCCTGGCCAACATTGGTGAAACCCTGGCTCTACTAAAAATACAAAAATTAGCTGGGTATGGTGGTGGGGGCCTGTAATCCCAGCTACTCAGGAGGCTAAGGCAGGGGAATCACTTGAACCCAGGAGGCAGAGGTTACAGTGAGCGAAGATCATGCCATTGCACTCCAGCCTGGGCAATAGAGTGAGACACCGTCTCAAAAAAAAAAAAAAAAAGAATTAACGAGTGAGGGTCTGTTATGTAGGGTCTGAATCAGCAAAAAATTCCATTCTGAGTTCACTGGGTTTATCTCTTGATATGTAAACATAATGTCTTCAAAGTAGATAAATCCCATTTATGTTTTGTCAAAGCCTTCCTGGTAAGACAAGAGTCATAGTGTAAAATCAGAAATAGATTGACAGTTAAAACTGAGAAACAAATTTATTATTGTAGCCATTATTGCTCTTTATCTGATGTACTAAGTCTCATTGATTTAGTGGCTGAACAGCCAAACAATATCATGAATTTAAAAAAATGAGTGTTTCTCATTTCAGTTTTTTTTCAAAATATTATACCAATTACTATGTCTTAATGACTTCCAAGTGACAGGCACTATAACTTTAAACTGAGAATTATATTTGAGGATAATTAATTTAAGAGCTTAGTTAATTCTTCATCATTAGCACATCCTTTGAATTGTTTCCTTAATATGAAGAAAATGAACTTATTGATCTTATATTGTCACCTGGATACCTTTATGATTATTACATAAAACTCTCTGAGTAACATTTCTGAACACAGAACTACATTACATGCAACAATTAAAATCTGACCTTGGCTTCACCACCATCAGACTTTGTGCAGAGTTTTTCTAGGCTAGACTCATGCCATATTTTAAGAGATATGTTTAGACATAGACTCAGTTTGTGTTTGATATTTTAAGGCAATTACATGTTAAAAAAATATATTTTACAAGTTTTTTAATAGAATAATTATACTTTTAATGAATTATATGAAGATACATAAACTTAATGACTGCTTTCAGAATGTTTTCCAAATGTCTTCAAGTAACACTTGAATAATGTTTAAAATTCTTTCATATGTTATATAATTTTTTCCTCCTGATATTTACATGTGTCTGAAACACGTAACTGAAGTGTATTATTTAGAAATATTTAATTTGTTGATGATGCTAATATATACTATGGTTAAATTCATATAGGGTGGCAGAAAGTGACATAAAATGGATACAGTATTAAAGTTTATCTTAGTGGATAAATGTTAGCATTTTAACAAATAATTTTATCTAAACTCTGCCTTGATTTTTATTAAGTAGCATTTAAATAGCTGCTATTTCCTCAAGTTGTACTCACATTAATAGTATTTGTGTAGTGGTTAATTTTGTGTCAAATGACTGGGTTAAGGGATGCCTGGATAGGTGATAAAGCACTATTTCTGGGTAGGCCTGTGGTGGTTTCTAAAAGAGAGTAGCTTTTGAATTAGTAACTGAATAAAGGAGAATCAGAATATCGGTCTTCACCTATGTGGGTGGCCATTATCATAGGCAAAAAAAGAGCGAGTTTGCTGTCTCTCTTCTTAAGCTGGGACTTTCATCTTCTCTTCCTCTCAGACACTGGAGCTCCTTTCAAGGGCCTTTGTACTTCAGGACAGCATGAGCACCTCTATCTCTCTCTTTGGCCTTGGACTGGAAGTTATATCATTGGCTCCCCTGTTTCTTAGACTTTCAGGTGCTTCAGCTTGCAGATGGCATTTTGTGGGATTTTTTTTTTTTTCGGCTTTCATAATGACATGAGCCATTCCCAGAATAAATGTCCTCATATATCTAAATCTATATCCAAATCTATATCCTATTTTTCGTTTCTCTGAAGAACCCTAATATAATTTGTCACATGGAGACTGTTTTAGTTTATTCCTGTTCTGTAACAAAATACCTGAGACTAGATAACTTATAAACAACCAAAATTTGCTTTTCGCAAATCTGGAGGCTGTATAGTCAAAGACTGAGTTCCAGGAGAGCTCTCTTCCTGGCTCTTGCAGACAGTCACCTTCTCACCATGAAAAGAAAGAAAAAGAGGAGAAGAGAAGAGAGAATCAATCTTCCCCTTCTACAAGGCATAGTCCTATGGACTTAGGACTCCATTCTCTCCTTGACCTCACTTAATTACCTCCTAAAAACACAATCTCCAGATATAGTCACATTAGGGGTTAGGGCTTCAATATACGAAGTGTTGGGGAGGGGGAAAAACATGAACAAAATAATTTGAACATATTCTAATCATTTTAAATGCAGTTGCATAAGCATATGATGTGAAATATATTTAATTATAGCCAATAAAAAAAAAACTTGTCGAGTGTTTTTCTCTGATACTGAAAAACAGATTCAATATCTATGGGCCTGAGTTTAATCTCTAGTAAATTAGGGAAATGGAAAGATCTTAACCTATTTTACAAACATTTGGACCACATTTTCTGAAATAATTTTGAAAACCTCTTTGCCCTCCTGTATATTGTCAGATTAATATCTAAAACATTTAAAAGTTTTAACAGTTGAAAACAAAATAGTTTCTTCCAGTTTTAAAACTGTATAGGCATAAACAATATTACTAAAATATTGATATAAATATTGGTTCTGCATATTTATTTTATTTCATTTGAGAAAATTGTCTACAAGTTTATCTAGTCAGCAAAGCCAGTCCCAATTGTAAAATATGATCAATCAATCAAACTTAAGACAGAAATTAAATTTTACATTCAAATAAATATATTAATAGGTGTTCTCATGACAATTATCTCATCTCTTAATTCTAACATAGTGAAAAGAAGGAAAGAAGGGAGGAGGGAAGGAAAAGACTATGTCATAAGTTTGTCACTTGGAGGGAAAAACAAGCCTGCTTTGTAATATTAATGACACAAACCTTTTTTCTTTTTTTCTTTTTATGCTGTATGTAACTTGTCATCAGGGTTTACATATTCACAATTGATTCAGCCCTTTTTTTGTGTTCATTCATAAGGTTTTATTCCTAGGGATGTAAGGACCATTGTAAAATATCCCATGAAGGACATTATGCCTTTCTTTTATGAGGTGAGAGACAGATATATTGAAAGAAAATTACATCAAAATTATGACATGTCATCTCATCTCATTCAAAATGGCTTTTATTCAAAAGATGAGCAATAACAAGCATTGGTGAGGATGTGGGGAAAGAGGAACGCTCACACACTGTTGGCAGGAATGTAAATTAATACAACCTTTATTAAGAACAGCATGGAGGTTCCTTTAGAGCTACTATATGCTTGAGCAACCCTACCACTGGATATATAGAAAGGAAATCAATATATTGAAGAGATACAATAGCAAAGCTATGTGTCAACATAAAGAGTTGAACTCAGTAAAATATTTGAAGAAATTTTCTGAACCAATGACCCCTGACACAGCCCTCTGGAGATCCTGAGAACATATCGGGGGAAATTCAGCCCCCAATATTTCACGTGGATCCTTTTCTATTTTCCCTAAGTGTTGGCTGGTCTGAGAAATAAAAGGAAAGAGTACAAAAGAGAGAAATTTTAAAGCTGGTTGTTCGGGGGAGACATCACATGTCTGCAGGTTCCATGATGCCCCCAAACCACAAAGCCAGAAAGTTTTTATTAGTGATTTTCAAAAGGGGAGGGAGTGTACAAATAGGGTGTGGGTCACAGAGATCACATGCTTCACAAGGTAATAAAATATCACAAGGCAAATGGAGGCAGGGCAAGATCACAGGACCAGGGCGAAATTAAAATTGCTAGTGAAGTTTTGGGCACACATTGTCACAGATAACAACTTATCAGGAGACAGGGTTTGAGAGCAGACAACCGGTCTGACTAAAATTTATTAGGTGGGAATTTCCTCTTCCTAATAAGCCTGGGAGCTCTACGGGAGACCGGGGCTTATTCCATCCCTAATCTACAACTGTAAAAGACAGACGTTCCCAAAGCGGCCATTTCAGAGGCCTCCCCTTGGGAACACATTCTCTTTCTCAGGGCTGTTCCTTGCTGAGAAAAAGAATTCAGCAATATTTCTCCTATTTGCTTTTGAAAGAAGAGACATATGGCTCTGTTCTGCCTGGACCACTGGCAGCCAGACTTTAAGGTTATCTCCCTTGTTCCCTGAACATCGCTGTTATCCTGTTCTTTTTTCAAGGTGCCCAGATTTCATGTTGTTTAAACAATTTGTACAGTTAACACATTCACCACAGGGTCCTGAGGTGACATTCATCCTCAGCTTAGGAGGATGACGGGATTAAGAGATTAAAGTAAAGACAGGCATAGGAAATCACAAGAGTATTGATTGGGGAAGTGATAAATGTCCATCAAATCTTCACAATTTATGTTCAGAGATTGCAGTAAATACAGACGTAAGAAATTATAAAAGTATTAATTTGGGGAACTAATAAACGTCCATGAAATCGTCACAATTTATGTTCTTCTGCCATGGCTTCAGCTGGTCCCTCCCTTCAGGGTCCCTGACTTCCCGCAACAGAACATGCACCCATGGTGGTCGGAATACAGCTTAGTTTTATACATTTTAGGGAGACATAAGACATCAATCAATACATGTCAGATGTCCATTAGTTCAGACTGGAAAGTCTGCACAACTAGAAGCAGCAGTTACCAGGTTATAGGCAGATTCAAATGTTCTGATTAGCACTTTGTTGAAAGAGTTATTATCTAAAGACTTGGTATCAGTAGAAAGAAATATCTTGGTTATGATAAGGGGTTGTGGAGACCAAGGTTTTATCATGGAGTTGTAGCCTCCAGGTAGCAAGCTTCAGAGAGATAGAGAATAGAATGATGGTTGCCAGAGGCTAAGAATGGTACTGGGGAGATGAGATAAAAAAGGTTTGTCTAATGGCTACAAAAATACAGTTAGATCTGTTAAAAGAAAACCTTCAGCTGAATTAAACTTAAAGGAGTTTAACTGAGAAATGAACGATTCACAAATTGGACACCCCCAGAATCACATCAGATTTGAGAGACTCCAGGGATGCCTCCTGGTCAGAATAAATTTACAGACAAAAAAAGGGAAGTGACATACAGAAATCAGAAGTGAGGTACAGAAAGAGTTGGATTGGTTACAGGTTGGCCTTTGCCTTATTTGAACACAGTTTGAACACTTTAGCAATCTATGAGTGATTGAAGTATGACTGCTGGGATTGGCCAAGACTCAGCTATTGTTACAGGCGCATACTCCTAAGTTAGGTTTTCAGTCTCGTCTGCCTATTAAATCAGCTTGCAGTTCATCCTCAAGGACTCGAATAAAGAAGTACGGAGTCCTTCTCAGGCCATACTGTGTTTGCTTTAACAGGTCAAATGAATAAGTCCTGGCATTCAGTAGCACAATAATAGGGTGACTATAGTTAACAATAATTTATTATGTATTGAAAACAAACTAAAACAGTAGAATTGGAATGTTTCTAACACAAGGAATTAATAAAGATTTCAAGTGATGGATATCCTAATTACCCCGATTTGATTGTTACACATTGTGTTCCTATATCAAAACATCACATGTACCCTATAAATATATACAACAATTATGTACCCATAAAAATTTAAAAATTGAAAAAAATTAAAAATACATTGAAAGGAGAGGCCATAGAAATAAAGAACTAGCAGAACACAGGTAACTTCCTGGGTAGACTAATTTTTGAAAAAGAATATCTGAAAGGTAATGATCTAATAATAGATTTCCTTACATTTATCTGAGCCCATTTACCTATTGGATGTCTTCCTGTACCGTACTTTGTATTCAAAACCCAATATAAAGATGCCTTTTCTAGCATTAAATTCAAACTATTGTCTTCATTCTTCCTTCTATGGTTTGTAATATCCATATTTACTAATAGTATCCTGAATGTACATATTAGGTTGGTGCAAAAGTAATTGTGGTTTTTGCAATTTAAAAGTAAATACTTACAAGCCAATCATAACTGTATGGTTCCCCCATGCCTAAATCTTACCTCTGGGACAATATGATGAGAGCCTATGATGCTACACATAATATCAGAAGCAAGAAATGCCAAAACCACGAATCTGGGAATTTGTGTAGAAAAGAGACTCTTGTCTCCCTCCCTTTCTGAGAGTCTCCTTAAAGAAGGGATGGATGGGTAGGATCCTGAGTTTTCACTCTAAGTCCTTCGGAATGTAAATAAATCTCTTCAGTAAAAAGAAAAGACCCATCCTCTTCAGCTTTATAGCCCCAGGGATTTCTCCTCTTTCCTGGATCTTAGTCCCTTGAAATGCAATCATCTCGCCCTGGGGGTCTCCGGTTTATTCAGCCTAGGTATGTGTCCTACAAAGTAACATTTGACTCTTGGGTAGATAGAGGAAAGTTGATTAACCTTTTGAATGGAAGCAATTAGTTTCACCAGTAGAAAAACAAAGGACTGTAGTTCTAATCCTCATGGTATCAGCAAAGTAAAAGGTTCATGAGGGTGAAGAAACCAAAGAGTCTCTATTTCCAAGACTCAGAAGGCTGAGTCTTTTTTACTAGAACATTAAGAAATCTAGGAAAGATTTATTTTCCCACACATATATTTGGGGCCTACTGTTACTAATTTGATGTGTAATATCTCATTTAATTTTTAAAGCCATTTTATCAAATTGGCACCTCTTAAATAATAGGGAAACAAAGTGGTTTTGGAAAGTAACCTGCCCAAAATCGAACCATTAAATAGTAGTATCATTCAGATAAACATTTCATCTGCTTTCTGAAACTATAACTGCTTACATGCTTATGTATTCCTGCATTATGAGATTAAACATTAATAGTGCATGATCAGTGGCCATTAGTGAAATATATGCGTGTGTGTATATATATATATATATAAAGATATTAAGTGAAATACACACACACACATATTAGCAAAGCTAACAAGTGATGGTATAATTATAAAAGACTGATTTTTATATCTTCCACAGAAGGAATATCATGAGAAACAAAGTAAATGTCAAGAAATTAGGTGAAGGCCTGGCATATATTTATGTACCTTAGTGTAGAAAGAAAGTGGAAGTGTAGAATATGACAGGTGCTGGAAATTAGAACTTGTGCAGCCATTTTGAAAGTATCTGACAATGCTTATTCAAATTAAACATTGACATGTGCAATGACCCAACTGAGGGAAACCTGTGAGGTTTCACTTGGGTTCATAAGAGGGCATGGATGAGGCTGTTCCCAGAAGTAGTGTTTGTAGCAGCTGGGAGTTTGTGGGTGCAATTTAAGCAAGCATTCCTGAGAGAAAGAATAAGTAAAAAGTGATAGATACTCTGCAATACTGCTGTCAAAAGCAGACTAGTTGTATACACGTACACTTAGTTACCTCTTTAAAACAAAGCTGTGAGTAGAAAAATAAGATAACACAGATAATAAGTGACTCTTCTCAAGTCCACCTGAAAGAAATTAGAACTTTTGCTCCAAATCATGAGATTCTTCAATAGTCCCTTTCCTTATTCAAATAAATAGCTGCTTTTATTTTTAAATTGAACCCTTTGTTTTACCTCTTATGCTAGTGAGAGACAGGACTAGCTGGATTTCCTAGGCCGACTAAGAATCCCTAAGCCTAGCTGGGAAGGTGACCGCTTCCACCTTTAAACACGGGGCTTGCAATTTATCTCACATCTGACCAATCAGATAGTAAAGAGAGCTCACTAAAATGCTAATTAGGCAAAAGCAGGAGGTAAAGAAATAGCCAATCATCTATTTCCTGAGAGCACAGTGGGAGGGACAAGGATCAGCATATAAACCCAGGCATTTGAGCCAGCAAGGGCAACCCCCTTTGGGTTGCCTCCCTTTGTATGGGAGCTCTGTTTTCACTCTATTAAATCTTGCAACTGCACTCTTCTGGTCTGTGTTTGTTATGGCTCAAGCTGGGCTTTCACTTGCCATCTGTCCACCACTGCTGCTGGCTGCCGTCGCAGACCCGCCACTGACTTCCATCCCTCCAGATCCAACAGGGTGTCCGCTGTGCTCCTGATCCAGTGAGGCGCCCATTGCTGCTCCCGATCGGGCTAAAGGCTTGCCATTGTTCCTGCACTGCTAAGTGCCTGGGTTTGTCCTAATCAAGCTGAACACTAGTCACTGGGTTCCATGGTTCTCTTCCGTGACCCACGCCTTCTAATAGAGCTGTAACACTCACCACATGGTCCAAAATTCCATTCCTTGGAATCCGTGAGGCCAAGAACCCCAGGTCAGAGAACACGAGGCTTGCCACCATCTTGGAAGTGGCCTGCTGCCATCTTGGAAGCAGCCACCACCATATTGGGAGCTCTGGGAGCAAGGACCCCTCCACCCCAGTAACACTAGCAAGGACAGTTTCAAAGACCCATATATCTGAAACACAGAAAAAAGTCAATGAGCTAATGCAATGATATTTTAAATATATATTTAAAATAAAATCATGAGCTGGAACAGTTTCAGATTGCCAAATTAGATTCACACACTATACAAAGAGTATATTCATAATCTGATGTGTTTTGCTGTGATACATTAAATCAAGAGTTGTCCCAGAAATGTGTAGGGGGAAAAGAAAGATCTTTTTTTTTTTTTTTTTTTTAACATGCATTGCTTTACTGATCATGTCAGGACTTGTGATTTGTACATTAGGACTGCCTGATCTTAAAACTCAGGACAAAATATAAAACTGTTTCAACTCCTTCACAAATTAGTTTTGATTTCATGTCTTTATAATTTATTTTCAATGTTTTCTTATTTTTTTAAGGTAACATTTTTACTGCCTATCTTCTTATTTTCAAAGTTGGTAATTTCTTCCAGAAATTAAATTGTGTCATGGAAAGACTGTTGGATGATCTAAGAAAATAACATTAATGAGTAGGCACCACAGAATATTGGCTGAACGATCATTTTAAAGGGACTTTATTTAGTGTACATCACAAAACATAGACGTGTTCTTACCTTATTATATGCGTTATGTCTTCCTGGAGTGGCATAACAACATAGGACCTCATGTCTTCCACTTAGTATTGGATGATACACTCACCACTAGATTATATAATTGCTATGTAAAACAGCTAAATTCACAAATAAAAGATCTCCTTTTCAAATTAAAACCAATATGCAAAATAACATCAAATAGAATCAATATTCAAAGTCACACAAAAAAATATTTTAAGTTCAAATTATATGAGGAACTTCTAGTTACTATGGTCATTAATTAAATCCCCATTTATAAATGCTTCCTATTTAATGCATACAGACTACCCATACACAAATAAATGCACCCACACAATGTCTTACAAAGATATTGCCCTCATTCCATACCACTTTTGCTATGAATTTTTTTTTTTTTTTTTTTTTTGAGACAGGAACTGGCTCTGTTACCTAGGCTGGAGTGCAGCAGTGTGATCTCAGCTCACTGCAACCTCCACCCTGCAGGCTCAAGCGATTCTCCCACCTCAGCCTGCTGTGTAGTTGGGACTACAGGCACATGCTATCATGTCCAGTGAATTTTTTTTTTTTTTTTTTAGAGGCAGGATTTCACTATGTTGCCCAGGCTGGTCTCGAACTTCTGAGCTCATGCAATCTACCCACCTTGGCCTCCCAAAGTGCTGGGTTGCTGTCAATTTCAATGGGCTATTCAGCTGATGGTTTATTTTGGCAATTCATACTATTTTTCTAACATTTACTAGCATTGAAGCAGCAAGAGCCAAACAGGAATGATTTTTTTCCAAAATCTTTCAATTCAATTAAATTTATTTAGAGGGAGCATGTTCATTCATTATGATAGGCCAGAGATCTTCAAAACCAATGACTTGGTGAAATAACTAGTTTTTCATAGTCTTTTACCAGAATATGTGGCAATTTGCCTCCTACTGCTTTCTTTTCAGGTCCACAACACTTTAATTCCCTAGAAAATCTAAACCCACTTATGAGATTATTTGTCACAATTTTACAATTAGGATCTTGATTGATTAAATGAAAGAAAGCAAAATAGTTTAACTTGGAATTGAAAACATTTGTAATATTTTAAATTCTAATCTTTTTTTTTCTTTTTGAGATGGAGTCTCGCTTTGTCACCCAGACGGGAGTGCAGTGGTGCGATCTCGGCTCACTGCAAGCTTTACCTCCCGGGTTCAAGTTATTCTCCTGCCTCAGCCTCCCGAGTAGCTGGGACTACAGGTGCCCGCCACCATACCCAGCTAATTTTTTTTTGTATTTTTAGTAGAGGTGGGGTTTCACTGTGTTAGCCAGGATGGTCTTGATCTCCTGACCTTGTGATCCACCCGCCTCAGCCTCCCAAAGTGCTGGGATTACACTAAACCATTTTTAAAATAGTCATTTTGCAATTGCCTGCAAAGTCTTGGAAAAGATTTGCTTAGCTGATGAGAAAAATATATTTTCAAAATATTGTATAAAATATTAACCCTGAGTAGGTAGTAAAACGCACATTTATTATTTTTCCTTTTATGGCTCCCTCTATTACATTCCAATGGGTTCGTCTTGCCTGCTGCACAGAAAAGTCAAAACACTGAGACAGTGGTTTCGCAGCAGAGAAAGGGCTGAATTATCACAAGGTGGCCAAGTGGAAGGATGAGAGATATTTCTCAAATCCACTTCTCCCAAAACTCAGAGGCTAAAGTTTGTAAAGGATAATTTGGCAGGCAGGGGGCTAGAAAATGGGTGCTGCTGATTGGTTGGGGATAAAATTATAAGAATGTCACAACTATCTCTATGTGCTGAGTTAGAGTCTGTGTGGGGGCCACAGGACTGGTTGAGTAAGGAGTCATGGGTTCAGATGGAGTCAGTTGGTTGCCAGAATGCAAGTTTGAAAAACATCTCAAAAGACAAATCTTAGGTTCTACAATGGTTGTGTTATCTATAGGCATAATGACAACGTTTCAAATCTTGTGACTTCTGGCTACATGACTCCTGAGATGTAAGCAAGGTAGGGAATAATGGCTGGTTATCACTTAACTATGCATAGGTCTTAGTAGAATTCAGGCCCCTCCTGAAATTCAAACCATGTAGCCTTTCATTAGTTTTACAAAGATGGTTTTTGTCCCTAAATGAGGAGAGGGGATAGTTTTGGGAAGACAGTATTATCATTCTCGCTTTAAGGTTAAAGCAGAAACTAAATTCCTCTCACGGTTAGGTTGGTTTATCCACAGGGGAGTTAGCTGGTGAGGTGAGAAGCAAGACAGAATCAGCAGTGTTAGATTTCTCTCACTATTATAATTTGGCAAAGGAATTTTTACTTCTTAAAATGTACACACATTGACATTTACCTCAATATTAGGAGGGTTATTAGATTGGTAGTGATCTATCTGTAATCACTGTTCTGCTTCCTATCTTCCTAATACTATGATTGTAAAACGTATACTTACTGAAATAATTTATATGTGTGTAAAGATATCTATATATATGTGTATGTGTATATATATGTATGTATATACACTATATATAGAGTACATTCTCGCTATATATTGTAATATATATACTATATATATATATACACACACACACACACACACACACACACATATATATAGTGTATTACTGGGTTGTTGAATTACTTTTTACATCTCAATTCCATATTTGTAGTTCTGCGAATCACATATCTAAATTGATTGTTTAGTTTTCCACTGTGGCTTTTTTTTTTTTTTTTTTTTTTTGTGGAATCCATTCACTTTATAGGGGAAAGAAAAAATTAGAAAGAATTCAGGTGATCCTATAGAAGCCCTTTTTTAAGCGGATCTCTGGGTAAATAGATAAATAACATTTGCTAAAGTGCAGAGATCATAAATACAAAATGTACACTGTTAGGTGGCCCTGGCTATAACATTACTCATATTATATCCATACTCTATGGACTTAAGAGGCACAACATCCTTCAAAATGTTGTATAAGCTGTATACATTTCCAGGGTACCAAATGGAAATGTTTCATAAAATTCCTGTCTTGTGTACCCTTACCTCATTAAACCTCACTTGGAACTTTCTCTCCCCTGACATATTGAGCCAGAGGACACCTACCAGAGGGGGTGGGGAGGGACAATGAGGCTCAGATCTCCTCACTTTTTCTCTTTATCCTCAAAAAGACTAGGAAAGCTTGAGTTGGGTGTTGTGGATCCTGTGAGTCTGATGGAACTATCTTGTACATTCTAAAGTCCACAAGAAAATAATAAAATAAATGCAGAGAGTTTTAAAAAAAGTGTGGTGATTGGAGAATTTAATTTGCCTGAAATGAAAATAGGCTGTAAAGTACTATGTTTTGGCATAGATTTAAATAAATAGGCAAATGGATATCTGGACAAAATGGACAATTTATAAATAGATTCAACTGTATGCAAGTGTGAAATACATGACAAAAACATGTATACTAATGTAGTGGAAGCTAAATATGACATTTTATAAATTGTTTGAAACTATGACTCAAGAAAAAAAATAAAGATGTACCACCACTACGCATCAAACAAAAAAATACTCAAGATGGGTTAGAAGATTAAGTGTAAAAAAATTAAGGAATTAAATCATTAAAAAATAGAAGGCAATCTAGGAGATAACATGTACGTTTTTCAAATGTGAATATTTTCTTACAAGAAATCTAGAAAACTCCAAAGAAAAATTACAGTTAAATTGGTTATGTGAAAAGATGCCTTAAGTCATATCATGTGTTCTCATTTTTCTTTCTATTTTATGTTCTTCGTAGCTAGATTCCCCATTCCTTGTGAAGGGATCATATTTTCTATAGCTTGTAAAAATCTTCATGCTTAGTAAGTTTTCTGTACATTCTAGGGAAGAATAACCTGTTTGTGAAACAAAAGAGGGGAATTTTTATGCAAAAGAAGGCAATAGGTATGTCAAAACAGTTTTACAGCTATTAACATACATAATGATATATGATAGTACATAAAAACAACAAGTAAATTAATAACAATAATATCAAGTGCATTATTTTTTGGATATGGCTGTATGTTGTGTTTAAATGTTCTCACTGTTGTACATTTACTTCCATGACAAAATTAAATCAGATTAACTACACATTTGTGAAAGACTAAAGCCAAACAAGTAATAAAATTGATTTTGTTTGGCCTACTGAAGTAGGAAGGGGACCCTAGATCTGAAGAACAGCAGGAGTTTGCAGAGTGGTTTTGCTTTAGATTTTTCTGGGAAGGAGAAGACAAGTTATAGGTAAGGCAATTTTGAGTTGAGATTGTTTGACAATGAGGAAAATCATCTCACTCTATCAGCTGAAGAGGAAATGTTTATTTCTGTGTCTAGTCAGTTTCAATGCTTATCTCTGTGTCTAGTTAGGATAACTTGTCCCAATCTCAGCTGATCAAGCATGAGACAAAGAATGAAAAGTTGTAGGGTCTGTGCTTGACCTTATCATCTGGTTTAGGAGAAGGGAAAAGGGCTGACTGTGTTTGGTCTCATCACAGGAAAGCTTTGAAGGAGTCATCTGTGAGTTTTGAGGAGTGGAAGAGTGGACAATGGAGGTTGAGTGTATTCTAAGTCATATGGGATGAATGGTTCTTTACAGCAAGCCATTTCTGGAACACAAAAGAGGTGGAGAGATAGGGCCTTAGGAAAATTTGGGATTTCCTAACGATTCTTGTTTTCCGGAAATACAGGCTCAGCTGAAATTCATTATTGCCACATTCTATGAAAGAAAAGACTCTGGGAGATATCATAAAGCCTTCTCATTCCTATTCACATAGTCTGCAACTTAAATTCTTAAGTAACAGTGAGAAAGAAAAAATAACCTTTTATGTATAACCAGAAAAAAAAGGCATGGATGTAAATATGTGTTTTCCTAATACCGTGTCTTTCATTATTTGCCTTTTTCATTTCTAAGCATCCCTAAGAACTTAATCTTTTCTTGAGGGAATCAAAAGATTCATTGTAATGACCTTTATCTGCCACAATTCTTAAGGAAATACATTTTATGGGGCTACATTTCTCTAATTTACTACTCTGTAGACATTAATTATTGTTTGTCTTTTTTTTAGTAGTTTCTTGATAAGTAATGTGATTAAGTAATTTTCCAGATGTGTAATAACTGTGAGTTATGCAATACACACACACACACACACACACACACACACACACCCCTGTATAAATGTAACTTGATATGGAGACATATAGTTAGAGTGGAAAGACTATTTCTTGGAAGAGATCAATACGTGGGTGATTGCCTAATCAGAGTTTATGTAAGACCTTTATTATCACACGCTCTCCAGAATGTATAATGAAACATTAGTGTAATATATTTGATACATCTGACTTATCACATAAAGGTGACAACAGCTATAAAGCAAATATCACACATAGAACGAAACATTTATTATCTTCTGAAATAACACAGCACCATGTGTTTACAAGGAAAAATAAATATATTCCCTTTATGATTGGTTTAAAACAAGTCACATTTTACTTGTTTTAATTTAACACCTCTTTGTGAGCACAATTGAGCTGCCATATCTCTAAAGAATTAAATAATGGATCAAGAAATTGCTGCTTCAAAGATTATGTGTTTACTTAATGCTGTGAGCAAAATCTTTATAGAATGAAAGTGTTCTGAGTATTATTGGTAGGGTAGTAGAAAGGTCACTAGATTGGGTGTAAGGATTTTGAGGTTTAAGTATTTTCTGAATGCCAGGTTTCTCATTTGCATAATATGATAAAAGCTACCTATCTATCCGTGTTGTTTTGAAAAATTAAATAAATTAGTATGCTGTAATTCAATGGATCTAGGACACTGTCAATTGTAATTAGGGACTATCATTTATGTTTACTAAGAAAGAAAATGTGTCCCATAAAATATGAAGAAAGATTTCCTTATAGCTTTGAATTTTTATTTTATATATGAAAAACTCTTTTAGACTAAATAGTTTTAATAAATCCTCTAAAAATGAATATATTATTTTTTGTTTCTATAATTTTCTGAATACACTGAGATTTTTTTTGTTTCAATGTAAAGCATAACAAACTATTTTAAAGGCAATTTCAATGACAAATTACTTCAACATACACTTCAACATAACTAATTTAAATAAAGCACATAATTTAATTGATTTGTCGACAATGTGAACGACAAAGACCAGATTTGGGCACATGCAATCAATGGGAACTACACCTGAGACAGCCCCCTGAGCAAGAGGAATTGTTAGGCATTAACAATTTTAGAAGTGATCCAGTTTCAGAGAGAATAAAATGGGTTTGCTGATATGCAAAATGTGGAATACTAAATACAGCTCTAAGAAATTACTAAAGAGTCAATTCTAGGTGTGATATGGGCATGCAACTTTGAGCAAAGAACTTTAAGAATCATAACAATATCTAACTGAAATATTTATTGTAAGAATGATGTAGCATACTTTTATAATATTCATTTAGGGTATTTTCCATATGTTGTGCCATGTAGTCCCTTGCTCCTCCTCCTAAAGGGCTTGCATTACATGCATTTATATTATTTGTTTTACAAAGGAGGAAACTGAGCCACAGAAGCGGTAGGTGACTGATGACTCCATGCAGATACTAGATGGCAAAAAACAAGATTTGAACAAATATTGAAAAAGGATACAAATGAAGGCAATACTAGCTTCCATTTGACAGCAGAGTTCATTTTATTTCCAAAGTATCACAGTTGTCTTTAAACTATATGTTAAATTATCCAAAATCTAGTATTGCAGAAAAAAAAATTGTGCTACAGTAGAAGCACATTGTCTATAGGACACTCTTGCAGTTTATCTGATTCTATGACTTATTCTACAACTCTGAAAAGGAGTGTCTAGAGGTCAGTCCTGCAGTTTGTAGTTCTAATTAAATGAATTACTCTATAACTCTGCAAATTACTGTAGAAAACTTTTAGCAATACAAAACAGTTCTTGTCTATAGACATGAAAATTCTGCCCTGCCCAATACAGGTTCAAAAGCCATCATTCCTCAATTGGAGAAGAAGCTAATTTTGCCTCCATATATACACCATTTTAATACTTGTGCTCTATAAATGTGCCTTTTATTTAGATTCTTATTTGAACCAATTATAACATCCACCTCCACCTCGAGTTAAATAAAATATTCAACACATGTTTATTTCTATATCTTCATGTGAATTAATTTTTAAAATATTGTCTTTTAACACTAATGAGTAAAATATACTACTTTCATTTATTTATTGAACAAATAAATCCATGGATTTCTATATATTGCTTAAATCTATATTTAATTTATACCACATCTCAAATATGATTATGATAACAATTTGCCCAAGGGTTGATGTGGGTTAGGAACATGCAGTACAAATATAGTTTCCCACCAACTTTGTGACCCTGAAAACAAATACTGTACTTGTGAAACTCACAGCTAAGTTTTGCTGTTTATAACATTTACACCCTCAGTGGTAAAATGTGTACAATCCCCGCAGGTCAACAATTTGCTTCTATCACACCTTGACCAGGCTTACTTCTTTACAGATGCATATAAGTATTTGTATCTTTAAAATTAGTAGCACTGGTAATCCAAGTATCTTGAGCTGTATTAACACTATATTTTATAAACAATAAAATAATAAAACATGTCACTGTGGATTATTATTACCAAGTTTAGGCAATTCTCATGCTTCTAATGACAACCTTGTTAAACATATAAAATAAAAACATTTAAATTTCAATTATCTGGGGTTTTTTTTTTACTGAAAATGAGTGTTAGGCTTCAGCACATCATCGATTAAGACCTTTCTTCTTTTTAATTATTTTGTATTGGTAAATAATAATTGTATATATTTATTGGGTACAATGTGATGTTTCACTATACACACACACATACACACACATATATAGTTATGTAATGTGGAATAATTAATTTAAGCTAATTAACATATCAATCACCTAACTTTTTGTGGTGAGACATTTGAAATTTACTCCCTTAACAAAAAACGTTTCTTTTTGACTCGTCCCTGTGATTTCAAGTTAATTGAATCACTGTCACTTAGCTATCTGCTGAATTCAATCTAAACTCCAAAGCCAGTAAAAGGTGAGAGTGAGAAACCTGTTGTCTTTAGCACTAGAATGTAAGTTAATTATATTTAATACAAAAATATTTAATTAAAAGAATATGAGATAATATTTAGGCTATATTGAAATTAATGAGTAAACAAATTGCTATCATGGAATAAATAGCTATTTCTAGAGTTAGTATGGTAGCTAACATAAATGTATTTACTAATAAAAGATTTGGAGGCCCATTAGGTTCTCTGACACCTTGCCTGTCTTCTATATTTAAATCTTAATTTCCTGCAAGCAAACTCTTTGGATTGATTACAACAAGCAATTATAAGCAACATGCTAAAGAAGGTATAGGTGCAGACAGGTGTTATACCTTTCCTCACTCATCATAAAGATCATGGCTGACACTGCTATTCAAAAGACAGGTTAGCAAAAGAAAACATAACAAATTGATTTAATCAAAGTTTTAGGTGACGTGGGAGCCTTCAGGTATGAAGATCCAAAGGACCAGTGAAAACAATCTATTTTTATGCTTAGTTTTAATGAAAAACATACAGCTGTGTATAAATGGGATTGGACAAAAAAAGTTATGACCTAATGGTAACAGAATGAGGGGGAATGTCCAGCAGGGCCTCTCTGTTCAGATTCTTCTTGGCCTGTCTGTGCAGTTTTTAAAATTTTAGGTATGGGTCAGGACATTTATGAGGTTTTAGAATATCCTTTATAAATGAGGGTCATAGGACCTACCATCAGACAAGATAGGTCAGTGAATTTCTTTATGGCCAGCTCTTATACAGAAAGATGGCGGGAGGTTAGAGTGATGATTACAGGTTCTATGGCTGGCTTTGTAGTAGAGGGGATAGGTTCTAGTTTCTGTGACCTACCATGGGGAAGAGGAATTCTGGTTTCTGTGATTTGCTTCACAGGAGAAAGAGGGAAGAGACAGAAGACAGTAGAATGTCAGAGACAATTTCCCTCTGAGGGTGCTTCTGAGGCCTTCCAGTCTTTCAGTTCAAAGAACTCAGCATTTCAAAGGGTATCCTTTTTTGAGCCCCAGCAAAGAAAAAAAATGTGTCTTCATTTTGTACTCCCTCTTTTTTCTTTCTTTTTCTTTCTTTCTTTTTTTCTCTTTTTCTTTCTTTCTTTCTTCTCTCTGTCTTTCTTTTTCTCTCTTTCCTTCTCTCTTTCTTCTTTCTCTTTCTTCTCTTTCTTTCCTTTCTTCCTTCCTTTCTTTCTTTCCTTTTTTCTTTCCTTTCCCCATTTTCTTTCTTTTTCTTTTCTTTTCTTTTTCTTTGCCCCATGTGGCCAATTTCTTAATCCCTTTCCCGATTGCCCCATTTAATGGAGTTGAGTAGTTATCAAAGGAAGAATGCAAATTAAGATACAAAATTTTCTTGCTGAATTCTATGCAGACATATATTTAAAAGGTAATTTACCTCTGATTTATCATTCTAAGACCATTGCATGTTTAGTGATCTCATAATGTATTAATTTGTTATATTTTACATTATCATGCCATGTAGAAAACAAGAATGCCATATATACATATATGTACACACCACACACATACACATGCACACCTATTTCATTTATGAAGCTTGATAATGTTCTTCAGTTGTAAGATTCAGATTTGATCAACTTACCTAAATCCCATATTTAATAAATTTTATATTACCTCTCTTATTCCTGGACTCCTATAATGAGTTCCCATGTTTTAAGAAACAGGAAAAAACCATTTTGGGCTGGACTCTAATAGTCTATGAAAAGTATCTGTCTGATCCTGCATATATTTGGAAGAGAAGTATATTTATGTGAAATATTAAAGCTACTCCCAAAGTAACAACATATCTATCTGCTTCCCATATAAAATTAAGCCCATTTTCATTTTTAAAAATATAAATTGCTAAATCTTGAGGAAAAAATATATTTAGGAAAAATACATTTTATTTAAACAGATAATTTCTTAAATCCCCGAGCTTCTGAGAAAATAGTTTCAAATAAAAAGGTAGACAAAGGATATTTTAAGGGGAGGAAACACAAGAATGTATTGTTGTTCATCAGTATGATATAATAAAAATATCTGTAAATGACTTATCTCTATATTGTCTGCCCCAGTATCCATGCTATTTGAATGCTTAAATACCCTTCCCTCTCTTCTGATAAGGCAATTTCAAAACTTCTTATATACAAACAAACTATTTTTCCCTTTTTATAACTTTTCACATGTGCAAAAAATATTGCCTTTCCTAATCTGTTTGATCCGGAAAAGTCATAACCAAGCACATCAGATAGTACCTGTTGATTTTGCATAGAGAAGGTATAAGTAAAGCAACATTTCATAGGGTCACTTATAATCTTCTAAAATGATACATTCATTATATCGAAAAGGGTACATTCAGCCTTGTAGTTCTCATTTTAAAAAATAGATATTTTATTTACTACATTATCACATTAGTTAAGAGGTGAAGTACTTGAATAACGTGCTATCAGAGGAAACATTTTTGATGACTATCACTGTTTTGACATTGCAATAAGAACTGTTATATAAAACTAAGGCACAGGCTCATCCTGAATGCTTGGAGCTAATTCATCATCAACGGTAAACACTCAAAAAACAAATAAATACAACTAAAAGGGCAAGACCAAGTCTTCTGATAAATTTTACCAGTAACTTCAGAGATAAAAGAATTCATCAGTAACTTTTGACATTATAAGTAAGGGGCACTGAGTTTCCAAAAACAAGCGGATATAGTTTCACTGTGTCTCATCCAAATTTCATTTTAAATTGCCACGTGTTGTCCGAGGGACCCAGTGGGAGGTAATTGAATCATGGGGGCAGGTCTTTCCCATGCTGTTCTCGTGATAGTGAATAAGTTTTTTGAGATGTGTTAGTTTTTTTTTTTTTTTTTTTTTTTTTTTTTTGAGACATTGTCTCGCTGTTGCCCAGGCTGGAGTGCAGTGGCGCGATCTCGGCTCACTGCAGGCTCCGCCCCCCGGGGTTCACGCCATTCTCCTGCCTCAGCTTCCCGAGTAGCTGGGACTACAGGCGCCCACCACCTCGCCCGGCTAGTTTTTTGTATTTTTAGTAGAGACGGGGTTTCACCGTGTTAGCCAGGATGGTCTCGATCTCCTGACCTCGTGATCCGCCCGCCTCGGCCTGATGTGTTGGTTTTATAAGGGGGAGTTTCTCTGCACAAGCTGTCTCTCTTTGCCTGCCGCCATCCGCGTAGTAAACGTGACTTGATCCTCCTTGCCTTCCGCCATGATTTTAAGGCCTCCCCAGCCACATGGAACAGTAAGTCCATTAAACCTCTTTCTTTTGTAAAATGCCCAGTCTCGGGTATGTCTTTATCAGTGGCATGGAAATGGACTAATACACACACACACACTCACACACACAAATACACAAACAAAACAAAACAAACAAACAAACAAACAAAAAACCCTAATTCATGATATGGGAAATGTACTCCTTACCACGGATGGAGAATAACTCAAGGATTACTGTGTTTTAAGTTACTCTCTTATGGCCTAACAGCCCGAAAGTTCAATTATCAGGAATGTGTTATAGTAGGCTATTTAAAGATATCCAAATGATAGATACTGTGTTTCTGTTTTTAGAGTAAATGGATGACTGTAATAGTGAAAATTACATCTCTTGCTTCAAAGTCTTCTGGGAAAATGAGCTATCACAGGTCTTTAAAGCTGTCTATTCCTTATGGCTTCCTTATCCCTCAAAATTTATTTTATTAAAGGTCTAAGCAGCTTTAAAATGTTAAAAATGATATTTTATAAACATAATACCGGTGCAAGAGTAAAGATATGTGTTTTTAGTAATTAAGATATGATCATGTTTAAAAGATAATTTGAATGAATATAGAATAAGTGATTAGAGCTTCATGGATGTGGGAGAAAAATTTCTATGATAATAATACTATTTACATTGAAATTATGATAATAAAAGTTTCACATTTTAATAGTTATAAATATTAACTATATAATATGGTTCTATAAGCATATGTGTATATACTCAATCATTATGAAAATATTAAATTTTCTACTACTTTACAGAATGAATTATTCTTCTATAATGGTCAATCTTTTTTAAAAAATTATTATTTATTGGTAAACAACACTTTGTAGTCACCAAAATCTAAATATTGAACAGTAATAAATGATGTCTAGCACCTACAGAAAACTTCTTGTAAGAACTGCAAAATTTTACACCTAGTTTGACTCAAGTTAATTTTATTGTATGTTTACACAGGAGAATATCAATGTGTATATAAGTGTTTTGATACCAATATGTGCATTTCAATAGATACTCTAAGACTTATTTATTTATAAGTACAAATATAACACTTTTAAGAAGCTTACTTTTTCTCTGAACATAAAATAGTAAAAGCACGTGAACTATTTAGCAATAAAATGAATAAAAGAACTTAATGCAATAGCTTTGTTTAGCAATTAAGTCATTAATTTTTGATTAAGTTTTAGAGACAGTAATGGCTATTACTCTAGCAGAAAAATAAATTATTTTGACCTGTAATGTACTAAAAATGCTTCTTAGAAGAGAGTGTATTTTAGCTTTGACTTAAAAAGCATACAGCTTGAATGCATGTGAATATTCTTAGATAAATGTAAAATCTAAGCATCAATAGCCATTCAAACTTGTCGCATATATCATGCAAAAAGGAATCATGAACATTGAGTAAAGTTGTCAAGTTATAACCAAACATTCTTGCATGCAGAATGCATGTCTCTTTTTCTTTCTGCACCAGCATCTAAGGCATTATTCATGGTGTTTTAATGTTGTTTTATTTCTTGGATTTTAGTTTTCCCTTGGGGGGGAGAAGGGAAATTTTCCATTTGATTCATGCAGTTGTTCAAAGTAACTGATAGACAATGACACACACGATGACATTCATGTCCCTAAGTATCATTTATTCACTTGTAAAGTGTATAAGAAATTCATCTTAAAAGCTCTGTGATGTAACTTCATCTATTTATTTCTGGTTATAAAGTAATTACTCAAATTCCAGATAAGTTTCTACCTTACCTTTTCTCAGAATACGTACCAGCTAGGAATTTGTTCCGTTTGCTTGGTGAAATGGGTCTCATAGGTCAGGAATTATTTTTATTCTGCTGATGCTGTTGTTTTCTCTCTGGATTTCTGAAACCATGTAATATGTCCTCGTTTATCACTGTTTTTTTTTTTTCTCATTGTGTTTAGGAGACACATCTATGATGTTTCATATAGGAGCAGTTTGCTTATTTTCATTACTGCATAATATTCTACTGTTTGAATAAATCATAATTTATTTATGCAATCTGTTATTAATCAACATTTAGGTTGCTTTTAATTATTTTGTTGCTATTGGTTTTGCAAATAGGGTGCACAGACATGCACAATTCTACTGGAAACATACCCAATAGTGGAATTTTTGCATATATTATAGATATGTGGTCTGAATTAGTATATGCTCAATTATTTCCTAGACAAATTGAGGCAATTTCTACATTCCTACAAGTAGGTACAAGCATTGCAGTTATTCTACTAGTTTTTTTTTTTTTTTACAACACACTATAAATAGACTTTTAAATTTGATCCCTCTGGTGCAGTGGTACCTAATCAAAGTTGTGCTTGTGTACTGATGAAGCTCAGCATGATTTTTATTATTTTATTGTATTATTATTGTTGTTGTTATAGAGACGGGTCCTACTATGTTGCCTAGGCTGGTCTCAAACTCCTGGGCTTAAGCAATCAGTTTGCCTCAGCCTTCCAAAGTGTTGGGATTACAGGTGTGAGCCACTGCGCCAGGCCTGAAACTGAGAATCTTCTTACCTTCTTAATAAAGATTTTGTTATTTCTTTAGTGAAGTGAGCATTCAAGTATATGCCTATCCTGTGGTGTGTGGTTATTTGCATTTTATTCTATTGACTTAGTGATATTTTCAGTGTATTCTAGATTTGTCTCTTGTCTACTATATGAATGGCAAAAATTGACTCTCACTCTCTCTGCTTTGCAGTTTTCACTTCCTATTGGAGTCTTTTGGTGAACAGAAGTTTATAATTTTAATGTCATATAACTTATCAATATTTTCTTTTTTATATTGGGCCTTTTGCCAAAATCTGCATGTATTATTTTCTGTCTCTTTTCCTTTCTGCACCTGCATCTAAGGCATTATTCATGGTGTTTTATTGTTGTTTTATTTCTTGGATTTTAGTTTTCCCTTTATAGTTTCTTCTATGATATTTTGAGGAAAGAATAATGCAGCCTTAGGAATTTGCTATCTTGGTAGAAAATTGAAAAAAATAACATTCATTTTAGAAAATTAACATGGATTGTTCATCTATTCTGTACCAGGTTCAGGAATAAATGTTGAGGAAGTGTCTTTATTTCAAAATATACCTTCATATAAATGTACTTATAGAAAAACACATATACGAAGAAAAAATAATGACACAAGTGCAATAAAGATGTTTGCATGTGTGGGGCTGTAGAAGAACACCATTTAGCCAAACTTTTTGAGGTTGGGATGTTTGAAAAACTTTCTAGAAGATAAGACTCCTCTTGACTTTAGACTTCATGACTCTTCTAGATGTTAGTCTTCAAGCTGAAGAAGCATTGGTGAGGAAGCAAGTGGAAAATTGGCTGGAGTTGTCAAATACCAAGGCAGGTGCAGAAAACTGAGCCCTGGAACATCAAATATTAGGCATGATTCTTTTAATTTCTATTAAGAATACATAAGTTTTCAATAGATATAATTAGTCTAAGTGTACTAAGATTCAATAGAAATAGCATTAGGGCAAATAAGAATCACTTAATTTCTAAATCCTTGTTTATCCATTTATTATAGCCATTAGAAACTATTACTGAGGTAGTTGTACAGACTTTTACAAATCCTATTCAGTTTGACTTTCGCTGGAGCATACGCCCGTTGTACATATAATTGTTTGCATTGCTCAGTCCCTAATTAAGAGGTAGCCATAATGAATTTTCACTGGCATTTAACTGATAGCAGGGTAATACATGAAAGAAGAAGGAGCAGAAGAATTCACATTTTTGCTACTAGAATGCCTGACTATTAGCGTTGAGGCTATGATTTGGGGAATCTCATTAGCAATAATGGCGCATTATATTCCCTAAGTAAAAGCTGCTAATCAGTCACCCAGTTAATTACAAAGCTTCCTTTTAGAGTAATTAGTGAGAAATAGCCTCTCATTTTTAGTAAAAATGACTCAAGAAAGATAAACTATGTTCTGTGAGTCTGCTTGTTACTCCATCTCTTCCTGCTACTTTGATTTTATCCAAAATATCCCTTAATAAAATAAATATAAATTCCAATTAAATTGTAAAATTTTAAAGAATCATGACATGTTCTAACTTACAACTAGTTCTCTCACAAACATATATAAATACCTTAATTTTTATATTTTCAATTTTAAGGACTACAATGAAAGCAGAAATTTTAGTGTTATCACAGTGATTGAGAAAGGCTGAAAGATGTTAGTTCAGAAGAACAAAAACTGTTAGAAATATGGTTGTGAACTTCACTTTAGAACAAAAATTGGATTTGAAAAGACATCAAAAACATATATGAACACACCAGGGGTTGATTGTGTTCTCTACAATCTTCAGAAGAACATCAAAGAAAATCTAACAAGCAACTTCAAAAGCCTGTTAGTCTCACTGCAAGCTGCAGTTCAGGGAGAAAGAGCCTGTTAAAGGCCTTATTGAGGAAAATGACAGTATCCACAGAGAACATGAAGAGATTGACCTATAAACAATTTCTTGAAAAATGTCACCAAAGATAACACAAATTTCACCTAGAAATTAAAATGACACCAAAGTGTACTGTAGTTGCAAAAGCTATAAAACAGAAACAAGAAATATAAACAGTTAAAGAGGGACTCAGTTCATTTAAATGGTGTTTATAGAAGATATGAGAGATTTAATATACATTAACAAAGAAACAGGAGAGTGATTACAAATATTTAATTTAAACTTTTTGAAACAGAAACAAGATAAAAATAAGTCTGATTTGAATTATAAAGATTTGTTGAATAAACATAAACTCATTGGTCTTTTCTGTGATTCAGAAACTAAAAATGTAAAAGCATGCCAGGATTTCAAGGAAGACAGAACCTAAGTTATTTCTTGATGATGTTTTTAATTTTTTAAAAAATATTTTAACAATAAAAATAGGCACATGGCATTTCTTTTTAAAGAAATTGAAGGAACATACACAGTATAAGGAAAAGCATACATAAACAGTGTCAGACTTTTTTCTTGCCTTGAAATAACTCATACTAACGTGTTAGTGAACATTATTTCATAAACAACCTAAGCAAAAACACATATACATGATGAAGTCATTTCGTTAATACTATTGATGTGCCTTATCATTTGTTGAAAACATGATGGATTAGATCCTCTGGCATCTTGGTCAGATACCTTTTTTAAGATTCCAGAACTTTTCTCCAGACTGTCAGAAGTGTTGCATTATCATGACTTAGAGCTGAGTACATCCCCAGGAATTGCTTTCCTTTTAAAGAAGCTCTTTTGCTCAAGGCTTTACCCACTCTCCAAGCAAGAACTTCCCACATTCACATCTTTGATGTGTATGTAAGACTCTCACCTCAATTTGGCATATATCTAAAGGGACTTCCAGGCTAAAAACTTCACACTGAGTCAACTGAGCCTTCAGTTGTTATTATATCATGAGGGATTTTTTTTAATATCCAATTCTTCTTTCTTCACTCATAAAGCATTTTTTT
Source organism: Homo sapiens (assembly GCF_000001405.40). Lineage (NCBI taxonomy): Eukaryota > Metazoa > Chordata > Mammalia > Primates > Hominidae > Homo > Homo sapiens. The sequence continues at coordinate 66,252,639 of NC_000018.10, read as the reverse complement.
TTTTCCTGAGAACAATGTCTGATCACCACCACCATGCAAACCTCTGCTTCAGAGAATGTTTCCTAGGCAATGTGCCCAGTAACACTCTACTACCAAGGGCAGTCCTCAGAACAGATTCTAAAGAAGCTCATGCGTTGGTGAGGTCATATATCAGGGTTTTGAAATATTTGAGAAAAGAGAAAATTGAATTGAATGACTGGTGTTATACAATATTTATTAATTACAAAAAAGTTGAGAAGACAAGGAGCATTAATCAACAATATAAGGCAAAGTTAGGAGGGATCCTTACTAGCATATAAAACGATGCTAATATCCTGCAGTTGTTGGGAAGAAAAAGATGAAGATCAGGCCTGGAACATAATAATAGGTGTCAGAGCTCTAGAAAATATTGGCTTCTCCACTTTGACAAGCCTGTTATTTCAAGGTCAGGGCTATGATTGAGACATACTGGGATTCTGGGACAAGAAATAGGTCACCAATTTCAAGACACTTAAAAATCTTGACCTCTCCCCTCAAATATTCTGAAGCTCTGTGGCCTACAAAGGTAGTCCACTTCTTGAAAAAGTCTATTGTTTTCCCTTTGTTGAAGGACGATGTAAATATTTTTGCCTTGCAAGAAAGCATTTACCTGCCTCAGGCAATAGTCCCATATCTTATTCTAATCACAAGACCAATAGCCACTGTTAAACTACAATAGATACCACCATAAATGTGCTGGATGCTGGATCCTCAAGGGAAGAAAGAAAATACTGCTGGGAATAGCTGCAGAAGTTACACAATGTGTATCAACAGGAGACAAAGGAGAATGTACAGGGCTGAACCTTAGGGTACTGGATTGGGAGAAGGGGTAATCAAACATAAAGTTAGGTAAAGCAGAGTTTATTGATATGAAAATGTTCACCTGAATTTGAAGTAGAATGTAATAGAATGTAATCTTCTGACAAGGAGACTGACAGATGGTTCTAACATGTCATTAGGATGGCTCTTAGAAACTTGGGGAAGTGATTGCAACTGGAGATTGAAAAATAAATGCTATGATTTCCATAGCAGACAGTGAAAAAAAAAAGGTCAAAATTCTCACAGAAGGTAACATGTTAGAGTGAATACATGATATAAGTTAGAAACACTAGTAACCAATTTTATTCTGTGGAAGGCCCACAGAACCTGTTATGTGGAGAGCCACTTATCAGATTTCTGGGCAGCACACTAGTGAGAGATGCACTAGTGTTGTTGAGAATCCCAATGCTGACTATCTTCTATAAGCTACAATTGTTGATAGGAGATGTGCTTAAAAACTAGATTGTCTATTAATGACAACAATAGGACCTCAAAACTGTTGAAGGCAGATATAGTGGAATTAAACTATCAGAAGCCAGGCAGAAACAATACGTATTAAAGGGACAAGTCAGAGTTGCAGGTAATGGGGGAAGGATGTGGCCCACATAGAAAGAATCATGGAGAAGGTCCCTTGGCTTTCCTAGGAATAAGATAGAGATGCAATCAATGAGAATTTCTCAGTCTTAACTAATCAGAAGAAATCAAGGGTGGAAATCCCAGTAGAAATCCTTATACCTTGCCAAGTTTCCAGATCTGAGCTAGTGCTCAGAAACAGAGGCCACCGAATGAAAGAAAATCTTGATCATGAGAAGAAAGAAATTGCAATGCCACTCAGTCCTTCCCACAAAGGACCTAGAAACATTTACCTGGATCCATACATGAGGAAAAGGAGTGCACACAGATGTCTCAGGGGCTACTGAATATGGTGCCCAAGTAGACATTGATAACTAGAGACCCGAAAGGCCATATGGCCTCTGTGAGAATGCGCATGTAGTAAGGATAATATATGGAATTCTGGCACAGGTTCATCTCATAGTAAGTTCCATAGGTGCACACACCCATCCAGTGGCCATTTCTCTGGTACATGAATTAGTACTTATAATGGGGTAACTTGGTAATTGGTAAATCTCCATGCTGTTCCTTAGCCTGTGGTTAAGAAGTCCAAGGAGACGCTTCTAAAACTGCCAATACCACAGCCAATACAGTAAATTTTAAAAAATAATGCATTTTATGTAGAATGACATATGTTAGTGCCACATACTTAAAGACCTAAAGGATGAGGTAAAAAGATGATGAAAGATGCTATGTTCAACTGCAAACTCTGTATTCTGGTAACCCCAGTTACAGCTGTGTTACCTGATGGAGTATTTTGCTCCAGCAGATTTATGCTGCATCAGATGGACAGGATACTAAGCTAGTGGATACATTTTTCAGAAATAGTTTGTCTTTACCTGGGGTAGACAATAGCATATATTTATGGTCTTACCACTGGGCTATACTACTTTTCCTATTATTTGTCATAATTCCAGTCCAAAGTGACATGGGACACTAGGCATATTGATAACATCATTGTAATGATACTGGATGAACAAGATATGTCAAGTGTGTTGAATGACTGTTAAGACACACACAGTCCAGAGAGAGGGCATTAAAAACTGTATGAAGACATAAGGTATGTCTCATTGGTGAAGTTTTTAGGATTAGAATAGTCTGAGGCATTCCAGAAAGTCATCTATAAGGTAAAGGAAAAATTATGCCACCCACACCTCCAACACGAAGAAGGAAGGACAATGCTTGGGATACTTCTCCAGTCTCATGAGGCAGAATATTCCACACTTGAGAATATGATTCTGAATTTACTGAATTAAGTGATATATTTCCAAAGGCATAGCAGAAATGGACACTACAATGGTCCAGGCTATGAAGCAAGCAGCCCTACCACTTGGGCCATGAGACCCAGCTTACTCTATGGTATAATTGTCTATGGTGGGAAAAGATGTCATACAGAGTTTACAGAAAGTCCCACTGGAAGAATTAAGGTTCAACAACAGTAGGGTTCAACTAAAATATCTTACCTTGCAGAAGAGAATTATTCAACTTTCAAAAAGCAAATTCTGGCACTGTAGAGATGGAATGCTAAGCCATGGGGCATCAGGTGATCATACAGCCTAAACGGCCTATCATGAACTAAATCATAAGGTTGAACAAGCCCAACCATGACCCACTGGAAAATGGAAGTGATGCATCTGGAATTAGATGCAAGCAGTTCCAGAGGCCACAAGTAAGCTGAGTGGCTGTAAATGGACCCAACAGCAGGGGCTCCTGTTCATCTATGCTGGGCTATCTATTGCCACTACCAGGAAAACAACCAGGCACCAGATGGCCTGAAGAAACAGATGAGTTCATTTTTAAATGTATGTGGAAAGGAAGAGGAATCAGAATAGCCAAAAAGAAACTATGAATAATAACTATGAAATAGTTATGACTATTCATATGACTATGAATAAAACTATGAAAGTTGGAAGAATTATACTAGATTATTTTAAAACTGATTATAAAGCTATAGTACAAGTCACTGTGATATTAGAGTAAAATCTATATAGAGAATTGCAACAAAATAGAAAGTCTAGAAATATAACAGTGGGCAATTGAATTTTAACAAATGTTCAAATGAAACTCAAGGGAAAAATAATTTCGTTTTCAACAAATATTGCTGAAACAATTGAATAGTCATATGCAAATTAATGAATGAATAACTAACTAAATAAAACAAACTTCAACCTCTACCTCACACCACATAATTGTGTATATTATATACAGTTCAATCAAAAATGGTCACATACTTAAGTATATAGCTAAAATTATAAAACTGATTGAAGTAAATGATAATTTTTTAGTGATCTTGTGTTTGGCAAAGACCTTTTAAGTAGGACACAAAAACCATAAACTGTTAATCAAATGTCAATAAATTATGTTCCATCAAAATAAAAAGCAAATATTCTTCAAAAAACACTGTTATGAAACTGAAAAGGCAAGCTGCAGACTGGGAGAATGCATTTGAAAAGCATATATCGAACAAAGGACTTTATCTAGAAAATATAAAGAGCTCTGAGAACCCATTGATAAGAAGTTTAATAACTTAATGAAAAATAGGCAAAAGATGTAAATAGACACTGTTCAAAGAGGATGTAAAGAGAGCAAATATATATATAAATCAATACTTAATATCTCTAGTCATTAAGGTAAGGCAAGCAAAACAACTACACACCCACCAGCACGGCTGAAATTTGAAAGATTGACCCTACCAAATGTTTATAAAGATGTGATACAAATTGAACTTTCATTTACTGCTAGTGCACACAACAAATTTGGATACAGTTTCATAGTTTTTTTTAAAGTTAAACACCTACTCCATATCCCAGCTATTTCACTCCTAGGTATTTACCCAAAACAAATGTTATAAGTAGCTTTACTTGTATTAGTGAAAACCTGGGGGGAAATCCAATGTCCATCCCAGGGAGTACAGACTAACAATTTGTAAAGCTGCTTTAAAACCAAATACTTTGGTCAGGCGTTGTGGCTCATGCCTATAATCCCTGCACTTTGGGAGGCCAAGGTGGGGTGGATCACCTGAGGTCAGGAGTTCAAGACCAGCTTGGTCAACAGGGTGAAACCCTGTCTCTACTAAAAATACAAAAATTTGATGGGCTTGGTAGCAAGTGCCTGTAATCCCAGCTACTCGGGAGGCTGAGGCATGAGAATTGCTTGAACCCAGGAGGCAGAGGTTGCAGTGAGCTGAGATCGTGCCACTGCACTCCAGCCTGGGTGACAGGGCGAGACTCCCTCTCGAAACAACAACAACAACAAAACAAATACTTTTAATCAATAAAAGGAAAATATTAACTATCAGTTATTGGAGACTGTACTGGGAATTGGGGAACAGGTAATATTTCCTAGGCAGCTGCAGGGAAATATTACAAAAGAGCAACAGGAAATTTGTTGGGGTGGGGGGCATGAATGTTACCTTGATGATGGTAATAATCTCAAGGATATATATATACGTCAACATGTCCAAACTCATCCAATTGTACAATTTAAATGTGTTCAGTTATTGTATGTTAATTATACCTGAATAAAGCTGCTAAAATAACAACAGATTTTTCCACATTGCCTTTCATAAAGTATGTGACTACGACTTATTTTCTCGTTTGCCTTGTGAAAATTAGTTTTTCTAATATTAATTTATCTTGCAGAGTGTAAAGAATGCTTTTTTCTCATCTAAAGAATTTTAAAAATCCATAAGCAGGAAATAGGTATGAAAAGACCCAGTGTGTTCCAGGAGCTTTATATGTTTTAGTATGGCCCATGCACAATGAGAAGTTGAGGTCAATTGAGTTCAACATATATTCATTAAGTGCCAGTTGCGTGCTGATAATTCTATCAGAAGCCAGGATAAGAATAGGAGTAAAAACGTTTTTAGTTTCACAGTTATCTACTATGTATCTAAATAACATATTAAGGATATGGCACACATACCTCCAATTCCACTAGTACCTTTATGCAATGAGTGCTAAAACCATGAGAAAGTGATAGAGCTTGCCTGGGCTGGACTAATAGAGAAATTCTTTCTTGAAGAGATAAGATCTGACTCTAAATATGAAGGAGGATTAACATTCACTAACTAGCTGACAGAATAAATGGTTTTATAAGCAAAGCAACATTTTATGTAGGCCCCAAAGACCATAGTGTATCTTTTCACCTGAAGTAACTTTAGCAATTTTTAGTAATATCATTCAAATTTTTATTAACCTACCTGTATGATTCCTTAAAGCATACATTGAAAAGGTTAGACATTGCTGGGCGCAGTGGCTCACACTTGTAATCCCAGCACTTTGGGAGGCCGAGGTGGGCGGATCACCTGAGGTCCGGAGTTCAAGACCAGCCTGACCAACATGGAGAAACCCCGTCTCTACTAAAAATACAAAATTAGTCAGGCGTAGTGGCACACGCCTATAATCCCAGCTACTTGGAAGGCTGAGGCAGGATAATTGCTTGAACCCAGGAGGTGGAGGTTGCAGAGAGCTGAAATCACACCATTGCACTCCAAACTGGGCGACAAGGGCGAAACTCCATCTCAAAATAAAATAAAATAAAATAAAATAAGGAAAAGGTTAGACTTCATCAGAAACACTTCCAGGACAGACTGGTCCATGAATGTTATCATTCACATTATGATACTATCATTGAACTCTCAGCTGAGAGGGGCTTGATACCATATCTCAAACTAACTTTCCTTAGTGTGCATATCAATAGCCTGGTATAAACAAAAATGTACAGTAACTCTACACAGAAAATATAAAACTTTATTGAAGAAAATTTAAAGGAAGCTAAATAAATGGAGAATATTTTTTGTTTATAGATTGAAAGACTAGAAGTTTATGTTCTTTTTAAATTGATCTATGAAACTCCAGTGAAAACTCCAACATTTTCGGAGAGTAGGAATTGACAAGCTGATTCATAATTTATATTGAAATGCAAAAGGCCGAGGATAGCTAAGATATTACAAAGAAAGAACAAGGTAAGATACTAAGAGGGATATTAGGGCCATGGTTCTATCATTGGGACACTGGGGCAAAAATAAACCAATGGAATCTTTGAAAAGAATCGAGAGCCCAAAAGCAGACCTACCCTCATAGGACAATTATATTTATGTCCAAAAAGTAATGACATTTCAGATCAATATGAAAAAGAAATAACTTTCAATAAATACTTCTAGGACAACTGGGTACTCATATACAAAAAAGCCCAGTACTTAAGGCAATCTACCAAAATCTGTTCCAGGTGGAAAGTAGATCTACGTGTGAAAGGAAAAATAATAAATCTTACAGATGTTGTAAGTTAGAATAATCCATAAAAATTTTCAGGACAGGAAAATAATTTTTAAATTGGACAAACAAAATAGTTTATCACAAAGAAAAATATCAGTAAATTTGAATACTTTAAAAATAAGAACTTTCTTCATCACGAAAAATAAAACAAGCTGTGGAATGGAATGGAAGAATATATTTTAATACATGTATTTAACAAGTTCATTTATCCAAAGCATATAAAGACTCCTGCAAATTATTGTGAGAAAGACACTCAACCCAACAGAAAAAATGAGCAAGCAACTTGAATCATCAGCTTTACTGAAGAAGACATTGAAATTGTCCAATGTCATTTATAAAAGGCAAAATTAGAATCACAGAATGACTGAATTTAAAGGTATGAGCAATACTAAGTTGTGAAGAGTGTGTGGATGTGATGGTTACTTTGATATATAAACTTGACTAGGTTAAGGGGTGCCCAGACAGGTGGTGAAACTGTATTTCTAGGCATGTCTGGGAGGGACAGACGACATTAGCATTATAATCACTGGACTGAATAAAGATCTGCCCTCATTAATAAGGAAAGGAGAATTCACTCACTATTCTAAAGCTGGGATATGTGTCTTCTTCTGCGCTGAGACACTGGGGCATGTCCTGTGGCCTTCAGACTCTGGGACTTAAACCATCAGCTCCCTGTTCTCAGGCCACTGAACTCAGACAAATTACACCACTGGTTTTTCTGGGTCCTTGGCTTGCAGGTGGCAGATTGTAGACTTCTCAGCCTCCATAATTGGGTGAGCCAATTCCCATGATAAATTCCCTCTTATCTATCTATCCATCTGTCTGTCTGTCTGTCTGTCTGTCTGTCTGTCTGTCTATCTATCTATCTATCTATCTATCTATCTATCTATCTATCTATCTATCTACCTACCTACCTACCTACCTACCTACCTACCTACCTACCTATCTATCCTATTGTTTTTTTTTCCTCTGGAGAACCCTGACGAATACAGGGTGAATAGGAACTATCTTGTAATACTCAAGTGAGAGTATATTCCTAGATACAGACATACTTCTGAAGGAGAATTCTTTTGTGGAACCATAATATAATTTAACACAAATATACATGCATGTATACTTAAAAACTATATAAAATTACCAAGTTTTTAGATCAGTAATAATTGATATATGTTCAAAATAAGACATTTTAACTACACCATATTCATCTGTTGTCTAAGATGACTGTTTAATCTCCAGAAACATATTTTTATTTTATTGTATTTTTATTGTTACAGGGATAGGGTCTTGCTGTGTTGCCAAGGCTGGTGTCAAACTCTTGAGCTCAAGTGATCCTCCTGCCTTGGCCCCAGAGGGGTGGGATTATAAGTGTGAGCCACTATACCAACCCAACAACTTTTTTATTCAACCTAAAAAAAGAAAAAATATTGAGAAAGAGAAATTTTGAGGTGCTTTGTGGAATTTGAAAAAAAAAGCACACATACAGACGTCTAACTATCTCATTAGGCATAACTTGATCAGACAATTACACCTATCTTCAAGGGAGGCTAAGAAACATAGCTTTCATACCATAGGCCATGGTATGAACTTAGTCACAAATTAGATATTGTGTTAGTAAAGAATACTAACCATGTACTTAGTCACATGTACTTAGTCACAAATTAGATATTGTATTAGTAGAGAATATGGGAAGATAAAATATTGGGGGATAGATTTTCATCTTTCTAGAGCATACCCCTTTGGTCTATTATATATCCACACACACTCTTCTTGGTACACTTAAAATGCATTCAGTATTTCCTCAGAGAGACAACACCAAAGTCGCATTTAGCTGTTTTATAAAGCTGAAACTCTAGGTAGAGAGTGGCACTTCATAGCATGGTGATCTGTACATCATTTGATAAAGATATAGTTCTTCATATTCTAAAAGGTGAATTATCTGACTGTAAAATGCTCAGGATGTTATAGTAAAGGTAGCACAGCATGTGTAAGGCAAAAACTACTATCAGTGGGGGAAAATAAAGGAGGGGGATTAGAAGACAAATGAGTCACTGGAGCACAGGCATGATCAACTCTCGGGAGGGATTGAGAGCACTTCTTTCTCTTCCCCTCTCTAAGCTCCTCACACTGGGTGACTCTGCTTTGCTTTCTTGAAGGTTTGGCCTTTTCCATGATCTCCCATTGGCACGACTTAAGCGGACACGGGGCTGTGCAGTCCCTGGAAGCTGTGGGTCTTGTAGTTGGCTTCCTTCTGTGCTTGGAGGTTGAAGATTATGAAAATGTAGAGAATAGGCTTGTAGCTTCTTTGGCATCATATGTCATCCAAAACTTGTCAGGCTTTTGATGTACTGTGAATGTAATGTATAGGAAAACTAGACGTATAAAAGTCTTTGGTCATTTCCTTAATAGCTTATGAGTGTATATTAGGCTGAGTGTGACCCCACATGTATGTCTGCATCCCAACCCCTGGAACCTATAAATGTACTTTATATGACAAAGAGTGAAATTACTCTATATGACAAAACATGTGATTAAGGATCTTGAAAGGAGAACATTATCCTATATAATTCACATATGCCCCAAATGTAATCATGTGCATTCTTATAACAGCATGGCAGAGGGAGATTAGATGCAAACAGAAAGTAGAAGGTACACAGAGGAGAGGGTGATTGCACATTGAAGGCAGGAATTAAAGTGATGTGGCCACAGGCCAAGGAATGCCAAGAAGTGCCAGGCAGTCCCTATAATTCAGAAGATGCAAGCAATGGTTTCTCCCTCAGAACCTTCCACAGGGAGCAGGTTCCTGCCAACCTCTAAATTTTGGACTTAAGGCCTCTAAGACTGTGAGAGAATTAGTTTCTGTGATTTCAAACCACTGAAGTTGTGGTCATTTGTTGTGGAGTATTCTAGGCAATGAATACCACACTCAAGTCTTTTTCTTATCATCCTCGTCTCAACCTACGTTCCTACCCAAAAGGCTTGGGTAGGAACCCAGTAATGTTAATGTGATCTTTTTTTGCTGGGTGACATTTTTGGCACAGTTTGTAGCCACAATCTCATCTCTGACTCTGAGTGAAGCTTGAAAAACATTGTTTACTATAAATTTTAAAGAAATGAAAGCTTCTGAAGGTGCAGTTTGCATTTTCAATCTTGCAAAGCTCTAAATTATTGGACTCATGACGATCATGAGCTGTACATCACACTCAGAGCAGGACTGCACTCACATTTCATTAATGCATGCAGACCAGCGAGCTGTAACCTGGATTTATCTCTCCATAAGTTTGTTTCCAGAAAGTGGCTAGAATTGGCCAAATTAATCAACAGTGGAATTTTTTTCTTCACTTTCCTGTGGTTGTCTTTGTTGCCATACATACTGCTTTCAAAGTAAGGTGGACATTAGTTGAACATTTTGGGCCTGCAAAGAGTCATGAAACTTACAACCGGTGATACCTAAGTTAGCTCTGCCTCTTCTCTACTAAGTTAGTGCCACATAACACTAAGTTTAGTGCTCATGACACCAAGTTTAGTTTTTGTCATGAGTAGCATTCTGCCTCCAAGTTTCAAATTCTGTATGATTAAAAGTTAACCTTACTTGTAAATGACATGAAATCCAAAATTTCAGTAGATTGAAGTAGGTAGAAGGTTGCTTGCCTCTATGCCTAGGTGTTTCTGGCCTAAACTTAGTGTCCGTCTCAGGGTTGAAGTCAGCTGCTCTGGCTACAGCCAGTTAGAATCACGGGACTGCCTATGCAACAATGGAAAGACATGGAAGGGGCATTGTTCTCTTTGAAGCCCTTTCGAGAAATAACGCACAAGGCGTCCAACTCTCAACCATCCATTATAACTTAATTGCCATATCTGCTGATAAGGGAAGTCAAGAAATAGTGTTTCTTTCATTTGGATATGTTCCCAGATGTATAATTTTTATTGCTTTTGGGGGAAAAAAGAAATAAAGAGGACAAGATCATGGAGGTGGGAAGGATTGGTAGCTGGCATTTTTGCTTCAATAGATAATATCTTCAGCAAAAAGAGTTTTTTTCTGATATTGTCACCAGCTCCTAATAGATGTCCTTTGCTGCTTGTTTTATGTATTCCTATGCTTCTATGTTGCTACCTGGAATTGCAACATGTTTTAAAATATCACCAAGTTTAGGGCAATGTTTATCAGATGTAAAGGCCGCTATATATTTATGCCTTGCACTCCCCTGTGGCAGTGGAAGTGTGAAGAGCTAGATATCAATAAATATTCATGAGTGCCTCGGCAGACAAAATATATGACAAAAGTAAAGTGTGATTATAGTTTGAAAATATGCATGTAATGAAGACACAGCAATGACAAATGTCCATGGTTGAGTAAATATGAAGCCGAACAAATTGATTTAATAGAAAATATGAGAAAAATATGTTGAGTACTTGAATGTTAGAATCACAGTATTAATGGATCTTTGACATAGCTATGACATTTTTTACTGATGGTGGAAGATACTGTCTTCCATTTTGTCTGTCAAGAAGGGAAAGTTTGACAGTATAAAGTAAATTTGCAATGAAAGCTAACAATCAGTCTTTAGGCCATACCAATAGCAACTGATTGAGCTCTTAGGTGTTAACTTCAAGACAAACAAATGTATGTCCCTAAAGGGGGTCAGAAAATTTAGATCATTCCCAAGAAAAGCCATTATTTCTCACATCAAAAAAACTGCAAGCATGCAGAACCAATGGATGTAAGAACAATTTTGTCTGCTCCTTGCTCTTTTGAGCCCAAAATATATGGGTCTTCGTTTTTAGATTGCAATGGCCAAAATAAGAAATTGATATGATTGTCACCTTGCAGGCAACAGAGGAAACTTGAAATCTGTAAGTGTCATAAAAATTGCAAGTACTGTTGACTCAGATGTACTGAGAGGTTCACATTATCACTGCCAACTCTGCTACGTTGCCTACAAAGGAATCCACACACCAACACTGGTAAGTCCATTATTAAGATGGGATCCTGGCACAGATAGAATATATTTGATTTGGTTCATCAGTGCTCAGTAACTGAAGTAAAAAGGAATTGACACACAACAGATGGATGGAGATAAATTGGTATTACAGTGGTTAGGTGTGCTGACTTAGTAACTAGATTGCTATGGAACAAATTCTAGTTTTACCACTTTCTCATGTTGTTAACTTGGGCAAGAAACAACCAGTATAAATCTTTTTCCTCATAAGGAAAAATAACAAGTTTTCCTAGCACCATTTACCTGATAGAACTGCATAAGGAGAAAATAAGCTAACTCAATTAAAGCAATCTATACAATACCTGGCACTTAAAATTCAATAAAAGTTCATATATATATATATATATATATATATATATATATATACACACATACATATATTAATTACAAGTTAGGTGGTGTGTAGGTTAAATGAAATGATAACATCTTTTCTACTCAATTATGGTTTTTCAGTCATAAATATAATGGTCATGTTGGTCATTATTTTCAAAACAATGATAGGAAGAAATAAACTATACTTTTAAGTAGCTCCATTACAACACATAATTATTTTCCACCATTACTTCATGAATCTCTCTTGTTTAATAACAATTCAACTTCCAAACTTTCTTATATTTTCTTTCACAGTACAAAAAAATTAGAGCATGCACATGACTCTAATTCCTACTTCTGAATGTTTATGTTTCATTCTGTTTTTATTCTGTTATTGCTTTGGTTTCACTCTGTCAGCAAATTGAAACAGAAAAAGTAATGGAATATTTTAGGAATCTGTGTGTCACTAATCTATCAGATTATTTTCAATTAAAAATATCTTTAAAGTCTGATACTTATTTTGGAATGTATTCATTTAAATTTTAATCACAAGTTAATTTTACTTGACGATTTCAAACAGTCTTTTTTTTTTTTTTTTTTTTTTTTTTTTTTGAGACGGAGTCTTGCTCTGTTGCCCAGGCTGGAGTACAGTGGCGCAATCTCGGCTCGCTGCAGTCTCTGCCTGCCAGGTTCAAACAATTCTCCTGCCTCAGCCTCCCGAGTAGCTGGGACTACAGGCGTGTGCCACCATGCCTGGCTAATTTTTTTTTTTTTTTTGTATTTTTTAGTAGAGATGTGGTTTCACCATGCTGGCCAGGCTGGTCTCGAACTCCTGACCTCGTGATCCGCCCGCCTTGGCCTCCCAAAGTGCTGAGATTACAGGCGTGAGCCACCGCACCCGGCTACATGACAATTTCAAACTAAAGTTGCTCTCTTTTATAATTATTCCAACTTTTTTTCAATTTAATGACTCCTGACTTTTAAGTGGCGGATAACTGTTTTCAAACATGCCCTTCAGGATGCATTAAAACAGAAAACAACAAGACCTTTATATATTTATTTAAAAATTCTAATAAAATGACTAATTTTATTTTTTGTTTTATTTGTATTTTTTTAAAGTTTATTTTAGGTTCTGGAGTACATGTGCAGGTTTGTTATATAGGTGAACTTGGGTCATGGGGGTTTGCCGTACGGATTATTTCATCATCCAGGTACTAAGCCTAGTACCTAATGGTTATTTTTTCTGCTCATCTCCCTCCTCCTACCTTCCACCCTCAAGTTATCTCCAGTGTCTGTTGTTCTCTTCTTTGTGTTCATGTGTTCTCATCATTTAGCTCCCACTTATAGGTGAGGACATGCAGTATTTGGTTTTCTGTTCCTGTGTTAGTTTGCTAAGGATAATGGCTTCCAGGTCCATCCATGTTCCGACAAAGACATGGTCTTTTTCTCTGTTATGGCTGCATAGTAGTCCCCGGTGTGTGTACCACATTTTCTTTATCCGATCTGTCATTGATGGTCATTTAGGTTTATCCCATGTCTTTGCCATTGTGAATAGTGCTGCAGTGAACATTCATGTGCATATGTCTTTATGGTAGAGTGATTTCTAGTCCTGTCGGTATATACCCAATAATGGGGTTGCTGGGTCAAATGATAGATCATTTTTGAGCTCTTTGAGGAATCACCATCCTGCTTTCCACAATGGTTGGACTAATTTCCACTCCCATCAGCAGTGTATAAATGTTCCCTTTTCTCCATAACTTCACCAACATCTGTTATTTTTGACTTTCTGATAATAGAAATGGCTAACTTTACGTTATTGAATTTTACTGCTCCACAGCCATCTTTCCTTGTCCAGATTTTTGACACTTTTACTTAGTGCCTGGTGATATTGGGAAGCTAATTAGAAACACATGATTCAGTTTTCTTATCTGTAAAATGGAGATAATACTAGTATCCACCTTAAAGAATTTCTATAATATATACACAAATTAATAAGAATAAGGAACTTAAATAAATGACTGCAAAATAGTGAACAATTATTAGATATTACTCATTACAATTATTACAACGTGACAGGTACATTGCTAAAAGGATCATCTTTTAAATATCATTTTACAAATTGAAAATTAGGATTAAAAATGCTAAATGATATTCTCAAGGTCTTACAGTTAATCAATTCTAAGATCTGGTTTCAAATTTATCCTTTACTTTGCCATCATAAACAGTGATTATCTTCAAAATTATTTGAGTTATTTCTTTCTATTTATATATTAAAATCTATAGAAGGTTCAGGTGGGAAACAAATTTTTAATAACTTATTTTAATATCTTTAAACAAGGACTATTGCCTAAAAGGGGGATATTTACATATTAAGTTTAACTAAGATAATTCATATTAGAACTTTATCAGTAAAATAAGCAGTAAAATAATTTCTCCATGCTACAGTGTAATCTTTTTCAGGAATTTGAATGGCAGTGTAGTCAAAGTAAATAGGAAAAATTTTAAACTGCCCTTTAAAAGCCATGCATAATGACCTAGATACATGGGAATTCATTAAGAAAATCCTCACACAAAATTATTTATATTAATGATTATCAAATGTTGTTCTCTGGCAAATTGAGTTTCCTTGGAGACATTCTCAATTAAATACTAGCTAATCTCAGACACATCTTTTTTTAATGTGCATTATTTGTTTTAGCTTAATGGTCAGTTATGTAAAAACATGTTTGTTATGGTATTTTAAACACTATAATATTAATTTTGAGGTTTTTTTTTACTTGTACATCTTGTGCAGTTCATCTCCAATGTTTGTATTATTGGGAGGCAACAGAGATTAGGAATACCATTGGTGATCATAAGGTGTATTAGGGTTTTCCAGAAAGATAGAACCAACAGAATATATGAGAAGGGATTTATTAGTTTAAATTAACAATACTTAACTTATATAAAGCCAATAGATCTTATGTTACAAGATAAAGTAATAAGATAGGAGAAAACCAAAAATATTTGCTTAATATATGTGTATATATGCACAAATACATTCTTAGCAAAATAGGGAGGAAATACTCATGACAATTACAGTCCTCAGTTATGTAACTAATCACATGGTCATAGCTGCTATTGATAACTACCTTCTTATACTACCCATTCTGCATTCCATTTGCCTTGAGCAAGCACTTGGTTCTTTACTTGTCTTGGTAGCCCAAACCTTCATTCCTGAAATGCTGGACCTTTCCTAGTTCTGTCTTGATTGAATTGTTGTAGTTCTCCCATTGACTTTAATCATAATGTGTGGTAACATTAAGTGATACCCTACGGGATTTCCTGTATTCCAGATATACTCTTACTCACCTTTATTGTGGAGTAATAGTCCAATGTCCCCTTGGTATTGTGAATCAATCTCCCCTGCCAACATCATAGTTCCCTTCTTAGCCTATTGTCTCAGAGGCATGAAAAGCCTTAAGTGCCCAAGTGCTAGTTGTAGGTTCCAGTGCAATGGAATCATTGTTGTGTCTCCTAGTAGAAGCATTTCTCCCTCTGGAACTGAGACCTCTAAGCCAACAGAACATAATAATGTAACAGGAAGCAAACATTTTGCTAGTGGATCACTAGGGATAATGTGAGTAGTGTTACTCACATTTCAACTCCTTGATTCCTGGACCCAAGATTTCTGGATATGGGAGAAATAGTATCATATATTGGATACTGATGTAGAGCTTATACTGCCTTCTGTTTATGAAGACTATTTAAAGGTTGTATATGAAAGAGAATCTTGCACCAGGCCTGCAAAATATTGTCACCTAGGAGGTGCTATAATTGTAACTTAAAAGGATAATTCTTTGATTCCATCAAGCCAGCTGCATCAGGATGATGGGGAGCATGGTAAGAACAGTGAATTGCGTGAATATAAGCCCACTGCCACAATTCTTTGGCCATTAAATGTGGGATACCATGATAGTGGATAAGGCTTCCATAAGTCTATGATGGTAATTTTTGCAGAAGCATTGTGTGGAGAGAAGGCAAATTCACATTCAGTGTGTCTCTGCCAGTAAGGACAAAACACTGCCCCTTCAATGATGGAAGCAGTCCAATACAATAAATCTGCCATCAGGTAGGTGGCGATCACTCTAAGGAATGGAGCCATATCAAAATTCAATGTTGGTCTCTACTGCTGGGAGATTAGGCACTCAGAAGTGGCCATAGCCAGGTCAGCTTTGGTGAGTGGAAGTCCATGTTGCTGAGCCCACGCATAATCTGTATTCCTGCTACAATGGCCACTTTGTTCATAAGCCTATTGGGTGATTACAAGGGTGGCTGGGGAAGGAGGCTGAGTTGTACCCACAAAAAGTGTTAGTTTAGGAAACTGATTATCAAAATCCTCCTCTACTATGGTCACCCTTTGGGGAGCAATCACATGAGACACAAATATCTTTACATATTTTGCCCACTGAGAGAGGTCTATCCACATACCTCTTCCTCAAATTTCTTTGTCACAAATTTTCCAATCTTGTTCCTTCTTAGTCTTTGATCATCTAGCCAAACCATTGTCTACAGACAATAAATCAATATAATCACATTTCTGGCCATTTTTCCTTCCAAGTAAAATGTGCTATGAGGTCCTGCCCATTGGGAAGATTTCTCTTCACTGCTGTCCTTCAAAGATGTCCCAGAGAGAGACTGTAGTTCTCTGATTGTTCACTCTTAGGTCTCTGCATATCATGCAGAATCATCTGTAAACCAGGCCTTTGTCTTTTCTTCCTCTGTCAACTGATTATTCAGGAACTCTCCATGAAGTCACTGGGAGAAAAAAAGGCAATATAGCAGGAATAGAAACTGGGCATTCAGGTCACTTCTTCATGTAATTTACCTGTGCTTTCCAGACCTGATCAGGCCCGATCACATATATACCACTTCTATGTGATGACAGAATGCTGCTGTGCACGCCCAACTTTATGGTTTGGTGGGTTAGATAACTTTCAGTTCATGATAGGCAGCTCAGGTTGCATGGTAACTTGGTGACCCACAATCAAGAATTCAGTTTCTACTAAGGCTCAGTAGCAGGCCAAGAGCTGTTTCTCAACAGGAGAACAGTTATCTGTGAATGCTGGCAGGGCCTTGCTTCAAAATCCTAAAGAGCTCCATTGTGATTGACCTATAGGGGCCTGCCAAAGGCTCCAAACAGCATTCCAACCTATGAATGACATCTCAAATACCGTTAGAACTGCTGGATCATATGGCCCAAGGGCATAGCAGCTTGCACAGCAGCCTGGACCTGTTGCATAGCTTTCTCCTGTTCTGGCTCCACTCAAAACTAGCAGCTTTTTGGGTCATTCAGTAAATTGGCAGTAGTAATACACTCGAATTAGGAATGTGTTGCCTCCAAAATCCAAGTAGGCCCAATAGACATTATGCTTCTTTCTTGGTTGTAGGCGATGACAGATGCAACAACATGTCTTTCACCATAAAAGTGATATCGCCACAGGCACCGCACCACGGGACCCCTAGACATTTTACTTAGGTAGAAAGTTCCTGAATTTTAGTCTGATTTATTTCTCACCTTCTGACATGCAAATGTTTTACTAATAAGTTCAAAGTGGTTGCTATTTCTTGCACTCTAGGTCTAACCAGCATAATATTAGCCACATAATAGACCAGTATGATACCTTGTAAAAAAAAAAAATGGTCAAGAATTTGCAGAATCAAGATTAAAAATTTAGTTCACAGGGACAGAGTAAACTGTGACACAGGGCCGAACATTTAGTACACCATGAAGTATAGGTCAGTGAAGTGTATGGCTGGCCTTGCCAGCTGAAAGCAAATTGCTTCAGGTGGGCTTTATGAACATGTATGGAGAAGAAAGCATTTGCCAGATCAATAGCTGCATAGCAGGTACCACAGGATGTGTTAATTTGCTGAAGCGACGAAACCACATCTGGTACACCCACCGAAATTGGAGTCACCACTTGGTTAAACTTAGGATAATCCACTGTCATTCTCCAAGATCCATTTTTCTTCTGCATAGGCCTAATAGGAGAGTAGAATGGCAATGTGTTCTCAATCACCACCCCTGCAACTTTCAAGCCCTTGATAATGTCTAATTTCTGAAATCTTTCCAGGGATACAATATTGTTTTTGATTTACTATTTTCCTAGGTAGAGGTAGCTCTAAGGGCTTTTATTTGTCATTTCCTACCATGATAACCCTCACTTCACAGGTTAGGAGGCCAATGTGGGGATTCTGCTAGCTTCTAGGTATGCCTATTTCAATTATGCGTCTGGAACTTAGGAAATAACCACAAGATGGGTCCAGGGACCCACTAGACACACTGTAAGTTGGGACCGAGCTAAAACTTCTCTGATCATATGACCTTCATAAGCCCCACTCTCTGTGGAGGGCCACAGTGATGTTTCCGTTCTCCTGGAATCAATGATAGTTCAGACCCAGCGTCCAGTAATCCCTGAAAGGTCTTATTATTTTCCCTTCCCCACTGCACAGTTACCAAGGTAAAAGGCCAGAGGTTCCTTTGGGGAAGGATGGGGAGAGACTAACAGCATAAAATCTCACTAGTGTATTACAGTCCTTCCTTAAAGGGACCCATCCTCCCCTTCATTCAAGGAGTTCACGGTCTATAAACTGGCTCAAGTCTGGAAATTAAGAGGCTGCGATTCTGTTTTTATGGGTTGACTTAGATTTTTATTCCCTAGACCTGGAAGTTTTCTGCTTATACAGATCAAGTTAGAATGTAATAGGCTTCTCATCTGTTTTACTTCTAGGAACACCAGGATTATTTCATCAACAACATAGGTTTACACAAGTCAGGCTATTCTGATTGTTGCTTTGTCTCTGTTGCCCATTACAGTAACAATGTCTGCCTTGCCTTTGGTAATTGAGTCTGCCAGTTGGCGACTTCTACTTTGGGGTACAATTATTTCTATTGCATTTAAATTTTCCAAATGAGTTACTGAAGTTTCTTCTGTAAGATCTGGCATACAGAGAAGAGCAATTACAAAACTCTTCTGGAATGCTGGTGCTCCTCTCACAAATCCATTTCTCAAAGTGCTACTGAAAGATGTTATCTTCTGAACCCTTGCAGTGTGAGTAGGTTTTACATGGCAAATCCACTCTAGCATTCCGATTTTCCTAAGCCTTTGAATCCCTACCCTTAAATTAAACCAAGGGAGATCAGACATCTCCAACCCACTCCCAACGAGCCATCTTTTCATCTGTGTTTCATCCAACCAACCAAACTATTGGTGCTTTTTTTTCTTAACTCCCTGAGCTGCAACATTAAATGCTTAGCAGGCCCATATCAATAAATTTGACGTAATCCAACTTTTATGGTTTTTTTTTCCACCATTATCCCATACCCTTAATATCCGTTTCTGCAAGTGTTCCCTAGATTCCTGTTTATATACATTAAGAAGATCAAGTAGTTCTTTTGAAACTTAGTGCACCTCTTCATGGGTCACATTTTGTACCTCACATTTAGGAATCTGCTGGGACTCAGTCTAGTTATATGTGCAGAAGTCAAGGGAGTTGTGGGTGGGGTATGTCCTAAGGAGAATAAGCATTGTCTTTCCTGACAGCTGCTTCAGGGGAGACCATTACTCTTTCATCAGGCAATGCAGGCTTAACTCACTCAGAGGTGGAAAAGCCAATACCACTGGGGCTGAGGGTGAGGGCACTGCTGCTACTAAGACCACTTCCCCTGACAAAACTCATCAGAATTCAGGAGCTCAATGTCCCCAGCTTCCTCGAGTCAAGTCCCCCCTGACACATCACCATTCCAGCTCACAGGATCCCATTCTTTCCCAATCGATGCCCCCCACTTCAACAGTACACACCCTGCAAGGCTGAGAGTTCACATTTTATTGTAAATCAGCCAATTGCAAGGTGAGGACTTGTATTTGATTTTAAGCAATTTCAACCCTGTGGCTACAGGAGAGAATATTCTCCTTCAGGGCACATTAGAATCTTCTAGGATATTTATGTGCGTCTGGAGCTGAGGATTCCAATTCCTGAGCTCATCCATTTCTTTCACCACATTCTCCAGCAATGTTAGGAGCAACCAACCAATGTCATTATATCCCTTGGTTTTCCACAAATGTTCGAAAGAATCATGCAGAATCATCAAGTTCCTTGTGTCTCGTAAGTGGTGAATTAGGAGTATCAGGTGAATTTATTTTGTGTATCTCTAGAAACAGTTAATGCCATGGATTATCAGTGTTCTCTATACAATTAGAAGTAGAGTCCTTAGCATTTTTAGGAAGAATCAGATTAGAAAGCCAAAGATATGCCAAAACCAGCTAAGAAAATTTATTCTTAAAATTCTAGAACTACTCCTCATACCCAAATAGGATCTGTAGGAAAGGATTTATTAGCTTGAATTGGCTCACACAATCACAGAGTCAGAGCAGACCCACAATAGGCCCTCTGCAAGTTGGATAACAAGAGAAGACAGTAGCCTGGCTCAGCCCAGAAGCCTCAGAATCAAGGAAGCTAGTGAAGCCTCCAACCTGAGACTAAAAGCCCGAGAGTCCCCAGGAGGCTGCTGGTGCAAGTCCCAGAGTCCAAAAGGCAAAGAGCCTGGAGTTTGATGTCTAAAGGCAGGAGGAAAAAAAGGCATCCCACTCTGGGAGGGAGAGAGACAGAGCAGAGAGTAAGAAATTTTCTGTTTTCCTATCGGTTTGTTTCAGCCAGGTCCCCAACCAACTGATCAGTGCCTGCCCTTATCAAGAGCAAGTCTTCCTCTCTCAGTCCACTAACTCACACGTTAGTCTTCTCTGGAAATACCCTCACAGGCATGCTCAGAAATAATGCTTCACCAGCCGTTTAAGCATCCCTTAATTCAGTCACATTGACAACTAAAAATTAACCAACATGTAAGTGTAGCTGGGGGGTTTACTAGCTGTGAAACTTTGAGTAAGTTGATTAACCTCTGGAACCCTAAATTACTTACTCTGAAAAATGGGATCAATAAATGTGATGATTAAATAAGATAACATATTAGGAGGTGATATGGTTTAGTTGTGTCTCCACCAAATCTCACCTTGAATTGTAATAATCCCCACATGTCAAGGGCAGGGCCAGGTGGAGGTAATTGAATCACGGGGTGAGGTTTCCTCATACTGTTCATGTGATAGTAAATAAGTCTTACAAGATCTGAGATCTGATAGTTTTATAAATGGTAGTTTCCCTACACAAGCTCTGTCTTGCCAGCCATGTAAGACGTCTTTTTGTTCATTCTTAATCTTCTGACATGATTGTGAGGCATGTGGAACTGTGAGTCCATTAAACCTCTTTCCTTTATAAACCACCCAGGCTTGGGTATGTCTTTATCAGCAGCATGAGAACAGACTAATGCAGGCAGTTTCTTGGTATATACTATAAATTTACCACTCAAATACCTGATTAAGGACATGCTTCTTCTATTATATATTTGGTTTAAATTCTTACAAATATGAAAGTATAGTAAGCAGAACAATGTCCCCCCTCCAAGATTCTTATGTTCTAACACCCAGAATTTGTAAATATAGTTTCTTATAAGGTAAACACTTTGTAAATGCAATTAAGAATCTTACAATGAAGTCATCTTGGATTTTCCAGGTGGATCCAATGTAATCCAAGGGTCCTTATTCAGAAAACAGTATGCTGGATGATCCAGGTAGACTCAGCGTAATCACATATGCCCTAAAAAAAGAAAGAGGAAGGAAGGAGAGTCAGAAAAAGAGATGTGATGATAGAAGCAAAAATCAGAATGAAGGCTGGGCATGGTGGCTCACGCCTGTAATCCCAGTACTTTGGGGGGCTGAGGTGGGCAGATCACCTGAGGCTAGGAGTTCAAGACCAGCCTAGCCTGGTCAATATGGTGAAACTCCATCTCTACTAAAAATACAAAAATTAGTTGGGCATGGTGGTGCATGCCTGTAGTCCTAGCTCCTCCGGAGGCTGAGGCAGAATTGCTTGAACCCGGGAGGCAGAGGTTGAAGTGAGCCGAAATTATGCCACTGCACTCCAGCCTTGGCAACAGAGTGAGACTCCATCTCAAAAAAAAAAAAAAAATCAGAGTGAGGTAAGGTGGTTTTGGAGATAGAGGAAGGGGCCACATGAGGAATACAGACAACCTCTAGAAACTGGAATAGGCAAGAAAATGGATTCTCTCCTAGAGCATTCATAAGAAAAAGTGGCCCTGCAAACACCATGATGTTAGCCCTCAAAACATCACATATTTCTGCATAACCATCCAGAGGAAAGAAAAAAGTCACCTAAAATAGATTTGTGGTGATGCTGCCATGTCTTTAATGAAGACTTCATTGTATTATTATTGGGAGCAATTTGTTTCCTTTGTGTCTAAGTTTGTTTGATAAATTATAGGGTGCCGAGTTAAATTTAATTTCAAATAAATGATGAATAATATTTTAGTATAAGTATACCCTATACAATATTTAGGACATACATATTCTAAAAAGAGATTGTGATTTTCAGAAATTTAAATTTAACTTGGCATCTTGTATTTTTATTTGTTAAATCTGGCAACTATATTTTTGTCAAAACCTTCTGCTTGCAGGCTTTATTCTGGGACTTAGCTTTGCATAATGAAAGTGTCCATTAAATTATTTTGTCAAATGAGAGAACAGTCTTTTTCCAAATATGAATTATGCACAAAAATACATAAGAATACTTGTAAAAGCATCATTGTTACTAGATTTTGAAACATCCTTCACTCTTGTCATTAATTGTGAAAGTATCAATAGTAATAGTAGTAGAAACAATAGTGTTGGTAACAGAAATATTATGTCTCATTTTAAAACACTAGTAATTAAAAATTGCTAGTAATTCAAATTAGAAAAAAGTTCCATCTCTCCTCTTGGAAGATCTGTAATAGTGTGTTTAAGGATACTTTGTGATTAACACTTAATGTCTTTAGAAATAGTTACCATTCACAAGAGTTTGCCAGGTTTTCCTCAATGGTGCATAACAAAAATAGATATATTGTATGCTGGGTTTTAAAGCAGAAAGCAATCCTCATTCATCATTAAATGAATCATCAAATATATTATTTCTGTTAAATCATCAAACTAATCACCAAAACTATTTATCAAAATCATTTTATTATTCCAAATGATTTTAAACTCACACCTAATTTATAAAATCATTTTATATCGTTTAAATAGCAGTTTTAACTTATGTGAGACATTATAAAATTTTTTTTGTATAGAAGAGTTCAACTGCATTATAAAAAGTGAAAAATGCTACTTAAAATGGACTTTTTAAATGAAATTCTATTAAATATGTTGGGTAAACCTTTTAAATGTACTGAAGATACAACATAATCATATTTAGGTTAATCGCTTATTAAATTTCTTATGAAAAAAATTTTGTAGTAATGCTGCTTATAGTCATGCTTCTGTCTCTATTTATACCTATCTACCCTGTAAACACCTCAAATAGTAGATAATTATTAATTAATTTTTAAATGTAGTCAATTACTTCACAAGGGAAAGACTAGGCTTAGGTTCATATTTATTATTAGCTTTATGAAAGCTATATGCCAAAGTTTATTATATATGTATAAAACGATTGCTAATATGTGGCCAATATAATCATTTTAAACT
Organism: Homo sapiens; assembly: GCF_000001405.40. Taxonomy (NCBI): domain Eukaryota; kingdom Metazoa; phylum Chordata; class Mammalia; order Primates; family Hominidae; genus Homo; species Homo sapiens. Next base: position 66,228,990 of record NC_000018.10, on the reverse strand, counting down.
GTCTTGCATTGTCCATTATCTAACTTAGTCATCCTGTCATTCAAATAAAACCAAACAGAATGGTAATTCAGTTGAAACTTATGCTATAAAGTTTCCATCAACTAAAATCTCTTTGCTCTGATATAAGCTTTTATAAAACCCGTAAATGAACATTTGTTCCCATTAGCTTCACATACTTAATAATTTCATGTCTAACTTCCTGATATGATGCACTTTATAATTTCATGTCTAACTTCCTGATATGATGCTCCTTACATCCATCTCATTGAACTATAAAATAAATAAAAAGCATCCTTCTGGAAGCCTGGGGAAGACCTCTGTTTTGTTTATTGTGACAATGTGTCTACCACATGGGGATCACTGAGTATATCTGAAACCTGTTAATCCAGGTGTTATCCACACCTTTCAGAATTGCATCAATTTATTTAATCTGCCATGTTTATATCTCTTATAAACTATCCACACCTTTCAGCATTGCATCAATTTATGTAATCTGCCATGTTTATATGTCTTATAAACTACAGATATACCAAGTAATATAGGGTTTATGCAGCATCAAAATAAATCATTGCAAGGACACATGCTTTTCAGATAGTAAATTTGAATTGTATATTTTCCAACTTGCAGTTTATCTGTAAGGCGTATAATGTTCCAAATTAGGAAAAGTGAAAGTGCTATACAGGTTGCTGTAGAGAACCTGTATCTGTATCAGGCATCCAGTTGCTCTTAATGGCCAATTCCAAGACCTAGATCACATTTCCAGAAAGAAGTTGAATTGAATCATGTGGTGCTTTGTTCAGCAGCTAATTCTACTCAAGGCTTCAGTGATCCATTATTCTTTTTGTGTAAGATTGTTGAAAAGGGCTGTATAATCAGATGATATTCTGTGCATCACAGATTCAGATACAATGCATCTATCTTTGAAGGCAGCTTTAGCAAACACTATGCTATATGTTGCATGTTAATCAAGGCAGCAAGAAGTCATTGTTATCTTTTATTAACTTAGCAATGAATGAATCTAAATACACATAGTCCTTGACTTACAATGGTTAACTTAAAATTTTTTTGGCTTTTTAATGCTACAAATGTGATATGAATTCAGTAGAATTCATACTTTGAATTTTGATCTTTCCCTGAGCTAGCAAGATCAGTATAATACTCGCCGTTCATGCTGGACAGTAGCACTGAGCCACAGCTCCCAGTAAGCCACACCACCACGAAGGTAAACACTCCTTTCCAGGTTTTTTTTTGGATATTGTGGTTTGTGTTTTTGCATTCCATTATGTCTACAAAACGCCCATTTTGACTCAGGATATTTTCAATTTGGGATGAATTTATGCAGACATAACCCCTACCATAGACAGAAGAGCATCTGTGTGTTTGTGTGTGTGTATGTGTGTGTGCAAATATTTCAAATCTTATTTATAAATCCTTCATTTTATCACTAGAGCAATATAAACATGTTTCATGTAGCTTATCACTGAATCATTTACTTTTCTATTATTCCAACTGTTTTTTCCATGTAAGGTAAATAAAAAATTTAAATGAACTTTAAGAAAGTTTATTTCCAACTTTGGCAAAATGTAGGAACATATGTTTAGATAGAAACACTAGGAAATATTTCTAAAAAACCACATTAAAAAAACCGTTGAGTAGGTAGTTTTCTTGGAGGAATCATTTGCATGCTATATAAAATGCCATCTTAAATGAGAAGGAATTTCCCACACTGCTCCCCTCCCCTGCCACACTCACGCACATGGGTCAAACACCAGTCGCCATATCAAGTGTGATATCTTTGTCCTAGAAACAAATTTGGATTTAATAATCTTTAAGCACCATATGCCATATTATTTCAAACTAGCACAAGAGTTGAGCACATAATGTGGTGAAGGTGCAGTGAGTAAGGACAAATGAAGGAGGGCAGGCTAATGTCACGACAAAACCAACAGGTTCTGGAATTGGTCTAGCAGGTTTTGAATACCAGGCACTTGTGTTCTTGAGCAAGCTTCCTGGCCTCTGTTCTGATATTTTGTCCTCATGTAAAGGGGATGATGTAATCAATCATGACTACATAATGAAACTTCAGTAACAGCTCTTGACACCAAGGCTTAGGAGAGCTTTCCTGATAGGCAATACTTTGTGTATATAACTAAATATCAAACTGCTCGGAGGGTGACAGGTGTTCTGACCTAATGGGACAAAGATAAAGGAAGCTTCACATCTGGGACCTCCCAAGACCTCACACTATGCAACTCTCCTTTTGGTTGCTTCTGATTGGCATCTCTTTTGCAAAGGCAGATTTTGAGGATTCAAGATTTTGCAAATGAAGAGAATAAAGCAGCTACTGGTATATCAGATAAGACGTTGTTATTGGGAATTAATGGAAGCCTCAAATCAAGCCATGGTAAAAATACTCTAAAATGATAAAAAGCTTCCGGGTTGGGTGATTTAGGGCTTCACCCAATATGGAAGAGATGCCAGTTCTCTTCCTTCACTTTGCTCTGTCATTCTCACATTTTTTTTTAATTACACCCAAAAAGTATATGAGGGAAAACCAATGAGAAAAATGTTAACCACTAGGAAACTTAGAAAAAAAGAGTATATGTCAACTGATAGAAAAAGTGAAAAGTGAGAAGCAGTAACATAAAACACTTAACGAAAATTTTCTGTCTTTTCCATCAATTGATTATTTTAACATCCTTTGAGATGATGCCTTCTTTTTCAACCTCTTTTTTTGTTCTTTTTTGTGAATTAATGAACTATTTTTTAGCACAGGTTTAGATTTATGGAATAATTTAACAAATAGTATATAGAATTCAACATCTTATTTTTCTTCTTATCAGAATATTTTTAGATAACTTTTTCAAATTAAATAGATTCTATGAGTATATAACATTAACTATATGCTTATAAAATGAGTTAATAGTATATAATTAATAGAATTATTAATATAATTAATGATATAGAATTATAAATAGATAAATAAAATATTTAATTTGTTTTTGGCAATGGCTTCTTCCTAATAGAATTTAGAGCATTTTTTAAAAATAATTAAGGATTAAAATATAAATAAACAACTGCTTTAAAAAGCATAAGTAAAAAAAAAAAAAAGACTCCTAGAAACTTCTGATATTGATTTTCTTGAGCCTTAAAAATGTATAACTATGTAACAAACCTGCATGTTCTGCATAGATACCCCATAACTTAAAGTATAATAATAAAAAAACCCTAAAATTTATTGTATTTTAAGGTAAACATTGTTCTCAATATTGGCAGTCTGTGTTTAACTATTTGCCATATTTCATTTTTAGCAGACTAAGTTATTTGATTATTAAAAACTCAGTTGCAAAGCTGTTGAAATGTCGACTATATTGAGAAAATTTATATTTATAAAATATTTTGAAAATTTTCTTCTTTTTTCCTGGGAAAATAGCATATATGTGTGTATGTGTATATGCGTGTGTGTGTGTGTGTGTGTGTGTTTATAAATTATTCAAACCACAGACTTTTTTACAAAAACTATGAAAAAATGTATACACATTCACTCATACTCATACACAGATTTGAAGTTGTAAACCAATTCATATTTGGTATGGAGTAGATTCTTGTTCTTTTATTACGAAAATAATGTAGCAAACTATCTGCATCCTGATCTAGTGTTTAACTGAGATTTGTTTTTTAATCTTAGTTTTTTTTCTTTTTGAGACGGTGTCTCACCCTGTTGCCCAGGCTGGAGTGCAGTGGTGGAACCTCAGCTCACTGCAACCTCCACCTCCTGGGTTCAAGCGATTCTCCTGCCCAGCCTCCCGAGTAGCTGGGATTACAGGTGCGTGCCACCATGTCCAGCTAATTTTTTGTATCTTTAGTAGAGATGGGGTTTCACCATGTCGGCCAGGCTGGTCTCGAACACCTGACCTTGTGATCCGCCTGCCTTGGCCTCCCAACATGCTGGGATTACAGGTGTGAGCCACCGCGTCTGGCCTATCTTACTTTCAGCCAAGAGAAATTTTTATAATAAAATATTCTTACTCTTTAGAATAAATATATTAATCTTTAACTCTTTAAAGATCTTATTCTTTAAAATAAACACTTACTATATATAGTATTGTTTGATGAAGACATAAATAAAATAAATATTTTTTCCACTTGACTTATTTAACACATTACTTTGATGGATTTGAATATTACTTTTGTGTTACCTCTTAAAATGAATAATAGAAGAATACATGTGTCAATTGATAGAACTTTTATTAGATAGCATTATTTTTATATTCTGAAAGATATTAATTTAATTATTTAATTTAAACTTTAAATGACATTTAAAGAAGTATCCTGTATTCATGCGACTAACCCAGGTGCTAATCATATGTATATTATTATTGGTTATTGAAAGCCATTGTCAATTTAATTGATCATATATTTATTGAGCTTCTATTATGTGGCAATCACTTGCTAGCCAATGAGATTACAATGAAGAACAACAGATGAATCCAAAACATGTTTACAATTTGTTCACAATTTTCAGCATTTAGTTTCACTTAAGTTTTAAGTGTAAATAAAAACAAATAAACAATATTGACGTATCCAGTTTTCCCAGACTATTTGGATTAGGAATAAAGAACAAAACAGTATTTGCTTCATGGGAACACAGTTATCATAGAGGAGTGCACTATAAATGGTAAGCCAATTTATCATTTATCTTCACTTCCCTGCTGGATAGAGGTATGCTTGTTATATACTCACTAATGCAATTAATTCTTGAGAATGTCTTATAAACAAAGAGCAGAATGCACTGGCTTCTTAGAATGAGTTTATATTTCAGATAATAAGTAGTCTTAAAAATAGAATGGATTTGACATCGGAAAGCCCAATTTATTTTTGAAACAAGGAATATAATCTATTTATTTGTAGTAAATTTCCTGGAAAAGCTGTGATCGTTACTCAAGTACAGATTAAAAATTACTCAGAATAAAAATTTAAATATTCTTAGATTTATCTACTTAGTTTTCACATGAATACTGCAGAATCCAGCCCAATTTACACTCATTCTCTTTGGGCATTCTTACAAAACTAAAAACAAAAACACTTCTCAATTTCGTATTTGCAACTGATATCAGTAAGCTGGGAGAGGTCCCCAAATGCCAGTAGTGTTACTGGGGAATCCTTGCTCCCAGAGGTCCCAAGATGGTGGCAGGCCGCTTCGAAGATGGCGGCAGGCCAATTTCAAGACGGTGGCAGGCCTCGTGTTCTCTGACCTGGGGTTCTTGGCCTCAGGGATTCCAAGGAATGGAATCTTGGGCCATGTGGTGAGTGTTATAGCTCTGTTAGAAGCTGTGGGTCATGGAAGAGAACCATGGAACCCAGTGACTAGTGTTCAGCTCGATTAGGACGAACCTGGGCACTTAGCCATGCAGGAACAATGGCAAGCCGCTAGCCCGATCAGGAGTGGCAATGGGCGCCTCACTGGATCAGGAGCACAGCGGACACCCTGCCGGTTCTGGAGGGATGGAAGTCAGCGGCAGGTCTGCGATGGCGGCAAACAGCAGTGGTGGACTGCAAGCAAAAGCTCAGCTCCAGCCATAACAAACACGGACCAAAGAGAGTGCAGTTGCAAGATTTAATAGAGTGAAGACAGAGCTCTGGTACAGACGGAGGGGACCCAAAGAGGGTAGCTGTTGCTGGCTTGAATGCCTGGATTTATATCCCAATCATTGTCCCTCCTGCTGTGCTCTCAGGCAATAGATGATTGGCTATTTCTTTACCTCCTGTTTTTGCCTAATTAGCATTTTAGTGAGCTCTCTTTCCTATCTGATTGGTCGACTGTGAGCTAAGTTGCAAGCCCCATGTTTAAAGGTGGATGCCGCCACCTTCCCAGCTAGGCTTAGGGATTCTTAGTCGGCCTAGGAAATCCAGCTAGTCCTGTCTCTCGGTAGCACCTCGACCCCAGTCGTTGTCCAGGGTCTTGACACCATCACTAAGAAGGAAATCAAGGATGAGTCCAAAAACAGTTAAAGTATGGAGATTTATTGCAAAGGGAAATGTACACACTCAAGAAAAGAGGGTGTGAGTAGCAGTGGGGCTGCTACATTTCTGTTTTGTTTTTTTTTTTTAAAGCAAGCTATGAAATATTTATGAAGATTCCTGAAAAAAGGCAGAGTTCTCAGACCTGTGGTGCCATTCATTTTTACATCAAATATGGATCCTCCTGGAACTGTTATGGTGCTGGTCGGTGTGTGATTTAGTATTAATGAGTGTATAATGAAGTCCGAGGAGAAACCTAGGTCAAATCCAGCAGCATGTTGGGTCCAGTTGGTCTTAGCCAGCTTGGCCCATGCCCTGGTTTTTCAGAGTCATAACCAGCCCCTAGCTTATGTGACTAATTCAACAGTTACCTTTTCTCAGTCATGTGAAACTGCTGCTTGGAATTTCCTATTCTCCTGCAACCACCCTATATTATTGCTGTCTTACAGTGACTTCTGATTTAACTACCTCGGGTGAGGCCAAACTTCACAGGTTAAGGGTACAGTGCTCTACAGGACTGTTCTCACTGCAGACACTAGCCACAAACTTGGGGTTCCCAGGGTCATCCTCACTTCTGACCAACTGACTATAAAGTCAAAGGTTCACACTGGTCTCTTGGGTTTCATAATTCACTAGCATGACTCACAGAGCTCAGGAAAGCTCTGTACTTTTGATTATAATTTTATTGTCACAGAAAGGATACTGTGACTGACTTACTGATAAAATTCAGTAAATCCAGATCCCACATTATGCAACTCTCCTTTTGGCTGATTCTGATTTCAGTTGAAATAGTTGAAAGTTTAAGGCTGATTGGGCTTTTAGATGGAATTGCTATAAGTTGTACTATTGGATAATAAGAAATTTAGCTGGTCTTTGTTGATCCTTAGAGGTAGCCTAGAATAAAAAATTTGGCTGGACTTCGTTCCCAGTTCCTTCAAAATAGCTTCTAAATCTGTAATTCCCTAAAAGTTGTGTCTTTGTTATTCATGTTGAGCCCTGGTAGTTTATGCTAATAAACTGACTCATGATGGGCTTCTAGATAATTTAAGCTAAGGAGATATTTCAGTATGGAGGCTAGTGATGTCAGAAAGACTAACCATGTGATTAGAGGATTGGGAGCTCAAGTCACATGACATGAACCTAACCTCTGAAGAGGGAAAGAGGGACTGGATTGAGTTCAGTCTCATGGCCAATCACGTATTCAATCATGCCTATGTCATTAAACTCCAGTAAAAGCTCTGGACTCCAAAGCTTAGGGGAACTTTCCTGTTTGGCAATATTTTGTTCTAAACTTCTTATTATACGATAGTATAACTTATAGCAATTTCATCTAAAAACCCAATCAGCTTTAAACTTCGAACTATTTCTGTAATCTTTAAATTATTTCTTTAACTGTTCTTAGGATCCTACCCATTTCCCCACCCCCATCTACTTTGGCAATTTGCCTTGATTGTTTGTCTGCACATGACTTCTCTGCCTGTGAAATACTTTCCACACCCATCACATTAGCTGCTTAGGTCCTTCCTACCTAAATCCATGCTGAGCATCATAGCCTTATAATTTATTCTTCATCCCTTTAATCTCCTCCCTTCAAACAGTGAAGTTCTCTGCTGCCAGCAGGAAATGTTCTTGTCTCCTAGAAAATCATCAGTACCTACTTATTGATACATTATATACCAGATTTCTTTTTCTGATTTTGGAAGTTCTTCTTTGGTCCATTAATAGAACTTTCCAAATATGCTTATCACTCCACAACTTCATCCTCTACATGTTATTAATATCATATAGACAATTGTCTTGCCTTAAAATTAATTCGATATTTATATATTTTCCATTATACTTAGTGTCTGAAGTTTAAGTATTTTGTCTTATTTATCTTTGTATTCACCTTGAGTTTTAATAAGTTTACATGGCTATGCTATGTATGTGTTTAGATTAGGGTCTGAAATATGGTAACCTTTATTATGTATAGGTGTCTTTGGTTACCTAATTCTCAAAACTCGAAGATCAAATGTATCTGGTCTTTTTAATTCACTAGATGGGAGCATTTGCCAAGGCTATGCACAATACAGGGTCTCTAAACTGAAAGATTTTAGATACTAAAAAGCCAGACATGATAAATGTCAAATCAATCTGCAACTTTAGCTAAAACATAAACGCATATCCTTTTTCCCCATATATATAGCTCTGTATATAAATAATTCACATAATATAACTCAAATTTTTTGAACTATTGAAAATAAATGTTCCCTTTAGACAGTGCCTAGTTTCATCACTAAGCTCATCCACCTCCTAGCCAAGGATCTCTGAGTGGTATCTATTCCTCCTGTCTTTCTCTTATGATGCATCTCTGCAATCCGTACATTAAATGATAGTTACTTAGTCCCACAAAGCCCATATACAGTCATAAGGTTCAGGACATGAAACTCCAAACTATGGCACCTTGACGTATGAGAAAATAGCAGAAGCAGGAAGGTCTCTCCCACCTTTCACTGAAGCAGGTCATAAAACCTAGGAAGGTCACTCTCTAACTTTCTCCCACTCTCCTCCCCTAAAACAGGTCAGAAGACTTTCACTGGAGATATCCCTCCCTATGCCTGGAAGAAAGGAATATTCTTATCTCTGAAGACATTGGGAAACACAATAATAGCTGAAAAACAGGCCTTGCTAACTTCTCTCCAGTTTATTATTAGATGATACATTTTTATCCAATCATATTTCTCCATCACTACCCACTTCTCCATCAGAACTAGCCTTAAAATGCATAGGTTTACATATTTTTTAGTCTTCATTTCCACAGTTCCCTTGTCACACTAAAACTATATTAAGTAAATTTATATGTTTTTCTCTTGTCCATTTGTCTTTTGTTATAGGGGCTCAACCATAAACCTGTAGAAATTGCAATTTTTGTTATTGGTCATGAGAGTGTGCTGTCTTTTATTTATTTATTTATTTATTTATTTATTTATTTAATTTTAGAGATGGAATCTTTCTCTGTTGCCCAGGCTGGAGTGCAGTGGTGCCATCGTGGCTCACTGCAACCTCCACCTCCCAGGTGGAAGTGATTCTCCTTCCTCAGCTTCCCAAGTAGTTGGGATTACAGGTGCCTGCCACTACACCCAGCTAATTTTTGTATTTTTAGTAGAGACGAGGTTTCACCATGTTGATCAGGTTGGTCTTGAACTCCTGGCCTCAAGTGATCTGCCCACCTCAGCCTCCCAAAGTGCTGGGACTACAGGTGTGGGCCACCACACCCGGCATTTGCTGTCTTTTGTGTTTCTCTTACTACCCTTCTTTACTTTGTCCTTTTGTCTTTATTTAGCATCTAACCCAGTCAATGTATTTTAACCAGTTAGTCCGTGGACTACATTAAAATAGTCTCAAAATTTTTTTCATTGACATTTAACATTGGGTTCTATTATACAAGCAGGCATTCCAGTTAAATATCTAGATTCTACTCATTATACTTTTACTAGTATATGGGTATTTCCTTTTTATTGATATGGTTAACCACTTCACTGACACAGATCTTTGTGTTGTTGATTGATCCATTAAAAAGAGGAACCCCGAACTGTTACGTGAACTGTGATGAAGAAGTACCTCTCATCCCCACTGAAATGGTAAAGTCCATGAAACTGCAACACCGCCACCCAATATCAGGACAGAACAAACAATCAGAAAACAAAAACCTCAACAAAGTTATCTCAGATAGGGTGGTCTTTCCCTACCCAATGTATTTGAGAAAAGCCCCTAAGAAATTTCACTGGTATTTATGAATCCTTGTATGAGTAGCTCTTAATACATCAAAACCATAAATCTGCCTCCATGGATTATTAGATTACTTTCTTTATTGTATACCAAAGATTTTTTTGACATCATGATATTATTTAGCATTTATTCTTAATATATACATAAATAATTTCATGATTCATAAGACAAAAAACACTTTTAAGAAAAAGAAATTAAATAATGTAAAACCAGTACTAGCTTGTTAAGCTAGAAGGTTCAATGCATTTCCTCTAATTAGTAAAACCGTGGGGACAATTTTATCCCTATCTGGACTCAACTCTTCTCTTCTCTTTAAAATCACACATTTTTCTTAAATTGTTTGCAATTTAAATTAGTAAATTTCTGCAGCTCTTATGGGATGAAAGACTTCTACAAAGATTGAATTTGGAATTGCCTCTTCAAGATTTTTTTTATCTAAACCAAATCTGAGTCTATAGAACTATACACAATAGAGAAGCTTTCAGGATGGCAAATAGTTTTCTATTTTGAAGAACCCATTTGGGTGGTAATATTCAATTAAGACAAGAACAGAGTTGTCACTCGAAAAATATAGGACTTCTTCGGTTGCCAAGAAAACTTCGCTGGATTTTGGACCCAGGATAACTTCAGGTCCTCAAAAATATGTCTTTTGTTATTATCATAGTCTCTTATCTGATAAATACCAAAGCTTTCATGTAGGAGACCTGATGAAGTTGTAAATTTTCTGCATCCTTTAATATTTAGAATTATTTAGAATTTCTGCATCCTGTAGATATAAATTGATGCAGGTACAGTATTTACCTACAATATTAGAGCACTGAAAATGTTATACAGAATAAACTGTTTTAGAATAGTTATAGAAATCCTCTGTGGTTTCTACTATTTCTTGTATTAAGAATTTTGTAATTTAAGTTTATTATTTCTTTTATTTATGGTTATTCAACCACCTCATCCACAGATAAGTAATTCTTGATGGATTCTCAAAGCTTTGCCTTCAGTGGAGAATTTACACAGGTGACTCTAAGAAATAATATAGTTAGTCATCATGCTATTGCATACCAAGTGTGCAATATTCCAGATTTTGATTCTTAGCTGGTTTGCATTTGCCTTCAGCCCCAATTGGATCAAGGATTCATTTTCTAATTTTACCTATTTCTCTGAACCTCATTTATAATAAAATATCCTGACTAATCAGGTTTCTTGTTTCTAAATAGAAACTCTACTTAATTATAGAAAACATTTATTAGAAGGGGACTGGGTACCTCACAGGATTTATTGGAACACTAGAAAATTAAGCTAAAGAATTAGAAAGGATAAGGAAATGCTAGATGCTAAGATATGTATCCAAAATACCTTATGATTAAGATGAGGTTATTTGTCTATTACCTCTGCTTCTGACCTCAAAAGTGCTGACACCACTTGACACAGTATCATTTCAATAAATAATAGTGTTTAAGTAGCTTTCTGGTTTGAAAGATTTCTATAATATCTCCCATTGTTCCACTTCTTATGGCATTAATAAGCTTAACATAAGAGCAAAAGAAGGGATAATACATGGAAGGGGAAAAGACTAGTTTCATAAATGTTATCCATTGCTTAATTTTATTAAATGATGAAGCTTTATGAAAAAGTTAGGGAAAATATCTTAAAAGCTATTTGAAGTAGAAACACAATCATGTGAATGCAAGTTAGTTAAATACTAAATCTCCATGTATTCCTTTTTCTATATTTAAGAGGTACTTAGAAGGCTAGCTGATTTGATGTTTAAATACTTCTTAAACCTCTTATCTAACTGCCTCGAGGAAAGTTCTAGTGCTAGTATATTTAATGTGGCATGCTTTTCAATATTTCACTAGAATCACCTAAAACTCCAGAGAACTCACATTCTTTATGAGTCTCATAAATGGTGTCATTTTTAAGAGCACAATTTCAAAAGGCACATATGAGAATATAGTGATATGACAAAATCTGTCTAGGATATTCAAACAGACACGTAAATCTCCAAGGGGCTGGGTAGAGGTCAACATTTATACAATATTTATAATGAAGAGCCCAAGAAACATCTTTTCACTATTACATTTCATGTTCATCACTGCATTACACACCATGAAGCTGACACTTTTACTGGCTGAGGCATTACCACTTCAAAATCAAATTAGAAATCAAAAGCTTTTCTTCCCCACTTTGGTTTGAAAAAATAGTACCCTATAAAGACTATCAAATATCAAATAAGTATATTTCAAGTTGTATGCTGCTTTTTTTTTTCTTAGAAATTATTAAATATTCAGTGACATAAATTCCCTGAAAATTCAGTGATAATTAGCTACTCTTAAACTTATACACACAACTCTTGGACAAATCATCTTGTTATCACAAAGCAAAGAAATGTTGTTAGCCTAACAATACTGTTGGTCCATCACCACTCATTGCTTAATGGCAGATTCAGCCATTTTTACTCTTCTAAGTAATGATGTATAGAATGAAGGAAGAAGTGCAGAACATAGCAGGCACTCCTTTTTTTTTTTTTTGGATTTTGTTTTAAAAATAAAGCCCCCTTAAAGCCAGAAGACCCGATTGCATCTTAGTCAGTCAACTGATTAAATGAATGTACATGAACGTTCTTTGTAAGGCTTAGGGTGTAAGTGGTGTGTAGATATGTTAGGGGGATACATACATGTGTACCTTTGCAAAAGTGCACAGAAAATCATGATGGTGAAGTAGAAACTGCATTTTTTTGTAGAATTCAGAAGATGTACCTTTAAACTTTAACTTCACTAAGTTTTCATCTTCCCCTCGTGATCAAGACATAACCTTCCAAATATGTGTACATTAGTTTCTTAACTATACAATGCAAGTTATACCTATTTCATGAAAACAAGTTGAAAACTAGGTATTGCTTAAGTGAAATTTGTTGTTTAGGAGGAAGTTGTGTTAAAATTGTATGAAAATTCTGAGATTGAAATCCATTTAAATTCCATGTGATAAAGAAAGAAACAGGGTACATCTCCTAGTATACTCTTTGGAACATAGAAGGTACCCAATAAATGTTATTCGTTTTCCTCTTTCATTTGTCTCTGCAGACAAATCTCAATCTCACAGAATGGGTTTCATTAATTTTTATTGGATTTCATTGAATTTTGTAGTAACTGTGAGTAATATATAAGAATTAAAATAAAAAATAAAATAAAATTATATTCTAAATTCTAATGATTTCTGAAATGTGAGGTATTATTGTCATTGAAATTAAAGTCAAGAAATAGTTATGGAAAAATGGAAACATAAGCCTGTCCTTAACATCAAAGAATCAAGCAAAATTTTCAGAATCAATGTTGCCAGACTCTGGCAGATGACCAAAGGCTACAGCAACCAAGTGAAAGTTTGTCTGGGGCTGGGTTGAGGGGAGAGTGGGGAGTGAGTGGTTCGTGGATATGAGGTTCCCTTTTGGAGTGTTGAAAATATTATGGAACAACATTGTGAATACACCGCATTCTACTGATTCATACACTTTAAAATTGTAGTATGGAAATATGGTAATATGGAAAACTGTGTGTTTTATGTCTTTTTTCATAACCATTTTTCAAAAAGACACAATATAAATCAAATTTAAATAACCCAACATGTATTAAATTAAATTCTGACTTAAAATCCAAATTTCTATTTTTTTCTGGTAAATTTTATTAAATATTTAAGGAAATTAAACAAAAATATTAAGTTTTTCAGACAATATGGAGTAGGGAAATAGTCTAACTTGTTTTAAGATGTCAACTTAATCCTCATACTGATCACTGATATAGCAATACAAAAGATATTATATACTAACATTCTTCATGAATGTAGATCTAAAAATTATTAAGAAAATATTGTCAAAATAAATACAACAATATATGCAAAGAATAATATGTTATGACCATGTTGATCTTATCTTGAGATTATGAGGTTAGCTTAATATTCTTAAATTATTCAATGAAGATCCTCATGTTAAATACAAGAGAAAAAAAATTTAATAACCTAAATAATTGCAGAGAGAGGCATATGGAAATACCCAACATTCGTCATGAAAATAAGGCTGTAATATAGGCAACTTTAATGTTTGACCTCAAAATATAGCAGTGACTTTATACTCAGCAGTCAAAAAGGCAGGACAATGTCAGAAGGTAGCCACTGGCTGCCAAAATGAATGGGGGCTGTATTCATTTGTTTTCACACTGCTGATAAAGACATACCTGAGACTGGGAAGAAAAAGAGGTTTAATTGGACTTACAGTTCCACATGGCTGGGGAAGCCTCAGAAACATGGTGGGAGGTGAAAGGCACTTCTTACATGGTGGCAGCAAGAGAAAAATGAGGAAGAAGCAAAAGCAGAAACGCTTGATAAACCCATCAGATCTCATGAGACTTATTTACTATCGAGAATAGCACAGGAAAGATCAGCCCCATGATTCAATTAACTCCCCCTGGGTCCCTCCCACAACACGTGGGAATTCTGCTAGATACTATTCAAGTTGAGATTTGGGTGGAGACATAGCCAAACCATATAGGGGCTATCACTATCATATAAAAAATCTTCTGAGAAATAAATCAAGGGTCCATATCTCTCTGTCTTTCTACACAATCATTAGAAGCATGTTACCTTACACAGAACAGCCAAATAAAATGAACAGCATAACAATCACCAGCATTTGAGAAGAATATCATAAAGGAAGTGGCCACGTGCAAAAACTACAAGTCAAAGCTGAAAAAAATAAAATTAAATTAAAGATTGCTTAAAAACATTCTAATTACTGTCTTATGCAATGCAATTTTTTTCTAATTACTGTCTTATGCAATGCAATTTGTCAAAATGCTTCTGAATTGTTTTTCTTACTTTATATAAAATATAAATTTATATAAAAATAAATTTGTTTTTCTAATGCATATTAGGATTAATTTGAAAATATATGAATTGTGATCTCTCAGAGAGTACTGATCAAGTAGATAATAACATTATACTTTATGTTAAATGCAACTTATTATGATGAAACATTAATTTGTTAAACAGAACTCAAAGTCCACAAAGTGACTATGAAGAAAAATTAACTTTGATTAGTTCACCTGTGTTTTCTAAAAAATAATATCCAGTTAATATACAGGTTAAACTAAAAAAATTGAAACATTTCAGTAATATTACACAGATCAATTTTTATTTATTTATTTATTTATTTATTATTATTATACTTTAAGTTTTAGGGTACATGTGATCAATTTTTAATAGAATTGCAAATATTGAGTTGGACTTCCTAAGGATTATTCTGCAGGCTAAAATGAAAAAATAAAAGACTGCTCCAAGTATAAAATAATTACAAATTTCTGTACTGTAAAACATGTTATGAACAAATATACAAGGTAAATGTATACATGCATATACACACACATTCACACACACACACATATATGGGAGGAAGGGTGATGCTTATTTCTTAAAACAAGTTGAGCTCCCTTATCTCTTGCTTTATTTTCAGAAAAAGTTGCTGTGTGTATATTAGGTTGGTGCAAAACTAATTGTGGTTTTTGCCATTTTTGCAATGACCTAATATATATTCAGTTATAATATATTCAGCACATATAATATAACACATATGTATTGCACATGTTATATATTATAATGTGTTATATATTGTGATGTGTTATGTATTATAATATATATTACTATATATAATGTAATATGTGTGTATACACACATGTATACATAGACATATACATTCGTTGATTCTTTCCTCTAGTTATGTTATTCTTACTATGCATCATGACGTTAAAATACAATATTTTCTTTCACTTTTTGGTAATTGAATATAATAACTTTAAAATCACTTTTTAAATAAAATATATTTCAATATATATAGATTCTTTGGGGTCAATTGCATTGTCAAAGATTGGTAAACAATCCATTGTCTTTATCTCAAGTTGAGCCATAACTCCCTAATCTGTCTGCTAAATGCCAGTGATTCATTCGGAGTAACAGTTTTTAGTGAAAAAGTGCTGTAAATACTATTTGTAATTTCATTAATGTTACCTTTCTGATTTTAAAATTTATTTTTTCAAAAGTTTTTTCTATTAGAAGCCAGGCTGGTCTTAAACTCAAAATCCAAGTATTTTCTCCAAAATCAATACTTATCCTCTGATTTTAACCTATTAAGTCTTTGCAAATCCACCATTTGAGCTTTGCATTATTAGCAGATAAGTTGTCTTTCCACATTGTCACTAAAGAAATTCGTCTGTTTATTTTTAGATTTTATGTTTCCCATATGGTGAGATTTTATTCAATTTTTCCTACAAAAGAAATGAGAATATCCCCAAAATGCAAAGTTGTGATAACTCTGTTAAGTTTTAAGGATATTGCATGTCTGAAGATATTGATTATATCCTTAATCTTAAACCAGTAAATCTTTAATGTGCTTAGGTAGAGGGCCAGCTGCATATGAATTATTTGCAACCATTATTAACTCATCATCAAAAGAAGGGTGAAGAGAAATAAGTTTTCTTTTTTAATAATCAAAACCTGCTCTGTGTTTCCTGCCGATAAAAATGTAGCATCACATTTTTCAGGGTAATACAGTCATAGAACTAAATGTTATCATCCAATAGCACATGGCACTGACAAACCAGAAGAAAGTCTCCAGTATAGCTGAAAGACGCTAGGTTTAAAAAATTGTCAAAAGCTTATGTCCATGAAGATACTTTATATATTAAATAAATGGTCTATTGGCTAATATTCTAAGTTATGGAAAAGAAATAAGTTAATGTTGATTGCTCCCCAATAAAACCAACATGCATAGTTTCTGTTAATTATAATTGTAAAGCATATTTTACCTCTTTGAACATTATTTTATGCCTCTGTTCTTAATGTCTGCAGGCTAGAAATCTAGCAAATACAATTAGCATGTATTGACCATCATTATTCTGATAGACAGTGATAGGATTTACATAGTTTTATTATATTTCATTTTCACAACCACCTTGTTAACCCCATTTGAAAGCTGGAGAAAAAGGTCAATAAAGCTTCAGTGGTCTGAAGCCTTAAGGTTCATAGCTAGTAATAAGCCAGAATGTTGCTGAGGAGATAGATGGCTATCTATTGCCTCCTTTGTTGAAATTTGGTGGTCAAAGCACTGCATAATCACATAAGCCATTCAAAGCACTGAATAAGTATTTTCAAAGGCTCATCAGAAAGCCTATAATGCCCCCATATGCTTTTCTGAGTATGTTATGTATGCCTCACTATCAATATACTGTGAGAGCAGCATATGGTTCTTTGATGGAATGTAATGGAAAATGACAGGCTGTTTCAAGATGTTCCATCACCAATTTCATGAATAATGCATTAGAGTAACAGGTATAATCAGTGTCATTTAAGTCTTCAGCCTCCAGAGAATCAACAGCAGCATGCAGAGGAACCAACGATCAGTTTTGATGTTTTAAATGCGTATTTTTTAAAAATGTTATTCTTTATTATTTGTTTTCCTTGGAAGCAAGGATTTTCTAATGCAGAAAAAACAAAAGGAAATATAAAACGTTAATAATTAAACTTGATTTACACCCCTTCAAGTTAAAAAAATAAAAATGTTTAAAGATAAACATATTTTTAAACATGTACAAATTAATTAAAAATTGTGTTAAATTTTATTGTAAGAGTCACTAGAGAAATGTTTCACAAAGAGTTATTGATATAATTGTTAGAATCCTGAAGATATAATACTTTGTAACAAGTATTAAGCTTTTCTACTAGAATGAACTCATATAAAGTATAGCATTAACTCTAATTTTGTATTTATACCTATTTTCCCATTTATGGGTTCCACAAAACATCCTTCTTGAATCTGACAAAATCAGTATGGTTATATATTTTAATAGAAGTGTAGATAATAATGTTAAACTGTAAACTTTGTTAATATAAATTCCATTTCTAAAAATGAGACAGATAACATGAAATTGCCTCACAACAATCTAAGAAGTAGCTAAAGCAATTCTGATAGTTACTGCATTTTTGGCTTTGGATAGTTACTGCATTTTGCCTGATTAATCAGAAGAAGGAGGGGATTGAGTTTCTGTTTTATGAATAAGCATGCAAAATATGATTCTAATCTTTTGGTATATGAATCACCTTGTATTTTCATTTCGACGCTTCCTCACAATGCTTACAACAAGGCTTTGCACATAATATGCTACGCAGATATTCAGTTAAATCACATTAAATGTAAAGGTAGATAAATTTAGAAAGATAAAGGGAAGAAAAGTAGAAAATAAAGGGAATAAAGATAGAAAATAAAGGGAAAAAGTCATACTTTCTGTGATTATTGATAGCTCATTCATTAGAATGGGTACTTTTAGCATTAACAAATTTAAAAAGCAATATTGCCATATCTACTTTTCCAAGTGTTGTATGTATTTATTTATTTACTTAGAGACGGAATCTCACTCTTGTCGCCCAGGATGGAGTGCAGTGACGCAACCTCGGCTTACTGCAACCTCCGCCTCCTGGGTTCAAGCTATTATCCTGCCTCAGCCTACTGAGTAGCTGGGATTACAGGCGCCTGCCACCATGCCCAGCTAATTTTTGTACTTTTAGTAGAGACGCGATTTCGCTATGTTGGCTAGGCTAGTCTCGAACTCCTGACCTCACACGATCTGCCCGCCTTGGCCTCCCAAAGTGCTGCAATTACAAGCATAAGCCACTGTGGCTGGCCCCAAGTGGTGTATTTTAACAACTAATCACATCATAAAAAATAAATCGTATGGTAGTAACCATTTAAATAAGTTTTACAAAGTAATGTTTTTCATCAAACCAGTTGATATCCACAAATTGTATAATAGAAATTAATAATAAATCTCAGAAATCACTGGATGTAACATTTTATATAGATCTTGTAGTCTACCCCTCCCACCTAGGTATAAATCTTCTTTAAATATTTGTGAAAACACTTTCAGTGACAGTTAACTCAGTGACAGATAACTCACTCACAAGTTGTATGCTCCTAATTATAAAATTCAATTGTCATCCAAAATTTTACCACGAATAAACTGAGATCTTAAGAGGCCAAATAAATTCAGTTACATAGCTGTGTCCCACACATGCATAGACATGGCTATGATTGCTGGCAGAGAGAGGCCAAACGGATCATTTTTCAGACTTTCTTATTCATAGTTTCGTGGTGGATTATTTTATTTCTGTGGTAGGCAAAGCAATGGCATTCCACAGATGTCCCTCCCCTAATCCCAAGAGTTGTGAGTATATTATCTTACATGGTAAATGGAACTTTACGGGTGAGATTAAGTTGGATATTTTAAGATAAGATTATCCTGGAACCCATTGTAACTAAAAGCAGCTTTATAAAAGTTAAGTCAAGAGTATCAGTCAGAAAAGGTGATGTAATGTGCGATGCCATGAGCTAAGTATTAGACAGCTTCTAGAAGCTGGAAAAAAAGACAAGGAAACATATGTTCCTCTGAAACCTCCAGAATGAACACAGCCTTGCTGGTACCTTGACATTAGTCCAGTGATAGTCCTGTCAGAGCTCCTGCCCACTGAACTGTACATCTCTGTTGTTTAAGCTGCAAAGCTTGTGGCAATTTTTTAGAACACCAATAGGCAACAAATATCTTTCCCACCTTCCCACATAAACCCCAAACCATCTTTCTTTACTTATACTGTGATACAATTAAGCAGATTTAATAGTCATTAAATATATTTTATTCCCTAGTAAAGTCTACTGCTGGAAATAATAGAGAAAAAGTCAAAACAGAAGTCTTCTTTTGTTCTTGTGTAGCTCAGATTTGTTACTCACAAGTATAGTTTTCAAAAATGCATGTCACCTAAAATTGGGGGGACATATTTGCTAGATATACCTGCCTCTGTACACTTCTGTTTTCCTTTGACTTCTGAGACTACTAGAAGAATTATGAGGTAAGGAATGTGTTCTGTTAGGATTGGTAGCATTGCTCTGGCTGAAATTGGAATATATTAGGGAAACACTTAGTGCTTATTGGATAAATTAATTCATCCATTTGTTCAGCAGGTAGTTATTCAGTACTAGACATCACAGATAAAATAGCAAAACACACATAAACAGCATCACCATGGAGCTTATAATTTATTAACCTTATATTGTGCATTAATATTAGATAAATTATTCACCCAGTTTTTAAAACAAATTTTCCTTTTATGTAAGTAAATAAAATAAAACATTATAGAAGGTGTTTTTAATTGTTGATTTCTGTGGCAAAAAAATAGATTTGTAAATTTGCTGTAGTACTGCTGATTCATTAGAGTAAATAGCAGTAGGCACTGAATTGAATTCTCTCTCCACTGAAAGTCAATTTAATGTTCGAAAATTTTTCTACAAAGTAGTGTAGTTAAAGCATACATTAGTTATAATTCAAATTCTCTTTTGATGTATTTTAACTCTTAGCCATAGATGATCACAAGTTTTTCAAATTCATATGGACTTTCTAGAAATTATTTCAAAATATTTGCCATCCTTTTGTACTTTTCAGCATTTGTCTTCAAGTAATTCAACTTTGAATTTAAAATTATATTTTTGAAGAAAAGTAGTACTCTTTTTTACAGAGTTCCAAAGTTGTGTTTTGCACATAATTACTAGTAACCTTGGAGTTAGAACCAAGATACAATTGTCCAAAATGCTACCCTACCAATGACTAATTGGCTTGGCTTTTACAAACTCAATTATATAATTAAGGGCTTCATTTTGCTTATCTTTAAAATAAGAATCTTGAATTAAATGATCTCTAAGCATGAAAGAGAAATTTTTTGGATAAATGAAGGCTTCTAAAATTCAATTTATATTCTTATTGAATTCAGTGTCATCCTGGTATCTACCATTTTTTCCAATATGCTATAATAAATTTTCCTAGCAACTATATTAAATAAAACTAGAGTTAGAGTTGTTCTTGACACTAACACACTGTAAATATATTCTAGAACAGGAAAGTCAAAGTCATTACCAATAATCTGGGAAATAGGATCATCCCAAGCTACCTTGTCTTTACCAATGACACAGACACATTGATTATTATAAAGGTTAATATTACAATGAACTCCTCCAATACTTTTTTTTTTTTTTTTTGGTCAGAGTCTCACTCTGTTGCCCAGGCTGGAGTCCAGTGGTGCAATCTCGGCTCACTGCAACCTCCACCTCCCGGGTTCTAGCAATTCTCCTGCCTCAGCCTCCTGAGTAGCTGGGACTACAGGCGCACGCCACCATGCCCAGCTAATTTTTGTATTTTTAGTTAAGACGGGCTTTCACCATGTTGGTCACGCTGGTCTCGAATTCCTGACCTCATGTAATCCACCCACCTCGGCCGCCCAAAGTGCTGAGATTACAGGCGTGAGCCACCGCACCCAGCCACCACGAATACATTTTGATGCAAACATTACACTTTATACACATTTGAAAATGTAGTAGTCAAGCCAAATGTGAAGTCTTTCATGCTGGTAAATAACTCAGAGAGGTTATAGATCCAGAGAAAGTACAAGGAGAAAAATACATACATGTATATTTTTCATTATCTTCTAAGAGTATGAAAATAATTGAAACTACCTAACTATGGAAGACAATCAACAATGCTATTGACACAGTAGCAACTTGTTTTAATAATTAGCAGCATTGAGCCCAAAAACATTGTTGGAATCATTGCTAAAATCACCACAAAAATTTTGGAATCATGTACTAAGAATCACAAATGAGCCATATTCTTTTGCTATTATTTTGGGTTTGACTAAGAATGTTGGAGACAAATGAACTGTATTTGACCTATGAGGAGGTGTTTTTGATATATTGTGTCTTTACTATTGGAGAAATAATTTTTTAATTTGAGCCTAAATCTAAGAATAAATATCAAGAAAAATATGAATTTGACAATAAAAGGATTAAAAAATATTGCAAAATGAAATCATAAGGTTAAAAAGGACATCAGTGAGAAAAGTAAGGCTGTTCATAACCTCCACACAAGCTGTGCTAAATCTACTCCCTATTCTAGTATATATGCCAATATTGTGGTCAATTCCTCTATGAAGTACAGCAACTGCATTATTGAAAATGAACTTGAAAATTAAATGTTGACCTGTTAGGTGGCACTTTGGATTTCTTGGTGAAATCCCATTACAATGTCAATCTAGACAAGCTACAGATTAAGATATCATCCTAGTAGTGGCTAGACCTAAATATCCAAGATTTAGAAGCTCCTACAGGAAAGGTTCTAAATTTGCAGTCATTTTATCCATTAGTAGTTAAGAATACAGAATATTTTAGCTATTATATTTATACATTACTGAACATTCAGAACACATAAAAGTGCCTACAGCAAAAGCGACCAACTTTTTATTATAATACTGCATGCAAATACATAAAAAGGCAACTATCATCTTAAAGAATAAAACTCTATTAAAAACTGGACCTATACAAATTTTAATTTAACAATTTACAAGAACGAAACTTTTTTTTTTTTTTTTTTTTGAGACAGAGTCTTGCTCTGTTGCCCAGGCTGGAGTGTAGTGGCGTGATCTCAGCTCACTGCAAGCTCCGCCTCCCGGGTTCACGCCATTCTCCTGCCTCAGCCTCCCAAGTAGCTGGGACTACAGGCACCCGCCACCACGCCTGGCTAATTTTTTGTATTTTTAGTAGAGACGGGGTTTCACCGTGTTAGCCAGGATGGTCTCGATCTCCCGACCTCGTGATCTGCCCGCCTTGGCCTCCCAAAGTGCTGGGATTACAGGCGTGAGCCACTGCGCCCGGCCAAGAACGAATCTTAAATATTTAATAAGGCAAATAAAATGCATCTGTTAATAATCAAACTTTAAAAATAAAGTGTCTTTCTGAGCAAAGCTATATGTTATATTTGACTACCCCCTACAGCAACTAAATTTACTGTAGAAAAAGAAAGGTAAGATTTGTAGAAATTTTGATTTATTTTCCCATAATTTATGAAGTTTTTCTTCACATAACATTTATTTTAACATTTTTACCTGACTCAAAGAAAACATCTCTCCCCTTCAATGGAAGACGAAATAACATTATCCCAGACAGGGTAGGCAACTTGACCAAGGAGACACAAGTGACTGGTGGTAGGTCAGATCAGGGCCCTTACAATACAGTCAGCACAACTTCAGTAGAAGTTTCTGAGTGAATGCCCCACGTCTTATTGCTGTTTGTCTGTAGGTCGTATGGAAGCCTCAGGATTTTCTGAAAAGAAAATTTATTTATATTAATTACGTTCTTTCAATTTTTAAAAATATATTCACCCTTTATTACTGCTGTAGAGTATCTATCTTTTTGTCACTCGGTTGGTATTCTTTACCTAGTTTCCTCTTTCCTGTACATCTTGTCTAGATAAGAACATAACTTAATTTTTTTGTTTGTGAAATAGCCAATAATTTCCCCTCCCTTTCCTCAATCTTTTTTTAAATCCTACCTACTTGTTTAATATTTCCTTTGACATTTTCCATATCTACTTTTCCCTCAATAAATAGGAAAATTAGTAAACAAATTTTTATAGATTTTTTTTTAAAAGAATGAAGCCCAGAGAAAGCATCCATCATCCATTAGTTTTAGAAGCAGTGAAATTTAGAGTGAAAGAGAATGTCACCAGTGTGAGGAAAAGCAGAAATTGGTTGAAAAGGGATCAGCTTTTGAATGATAACCCATTTGGTTTTCATAGTCATAGAATAATCAATAGAATACATTAATTGGTTCTGACTGAAATAGTCAACATTGTGTGTGGGTGTGTTTATGTGTATATACATATGTATGTGTGTGTGTGTATATATATATATAAATATAAAATCAGTATAGAATATCAAAATGTGTACACAGATTTTGTTAAATTACTTCATTTAGGTACAATTTACATAATAATCATGTTATGTTACATAACAATAACCGTTTACTTGCACATTTAATGAGTTTTGACAAATATATACACCCGTATATATACAAATATATACACCCATATACATAATCAAGATATTGAGCAGCTTCATCAACATAAAATGTTTGTTTTGTTAGTTACATTTAAGTAAATTAAATGTTTTAAGTTAGTTCTATTCCATTTCTGGCCTCAGCAAAAACTGATCTATTTTTGTCATCATCAGTTAGATTTGTCTTTTCTGGAGATACATATAAAGTGATTCATAGCATATATACTCTTTCGTGTCTGGCTTCTTCCAATCAGCATAATATGTTTAAAATTCATCTAGTTGTTACATGTATTAGTAGTTTCATGCTGTTTATTAATGAGTAGTAATCAATTTTATGAATATCACATTTTGTTTAAGTATTTGCTAATTGGTAGATATTTGGGTTGTTTCCAATTAGGGGCCATTAATAAGATTATATGAAATTCTATGTTGAATGGAGGTCTGTTTTCATTTCTCTTTCATACATACCAAGGAGTGGAATTACTGAGTGGCCTGTGTATATTGAACTTTTAGAATATGGCAATAATCTTTGATAAAGTATTCAATTTTATATTGACAGAAATATATGAAAGGTCCAGTTCATATCTTTACTTCTAAGCTTTTAAAATTTCATTCATTCTAGTGAGTGTGATACTGTATTGTGGTTTTAATTTATCCTTCTATAATAAATGAGGCTGAGCAACATTTTATGTGCTCTCAGTCA
Source organism: Homo sapiens (assembly GCF_000001405.40). Classification (NCBI taxonomy): domain Eukaryota; kingdom Metazoa; phylum Chordata; class Mammalia; order Primates; family Hominidae; genus Homo; species Homo sapiens. Next base: position 66,204,533 of record NC_000018.10, on the reverse strand, counting down.
TTTATATTATCTTTTTTGGGAAAGTTTATACCATTTTCAAATTACAGTACAAGACTGTTCCCCGTTCATGGCTTAGGTTTTGCCTCACTTAGTAGTGTTTTTCCAAAGGCCAGTGTTTGTTACTTTTAACAAATTTGTCAATTTCTAATTTTTTTCATTGTGTTCATGCTTTATGTATCCTACTTAAGAAATCTTTGGCTATCCCCATGTTCTCAATAATTTTCCAAAAACAATAAAAGACTTAAAAAAAACCCCACAATTCCAATAAGATCAGAGGAACTCCAAACAATATAATGAATGAATGAGTGAATGAATGAATGATTAAATAAAATGGCATGAGAGAGCCAAAGCTCTGAAAACCAAAATTAAAAAAATATATATTAAAGGATGTTGGATAAAAAAGAAACATTATATACTGAGGAATAATGAAAAGAGTGGTAGCAGAGTTCTTTGTGCATACCCCACTACCAAGTCAATGAGGGACAACTTTAAATTAAAGTAAAAAAACCCTATAAATCCAGAATTTTATACTATCTGCATATATCTTCCAGAAACATAGGCAAAATAAAGGCATTATCTCACAGACAAATCATGAGATAATTAATTTTATTTAAACTTTATTATAAGAAATATTAAGGAAATTTTCATAGGCAGAAGGAAAATGATATCAGATAGAAATTAGGACTTCTATCTGATATCAGATAGAAACAGAGAGGGCCACGAACGAAACATATGCTGACAAATGTAAAGTACATTTTTTGTTATGTTTAAACTTTTAAATGATCATTAATTTTTTAAAGTAAAAATAATAACTTTGAAAATTTGTTAAGTATGTAGAAGTAAACTATGTAACAATATTAACAGAAAAAACGAGAGAGCTAAAATGGAAGTATAACGTAAGAAACTTAGAGACTGTATTAAATGTGTAATAGTGTCTAGTGGCAGAATTAAGAGAATTTGATGAAGTAAAAACCTTTTTTTTTCAAGAAATCATGTTGGAACGATTGAATATAATTTGGAAAAAAATGTGAATATCAACTCTTACCTCTAATCATGTTCAAAAATCAATGTTATATGGATCACAGACCTGAATTTCTTTATGTATATTTGTAATCTGAATTAGACAAAGATTTAACAGAGAGGAAACAAAAAGCACACAGCATAAGAGAAAATCAATAAATTTGATTTTAATTTTTTTTATAATCCCCCCCTTTTTTTCCATGTAAGACTTTATTAACAAAATGAAAATAGAAACAATCGGGTATGTTAAACTTAATGGTGTTAATACTAGCTTTCAACAACATAAATTTCAGATTTATGCTGTCAATGAGTGAGGATCATTTTACAAAAAAAGTCTTTGCTAAGCTTAGAAATAGAATTCTGAAGAAAACATTTAACAACTTTTTAATCAAATGACAACATAGAAAAATAGAAATTGAAAACTCTTCCTTCAGAAACTAGAAGTCCATTACTATGAAAAAAGAATACCTGAATTATCCTGAGAATGGACTTATTTTCTTACAATTTTAAAAAGTAATTTCATTGCTAAAAAGTAAGAAAAAAACTTCAATGAAACTTTTAGTTGGAAGAAAAGATGTCACAGCTACTCATACAACATTTCACCCTGTCAGAGTACCAGAAACGGAGGTGATAGAAAGGCGATGAGCAGCATAAGACACCTCTTAGAACTTAATGCTGAAATACTTTTATGCCATTTCTGTCTTAACTCTGAAATGGAATGAGCAGTATTTTAATAAATATGTTAATTATTTATAAGTTCTGAACAACGAATTAATTCATAAGTAGTTTAATGTGTCATTCTGAAAGAGTTTTATTAAGCTCAAAGTCTCCGTGTTTTATACAACACTTTCTTATTTCCACTGCTACCTCCTAATGCCGTATCTCTGATGTTCTAATGAAACTCATTTGGCCCCTCAATTCTATCCTATCTATTTTCGTGCCACCTTTTTGTTTTATTAATTTAATCTCTTCTGGACACAAGTGTCTTTTACTCATACTGAACACTGCCATTATTATATTTTAATGATCTTGCTTAGTCACAGTGCTTAAGCTCTATACGTTATCAGGTCTTTGTTTAATTATTCACTACTGCTGCTCCTGTCAAATGGTGAAACATACAGTTTGCAGAAATAGCATGTAACAGTTCTTGCATCTATGCCCTCATCTATTTCATTCAACAGATTAGCATCCCTGTTGTTTTCACTGCTGCTTCTGGTTTTATTTTCCTCCAAAGTCTTATATATATTTTATACCACATTAATTGGTCTCTTCTCTGCACTTTTTAAAGTGATATTTGTGCTATAAAAATAATTTAACGCAATTCTATAAACTTTTCTCTAATTTGAATAAATGTAGGTGTCTTCTAGGTAAACAAATTTTGTGAACTCATTGAGGTCAAGAATTTTTTTTTCATATACCTATGTTTAACATACAGAAGATATTTTATAAATTGTGTTTTCTTTGTTTAAATTGCTTATAAATTATTTTTTCTCTGCTTTCTTTTTATTATTTAAATATTTATCTTATATCTTCTACATGCAATCCTTTAATGTGAAAACTATGCAGTTGAAAATATGAAAAATTATTTTTAAGACAATAAAATTAGAAGAATGAGGTAGTTATAAGAATGCTTCAAAAATAGACATATAATCTAAAAACGTAAGTAAATACTTTTATTTTACAATAGCATCAAAAACAATAAAGTATATAGGAATAAATTTAACAAGTGAAGTGTAAAGATGCACTGAAAACTATCAAAAATTGTTGAAATAAATTAAAGAAGATAGAAATAAATTTAAAAATATCTAAATACATTTTTAAAAGTCATGCTTCTATAAATCAAACTTAAAGTTGTTAAGATGGCAATATTCTGCAAACTGATTATATTTAATAAACTTGGCACAAACACTATCAGAATCCAAACTGAAGTGTAACTAAAAGCTAATTCTAAAATTTGTATGGAATGGAAAGGGACCCAGAATAGCCAAAACAATCTAAAAAGAAGAGGTAAGAAGGAAGTCTCACAATTCCTGATGTCAAAACTTACCACAAAGAAACAGAATTGACACAAGATTAGCCTTGCAGATCAGTGGGGTAAAAATGAAGAGCCTGGAAATAAACAAAATTACGTTTATGCTTAAACGTAAGTATTTATGTCCAAAGAGTACTAAGACCATTCAGGGTGCCAGGAATAACCTTTTCAGTAAATGGTGCTGACAATTGGAAAGCTATATGTAAACGAATAAAGGTGGATGCTTACTTTATTCTATATTAACTCATAATTAACTCAAATTGGAATAAAGACCTAAATATCAGAGCAAAAACTGTAAAACTTTTAGGAGAAACCATTACTGTAAATTTTGATGACATTGGATTTGACAAAGAATTCTTCAACATGACACCAAAAGATTGAGCAAGAAAAAAAATAAAAGAAAAAACCATAAATTGGACATCATTTAAATTAAAAGCTTTAGTGTTTCAAAAGATCTCACCAAGATAATGAAAAGACAGCTTATAGAATGGGAGAAAAGACTTGCAAACCTATATCTAATAAGGGAACTGTATCTAGAATATATTTTAAAAACATATTTCAACTCAATAATATAAGGAAAAAAATGGACAACGTATCTGAATAGATAATTCCGTAAGGAAGAGATAAAACTGTCAAAAAGTATATAAAAAGATGTTAGTATTCGGCCGGGCGTGGTGGCTCAAGCCTGTAATCCCAGCACTTGGGAGGCCTAGGCAGGTGGATTACCTGAGGTCAGGAGTTCGGGACTAGCCTGACAGACATGGAGAAACCGTCTCTACTAAAAAAATACAAAATTAGTCGGGTGTGGTGGTGCATGACTGTAATCCCAGCTACTTGGGAGGCTGAGGCAGGAGAATCGCTTGAACCCAGGGGACGGAGGTTGCAGTGAGCCGAGATCGTGCCATTGCACTCCAGCCTGGGCAACAAGAGCGAAACTCCGTCTCAAAAAAAAAAAAAAAAAAAAAAGATGTTAATATTCATTAGTCAGCAGGGGAATGCCACTTAAGATCACAATGAGATGCTGTTTTATAAGCATTAGGGTGACTGGAATCAAAGTCGGAAAGCAAGTGTTGAAAACAGTGCAACTGCTTTGTAAAACAATGTGAGTTCCTTAAACTAGCAAACAGAGTACCATGTGACCCCACATTTTCATTCATATATATATATGTGTGTATATACATATGTATGTATGTATGTGTATATATACATATACATATAACATATATACATGTATATGTTATATGCATATGTATATATGTTTATGTATATAAGCTTATATACATAAACATATATACATATGTATATATGTATATGCGTATGTATATATATGTATGTGTATGTATATATATATAGATATATACAAGAGAAATGACAACTCTGCTCACACAAAAACTTGTACATGAATGTTTATGGTAGCATTATTCATAATAGCCAAAAGGTATATTAAACCCAGATGATTGTCTGTAGACAAATGGATAAACGAAGTGTGCTATAAACACACCCTGGAAAAGTATTTGACCATAAAAAATAAATGAAGTATTGATACATGCTACACGTGGATAAACATTGAAAGCCTGATGCTAAGTGAAAGAAGCCAGTTCTACCACATCATTCTGTTCATGTGAAAGTCCAGAACAGGGAAATCTATAGAGGCAGAATGTAGATTAGCATTAGTTTGGGTGAGAAGGTGAAGAAAATGTTCAAAAATTGTCTGTGGTGATGGTTACACATATCTGTGATCACAGCAAAACTATTGAATTGTAGATTTTAAATGAATTAATTGTAAGGTATGTGAACTATATCTCAATAAAGCTGCTAACATAAATTAAAAGATAAGAAATTTATATTGATTAAATATTTCAGAAGTATAAAATATTAACCAATAAAAATAAGCTTAAAAGGTTTAAATACTATTCTTCACTCTCTTCCCCGGGGATTTCTAAATAAATATTATGAAGATATACTCTGCCATGCAGCTTCATATTTAATATCTACTAATTTTGTAGAGAGGAAAATATGCAACAATTGAGAAGACATAATTATTTAATATAGGAAATTCAAAATTCCTCAAGTTCTGAATTCAAGTCCTCATTTAAAATTGTTGAAAATACTCAAATTTATTGGAAAAAGGCATTATACAAAATTTAAAAAATAGGAGTTTGTTAATAGTTCCTTGCTGATTTTTATTTTGATAATCACTTATTCTTCTGCTTCTTATTTCGTATTAAAATACAAGAAATGATTTTCTGGGTTAGTATAAAAATGAAAAGTATTTGAAAGTATATTTCAATGATCAAGCCACTTGAGAGAGATTATGCAAAGCAAAATAGGCCAAGTTTGTTTTGTTTTGTTTTGTTTTCATCTCTCAAGGCCTTCACTTGGGGTCTGCTCATCTCTCCTTTACTCATGATAAGAATGGCTTCTTCTCATATATCAGTTCTGAGGTTACATATCATTAATATGCAAACCCTCACTGATCACACAGTGCTTTTTCCCTGAGAGTCTCTCTTATAGAATTCTGATGATTTCTACATGGCTTATATCAGCTCTAGTGAATATGTTTATTCCTTTCTTCCTGATTACTTTTGAATTTCATTTTGCTATTTATGTGAATTATGACCTTGAGTAAATTATTTAACCTACCTGTGCCACAGCCTTCATCAGAAAAGTGAGAAATAAATATTATTTGTTTCTGAAAATACCTTTGAAGGGAAATGGATTAATGTAGGTAAAGAGGTTAAATCATTGTTTGGCTCATTTAATAAGTCAATAAATGTTAGATGGTGTCACTATAGTTAGAATTATAAGATAATAATTTTCATGAGAAACAATACTATGTTCAAGACTTATAACCTGTGCCCATCTGACTAGCACAAATATTTGATACTTAGGTGAATTAATTATGTATAGGTCACCTTCACTTTACATGAGAAATATTCAACTGAACATCAGATTACTTTCAGTGATTCTATTGAGTGAAAAATAGATATAAATATTTTGTAAAGCTGCAGTAAAATGGTTGTTCAAATACTAATGCTACTTTTATAAATTGCACCAATCTCTCAGAAAAAAAATTGCCATATGTGTTCAACCTATTTAATTAATTCTTTTAACTATGTTATTTGATTTTTGCTATTGAGAGTTCCCTATACATTTTATATATGAATCTCTTATCAGACACAAATTCATAGAAGTAGAGAGTAGTATACTGATTACCAGGAGCTAGGAGATGGGGGAAATAGAGAGATGTTGGTCAAAGGTACAAATATTCAGTTATGAGTGAGTTCTGGAGATCTAATGCAGAACATGGTGACTGTAGTTAATAATGCTGCATTTGTCTACTTGGAATTTGTTAAGGGAGTAGATCATAAGTATCCTAACCATACACCTTCACAGAAAATGGAAATAGGTGTGGGAGCTATGGATGTGTTAATTAAATTAATTGGGGCAATCATTTTATAATACATATGTCTATTATCATGTTGTAAACATTGAATTTATAGAAATCTTACTTATCAATTATACCCCAGTAAAGCTAGAAACAATTAAAAATAAAAATTATGTATTTATTTATAAATATTTAAATATTTTAAATATAAATACTTATATTTGGTATCTATATCTGGTATCTAAAATAAAATCTGGTATCTAAAAAGCATATACCTAATTATAAATTATAAATATAAATATATGAAAGCATATACCTAATTATAAATATAAATATCTTGGCAGATATAAACATATATGTTCCATTTATAACATAAATACTGCATAGTAGATACAATAAGAAATATAGAATAATAAATCATTTGGAAGATTATTCACCACTATTCCATATGATGGTTATCAAGGCTACAAAATGTCATATATATTAAATAAATATTGTAATACTAAGTTTGAAAAGAAACAGAATATGAACCTTCAGTAACTGGACAAATAAAATTAATTTGAAACTGATGTAAACATCATTTCAAAAGGGTGTAAAGAAATACTTTAAAATTACTAAAATAGTTCAGAGTAGAGTGTTGTAAATTTGTGTAATTTTATTCTTCCTATAATTCTTTTTAGAATATATGTATTTTTTCAATATAGAAATGAATAAGCATATTATGCTTGAATTTATTTTAGTCAAACAATCTAACATTTTTCAAAATTAAAAATTATTTTACAATATCTAACTAATTTGTTGTTTTCTACATGAAGCACACTTCAAACACACTGGGCTAATTATAACTTCTTAATTTGACTCAGTATTTTCCACATGTGGAAGAAATAAAAATAAGCCTTCTGTTTAAAACAACAGCAGTCTCATGAGAAAATTCAGTTCCTTTTTGGTGTATTTTATCTGTTCTACTCAGTTTTCTTGATTTTTGATTAATAGCTATGACCTCCATTTTCTTGATTTTTTTAAACTACTTTGCACCTGATTTGGCCTCATTGCTCTATTTTGATAGTTAAATTTGCATACTTCCTGACCACTGACTGCTGGTTTGTTTTAGGCTGGCTGCTGCATTTAAATTCGTGAGGTTCTTTTGTAAGGATACTGCAGTTATGAAAGTAGAATACCTTTATTATAGAAAAAATATTATTTTTGACTGTAAAGAGATTTAAATCCCAACTAAACATGTGTACACTTTTATAATTTTTTCTAGTTTCTTTATCTACACTCACACACACACACACATTTTTTTTTCTTTTTTCTTGAGACAGAGTTTTGCTCTTGTCACCCAGGCTGGAGTGCAATGGCAGGATCTCGGCTCACTGCAAACTCTGCCTCCTGGGTTCAAGTGATTCTCCTACCTCAGCCTCCCAAGTAGCTGGAATTACAGTGGCCCACCACTACACCCAGCTAATTTTTGTATTTTTAGTAGATATGGGGTTTCACCATGTTGGCCAGGCTGGTCTTGAACTCCTGCCACCTGCCTTGGCCTCCCAAAGTGCTGGAATTACAGGCGTGAGCCACCACGCCCGACCCACACACACTTTTTGTATAGTTAATACCTTAATATTATTTTCTATTCAGTATGTTCTACCTATCATGGAAATAAAACTGCTTTCTAGTGAAGTTACAATATTTTGTATAAAAAAGTTAATGAATAATATAATCTAAATAAATTATTGAGTTGCTCTTCTTCTATTTATATTATTTTATTCATTAATTTTTATACAATACATTGTAATTAGTGAACATCATGGCACAGGAAGTTTTAAAATAATCTATAACTATGTTAGTAGAGGATAATTTAAGAGGGGATTTCCTGATGATCCTCTTGTCCAAAGTACTTAATAGATATGACCAAATCGAGATTTTTTCCAGAAAATTTATATCTATATATTATCTTTTTCAAAACATTTCCCAAAGCAGAATATTGTTTATGGTATATTTTTAATTTAATCTTCATTTCTTGGTTTACTAGTGAGGTTATAAATACATTCATGAGTCACTTGCTTTTTGAAGTTAATTACCCACAAACATAACTCATTTTTAAGTATAACTTTCATAACACTTATTTTGATTTGTAAAAAATAATTTTACATTTAGAATGTCAAGGCCAGGTGTGGTGGCTCATGCCTGTAATCCCTGCACTTTGAGAGGCTGAAGCAGGAGGATTGCTGGAGGCCAGGAGTTTGAGACCAGCCTGAACAACATTGTGAGAACCTGTCTCTTCGAAATATATATTTTTAAAAAAATATCTGAGTATGGTGGCACACGCCTGTATTCCCAGCTACTCGGGAGGCTGAGGTGAGAGGATTACTTGAGACCAGGAGGCCAAAGCTGCAGTAAGCCATGATCGTGCCACTACACTCAGTCCAAGTGATCGAACAAGACCCTATCTCAAAAAAAAAAAAAAGTTAGAAAAAGACTATAAGCAAAATAAAGAAGATAGAATGTCAAATTTTCAAATCTCAAATCTTAGTAAAGTTTTTCTAACTCGTGTTACATTTTATAATATGCTTATTAATTTGACATAAAGATGTTTCTATTGATCCAATTATAAAGCTAATCTTAGTGATCTTATTGCAGTTGCACATAAAAATCTTCTCTATCCAAGGAATAATTATCAATATGCTGTCTACAAAATTATGACTTCATTTTATATAATTATGACTTTAAGTAGTTTTTTTTTTTTTGAGACAGAGTCTTGTTCTGTCGCCTAGGCTGGAGTGGAGTTGCGCCATCTCGGCTCACTGCAACTTCCACCTCCTGGGTTCAAGCGATTCTCCTGCCTCGGCCTCCCAAGTAGCTAGGACTGCGGGCACATGCCACCACGCCCAGCTAATTTTTCTATTTTTAGTGAGACGGGGTTTCACCGTGTTGGCCAGGATGGTCTTGATTTCTTGACCTCGTGATCCGCCCGACTTGACCTCCTAAAATGCTTATATTACAGGTGTGAGCCACCGTGCCCGGCTGACTTTAAGTAATATTTATTTCAATATATTATTGGCTAAAATAAAACAATTGTACTTATAAATATTTTACCAAATATTACAATGATTTTATTGAGAAAATAAAACTTGGAATCTTCCATGATTTTCTTCTATATTTTTCCCTTCAAGTTTATCTACTCAGATCCATTTACTTTGTCCTAGTGTAATATTTTAACAAATCCAATTTAAAAATGAATTTTAATTATATTACAAATTTCTCCCCAAGGCTTCCACTTTCTGAAATTTTCTTACCTATTAATTCTTCAATTTGAAATGATGTTATTTTCCAATTAATTATTCTAATTTTTTAGAAACTTAGACATATATAAAAATGCATATAACCTATACCCACAATATTATTATTATTTTATGCTCTTTATTTCCTTAGTAATAGCAAGTTTTGAAGATATTCCCTTAATTGATCTGTTTTTGAACATGTTATTCCGATTGCATTCAGGATTTTTGGTAAATGACTGCATTTTAGCTGCTATTGCCAAAAACAATGAGTGAGTGGGTAATTCTGTGGGACAATGGGTATGTTATACTTCACTCTACTACCCAATTTACATTTTTGTCTCTTAATGTTATTTTGTATACCTTAAATATATATAATAACTAATTAAAAATAAATACATAAATAAAAATAAATTGTGGGGAGGGGGAGCCCATATTGCTGACTAGATTCTGTCAGAAAGACCTTCTACCACTGAGAGACCAGACCATCAACTGTATCAGTAAACTCTGAGCTCTGAGCAGATCTACAGAAGGAGGGTGGATGAAGAGTGGATAGAGGGAGGACACAGACTCTGAGTCAGTAACCTGAGAACCTTGCACGGGGTTGCTGAGCACCAGGACTCATTCCTGTTCCTGAGTGGCTCCCGGGGAAGGGGTGAGTTAAAAAGGTGTGGAGTGATCCACTATCATCATGAACCTCTGGAATCCTAGCTGCAGGAGACAGCATAACCCCATAGACATTTGAGCTGGCAGGGAGAGCCGCTTGGAGTTTTAGCAGGAACTGGACTCCAGCCTGTGCAGAGCCAAAGGGTTTGGTGTGGGAACAGCTACAGTGGAGCATTGCTGAGTACTCTCAGACTCCGAGGCTCACCATGCTCCTCTAGGTGCCTTTGGCTTTTGTTGACAGTCAGACCTGTACAGACCAGGGCTATCTTGCCCATGGGATGGAGCCAGTCTGATCTGAACACCTCTCTCTCTGCCAGCCTCTCCCAGGATCCCTGCCTGGCTATACTGGCTTAGAGTGCAGCCTCAGATGCCTAACCAAGTCACTTCAGAGTGGTCACTACCATAGCTTATTGGCAAACTCCATGTAATAATCAGAGAGCTTTTGCAAATATGCCCTGGCCAGCATGAACATGCCCCAGCCTCCCTCTACCACTTTGCTGGTATGCACTCACCTGCAGTTTCTACCTACCGCTTTGTGAGTGCGCAGACTCCACCACTCCACCTCCACTGGAGCATGTGACAGAGAACAAACCCAACTACCACTACCCTGATGAAGGGCTTTTGCCAGCATTCCCCAACAGAGTGTTGTTTCCAGTGGACTGGGAACACCTTGGCCCTTGCAGCACAAGAGGTCTTAACTTCGAGGAGCCAGAGAACAAAGCTGTGAGCCTGGAGCCTTCCCACAGGGTTAGAGCATGCAGCCCAGGAGTGCTGAGTTGAGCCTTGGCCCCCTGAAATCATGCAGAATTGAAGCCAGTTGAATAAACCCAACATATATGACAGTCAAACTTTCAAGGTTATCAAAGAATATAAAAGCAATAGCACCATTTATAAGACAGCAATTTCAAAGATTAAAGGAACATCAGCCTAAATAGCTTAAATATAATCATATATTTTTGTATGTCATTTATGTGCATATTTATATATGACATACACAAAGAACTACTATGATAGATAAAAATAAACAGCAGATGCAGTTAAACAGTCAAGATTTTAAATCTTAACATACTTAATATGTTGAAGAAAATAGAAAAAAGGTAGAGAACACATAAAAGATGGAGAGTTTTAACAAATAACGGAATATGAATGTAAACATTAAATTGATAATCTAGGACTGCAAAATAAAGTATCTGAAATTGAGAATTTATTAGGTATGTCTAACAGTGTAATGGACAAATCAAAAGGCCATTTTTTCAGCCTCCTCTATTAGTTTCTTCACCTTCTGAAATCCTGTCCCAAAGTAAATGTCTCATTTTTCGGTTTTCTTATTATTGTTTTTTCTTTTTAGCACGTATGCCTCTTGGTAGCAAATTCTGTATTATTTAGCTTTCTTCAGCAGTCCTGCATAAAAAATAGCAACACCTCACCGCAACACTCAATGGTTTCCAACAACAATCATATTACATTCTAATTTGTGCATGTGTACATTGGTAGGTTGAGCTGACCTCCACCCTGGTAGGTTGCATGGATCTGTTACCCACGGTCAGTTCATGGGTAATCTAGTTGGCTCTGCTTCAGAAGCCAGAAGCTGGAGTGTCTCTGGGCCATGTGCTTCTAATCCTTCTTGTGGAACAGGTGGAGATGTGTGGCACGTTTCTGTTATGGTTATGACAGAGACAAAAATAGTAAACGTGCATATGCCTTCTTATAGGCTAATATTTAGTATTGTCATGCTGTTGTAATTTCTGTGCATGTGATGTTGGCCAAAACAAATTACATGGCAGGGCCTAAAGTCAAGCAAAAGGAAGTATATTGAGCCCGTGATGAAGCCACAGATGGAGGAAGGAGTGAAACACTGAATCCTAATGAACAATTCTACTCCCCAGAGTGGGAGTAGAGCAGTGAAAATGAAAAGATATGGGACTTAGGTATGTGACAAATGCATCTTTACAAATGTGTGTGTGTATGCACATATGTGTGCATGCGTGTGGAGAGGGGGTGGTAATTAAATAATTGGATAAATTAGGCTTAGAAAATTGACTATTTATGTTTGGGCGCCATTGGCTCACGCCTGTAATCCCAGCGCTTTGGGAGGCCGAGTTGGGTGGATCACAGAGTCAAGAGATCGAGACTATCCTGGCCAACATTGTGAAACCCCGTCTCTACTAAAAATACAAAAATTAGCTGGATGTGGTGGTGCATGCCTGTAGTCCCAGCTACACAGGAAGCTGAGGCAGGAGAATCTCTTGAACCTGAGAGGCGAAGGTTGCAGTGAGCTGAGATCATGCCACTGCACTCCAGCCTAGGCGACGGTGCGAGACTCTGTCTCCAAAAAGAAAAAAAAGAAAATTGACTATTTATGGAAAAAGACAGATTATACCTTAAGTGAATTAAAAAATAAACTTCAACTTCATATGTCGTAAAGACTAAATATGTAAAAGAAAATTGTACATTAAAAGAAATGAATAATATTTCTATTATCTTAGAGGAGTGGCATTTTCTTACAGAAACAAAAATCAATCAACCAGTAAATTTGAATACATTAAGATTTGCAAATACATATGGTCGAAAACACCATATGTGAAATAAAAAGATATGGAAGACTGTGGGATGATTTTTACCACACCTATATTAGACATGACTTCCTTTCATCCTAAGACTTTCATCTCCTCTTCACTTCTTTGTCTGCGCGCCTGTGGCCACATTCTCAGGAGAGGCTTTTGTTCGAACACAATCCTTTTTTATCCACTTTATCACTGCTTCATTTCAGCCAAATAGGTGTCTTAACATTAAGTACTGTATCAATTCATCTCTTGGCTCTATCAGTTGTTTCCTTTCAATTTCCTTTCAGGCTGCATCTTTTAGTCCAGTATTTTAAGGATCCTTGGCCAATATCTTCAAACCTCTTAACATTGTTTTTATTTTTCTTTGCACTAGTAATAACATTGTATCTTTGTATCAATATGAATATCCACCCTAAAATCACTTATTTTAGCTTCTTGCTATAAACTCAGAAAACAGTGCCTCATGTTTAACAGAAAATGCACAATGAGAGACACACACAAAAGGGAGAGTGAGAAGACTGGAGAGAGATTTCCATTCGTTCAATTTCTTGCCAATATTTAGTATGCATTCATATTGTTCTCTTCTACTCTTCATCTCCTTATATTCATCACAGTTATCACCTAGCAGACAAGCAAAAGGCAGAAGTTTTGAACCAATCTGTCTACATATAAAAAGTGACTCCACCTCACACCTGCTACCTTACCATTATACTGTTTTTCCGTATTGTGATGGTTAATACTCAGTGTCAACTTGATTGGATTGAAGGATGCAAAGTATTAATCCTGGATGTGTCTGTGGGGATGTTGCCAAAAGAGATTAACATTTCAGTCAGTCTACTAGGAAAGGCAGACCCACCCTTAATCTGGGTGAGCACCATCTAATAAACTGCCAGCGAATATAAAGCAGGCAGAAAAGTGTGTACTTAAACTCTCTCTCTCTCTCTCCCTCCATATATATATATATATATATTCTATTCTATTAGTTCTGTCCCTTAGAGAACCCTAACACACACACCTTAGTTTCTTCATTTATAAAATAAAAATAGGATAATGTTAATATAAGCAGCAAATTAATACAGCTAAGCTGGAGTTGGGACACTTTCCATAAACAGTAAGAGCTATATCAATATTTTCTTTTTCTTACTATGATTGAGTCCTGTACTATTATTTTGTATGAGAGCATCCCTTATGTTTTAATCTGTATCTCAATCTATAGTTTCATTCCTAGAAATCTGTATAAATTATACTTTCTCCCTTTTATTATCTTTCCTTTCTCTCTTTATATTTTCTCATCAGAGTTGAAATTCCTCTGTTATACAGGTCCTTTCATTACTAAAAAAAAAGTCTCAATCACGCATCACTTTCCAGTTTCCTACTTGTTGTTATTTCCTTCACCAACAGTTTGCATGTATACTTTTTACATCCTAGCTTTCCAAAGTCACTTCAATTTTCCTTTTTATCCAACTACTTTATTAAAATTACTCTCATACTGTCATCAAGAAACTCTTGATAAGTAAAGTTGCCATAATATTCAACATAGCCATCCAACAATTATGGTCCACTTTGTCATTGGTATAATGTAGTAAAGGTGGAATTAGTCAAACTGAGAAACACTTAGAGGGATATCACACATATCTTCCCATGTGTGGCTCAGAGAAAACAGCTTTACCAAATGTGAAGTGGTCCAGTACTACTCCCCTCAATTACCATAACAACATCTATCTTTTTATTATCTCTGACATAACGATTAACCTCTTAATTCTGGCTGTACCTTTGGGAACATGGTTTGGAAAGATATGGGGAAATCTGGCAAAGTCTCTGGCAGTAATAAACTTCAGTCACCTCTGGTCATTGTATTCCTTCCAGTGTGTTCTGGTGTGCTATGATAGGACTCAACAGTATTAACATTTAACAATACAATGCATATTTTATTGTGTGTCCTCAAATTACGAGTCATACAAAGTAATACGTTCACATTACCAGCAAAAAATAGAAATAAAAATTATCCAATCTCAGCAATAGATCCAAAGAACAAAAACAAAGCAATAAATTTAGATAACAGCAAATACATAACATCTATTATTGACTAGGTATTGCTGTGAATACTGTTATTTATATACACTATTTAGTTTCTGACTAAAAAGAATCCATTCAGTAGGTGAACTATTTTTATGCTAATTTCACAAACGATGAATCTGAAACACAAATAATTTTCCCAGATCAAAAAGAACTTGTCTGTGGTTAGCAAGATGTCCTACAATTCTCACTTGCCATCTTTAAAAGCAATCTTGGAAGATTCAATGCTCTTTCTTGATTGTGCTCTTCCTTCTGTCGATGCTGAGTTTTTTTCCACGGAAACATTTCTTTTTCTTTCATGATATTGCACTCCCCTAATCTTTCTCTGCCTCTGTGACTGCTCTTTCTCAGAGTCCTTTTCAAGTCTTCTAATTTTGTGAGCATATCTGAAATCCTGGTATTCCTTAGCATCTTTTCCTTGGCAGGCTTCTCGCAATCCCCCTAAGGAATCTCATCATTCCAAAGACCTTTGTTGCCATGATATAGGCTCCGACATAGATTTCTGCTATCCAGATGGCTTTCCTGATCTTCGTACCTGCATATAAAACTGCCTAATGAACAGGAAACTCAGGTTGCATTGGCCCTAACTGAACTCATTGTCCTTCTTCTCCTGCCCTTGGTGCATTTCATCTATTCGCCCTTCCGCATGGCCAGTGCTAAAGGCTACAAAAGTGGGCACCATTCTAGACTTATCTCCCTCTATCTCTCTCACTGATCCCTATATCCAGTCAATGACGATGTTAAATGAATTTTACATCTCCAAGTTTATCCACAATCCTCACAATTTGTGTTGTGTTTCAAACTTTCATCACTTCTGCTCAGATTACTCCAATTTTCCTCAGTGCAATCCCTTTCTTGAGTTTGGCTGCCTTAAATTTGTGTTTTAGTCAGCCACTCACAAAATCTTTTCAAAATGTAAACATAATGTATTCAAACCCCATGCTTAAAATTCTTTAATGAATGCTGTCGGTACTTAGGTGAGAATTTAAAGTCTTTAGCATACATAACAGACACATCTCTTGCTGTTGTTCCTCTTGAACTTTATACTGCAGCCAAACTGAGCATTTCTCTGACCATGTTATTCTTGTTGTTCACTTAAGTGCCCTTCACTTAAGTGCCTTGGAAATCTTTGCTACTTATGTAAAAATATCTGTTGGAGACTTCCATTTCTGGTCAGGTTTTTCCCTTGAAGTTTATTTAGTTATTAATCTATCAGGAAAGATATTCCAGGGGCTCCTAATGCTATTTAGAAGACTACATGGTGTATTGCCCATATAAGGAAAGTTAACGTGTGTATATTTAACTTACTAAATATACTGTAATTGTCTGTTTACTGATCTGCTGTTACCAGTGCATTCTACAATATTAACAACTTTAGAAGGATATTAAAGAAACGATATGATCCAAAACTCTATATAAATTCTACTTCAAAATGAAGGTAAAATAAAGATGTTTTCAGATAACAAAAGTTCAGAGAAGTTTCCACAGCAGCGTACTACTAAAATAAATTTTAAAAGTTCTTCAGGCTGAAGGAAAATATGGCATACAAGACCACTATCTAAAGAATAGAATGCAGGTCACTGGAAACAGTAATATTTGGCAAACAAAATAAACAATTTACCCTTCTTTAAATTAGTTGTATATAAATATCTAAAGTAGAAAATAAAATATAGTAACTTTTTTTCCCCTAGGAGCTAAATTATTTATTTATTTATTTATTTATTTATTTATTTATTTATTTATTTGTTCGAGACAGAGTCTCGCTCTGTCACCCAGGCTGGAGTGCAGTGGCGCCATCTCGGCTCACGGCAAGCTCCGCCTCCCGGGTTTATGCCACTCTCCTGCCTCAGCCTCCCGAGTAGCTGGGACTACAGGCAACCGCCACCACGCCCGGCTAATTTTTTGTATTTTTGATAGAGACGGGGTTTCACTGTTTTAGCCAGGATGGTCTCGATCTCTAGGAGCTAATTTTTTTTTTTTTTTTTTTGAGACGGAGTCTCGCTCTGTCGCCCAGGCTGGAGTGCAGTGGCGTGATCTCTGCTCACCACAAACTCCCGGGTTCAGGCCATTCTCCTGCCTCAGCCTCCCGAGTAGCTGGGACTACAGGTGCCTGCTATCACGCCCGGCCAATTTTTTTGTATTTTTTTTAGTAGAGACGGTTTCATCGTGTTAGCCAGGAAGGTCTTGATCTCCTGACCTCGTGATCCACCCATCTCGGCCTCCCAAAGTGCTGGGATTACAGGCGTGAGCCACCGCGCCCAGCCTCTAGGAGCTAAATTTTAAAATATTCTACTTATGAATACATTTGTACACTTTTTAATGTATCCGTCTCTTATAAAAAGAATGAAATTTCTTAAAAATTTCAACAACCTCTACATTGCATTTGTAATATTCATCTTTATGAATTTTATTCTAAATGTGCACACAATATGCTCTGGACTGATTTCTTATTAATTATATTACAGTAAATAATTAGCATTTCTCTTTGTCCCAGGCCTTACCCCTGATATGATATGATGTGATAAGAGCCAATGGGATTTTGTTTTTCTACATGAGTATCTTGGATGTCACATGTGAGAGAGCCAAAACAAATGTATTTATTTTTTTCTGTTCATTAAGGAGAAGGGGGCATCTGTCCCTGCCCTTTCTCAGAAGGTCTCCTTCTTCCAACCCTTTGGCAGGCAAATAGAATCTCTCCATGAGCCAGACAGTCTGCAGGGTCCTTGGGTTTCATTCTTCGTTGAAATTAACTACCTAGGAAGATGAAGCACCGGCCTCTCGGCTACCTTGGGAGCATAACCTGGAGACCTAGCCCTTGTTGTGTCCTAAACATTGGGCCGTCTTGGTGAGCTATAAGATGTGATGTTTTCATATTTTGGGGGGATTAAACATTTAGCTACATAAATGGATACAAATATAATTCTCATGGTAGGTGAAGGGTCTCAGAAGACTAGAGTTATTACAGGAGCAC
Source organism: Homo sapiens (assembly GCF_000001405.40). Classification (NCBI taxonomy): domain Eukaryota; kingdom Metazoa; phylum Chordata; class Mammalia; order Primates; family Hominidae; genus Homo; species Homo sapiens. The sequence goes on along the minus strand of NC_000018.10, from coordinate 66,186,541 downwards.
TGATGAATCTACGGAAGTTTTATTTGTCCACACTCTAAAAGAATGTTATTTTATTATCAGGAAATAATTTTAGTACATTAAAAACAATAAATAATATCCACAAGTTATGAATTCCTAAATGAGTAGAATATACTAAAATTAACAGTATATTATGTAAACCGAATTTATATATACTTTTTTATTAATGCAATAATTTATAGAATTTGTCATCCTCAAAAATATTATCTTAGTGTTGTATTTCATGCTTGGTATTCCATATGAATAAACAATCAAATTTTTACCTGAATGAATTTTGTTCCCCAGAAATACAGCTCTATTTGGAATAGATTTATTCATAGACAAGATTATAGTTATATTTTTCTATTATTCTACATTGTTTGTTGATTAGGTTGTAGAAAATAGAATGTGTTTGTGTGTGTATATATATATATACACACACACACACAAGAATATTCTGGAAAATTTCTAAATCCTGTAATAGTATCTTTTATAGTTCATTTTCTATCTCCTTTTGTTTGTTTTTGCTTTATCATTAATGGTAAGGACCAATCAAAATATCTTCAGAACTGGAATGATTAAAATTTAATATGGAGAATTGAGTTGTGCCAAAATCTTGTGGTAAATCCAGTTTTGATACTAAGTCAGACACACATAGGATGATGAAGGAAGTTCAAAGGAGTGAGACAATAATACTACTAGATATATTTATTATACATCATATTAAATAAATATTTTATAGCTTCAGAAATATAACACAAACTATTTGAATATCTCAACATGTAGATTGGTCAAGGACATAATCTATACAATGTATCTAGCATTTCTTTAAAATTTAATATCTTTAATAAAATATTTTTTGTGTTACTGAACAAGTAAAAAAACAAAACGGAAAATTTTAGTGCTAGGAATAATCCCACATTTCTAGATTATAACTACTTTTATACTTTCTGCAATATAGAGGATTCACTTATCACCCTATTATTAAGTAAGCATATTCTCTGTGGTAGAGAAATTTCGACAAAAGCATGAGTACATATGTTGGGAGATGAAAAAAATGTTTCAAATATATATATAAAAAGAAAATGCTGAGCTCAAATCAGGGGTCAATAAACATTTTTTCTAAAAAGGGCAAGTTAGAAAATATTTTAGTCTTTGTAGGTCACTTGAGCTCTGTTGCAACTACTCAGCTTTGCCGTAATAGCAGAAAGGGAACCCTATAAAACATACATGTATGAGTGTGGCTGCGCTCTAACAAAAATGTACTTGCAAACCGGAGGTAGATCAAATTCAACCCAAGCATCTTAGTTGGCTAAGTTCTCATTTAAATAGTTAAATTGGCTTTTATGTATCTTAATTTGTTATTTGTTTTTATAAAAGTTGCCATAGCATTTTTTCTCTAATAAAAATGGATTTATCAATAGATTTCTAAATCTGAATTCTAAATTAAAATTTAAATTGGTAAACTCTAGCCAGAGAAATTGGAAAATTGACAATATTATTTATAAACTATAAAATAAAGGTGGTAATATTGCATGGCACTTGAAATCTTTCAAAACCTGTATGCTTCGAAAATTTGAATCATTTCTAATAATAATATATTCAAAACCAATATGTTAAAGCATTTTATTACATTTTAAATATAATTATTGCTTTTTCATAAATTAATAGCAAAGCACATTTGGGTAGTCCTTTAATATATTATTAAATTCATTCATATTTATGTATTAAATCACCAGTAAAACTTAAATGTAAATGTTAATTTATACATATATGTGGATTATAATATTTTAAATATAACAATTTTAGCCATTAATTAAAGGCAAATCTGTAGACAGAAAAAAAGCCTACAATTTACCTTAGAATTCTAACATATCTAAATAAAAATAAAAAAGTAGTCAAGATATTTATCTCAAATTCTGTTTTACTCATTTTGTATGGGCAGATGTTTACTTAATTAAATTCTGTTATCTGAAATAACTCAAATTATTTAAATATCTAAAGTATTAATAAAAGTACAATTTCCACAATTTTTAAAAGGGTTGAATTTAATTTAAGATATTTTATAATGGTCCAAAATAAGTTAATTGGCATCCCACTGCTTAATTGGATGTAGATTTTTTTAAATTTATAATTTTACCATAAAAAGAAGAAAATTAAGAAAGATTTCCAAGAAAAATACACGTCTGTGGAAACAGGGAAGTTAACATGAATTCAATTTCACTAAAGGGCCAACCTTTCTTAGTTTGTCAGATGCTACTACCTATCTTTATCGCTGAAGGATAGAGAGTTGCCTCAGATGGGTTGACAGAGTAACAGATTTGTCATAGAGGCAGGAACTTTGCTGAGATGACAAGAAATGAACCAAATTCTGGTGACATTTTTCTTGGCATGACAAATTCAAATCTGAAAGGAAACAAAACAGAACTAGTCTAGTTTTTCCCTATAGGACTTTTTGCTCATCAATTATTCCCCACAGGATTTGGTGAATAAGTGGGACTAGATACATCTGGGAACTGGGCTGAAGAGCAGAAATAAATTACTCGGATGTTTCATGATAAGATTCACAACGTCATGATCAAATCAAGAGAAAGATTTGCTCTCAACACATTTGAAATGAAGTGTAACTGCTGTTGATTAAATTAGTAAACAAAAATCCTGACTTAACCTCTCAAGTTAAAGACATCAAACTCTCATTTTAACTTCAGGACAGAAAACAGCAAGTTCTTTGTGAGAAAACATTGTCTAATTCAGTACTCGCTGTACTATTATGCCCAACAGCTAACAAAATATTTTTCAAAAAGGTTTAAAATGTAAAAAGGAAAATGTCACCCATAATGAAAAGATAAAATCATATATAGAAGCACATACAATTAGATATTGTAAATGCTAAGAAAGGGCTTTATAATATATATTAAAATATGTTAATCTATATACATACATATACACACACATATATATATATATAAAATCACACACACATAATGACTAAAATGTTAACATATCTCAAGAAGGGTTACTACAAGAGAAAAATAGATTTTATGAAAAAGAACTGAGTATAAATTCTAGAACTGAAAAATATAATATCTGGAATAAAGAATACCTTGGAATAAGTTTAGACATGATATAAAAGCGAAGTATTTGAAAATACTGAATCTAATTTAAGATAGAAAAATAGAAAAAATACAAAAAACGTGAAATAAATAGAAAAGTAAAAATGAGAGGATGGGCTTAAACTCAATCATATTGATAATTAAATTGAATGTAAATGGCCAAAATGTTCCACTTAAAAGGCAGATATTGATAGATTTGATGAAAGATCAAGATGCAATAGTATGTTGTATACAAGAACCATGTATTACATATAAAATAAAAATATTAAAATTATGCATACAATGCCAAAACAGATAATAAGAAAGCTCTAGTGGATATATAATTTCTGACAAGGTAGATTTGTATATAAGCAATATTTTCAGCACTAAATGGGTTATTTATTATATTAAAATGTCAATAAATCAAGAAGAGACAAAATAGTTAAACAAAAATAAATGTAATAGCATAACTTTAAAATGCATGAAATAGAAACTGAAAGAAAAAACTGAAAGTAGGAATATAATCTGTAATTTTAATTGTAAATTTAAATTTTTGTACTTTAGAATTTGTAGAGAAATTAAATGAAAATATCTGTAAACATATCAAAGCCTTTTATAATATTATTAACCAAATTATTAATTTAATTGACTTTTGCTCTCCATAGCAGGAGAAAATCACATTATGTTCAAGGGCATAGGAAGTTTTTATTAATAGATACCATTTGGTGGACAATTGAAGAATGTCAGTAAAGTTAAATTTCTCCCTTTAGAAGGTACTTTTGCCCCATTTTTTATACTGTATCCCTTGATTGATGCTCCACTTCCTTAAGGCTGGGGTGTTTATGTAAATTATTTGGAATTCTTTTGCATAATTTTTTTTTTTTTTTGAGATAGAGTCCTGCTCTGTCTCCCAAGCTGGAGTGCAGTGGCACGATTTTGGCTCACTTCAGCCTCCACCTTCTGGGTTCAAGCGACTCTCCTGCCTCAGCTTCCTGAGTGGCTGGGAATATGCTCTCGTGACCATTCCCGGCTATTTTTTCTATTTTTTTTCTTTTTTTTTTTTTTTTTTAGTAGTGATGGGGTCTCACCATGTTGGCCAGGCTGGCCTGAAACTCCTGGCCTCAGGTGATCTGCTCGCCTCAGCCACCCGAAGTGCTGGATTACAGGTGTGAGCCACTGTGCCTGGTATTTATCTTTTGCCATTTATTAGTTTAGTCTTTCTTTATGTTAATGTAAAACTATGGATATTTATTTTATACCTCGTGTTATTATCCAATAATTATTTATTTTCTTTTTCAAATTATTTCCGCTTTGGCCATTGGAAGCTCTCTCAGTTGGCTCTGAAGTTCATTCAGAATCTGCCATTCATTTCCTTAATTATTCATTTCAGTAAACCTGTTCAGCAGCGTCAGTATTGTTAAACAGTACCCAGTGGGAAACAACTTTAACAAGTAGAGTATGTAGTGTCCCATTTGCTTTAGTCTTAGAGACACTGCTAATTTTCAAAGTTACTTAGGTCATCCACAGTTTAGCATACCATTCAGTAAGGTTGTTCACACATTTTCTGTAAAATTAACTTATTCTTTGTTACAGTCAACACTCCATTCACGAATTTCCTTGACCTCTCTTTTTTTATTGCAAATTATATAATTTACACTTGCAACTATAAAGTTTAATGAGTTTTGACATTTGCATAGTGTCAGGTATCCACCACTACAATATCACATAAAATAGTTTTGTTACCCCGAAATATCCCCTGTTTCACCTATTCAACTCTCCTCTCCAATAAACCGTGGCAAACACTAATTTGTTTGCTGTCTCTATGGCTTTTACCTTTCTAAAATATCATATAAATGGAAATATACAGTGTGCAACCTTTTCAGGCTGGCTTCTTTCCCTTAGCCATATGCATTAACATTCAACCATAATTTTCATTGTTTGATAGATAGTTCCTTCTTTATCTCTGAATAGCATTCCACTGCATGATATACCACACTTAAAAAAAAAATTCACCTATTAAATGATACCTTGGCCAGGCGCAGTGACTAGCGCCTGCAATCCCAGCACTTTGGGAGGCAAAGGCAGGCGTATCACTTGAGGTCAGAAGTTCGAGACCAGGCAGGCCAACACGGTGAAACCCTATCTCTACTAAAATTACAAAAGTTAACTGAGCATGGTGGTGTGTGCCTGTAATCCCAGCTACTCGGGAAACTGAGGCAGGAGAATCACTTGAACCCAGGAGGCGGAGGTTGCAGTGAGCCGGGATTGCACCACTGCACTCCAGCCTGGGTGACAGAGCGAGACTCCATCTCCAAAAAATAAAAATAAAAATAAAAATAAATGATATCGTGATTACTTCCAGTTTTTGGCTATTCTGAACACTACTTCAATAAACAGTCACATGCAGGTTTTTGTGTGGACATACGTTTTCAAGTCAGTTGGATAGATACCTAATTATATTACTAGTAGATGCTATGATGAAGCCATGTCTACTTTTGTAGGAAATTACCAACCACCTGCAGCGTGGCTGTACCAGTTTGCATTCTCACTAACAAAGAGTGAGAATTCCTGTTGATCTGTATACTTACTAGCAATTAGTAGTATTGTCGTTTTATTATTATGGCCTTTTGAGTTTGCTTTTTGAAATTTTAAATGTTAATTGAGGAATAATTTATATCTCATAATATTCAAGAGAAATGAAAATATATGTCCACACAAAATCTGGTACGTAAATCCCCATTTTCTCTTCTCCTTTTGTTATTCCTATAACACAAATTTTTGGTATTTTGCCATGGTTCTTGTATACTTTTTAAAGAACTTATTATTTGTTCTCTTTGCATTTCAATATGTGGTACTCTTTGTGAATGTCTTCTGTAGTCATTTATGCCAGAGACTTCCAACTCTACTAGTGTTCTTACTTTGACTTTCCTCTTCATTCTGAGCCTTTAGAAGTAAGCCTCCTTAAAAAGAGTTGTGTCTCACAGGTCTTATGATTGTAGTCCATTGTTATTATTCTATAGGTGGTGAGGCTGAAGGACATCACATTAGGTGAAATAAGCCAATCACAGAAGTACAAACACTGTGTGATCTCACTCGTATGTGGAATCTAAACAAAAGTTGATTTCATAGAAGTAGAGAGTAGAAGAGTGGTTACAAGAGACTGGGGAGGGTAGGGGGAAGGAGGAACTGGGAGAAATTGGTCCATGAGTACAAAGTTACAGATAGACAAGAACAATAAACTCTGGTATTTTATTATACAGTAGTGTGACTATAGCTAATAACAATGTAGTGTATATTTCGAGATAGCTAGAGGAAAAGATTTTTGTATCACTTCAAAGAAATGATAAATGTTTAAGGTGATGGATATGGTAATTACCCTGATTTGATTATTACACAATGTGTAAATGCATTGAAACATCACACTGTACCCCATGAATATGTACAATTATGTGTCAATTTTAAATAAAAATTAATTTCAAAATTAATTAAACTCAACGTTTAAAAATACTGTTTTCAGTTTGTCCAGCTTTCTCTTGTTGTAAGGATGAGTGACAACTTCTAGGCGCTTTACATATCACCGCTGAAACCTCAAGTCCCAATACAGTCATGCATTATTTAACGAGGTGGATGCACTCTGAGAAGTGCATTGTTAGGCAAGTCATTGTGCAAACACCATAGAATGTACTTACAAAAACCTAGACAGTATCACCTACTATACACCTACACTATGTAGTATAGCCTATGGCTCCTGGGCTGCAAACCTATACAGATTTTTACTATATTGAATACTATAGTCCATTGTAACACAGTCATAAGTATTTATATATCTAAACAGAGAAAATGTACATTACAAATACTGTATTATAATCGTATGAGAGCCCAGTTATATATGCGGTCTGAGATTGACAGTGAAATGTTACATGGCACATGACTGTACCAGAATTTTTGTTTTGAATTATCACATGCACTTTGAATAAGAGGCAAACAGATAAAATTTGTATTTACCCAGACATTGGCCATTTTGTATTCTTCTACTTTTTCTCAAAGATCCACTTAACTATATATAAACAAATGATTAATTTGGCTTCAAGGGCTAGAGGTAGTTATTATTAAAAGAATTTAAATATTAATTTTGTAAGTCAAGAAAAATCAAAAGCTCATGAAATGGGGAAAAAATATCCAGCAGAAACAATAAAAATGACCTAATAAAATACATGTTGTTTGAATGTTGTTCTCCAAGTCTCTTAACTGATTATATTTTGTCTGCTGTGCATTCCAATTAATACTTTTTCTGAAATAGTTATGAATTGTCTAATATTCTGAAAATGTTATATTTTTTCTTAACATTCTATTCTAATCTGTTTTTAACCTACAGGGTTTCTTTCAGCTTTACTTAGATTACATTATTAACATATGACCCACTGCATTTCTATTTTGGGAAAGCATCCTTTTAGAGACTTTCTACTAGGATATCTTAAAATTCTTTATGATAAGGCCACCACCAGAAGAAATTATTCAGAAACAGTTTAGAGATGTGAAACCCTTGCCTAATGCTATCTTAGAGTGCCAAGGGAGAAAAGCACATCTTAATATGTGCTTGGCATATATTCAGAGAAAGCATGTCAAACAAGCTTAATTTTGTGTGAATCTCAAGACTTTTTCTGTGAAACAGCTTTCTTCTACTACTCACTAGAAAAAAAAAAACTTTCCCTTACTTTCAGATATTACCCACTTTGCCTTTCCTTTTGCATTTGAAGTGTTTGGAAATACAGTCATAGACCACATAATGACAGTCTGCATATGCAACGGTGGTCCCATAAGACATAAGATTATAATGGAGCTTTTATTGTCCCTGAAGACCTTCCAGTGACACAAAACGTGGAGGTGGAAGACAGTGATATTGATGATCTTGACCCCGGGTAAGCCTATGATAATGTGTGTGCTTGTGTCTTAGTTTTTTAAATAAAGAGTTAAAGAAGTAAAATAAAGAGAGAATTTAAAAATAAGAAAAAACATATAGAATAAAAATGTTTTAAAAATATATTTGTACAGCTTACAATGTTTTTGCATTTTAGCTAAATGTTATTATGAGTCAAAAGTTTAAAAAATTAAAGTTTATAAAGTAAAAAGGTTATAGTAACATAGATTAATTTATTATTGAAGAAAGAAAACTTTTGAAATAAGTTTGGTGTAGTGTAAGTGTACATTGTTTATAAAGCCTACAGTGGTGTATAGTAATGTCCTAGGCCCTCAGATTGACTTGTCACCCACTCACTGACCCACCCAGAGAAACTTCCAGTCCTGCAAGCTCTATTCCTGGCAAGTGACCAGACAAGTATACCACTTTTTTTTTCTTTTGCACCACATTTGTGTTGCGTCTTTTCTATTTAGATGTGTTTATATACACAAATAGTTACCATTGTGTTACAATGGCCTTTAGTATTCATGAGACTAATATGCTGTACAGATTTGTAGCCTAGAATTAATAGGCAACATCATGTAGCTTAGATGTGTAGTAGGCTATATATACCATGTAGGTTTACATAAGTACACACCGTGATGTTTGCACAATGACAAAAATCAGCTAGATTAATTAATTGGAATGTATGCTCATCATTAAGTGTTATGTGACTGTATTTCATTTCTTCACCATTAAAATAAGTTACTAAACTCTGTAAAGTTTACCTGAAGATGCAGAATGTATTGTTCATGTTCTGCTGATAAGAAATTATTTGCTGAAAGCATTATAGGTTTTTAGTAAGCAAAGTCAGCTTAATTCATGTAGCTAAATGAAGTATGTGGTGGCTGTACAATTTAGCCAATTAGTAGGTAACATCATTATGGAAAACACTGAATTATTAAATTTTGTTTATAACAAGGACAGGGGAGAAAAGATTATGAAACACTCTACTGCATAAATCTTACACTTCCAGAATGCTTCAAACATTGTGCTGTCTTGTTGGTTCTTACAGGGATACAGTGGTTTTTAGATTAGTGTAAAATAACACACATGGCACAAGTTGATACTAGATTTATGTGTATATATTTTTTGCAGTTTATAAAGCCTCATAGGTGAATTTATTAGTATATTTTCGCCAAATGTGTTTGTTACAGAATGTCACCCAATACATAGGATTTGGTGAACACAGAAATAATATTCTCTTTACAAATTTACTTTGTATTTAATCATTAGCTTAATAAGAATATATGAAATATTTATTCTATGTTAAGCCACAATACAAACAAAAATGATAAACACATAGTTTCTGACTACAAAAGAAGCTCAAAGTCCAGAATTTAAAGCTGCCACTAAGAGGATAGAAGTGTGTGAAAGACTATGCCTCTTATATTACATCTCAATAAGGAGAAAATGCACTTAGAGTTTAATTTCTGAATATATGGCAAAATATATAACATTTCGATGAATTATTTTGAGAAAGAGACATATAATTTAGGAAGGAATTAAATTCCTATTTCTGATACAGAGTTCCACATGGAGAACTCGCTATTACAATAATCCTTCTGCTATTTGTAATCTCTTCCATTTCTCTAGAGGACTGGTATGGTGACTTTAAAATTAAAAAAAAAAAAAAAGCTGGCTTGAGTTTCTCAACTTTTCCTTGTCTTGGATGACAGCTGTTTGAAGGAAATAAATAGGCTTCTCCACACCAGAAGGAATAAATAAATGGGATCTCCACACCAAAAGTCTTCCAGGGATAAACCATGGGATGATGGCATTTTCAGTGCTGCTTGTAGCTCGGTGACTAATTTGTCTCTCAATTGTTCCAATCTCAGGCAGAGAACAAGCAGGGAAATAATTCATTGAGCCCCAGTTTCTCAAAACACTGTCTCTCAATGTGTCTGATATGTCTAGATTTACTTCCTGGTCCCTGTTTCCCTGAGATCAGATTAATAAGTTGGCTCTTGTTCACAATTGCAGACTGGGACCAAATGAGAAAGGGATTCACATCTCTCACCTCTCTCACAAAAGATATGCATGAATTTTATCCAGTCCATGATTGGCATGGTGCTGGAGATCAATCTTATTCTAGAAATTTCTTCTTTCATTCTTCCCTCTCTCACTGCTGCTGCTGCTGCTTACTGTAATTTTTTTTTTTCTTTTTTTTTTTGAGATGGAGTCTCACTCTGTCGCCAGGCTAGAGTGCTGTGGCGTGATCTCGGCTCACTGCAACCTCCAACTCCCTGGTTCAAGGGATTCTCCTGCCTCCGCCTCCTGAGTAGCTGGGATTACAGGCATGCACCACCATGCCCGGCTAATTTTTGTATTTTTAGTAGAGATGGGGTTTCACTATGTTGTCCAGGATGGTCTCGATCTCCTGACCTCATGATCTGCCTGCCTCGGCCTCCCAAAGTGCTGGTTTTACAGGTGTGAGCCACCGTGCCCGGCCTGCTTAATGTAATTCTTATTCTTTGCCCAAGCACCAAGAGTTGAATCTCTATAAAGGCAAATTTGCTGTGCTTCCTTCTACTGAAGAAGTTTCCCCTAAGACTAAAGCATTCTGCTACAATGGTTAAGAAGATATGAGCTTTAACAATTTTTGTTCTCATTTTATAGACACAATTGAAATTCTAAAACAGCTGAATTTATTATTAGATTATTATAAAAATATAATTTTCAGTAAACAATTTGGATGGATTTGATTTCAAACCATTGTAATGTAGTCTCGTCTGTATATTTATATAGCACTTTTGTACATTTTAACTTCAGTATCTTTAGAAATATATATGATTTGATGAGAAACTAAGGTATAGTGAAGTCAATCAAGTTCATTGTCAATTCAGTCCATTTTAGTGCTATGGTTGAACGTTTGTGTAGCCCCAAAATTCATATATTGAAACAGAATTCACAACTTGGTGTTATTACGAAGTGGATCTTTTGGGAAGTGATTAAGTCATAAGGATTCTACTCTTATTAATGAGATGGGCATCTTTATAAAAGTGGCTAAATGAATCATGCTTGTCTCTTCTGCCACATGAATACACAGCTACATGGTGCCATCGGTAAAGAATGGGCCCTCACCAGATCAAAACTGCCGGCATGTTTGTCTGGAACACCCCAGTATCCACAACTGTCAGCAGTAAATTTCTGTGATTTATTAACTACCCAGTCTAAAGCATTTTGCTATCGCAGCAAGAATGAATTAAGACATCTAGTCTTTTTTTTTTTTTTTCCATGGTACTGTATTCTTGCACCAGATATCCATGTTGTTATTTGTCAAGTCTTAATTTGGAGTTAGAATAGCAGGGAAAAGCATACAAATATACCTTTATGAAATGAAGGAAAGGCAGATTTGCCTTCACCATGGTGAAAAATTAAGAACAAAAGTTTAAACTGGAGGGTAGGCAAGACCTTTGGTGACACAAGGGTTGTCATAATCTAAGTATTTTGTTATTGTTGTTGTTTTCATCTCTGTAGCAATTGGAAAGCAATAAAGTCCTTTAAGCAGAGGGAGAGACTGGTGGGGAAGACATCAGCAACAAAATAATTTTTGTTGATGAATTATCATAGTTTGCAGGGTAAATAATTCATTTGATTTTTATATCTTTAAAAACTCATCTAAATAGATAAAATAATATGACAGCAAAATGTTTTTAGTACTGTTCATACTTCCCATTCCTATATTTATATAAATATTAAGATATGATAAGACAAATGTAAAATATAGTTTTGTTTATTTTATCACTATGGATCAGAGAATGTGCACTTGTTAGAATGAGTGCTACTTTTTGACCTAATGTTTGAAGACAGTAAGAAGTAAAATAAAGACACTTGTTTTTTTTTTCATTATAAATCTGTTAGACAAATGCATCAACTCTGCTTCTAATTATTTTATGATACTTTATTATAACTAATATATTTACAAGACATACATATGTATATGTGTAAAAATACACAATAATGTTAGATATTAAGAAGATACAAACATTCAACTTATCTTCTGTAGAGAGTTCTCTCAATTCAGTGCCCTTTATTCCTCTATCTTTCTTAAAAGCTAAGATTCTTGGAGACAAGTAAATATTATTAGTAGCAAAAACAAGCAACAGCTGTTTTTTTTATTTTTATTTTTTGAGATTCACAAAAAAACTCATTTACCAAACATTTACAAATCAGTACGACCAAATAAAAATTTAAAACAATAACAATTAAATATGGTGAACTAATTTTAAAAAGGTTGTTATTGTTTCTGTTAGTCTAGAAATAAGTTTAAAATAGTCTAATTAACAGAATAGGCTATCATTTTTCTTGAACTTCAGGAGATTCTATTTGCAAGCCAGGTTCTGCATGTGAGTTTTTAGTATCATGCTCCTTTTTTATCAGAAGCTGTGGAGCCACTCAAGTTTTGTTAGCAGAGCTGAAAACCTGCAGTAAGCAACTCCGCTTCTGAGTGGCATTCATTCAGGGAGCATGGGCTGAGCATCTATTACATGCCAAGCACATTCTACAATCCAGAGGGATGAATCAATGAACAAAGTCATGTATCTCCTGTAGTTTACATCTTAGTTGGAGAAGGCAAGTAAAGATATCCTTCAGTATTTGCTGACAGTTATGAAGAAAAATAATGTGGGAAAAGGGGAATCAAAAAGCACAGAATGTAAGAAAGGATCCGATCTAGAAAGAATTATAAAAGTTCTTACTGACAAGGTGGTAGTAGAGCAGAGACCTCCAAATAAAAATGATGGACTTTAGCAGGGCAGGACACAAGGTAGAAAGAACAGGCGTGGTTGCCAGCAAGTAATGTAAAATAGTGTAAAATAGGCCATTGTTATATTTTTGAAAAAAGGAGACAGTCTTTAAGATATAAAATATGTAGTTGTTTTTGAAAAAATGGACTACAAACTTTTCATTGTAATAATCATACTTATTTAAATATCCTGTATTTGTCATTTCAATATAAGTGTATGTTTCACATACATTTGTACTATGTAGTTAAATACGTGGGCTTAAATTTCTTTTTGGGCACACTTTTTCTACCTTTTTTTTTTTTTTTTTTTTGAGATGGAGCTCACTCTGTCGCCCAGGCTGGGGTGCAGTGGTATGATCTCAACTCACTGCATCCTCCACCTCCTGGGTTCAAGCAGTTCTCTTCCCTCAGCCTCCCGAGTGGCTGGGATTACAGGTGCCCGGCACCGCGGCTGGCTAATTTTTGTATTTTTAGTAGAGACGGTGTTTCACCATATTGGCCAGGCTGGTCTTGAACTCCTGACCTCACGTGATCTGCCCGCCTTGGCCTCCCAAAGTGCTGGGATTACAGGCGTAAGCCACCGCGCCTGATTTCCATCATATTTATTAATTGAATTGTTGATTGAGAGGTAATTGCAGCTGTGAAAAATAATACAGAAAAGTTCCATGTACTCTATATTTAAATTCCTTCAATGGAAACATCTTGCAAAATTATAGTACAATATTACAACTAAGATATTAAGAACTATAGAGTTAAGATATGGAATATTTACATGAGCCACACTCACTTACCTTCCACTTCCATTCACTCCTTGGCCCCTAACATTCATTAATCTGTTCTCCATTTCCATAATTTACTCATTGAAGAATGTTATTAAATTGCAATAGTATAGTATGTAACTTTCTGGATTTTTTTTTTTCAATTAGCATAGTTCTCTGGAGGCTCACTTCAGTTTTTGTATGTGTCAGTTGCTTCTTTGTATTACTGAGAAGTGTTTCATGGTATGGATATACCACAGTTTGTTTACACATTCACCTTCTGAAGGACATCTAGGTTGTTTCCAGTTTGGTGCTATTATGAAAAAATCTGCTATACATATTCATGTACAGATGGGTCTTTTTATTTTTATTGAGGTAGAATTAATATTAGATAAAGTTAGCCACTTTAACGTGTAAACATCAGTGGCATTTAGTACATTTACAATGTTGTACGACCTCCAACTTTATCTGTTTGAAAATAATTTTACCACTCCAAAAGCAAACCCCATACACCTTAAGTGCTCAGTCCTCATTACCTCTCCCTACATTTTCAGGCAAACACCAATTCACATTCTGACTATAGATTTACCTATTCTGAATATGTCATATAAGCAGAATAATGCAATATGTGGCCTTTTCTGTCTGGCTTCTTTCACTTAACATGTTTTAAAATTCATCCCCAAAGTACTTGTTTCTTTTAATGGCTGAATAATATTATTTTGTATGGCTATACCACATGCTGTTGGTTTTAAGTCTAAGAACTTTTTGCCTCACCTAAGATTCTGAAGATGTTATCCTGTTTTATTAAAGATTTTTATGATTTATATTTCAAATTTAAATTCACAATCCATTTTGAGTTAACTTTTCTGTAGGGTGTGAGACAGGTCATTTTTTGTTTGTTTTTACTTACTGATGTCCAATTGCCCCAGATTTATTTGTTGAAAAGGCTACCTTTTCTCCATTGAATTGCTTTTACACGTGTGGCAAAACTCTGTTTGGCTTATTTGTGTGGATTTATTTCCAGGTTCTGTATGCCATCCCATTGATCTATTTGCCTATATTTCTGCCATTACCACACACTGTTGATTATTATAGCTATATATTCAGCTTTGAAATTTGGTACCCTGATTCATTCTACTTTATTCTTCTTTTTACAAGATTATTTTAGGTATTAGTTATATGAAAAAGCATTTGTCCTATAAAGTTTAAAATAATAATGAATAAATACAAAAAAAATCTTACAGAGAATTTAGTAGGAATTTTGTTAAACTTGTTTATCAATTAGGGGATAATTGACACCTCTACCGTGTTGAGTCTTTTAATTCATAAAATAGTATGTATCTCCTTTTATTTAGATTTTCTTTGACCTCTTTTATCAGCAAAGAGTGACTGATGAGGAAGTATGCAACACACCAAAAGTACTGCCTATTTGTTTCCAATGTATATAGGTATAAATATGAAGAATATATGTGGGAATGGATATTAAGGGAGTGAGAAAATGATGAAAGGAACATAAAGTTAGATCAGAGCAAATGTATTGAGATAGGCCCACTAGGCAAAGATTCTTTATTTTAGCTTAAGGGGTTAGCAAGGATTTGGGTGTTTGGTTGGTTGACATGGGCTGAAGGATGGTCTATACTAAATGAAGTTCAAATGCCAGAAATACCTTGGAATACTGTCTAGGAAGGTATCTATTGGCTTAGGGCAGTTGGAATATTAGAGTGGGTTACCATGTAGGATGTGCTCACACACCCTGGGAAGGTCCAGAAAAGACAGGTTTTATCACAACTGAGATAAACAGATTTCTGTGGAGAGCCCCCAGCATCCTTAAAGAGTTCTGTGGTCCCTCTTCTCTGTAGTTCAGACTTTGCAGTGGGAACTGCTACCATGAAACTAAATGTTAATGGGGATAATGGAATCTCTGGTGACAGGGAATAAATGACAGCACTTGATCACCGAAGACAAAATTGCTATGGTTCCTGTTACTTGTGTAAGAGCCAAAGTGGTGACTAGAATAGTCTGACTTGCAGAGGTCTATGGCTTTGGCTAGTTCATCATGATATTTCAGGAAAAGAAATAGATAGGCAGGTTACTAAGTTCTTAATTCATTGGTACAAGCAGAAGAGTCTTAGGTCTATTGAACAGAATTCTAAGTTGAATCTCCAAAACAGAGAGTCACGCATAGTCCCACAAAAATTCTCAGTGCTAGTTTACAATACCAGAGTCTTGAAATGAAGGAAGGTGAGGTACCTTCAGAAAGAAACGGGTTGCATGGTCTAAAACTTGCTATTCCTCTGTTATCATCATTTTACAAACATCACTATGGCTATCATCAATAAAAGCCAAGTGGAAGACACTAGAACTGCCGTGGCTAGAAAAATAGTAAGTCAAAAGCAGTAAAGCATTCTCGGAGGGACTGCAGAGATGAGTGCCACCAGCAAGGGCTGAAGAGATGCACACTAATGATTCCCACCACATGTCCTTTCGACTTCTCTGTTTAGCCTGTGCAGAAACAAATGGATCTTGGAAAATGGCACTGAAACGTTGTCAACTTAATCAGGCAGTTTATCCCATTCCAGATGCACTGTCATATGTAGTTTCATTGCTTGAGAAAATTAACACATGCCCTAGGAACTGGTATGGAGCTATTAATTTGGCTTTTTAAAATCTATACTTCTTAGTAATGACCAACAGAGGCAGTTTGTTTTCAGCTGGCAAGGTCAGAAATACACATTCACTGTCTTATCTTAGGAGTATGTCAACTCTCTTTTCCATAATTTAGTTCATAGGGACCTTGATTGCCTTTCTCCTCCATAAAACATTATGACGGTTCATTACATTGATGATATTGTGCTGATTAGACCTGGTGAGAAGAAAGTTACAACTATTCTAGAAATACTGGCAAGACATTTGCATGTCAGAGGGTGGAAAATAAATCTGACAAAAATTCAGGGACCTTTCATATCAGTGGAATTTTGGTCATATGTGGCATGTTGAAATGTCCCTTCAAAGGTAAGGAATAAGTTACTGCTTTTAGCCCCTCACATCACCAATAAAGAGGTAGAAGGATTAGTGGTCCTCTTTGGATTTTGGAAGCAACATATTCCTTATTTGGGTATGATACTAGGGCCCATTATCGGAGTGACCTATAAAGATACTAGCTTGAGTGGAACCCAAAACAACAGAATGCTTTGCAGTTCTGCTGCTGTGCAAGCTTCTCTGCCATCCATTAACTGAGGAAGAGAAAAATTAGGCCTAGTTTACAGATGATTCTGTGTGATATTAGAGCGACACCAGAAAGTGCTCCAGCACTACAATGTCTTTCTGGAACATTCCTAATGAACAATGGCAAACAAAATTCATCCAGTTGGCAGAAATTTTAGCAGTGCACCTGGTTGTTCATTTTGCCTGGGAGGAGAAATGGCCAGAAGTAAAAATCTATAGCAATTCACCCCAGCATCACATGCAACAAATCTGCATGTGTGTCCCAACTATCTAAAGTAAAAGTTAATTTTTAAAAAAAGCAATTCAGTGGCTGTGACCAATGATTTGGCTGGATTACCACTGAATAGTAAGGAACATGGTTGAAAATTGGAGACAAGGAGTTCTGGGAACAAGGTATGTGGATACTCTTATATGAGTGGATAAAAAATGTAGATATTTGTGTCCTATGTGAATGCTTGCTGAAGGGTGATCTAGAAGAAGAAGATGTAAACAAGCAAGTGAATAGAATGACCTGTTCTGTGGAGACCAGTCATTCCCTTTCCCACTAATTGCCGTCATTGTGCCATAGGTTCATTAAAAAATGGCCATGGTAACAGGGGTGGAGATTATGCATGGGCTCAAGTACATGGACATCCACTCATCACGGGCAATTTGGCAATAGCCAGTGATGCATGTCACATCTGTCAGCAGCAGAGACCAGCACTGAGTCCCTGATATGGCACCATTCCCTTGGGCGATACGTTAGCTACCTCTTGGCAGGTTGATTACATTGGAACACTTCCATCATGGAAGGGGAAATGTTTTATTCTTACTGGAATAGACAGTCAAATATGTATTTGGAGTCTCTGCATGCAATGTTTCTGCCAAAACTACCATCTGTACAGTTACAGAATGCCTTATCCATTTTCGTGGAATTCCCCACAGCATTGTTTGCAATTAAAGAACTGACTTCACAAGTGAAGTGTTCCAGTGGGCCAATGCTCATGTAATTCCTTGGTCTAACCATGGCCACCATCATGTTTAAGCAGATGGTTTGACAGAATGATCTCCAAACCTATTGCCTTTTAGACCACCCCAGTACGGGGGTTACACCCAAGACCTGTGACTGCTACTGCCTGACTGCTGCTGATGTTTATTCAAGGCTCAAGACCACTAGAGTTAGCAGGTGGTGAAGCCAGCCATAACTTGGGTCTATCCCACCAGGGTGGGAAATTCCCTTCTGGCCCAGAGTGGGTCTAGAAGTGCTATTTGGGAGCAATGGCCTGGAATCAGAGGCTTTGGGATTTTGCCTAGTGCTGTTTTACTGTGGTAAGGCTGGTACCAGATTGCAAGACAAGTTCCTCTATTCGCTTTCCTCTCCTTCCCCCAGGAAGAAGATTTTCTGCAAACTGCACTGCCTGGAGCTGTAGGAGAGGTGACACAGGCAGCCTCGTGGCTGCCATGGCTGATGTTGTGCTGGTGTGCATCCTGAGCCCACAGCCTCTGAGACCAGTGCAGCACTGTGGTTCACCAAGGAAATCAGCTGTTACTCAGCTGTTACAAGCTCGTTGCCACTCAAACTTATTTAGGGCCCAAGACTACATTAGTCAGCTGGCGATGAAGTAGGCCAGGACTTGAGTTTACCCTGCTGGGGCAGCAGATTCCCTTCTGGACCAGCGCAGGTCTAGGAGCTCTGTTCAGGGGCCATGGAGGTCTGTCCAGTGCTGTTTTACTGTGATGGGTCTAGTACAGGGTTCCAAGGTAACACTACCTGCACGCTTCCCTCTCCCTCCATCACACAGACAGATCCTCTCTCTGCATTGCACTGCCTGGGGTTGAGGGAACGGTGGTGCAAGCAATGCAAGACTGTCCTTCTTAGCCTCTTCAATAGGTCTTTTATGATTATTCTGTTAAAACAAAGTACTGTAACCTCTCACCTGGTTTTTTAATTCTTGTGAAGGAGCTTGAGGGCATGGATAGTTGTTCAATTTGATATCCCTCTTAGGGTGGTGGTGATCACTAGGGGATTCTATTAGGCCATCTTCAAGATGGATTATTTGGGAGATTTTTATATTATAAACTTAGTTTTCTTCAGAATTATACAGATATTCAAGTTATCTATTTCATATTGCATAACATATGGTAGATTTTTAAAAATAGTTCCTTTTATGTACCTTATCAAAATTATAAGTCCAAAAGTTGTAGGGTTTTCTTTTTTTTTATGCTTATAGGATGTGTAGTAAAATCTCCTGTCTCATTCCTGATATTATTGCTTTGTGTTTTCTCTTTTTTATTTCTTTGCCAATATTACTCAAAGATTAAAGTATTATGAATGATTTAAGAAATCACGATTTTAAATAATTTGTCTTCTTTTTTATTAAAATTTC
Source organism: Homo sapiens (assembly GCF_000001405.40). Taxonomy (NCBI): domain Eukaryota; kingdom Metazoa; phylum Chordata; class Mammalia; order Primates; family Hominidae; genus Homo; species Homo sapiens. The sequence goes on along the minus strand of NC_000018.10, from coordinate 66,167,399 downwards.
ATTTCATTTTGCGCTTGTATTATTTTCTTCTTGCTTTTGGTTTCTAATTTTCTTATTGTCTAGATTCTTGAGCTTGGGGTTTTGATTATTGATTTAAGACTTTCACTTTTCTAATTAATAAATTTAGTGTTATGAGTTATCCTCTTTATATTCTCATTCAGTTCAATGTGTATTTTAATTTTCATTTCTTTTGAACTTTGGGTTATTTGTAAGTGTGTTACTTAGTTTCCAAGTGTTCAGATTTTTCTTTTTTTGCTCCCTTTGTGTTACTGATTAGTGCATTTCATATACTAACAATGATGCTCACTGGTAGTACTAACTCTTTTTAATTCCATCATGGTTGAAGAACACTCTATGTATGATTTTAATTCCTTGAAACTTGTTAATGTTTGTTTTATGGGCCATAATATAATCTATATTGATAAATCCTTTATGAACCCTTCAAAAAATGTGTATTCCAATGTTGTTTGGGAGAGTATTTTATAAATGTTGACTACAGCCTGTTGACTGATGATATTGTTAAGATCTTCTGTATCCTCTCTGACTTTCTGTCTGGTTGTTTTATCATTTGTTGACATGTGGGGTTTTTGTTGTTGTTGTTGTTGTAGTTGTTGTTTTGTGACAGAGTATCGCTCTGTCATCCAGGCTGGAGTGTAGTTGTGCCATCTCGGCTCAACTGCAACCTCTGCCTCTCGGGTTCATGCGATTCTCCTGCCTCAGCCTCCCGAGTAGCTGGGACTACAGGCACGCACCACCATGCCTGGCTATTTTTTTGTATTTTTAGTAGAGACGGTTTCGCCATGTTGGCCAGGCTGGTCTTGAACTCCTGACCTCAAGTGATACACCTCTCTGGGCCTCCCAAAGTGCCGGGGTTACAGGCGTGAGCCACTGTTCCCAGCTGACATGTGGGTTTTAAAATGTCCACCTATAATTGTAGATTTATTTATCTACGTTCTTTCTTAATTCTGTCTGTTTTTGTCTTACACATATTGCAGCACTGATGTTTGATTTATAACCATGTAAAACTGCTGTATGTTCTTGGTAGATTGACATCATTTTATTATCACACAATGTCTCTCTCTATCTCTGATAATTTTTAATGTTCTGAAATCTAGTTTTTTTAATATTAGCATGGAGACATCTGCTTTCCTTTGATTAATGTTTGTGTGATATATCTTTCTCCGTTTATTTTACTCTAACCTGCCTAGATTATTATATTTGAAGTGAGTTTCTTATAGGCAGCATACAGTTTCATCATTTTTTAAAATTCACTACCAATTTCCATTATTTAATTGTTGTGGTTAGACCATTTATATTTAAAGTTTTTGGCAATATATTAGTGCTTAACATTTAAAAAAATTATCTGTTTTGTTTTTCATTTATCTGTTTTCTTTTTTTCCTGCCTTATCATTTTTAAAAATAATTCAATTTTGATTTTTCTATGGTGATTTTGGGCATACTCCTTTGAGTGGGGGTAGAAATCTTATCTTTCCTTGCATTTCTTTATTCCTTTATCCTCCCCAAGTTATAATTGTCTTAAATATTTTCTCCATGTATATTTAGAGCCACGTCTAAAAATGTGATAATTTTTGCCTCACATATTAAGCACACTAACAATTTAGATAAGTGAAGATGGGAAGAAAGACCTATTATATTTGCCATATTTTTACTATGTTCTTTCTGATGTTCAAAGGTTCATTCTATTGTTTCCTTTCTGTTTATAAAAAGTGCTTTACTCATTCTTCTATGGAGCATTTACTGTGACTAATAATCCTAGGTTTCTTTTATCTGAGAGTATCTTTGGGCTTCTTTCACTTCTGAGGGATATTTTCACTGACTATAAGATTCTAGATTGGCAGTTCTTTTTTATTTCAACATTTGAGAAATATTATGCTATTTCCTTCTGGCCTCCATATCCACTATTATTCATTTTGTTTTGCCCCTATAGTCAAAGGGTAATATTTCTATGATTGCTTTCAGGATATTTTTTTCATCTTTAGTTTTTAGAAATTTAATTATGATGTATATTAAAAGGATTTTACTTGGGTTAATCTTTTAAGGAATTTTCTTAGTTCTTTCAATCAGTGGAGTTATATTTCTTGCTGAAATTAGAACATATTTAGTCACTATATCTTTAAGTACTTTTTTGCCCTGTTTTCCTTATCCACTCATACTTCAATAACACAAATGTTAGAATTATTTTCATTGAACCGGCTGAGCGCGGTGGCTCACGCCTGTAATCCCAACACTTTGGGAGGCCGAGGTGGGCGGATCACGAGGTCAGGAGATCGAGACCATCCTAGCTAACACGGTGAAACCCCGTGTCTACTAAAAACACAAAAAATTAGCCGGGCGTGGTGGCGGGCGCCTGTGGTCCCAGCTACTCAGGAGGCTGAGGCAGGAGAACGGCGTGAACCCGGGAGGCGGAGCGTGCAGTGAGCCGAGATAGCGCCACTGCAGTCCAGCCTGGGCGAAAGAGCAAGACTCCGTCTCAAAAAAAAAAAAAAAAAAAATTATTTTCACAGACCCACAGGGTCTGAGGCTCTCTTTCATTTGTTTTTTTGTTTTTATTTTCTCTCTGTTGTTCAGATTAAATATTTTTTTTTTGAGTTTACTAATTATTTCCTACGTTCTCTGATGATGTCCTCTCTAGTCTGCCGAAGAGTCCAAATACAGAGCCTTTATTTGGGTTGTTGTATTTTTTATTTATAACATTTCTATTTTATTTCGTGCTGAAACTTTCTATTCCTTTGCTGAGGCTTTCGGTTCTTTTCATTTCATTTGTCTCAAGCGTGTTCATAATAGTTTGCTGATGCATTCTTACTCTTACTGCTTTATCATCTTTGTCAGATAATTATCCATCATCTTAGTGCTGGTATGTATTGCATTTTTAAAAATTATTTTGAGATGTTTCTGATTCTTGGTATGAACGTGATTTTCAAATAAAAACTTGACATTCTTTTATTATTTTTATGTGACTCTGGATCTTATTTCAATGTTCTTGGCCAGTTTGTTTTGCCAGATAAAGGAAGAGATGGAATATGGAATGATTTTGCCTCAGTACTGCCAAGTAGAGGATTCCTGTCTTCCAAGTATTCTCTGTTGATAGGAGGGGAGGCTCTTCACTACTGCTGAATTGGATGAGAGTTCTGCCCTCATGCAGTCATTACTGACATGTTGGAGGTGGGAGGGTGTACTATGGGTCAATGGTGATGAATGCACTGAATCCCTATTTGACCTTCAGTGACGTAAACCAGGCAGATGCCTTATTACATCCTTCTAAGGATGGAAGTTCAGGTACTCCCCTGGGGCTTTGCTGGCATGGATTGGAGTAGAGCCACAGTAGTTTTCTGTAGTTTTTGTCTGTGTTAGAACAGTTATTATCTAAAAATAATCTGTGTCTATGGTGTCCCCCTTTCTTCCTCATGTGGTTAGAGATGGCAAGTTTTTATGGCTTCTCTGTACCTGTTGGCATTTCTGGGGTGAAATCTTCTTTTTTTCTTTTATTATTATTATTATATATTTATTATACTTTAAGTTCTAGGGTACATGTGCACAACGTGTAGGTTTGTTACATATGTATACATGTACCATGTTGGTTCACTGCACCCATTAACTGGTCATTTACATTAGGTATATCTCCTAATGCTATCCCTCCCCCCTCCCCCCAGCCCACAACAGGCCCCGGTGTGTGATGTTCCCCTTCCTGTGTCCAAGTGTTCTCATTGTTCAATTCCCACCTATGAGTGAGAACATGCAGTGTTTGGTTTTCTGTCCTTGCGATAGTTTGCTGAGAATGATGGTTTCCAGCTTCATCCATGTCCCTACAAAGGACATGAACTCATCCATTTTTATGGCTGCATAATATTCCATGGTGTGTATGTGCCACATTTTCTTACTCCAGTCTATCATTGGTGGACATTTGGGTTGGTTCCAAGTCCTTGCTATTGTGAATAGTGCTGCAATAAACATACGTGTGCATGTGTCTTTATGGCAGCATGATTTATAATCCTTTGGGTATATGCCCAGTAATGGGATGGCTGGGTCAAATGGTATTTCTAGTTCTAGATCCCTGAGGAATCGCCACACTGTCTTCCACAATGGTTGAACCAGTTTACATCCCACCAACATGTAAAAGTGTTCCTATTTCTCCACATCCTCTCTAGCACCTGTTGTTTCCTGACTTTTTAATGATCGCCATTCCAACTGGTGTGAGATGGTATCTCATTGTGGTTTTGATTTGCATTTCTCTGATGGCCAGTGATGATGAGCATTTTTTCATGTGTCTGTTGGCTGTATAAATGTCTTCTTTTGAGAAGTGTCTGTTCATATCCTTCGCCCACTTTTTGATGGGGTTGTTTGATTTTTTCTTGTAAATTTGTTTAAGTTCTTTGTAGATTCTGGATATTAGCCCTTTGTCAGATGGGTAGATTGTAAAAAATTTCTCCCATTCTGTAGGTTGCCTGTTCACTCTGGTAGTAGTTTCTTTTGCTGTGCGGAAGCTCTTTAGTTTAATCAGATCCCATTTGTCAATTTTGGCTTTTGTTGTCATTGCTTTTGGTGTTTTAGTCATGAAGTGCGTGCCCATGCCTATATCCTTAATGATATTGCCTAGGTTTTCTTCTAGGGTTTTTATGGTTTTAGGTCTAACATTTAAGTCTTTAATCCATCTTGAATTAATTTTTGTATAAGATGTAAGGAAGGGATCCCGTTTCAGCTTTCTACATACAGCTAGCCAGTTTTCCCAGCACCATTTATTACATTTATTATCCTTTCCTCTGGGGTGAAATCTTCTTAAGCTCCAAATCTAGAACAAATGAGACAAGAGGGAAACACAAAGCCTCACACTATATTGTTCCCCGGTTTTGGCTAACCTGTGGGTCTGCCTTCTTCTCTCCAGCCTTAAAAGTCTTCCTATGAGTGTTTTCTATATAATATTCAGGGCTTTTAATTGAACTTAATAAGCAGGAATAGGAAAACGTTTGTCTACTCCATCTTAGAAGCATCTAATATTTTCATCACATTTGGAAGTTTATATAAGGTTTTAACATATCACATTGTATGGCACAAAATCTATTCTTTGAAAAAAGGGGAGAAGTAGAAGATGAAAGAATAGCAGAACTTCAAATGAAATTTTATGCTTTTGTAAAATCTTCCATAACATACTTTTTTTAGTTTCTGATTCCTGAAAAGTAGGACCCATTTGTCAAATTGTGAAACAAATACATTGTAGTTAGCAATAGAATTAAACATGAGTAATCTCCTTTAAATTGATCATTTTTAATATATCAATGCCTCACTGCTATAGATACCTGTTAATAAATAAGAAAAAAATTCTAGAACATTTTTCCCATGGACTGTCATGTTAGAGTTGATAATTTTGATGTTAATTTACTTTTCATGATTCACTTCGATTATTGGAATAGCAAAAGTTTCTCACTGGGAAATTGTGATAAAGTTTAGTAAATATAGCAATTGTGACAAGATAGATGCATATTTTATCCTCTAAGATTGCTGTGATTAAAAAGTGATTTAACAAAACTCAATATTATAGAAAACTAGTATAATCTCCTAAATCGAATGAAGCTCAGGCTACAGTAGCTTGTGATATGCAAAGACCATTCCATATCTAAGAATGATGCCTGCTGGTATTCTTAACTTTCTCTTCATCTCCCTCCCCCAAACACAGTCTTATTAGTGAGATCATTTATCAGTTTTTTTATATCACCTTCTATAGTCTATGTTAGAAAGACATAATGTTTCAAATATTTGAAATTTATTGATTTATCTATGTTCTTCTTGATTCCTGAATATTTTTTACACTAAATTATTTTTAGTGGATTAATAACCCAAATCTCTTCAAAACAGCTAGCTAAAGCTTTAACCTTAGACATGTTGTTTAACCTCTCTGGGTCTCAGATATCTTTTCTGTAAAATGGGAAAGTCAGAACAGGATTATATCTAATGGTTTTGTGCTTTAAGTTGTTTTTTGTCTGTTTGAATATGCTAATTTATTCTAAAACTTCCCATCAAGAGAGAAAGTTCTATTTGAAAGTTTTTTTAAAAAAAATATTGTATTTATGAAACATCTTAAGAATTCCAATTTTCAGATTTTTATCTAATTGCTCAAATGGTTGTTTGCCGTCTTTATTATTATTTTTTCAAATAATGTTTTAACTCAGTTTCCCTACATCACTCTTGGTTCCTTTGCTTTTTGAACTCTTCTAATTTTGAGAAGATTTTTTGTTTTGTTTTTTAGTCCAGAGTAATGTCACATGTTTTTAGGCTCATGTGTGCATGTGTGTGCGTGTGTGTGCACAAGAGAGGGTGGGGAGACAGAGAGAGAGAGGAGAGAGAGAGAAAGGAGACTATAGGGAGCAACTATTCGGTTTTACCAACTTATGCAGCAAAGCAGGTTGACCAATGGTGGAAGCTGTTACAAACATTGGGGAAGCAGAAGTGTGATACAAAAACTGATAGTAAAAAACAGACAAAACAAAACAAAAACAAAACATTTTAACTCCTCTCTTCTTCTATAATGCGACTGGAACTCTAGCAATATGATTTACATTTAGAAGTACACCAGATATAAGGGAGGCAGCTGATAATTACACTTAGTCTCGCCTTTTCAATTTGAGCTGTTGGGCTGCAATTCTTCTCTGGCTCAGTGCTCAGGTGAGCATAAGAATGTTCATGCATATTCTCAAAAAATTATTTTCTATCACTGAGTAGAAAAATAATGTGATAAAAGTCAGATATTGACTTATACTGCACATAGTGGGAACTCAATCAATATTTATTGAATGAATTGGTGAGTACTCAACTCATAATAGCATTGTCAGACTATGTATTTTTATTATCACAAAGGAAACTATATTCATGCTAAAAAGGAACCTATCTCAAGTTCCGATGATTTAAAACTGTGTATCCCTCTAAAATTCATACTGAAACCTAATCCCCATTGAAATACTTTTAAAAGGTGGTGTCTTTTGGGTAGTGATTAAGTCATGTGGACTCTGCTTTCACGGATGGGATTAATTCCTTTATACAGAGGCTTCAGTAAGCTACCTGGCCCTTCCACCACTTCTGCCACATGATAGCACAGACTTTGTCTGTTTTTTCTCCCTCTGGCAGGTGAAGATGCAATGAGAAAGCACAGTCTTTGAAGCAAGAGAGAGCCCTTACGAGATGCTGAATCCGCTAGTGCCTTGACATGGGACTTTCCAACCTTCAAAACTGTGAGAAACAAATTTCTATTGTTTATAAATTACCCTATGGGAAGTATTTTGTTATAGTAGCACTAATAGACTAAGACAGAACTCAAGCATACAATTATATTTCAGAGTACATCAAAGTTGAAGTTGACAGCTTATCAAATTAGCCACCAGCTGAAGTGCAAAAAAGAACATTAAAATCATCTTTATTATCTTTGAATTCTCAGAAGCCTCTGATCTCATACTTACATTTCTTGAAATATATCTTTTTTTTTTTCCTTTGAGATGGGTTTTCAGTCTGTCACCCAGGCTGGAGTGCAGTGGCATGATCATGGCTCACTGCAACCTTGGCTTCCCAGGCTCAAGGGATCCTCCCACTTCAGCCTCCCAAGTAGCTGGGATGACAGGTGCAGGCCATCATGCCTAGATAATATTTGTATTTTTTGTAGAGACAAGGTTTTACCCTGTTGCCCAGGCTGGTCTCAAACTCCTGGGGTCAAGTGATTCACCCCTTCGGCTTCCCAAAGTGCTGGGATTACAGGCATGAAACACTGCACCTGGCTAAAATATATCATTCTAGATGTAGAAATATGAGGAAAGTGTTGAGGTAGAATCATCCCACAGGAAGGGCATTTTAAATTTGTTACAGTTGTCAAATCACTTTCCCCAAGATGAATTTTTGTCAGTGTAAAGGACCAAGGCTGGAGTAGAAGCTCTGTGGTTTTGGTGAGAATCACTGGACGGAAAGACACATGAAGATTACAGAAAAATGTTTAACAGTCAAGAGCCTCTTAAACATTGGTTTCCAATGTATCGCTCTCAACAGACACACATATGTACACAGATAAAATAAATTAAAAATGTAAAAATCTATAGAATGTATAAAATATTATAACTATCAAGTTAGTTTAGCAATATTACTGAATACGCAATGTAGAAAAATAGATGCATGTTTATATCTTAGTAATAAAGAATAAGAAAAGTGAGAAAAATACATAATATTTAAATATCTAAGGTATCTAAATATCTAAATATCATTATATCTAAGGATAAATTTTTAAAATCTGTAATACCTATGCACTTAAAGCTATAAAACATTACAGAAATAATGTTAGATAAAGAATATCTAAATAAGTGAGGAGATATACTCTCTTCATGGATCACTCAATATTTTTAAGATGCCTCTTCTCTCCAATTGAATCTCTACATCCAGTTGATTGTAGTCAAAATCCCTGCAGACTTTACTATAGCAGTAGACAAGCTGATTCTAAAAGTCATACAGAAATGCAAAGGATCTAGAATAGCTAACAACACTTTGAACAAGAAGAACATAGTGGAAGGATGGATAGGATCTGATTTCAAGACCTCTTTCCACGGAGACACACATTATTCTTCTCAGCCCTAGAAGATGGTATTGGGATTGCACCGTCTTCGACATTCTTTTGTGACTTCTCTGTTTCTTTTACTCTCTCTCTCTTTTTCTGTCATTAACAGAGGCAATGTTTACAAACTACAAAGCATAGACCTTACCTATATAGTTTGATGAGCTTTGACAAGTGAATACACTTATTTAACCAACTACAAAAAATTAGAATATTTTAATGCCCTAAAAATTTTCTCCGCATTTGTTCTTTTTTTAGATATTTGTTTTGGATATGATAGATCTTTTACAGCTCCATATATGTCTAAGGATAAAATGGTTAGTCTTTACAAAAGCAAACAAAAAATCTGGGAGTCTGATACAGATTGCAGTAATACAGAGATCAAATTAAAGACAAATAATAGTTTAAGAATGTAGTCATACAACCCATAAGTATGGTATATATCTCTGTTTAAACCAGGGAATGACAGGCTTTTTCTCTAAAAATCAGAAATAAAATATTTAAGTATTGTGTGTCACGTATTTTTTTCTGTCATAGGCAGATAGACCATTAGATGGAGATGTGTAGATATCTCCTTAAAATTTAAAAAAAAAAAATGTGCTTTGCTTGTGGACCACACTTAAACAGGCAATAGGCCAGATTGCTCTGCAGGCCATAGTTTGCCAGCTTCTGATTTAGATCATTTTAAATTACAGTTTACAACATTTGTATTTTCAAGAAAATGGCCTTGCATGTCACTGATAATTGTATCTCTAAGATTACAATTTTGGCATTAGTCCAAAAGGCATTGTTTTGAATTTAATTTTCTATATTTCTGTTGCTAGTAAATAAAAAAAAAACAAGTTGCTATATCGATTTTGTGTCCCATACCTTGCTGAATCACTTATCACTTATAGTAGAGTTTTGTTCTTTACTTAGGTTTCTGTGCATACAAAATTAAGTTTTCCATGAATAATGGCAATATCAATTCTACTTTTGTGCCTTTTATGTCTTATTTCCAATTTATTTTATGGGATAGAATCATGAAGCTAATAGTAAATAGAAGTGGGAAACTAAGCTACCTTTATCTTACCCTGATCTAATGGAATATGTACTAAACTTTAACCATTTATTATGATTCATTGTAGGTTTCTTCATGGATTTTTTTGATCAAATTGAGGTTGATTGGTTCTATTCCTAAGTTATTGAGAGTTTTTTTTTCAAATCATAAATAGGTATTGGTTTTGTTAAAGGCCTCTTCTGTTTGTAATCAGATATGTTTGTGATTACAGTATATTCTGTATGGTGATTTATGTAGACAGTTGTTTTGCATTGTTGTGGTAAGATTCATTTGGTCTTGATTTGTGTAGAGATGAGTTTGCCTTCTTAGTTCAGGAGTTATTGGCTGTAATTTTTTAAATCTTGTAATGCCCCTGCAATTTTTAAAAATAATTGCTTAAATAAAAAAATTGTAATAATCTTAAATAATGTTTATTTTGGCAACAAAAATGAATTAAGAAATATTTTTCTTTTTTTCCAGAAAGAGTATATATATATATTTTTTTCCTTTTCATAAATGTGCACTACAATTTATCATTTAAGTCATGTGGGCATTGGGTTTTACTTGTGAGAAAGTTTCAGGTTACAAATTACTTTTTTTCTAAATATACAGTTCATTATTTTGATTTTCAGTTTCTTCTTGACCCATTTTGAGTTATGTTTTTGCTAAACAAGTGACTTATCAGCCAGGTTGTCTGAGTCACTAGCATGAAGTTGCTACTCTTTATTAAGCTTTTATAGAAGTTTTTCAGTGATTTCATTTATGATATTTGTAATTTGTTTTTTCTCTCTTCTTTTCTTGGACTAGTTTACCTATAGGTTGATCATTTTTCTTAATTGTTTGTGCTATTGTTCTTATGCACTTTCTTCTACATACATTGGGATTAATATACTCAACATTTTTCTTTATTCTTAAAGGTGAAAATTTAGATTATTCATTTTACATATTTCTTCTTTTTAAATATAATTTGTAAAGGTGTAAACATTGCTGTATGGTTTAAACTGCATCTCAGAAGTTTTTGTATGCCATATTTCATTATTATTCAGTTTGAAATATTTCCTATTTTTTAATGTCCTCTACGTTAATTATTGTGCTATTTTGAAATGGGTTGCTTTATTTCCAAATATAGGGGAGTTTTCTAATTATATTTTTGCCAATTACTTTCCACACATATCTTAAATAAAAATGACCATACTTTGAAATTTAATAAGATATTTTCATATTTTTGGTGAATGCTTTATGTGTGCTAAAGAAAATATGTGTACACTGCAGTTTGGTTTTAGTCTTCTAGGCATGATAATTAGGTTTATTTAATTGATAGCTTTTTCTAATATCCTCCATTCTTAAATTTTCTATTTTGTCCTATCAATTATTTGGAGAAGAACGTTGAAACCTTCTAGCTTTGTGTATTGAGTTCTTAATTCTATCTAATTGTGCTCCATTTATTTTGTTAAATCAAGTTTAGCTTAAAGCTGCCTCATTACATATTTTAAGTTTAGCCTAAAGGTTTCTGTGTACATTTTGAACTATAACAAGTAGAGTTGTAAATAGACCATAGCCTATAGTAGGCTAGTAGTAGGAGACTATGGCCTGTTTACATCTTCACTTGTTATAGTTCAAAATGTACAGAGAAATCAATCACGGGTTTTGGCCAATTAAATGTAGCAAGCGCCAACCTGCAATCAATCCCGCTGTTTTTATATCTCACTTCACTTTCTGTATCTTGCTTTCCTTTTTGAGGCTGTCCGATTCACAAATCGTTCATTGCTCAATTAAAGGTTTTTTTTTGTTTTTGTTTTTGTTTTTTTTATTTGACGGAGTCTCGCTCTGTCACCCAGGCTGGGTTGCAGTGGTACGATCTCGGCTCACTGCAACCTCCACCTCCCTGTTCAAGCGAAGAGATTTTCCTGTCTCAGTCTCTCGAGTAGCTGGGATTACAGAAGCGCGCCACCACGCCCGGCTAATTTTTGTTTTTTTCAGTAGAGACGGGGTTTTACCATGTTGGCCAGACTGCTGTCCAACTCCTGACCTCAGGTGATCCGCCTGCCTCGCCCTCTCAAAGTGCTGGCATTACAGGTGTGAGCCACAATTAAAGGCTTTTAAATTTAATTCGGCTCAGGTTTTTCTTTTATTAAATTTGAAAGTCTCTTATAGGCATTCACATATTAAATTGTGGTATTCTTCGTGAATGGATCTCTTTCCATTAAAAAATGTTCCTTTTGTTGTTGTTGTTGTTGGTTAATACTCCCCATCTTGAAATCTACTTTGCATGATATTAGGGATGCTTTATTATGACTTTCATTTGCATGTAATATATTTCTACGGCATTTTTTTCTATCTGTCTTTATTTTTAAATTGTGTCTATTTTAAAAAATGTAGAATTGTGTTTCAAATTTTAAATTTTTTAATTTATTTAAAAATTGTGCCTATATTAAACAACAGTATTCTTTCTTTTCCTCTAATTTGACAATTTCTGCTTTAAAATCAAGGGCAGGGTTTATTTCGACTTAATGAGTTATATTTTTGTGTCTTTGGAAATTTATGTTGGTTAATCAATAATTTAGTTGTTTTAGTTATTAACGTATTTCTGCCTTATTGGACTTTTAGCTATGTGGTTTTTTGTTGTTGTTGTTGTTGTTTTTAATTTTACATTCAACAAATTACTTATGGATGGCTGGGCACTATGGCTCATTCCTGTAACCCTAGCACTTTGGGAGGCCAAGGCAAGAGGACTACTAGAGCTCAGGAGTTTGAGACCAGCCTGAGCAATATTGTGAGACTGTGTCTCTATATAAAATTTTTAAAGTATTTAAAAAAATTATTTATGGATTACATTATATATTAGGAAAAAGTTACAGTACACTTCACTTCTAGTGTAAGAAATCTATAATAGTACAAATTTTTTTACACTCCCTCAAGTTTTTGTATTATTATTGTCAAATATTAATTTATAAAGTTTTTGTCTTACTAAATATTATTTTTGCTTTATAGGACTATAACTTAAATAAATTTTAAGACATAGTCTTTTGCATTTACTAACACATTTAACATTCCTATTAATCTATGATGTTTAAAGTATAATGAATCATCCTTTTGGTATCATTTCCCTTTATCCTAAAGAACTTTATTTAATATTCTGGTAGTTCATCTCTATAAACAATAAATTCTCTTGACATTCATTTATATGAATTTTTGTGTCTTCAATTTTAAAGGATATTTTGCTAGATATATAACTTTAAGATGACAATATTGTTATGTATTCTTTCTCTATTTTAGATAATTTTCCCCCGTATTTTTGGGTTTCATGGTTTCTTAGATTCATGATTTCATGTAAAAATGCAATTCAGAATAATTCAACTATTTTCATCATCACATCTATATCATTTTCCCATTTTTTTTTTCACCTGATCTTTTGGAACTTCAATCACCCATGTGGGAGATGACTTAATATTATCTCACAGTCCATAATATTATGCTTCTTTTTTCAGTCTTTCATTTTTATAGTTCATATTTTCTATTAACCTGTCTTCAGATTTATTAAATTTTTGTACAGTATTCATTTTTCCTTTGATCGATTTATTTAATTTTTAAATTTGGCATTTTTGTATTTCAGTTCTATAATTCTATTTTGTTGTTTTGTTTTCAAATTTCTTCTGAAATATATTATCTCTTCAGCTATTGTAGTAGTAACCATATTGTCTAAATTTTATATTTATAGTAGTTATTTTAAACTACATTTTTACAAATTTTATTATCTACATAATCAATGAATAACCATCTATAGACCTATTTTATTTTCTTGATTTTAGGTCAAAATTTTCTGCTTTCTACATATTTTGAAATTTATTAGTCTATCCTGAACAGCCTCTTTTAGGGATATCTCCTCCTCCTCCTTCTCCTCCTCCTCCTCCTCCTCTTCCTTTTTCTCCCCTCCTCCTCCTTCTTCGTCTTTCTTCTTCTTTCCTAAATCAAGCTTACTTTTAAACTTTATTCTAATAAACTTGTTTCACTGGAAATGAGAACAAAAATGCATATCTTGCCACTGCCTCTGACTTTTGACAGAATGAACAATTTCCAAATTTGATTCAAACTTAATTGACAGATCTGTCAGATGTATTCTATAGGAAGTCAAGGAACCCTCAACTAAAATATAATTTTTTTATAGTTGTTAAAATAGGAAAACTCATCATTATATTTCCCCTGTAATCACACTGAAGTTATCCTTGAATTATGGTTCCTGTGATACAAATTGATGGTGTATATGCTTCTTGCAATAGAAAAACTGTCAAGACCAGTGAACACCTAGTGTTACTTGCACCAAGAATAGTAACCACGGCTCTTGCAGAACTTGAAGGTAAGTCATTAATTACTTAATTGCTATACAGTACATGGGTCCAGGCACTAGGAGTCGATCAAAAAGTGCTGTCCTTCGGATTTGTAATTGTTAATGGCACCTGCCTCCTCCATCATTTGTTTTCTCAGCTGAGACACAAATAAGAATATTTTAATTCATAGGATCTCATAGTACAGAGACTAATTGAGTCTTCTTCGTTGGACTAGAAAATCATATAAAAATCAAAATATCTGAGAAGAGTGTTAACTGAATAGGATGGCAGAATTTTGTGATGCAGAGAAGAGGCTATGAATAAGTCACCAAAACAAGCAGGAAGGGAAGAAGACAATTCAAAAAGCCAAACTACAATGTCAAGACATTGGAAAACTCCCAAGTAAATTAAGACAGAGAGTATAACAGTTTAGATAGGCAAATGGAGAAGCGATTTTGGATGAATGTAAAAGACAGTGTACTGACTCTGGTAAGATATTTTTCTGTAGTACTTTATATGATGAATTTCCAAGCCAGCTCTGACGAAAGAACTGTAGACAGAGTGTACAAAAATGAGTTGACATTGCAATAAAAAGCATTAAAATATTTCCTTGTTGTCCTTGCTGAACAAATTTGTTGTACATAATTAAATTACACTAGGCCATCATAAAATGATTCTAAAATGTATATGTGGTGCCAAGAACTCATTAAGGACTTTTGGTGTGAATGTAAGTTGGAAGCACTTAAAAGTATTAACATTTTCCATGTTTTTGTTCTTGGTCTTAGAGGAAAATCTGAAATGTGAGAATAGGCAAAAACCATAACAAAGGGGATTATTGTTTTCTGCTATTACCTTCCTAGTGTCTTTTCTCTGAGCACAATATATTCATCTGTTGATGTAAAAGAAATAGGAAAAATGCTTATTTCAGAGCCTTAGGTAAGGATAGCAAGGTATCATTGAGGCAAATAAATTAGTATTGCATGTTGGTGAGAGCTTTGTATTTTATTCAGAATTCTGCTTTTATATGGAATTCCTCAACTATTTCTTTCCCTTTTTTTTCTTTGCTTTTTCTTTTTTTCCTTCTGTTTTCTTTATTTTCAAATGAAACTTGAGACAGGATATAAGATTAAAAGTAAATGTTCTGATTGACACAGAGGTCTATACTGTTATCAGTCACCCATTATGTGATAGTTTATAAGGTATTTTAATGGAAGCTTAGGGCTCTTTGGAACACCATTTGAGAATCATTGCATTTAAGAACCATCAAAATTGAAACTTAGATGTAGGTGGCAGACAACTGAAGATAAGCCATATTTTTAAGGTCAGATACAACACCCACACAAGAAAAATATATAAGAGACTCTAAGACCAACAGAGCCTAATAAAATTCAAGTTATTAGGCAGTGTTAACAGCAGTAATACACCTTTCCATTAAGGCCATTGAATACTAAGCAAATCCAGATTCAGTTTGAGAGCTCTTACATAGTATTTTGTATGGGCATGGCTGCAGAAGACCAGACTGATAAATCATATGAATTTAGAGAAATTATTGTAATTATGAATGACTGGAAATTATATGAGGACACATCATTGAAAACACATGAAATTTGTTGTGTCTTATGTCAAAGTAAATATTTATTATATGACGCTATGTAGTATTGTTTTGATTCTTCCCTACCGTATCTTGGGGGTATTTTCCAATTTCCTCCAAGAAGTATAATTTCAGGGCTTTCTTGTTTTGGTTTGTTTGTTTGTCTTTATTTATGTTATTTGTGGACTTTGTAAAAGGTTTTTTTGATGGTTATGTTCGTTTTGTTTGTTTTAACAGGGGTCAAAAGACTTTTAGTAACAAAATCATGTTTATTCCTACACAATGGTATAGAACTCATACACTGACGAGATTTAACATGTATATATTTATTGCACGCAGATTCCTAAGTATAAATAAGCACGTGAAGAAAAAAACATAAAAGATCTCCAGTGTTCAAGCATGGAAATCAAAGCAAGGCATGAAAATAATTTGAGTGGCCTCAGGACTCAATTGTCCTTACGACAAAATATTTACTCTCTTAACTGGTCTTGTACTGGTTGTCAGTTTCCAAAAGCAACCAATTTATTGTCATAAGCAGGCAGAAAGCAACAATTTTCAAAGCAATTTCAAACATGTAGTTAGTTTCCTGAATAATAATGTGTCATTATACTTCTAAACAATCCATTGAATGTCTTAGTGATATATTTTCTATAAAGTATTTAATTTATAAATTGGAAAAAAAATGCCTTGGTATGGAGAGAAAAATAAGATCTTCTCACTCTTCAGTTACAACACTTAGACTTTTACTTTAAATGATTGAATTTAAATGCATATTACAATATTTAGTGCTATCAAGTACTCCTATCTTTCCCATACATTTTTATACTCTAATACAATAATATTATTTTGTTTAATTTTAGGGAGGTAAAAGGATAATTGGCATACCTCCCTACCCCCAAGAGGAAGTTAAATGACTTTTGGTAAGAAACATGGTCTTTCCTCTTAATATGAAACCATGCTTCATATGAAACAGAGTGCTGGCAAATGAGGTTTTAGTTTAGAAAGTCAGTGTACGTATAAAATGTCTTGTGGTTCAAAGGCTGAAACCACAACTAGAAAGGAGGACAGTGAGAAGTAATTTTAAATTGCTTAATATTGAAATAAGCATCCTGGAAATATTATTGGCCTTTTTGATATGGTTTAAAATAAGTGGCTAGGGTGGTACCTCTGAGATTACAGAGTGAGAACCTCCATAAATCTGTTCCCCATTAAAAAATGGTAAAATTGTCAAAATTAATATTTTTGGAGCCCTAGAAATTAACCAAAACCTTGCAACTATTTGAGAGAAGTTTAAGGAAAACTACTGAACCTCAGTATGGAAGATTTGTGTGGATTTTTACCAAGTCACATCCTCCTACTTCATATCACCCTCTCTCTAGATCCACGGAAACGTTGAAAACCAGCAGCCTGGAAAACATATAAGCTGCAAATGTACCGACTTAGCAGCCATTGAGGGTCAGACCCAGTTTCAAGCTTCTCAAAAAAAATCCAATAACTACAGCCTTGTCACTATTTGACCTGTCTTGCAGTTCCCTGAAAAAACCCAATTACAACTGTTATTGACCAGCTTAGAGCTCACTCTGGAGAGAAAGTCCTATCTTCAGGGCATTTTTCAAAAACAATCAGTAACAGTAATCCAACTTTATGGCTGCCTGAGGGCAGGATACCAGTTGGGGTAAAGCACTTGGCCAGTCTTAGAAAAGGAAGATATTGGGAGCAAGATGTATATTAGGACTTTTGAAAAACACGTGTATATTCACATACTACTTGGGATCTAGAAAATGAAGTGTGCATGTAGGGCTAGTTGAATGTCCAGGAGAGATGAGTGAGTCCCATCTGTCACCCTTAGCTAACAATTGGGACCTGTTTTAACTATTAAGGGAAGGCTAAGGCAAGAACATGAAATGTTGTCAACTGCCAACTATTGAAAATTATTTCAACCTTCACCCAGAGCTTCTTGGCAAAGAGTAAAAGAACAGTGATTCAAGGCATTTAATGAAATCACTGACCAATAATTAACTGAGCACTAATCTAACTAAAAAGAGATATCATTTGGCTAATATTATAGAAAATACAGATTTCACTCATTAGTCCAGACAAGTCAATGAATGAATAAATAGCAGCAACAACAGCAAATAAACAATAAAAATTAGCCCTGAAAGGAGAGGAAATATAGTTTTCAGAGTTGAACATTATATTATCCATTTTAAGTCCTTGATTTAAAGCCCTGAGAGGAAATATAATTTTCAGAGTTGGACATTATATTATCCATTTTCAATACTTAATTTAAAAATCAAATTTTCACTAATATATCATTAAGCATACACAGAAATAGAAAGTGTGTGTGGAGACTGAAGCAACTCCCTCTGAGACACTAATCCACCATGTTGACTTGTGATTAACTACAGTTGCGGGAAGGCTTGTGATTTCCAGTTTATCTATTGTTCCTTGTGTAAAAGTCCATACTTACCATAAATCATTAGGTCCAAACGACCTAGATATAATCGCTCTTCAATTGTCCCACACATTTCTTCTGAGTCATGTATTCCCTTTCCTATGGTTATATAAGCCCTGGGTCTGGAGGGTAATGGTGAGGGGATCACTGTCTTGTCTTGCGGCTGCCAAAGACACAGATGCCGCTTGTAGTCGGAATTCCTTATTAAATGTTTCTTTCTGAGCAAATGGATATGACAGCTTCTTTTTTCAGCCTCTCCGCTTCCTTGGACCTTCAGGAGTAGGTTTCCGTAGACTTGCCCACCAATGGAACAGTGTAACACCTATGAACCTATGAAAAATGTCAAGAAAAATTGTCCCTGAGAGAGCTCAGGTATTGGCCAGACTTCAAATCAGCTATTATAAATATTTTCAAAAAACTGTAGGATACTGTATCTAAATAGTTAAAGCAAATTATGACCTTATTGTCTTACCAGATAAAAATTATCAATAAAGATATAGAAAGTGTGTGTGTATGGGTATATATATGTATATATAAAGATTACCAATAAAGCTATAGAAAGTATATTTTCATTTTATTTCATTTCTGTGGTTCTTTATATATATAGTATACTATATATATGTATATATGTATATATACACACACATATATATATAAGTTCCTGTGGTTATATATATATATACACACACACACACACATATGTTATTTCACATGATCCTGTCATGTGCAACATGTATGAACCTGGATGTCATTATATATGTATATAAAGAACCACAGACATTAGAAAGTAAAATAACTGAAATGAAAATTTTACAAGAGGAACACAACAGCAAATTTGAGGCATAAAAAAATAGCAAATCTGAAGTTAGGTCATTTGATATTATTTAGTCTCAGAAACAGAAAGAAAAAATAATTAAGAAAAATGGATAGAGCCTTAGGGGCTTGTGAGATACCATCAAGGGTATCAGCATATGCATAACTGAAACCCCAGAAAAAGAGTGGAAAGAAAAAGGGGAAGAAAGAGTATTAGAAGAACAAATAGCCAAAAATTTCCCAAGTGTGATGAAAACTTTAATATAAACATTTGAGAAATTCAAAGAACTCCAAGTGTGATGATCTCAAAGAGATTAATGCCTAGACACACCGTACTCAAATTCTAAAAAGTCACAAAAAGGGTATCTTGAAAACAGCATGAAAGAAATGACACATATACAATTCCCAATAATATTTGAGCTTATTTTTGTATAGGGTGTAAGCTAAGGACCTAATTCTATTTTTCTGTATGTGTATATCCAGTTTTGCCAATGCCGTATATTGAAGAGACTGTCCTTTTCCTATGATGTATTTTTGGCGTCTTTGTCAAAAATCAATTGATGGCTAGGTGTTGGTGGCTCATTCCTGTAATCCCAGCGCTTTGGGAGGCTGAGGTGGGAGGATTGCTTGAGGCCAGGTGTTTGAACCAGCATAGGCCATTTGATGAGGACCCATCTCTACACACACAAAAAAAAATTAGTTGGGTCTGGTGCTGTGGGCCTATAGTTGTACCTACTTGTGAGGCTGAGGCAGGAGAATCACTTGAGCCTAGGGATTCAAGCCTGCAGTGAATAAAGAAAATGTCATACATATACACAATAGAGGACTATTAGCCATGAAAAAGAAAATAGAATCTTGTCATGTGCAACATTGTGTATGAACCTGGGTGTCATTATGTTAAGTGAAATAAGCCAGGCACAGAGAGACAAACATATGTTCTCACCTATTCCCGAGATCTAAACATCAAAACATTTGAACTTATGGAGATAGAGAGTGGAAGGATGGCTTTCGGAGGCTGTTAAGGTTAGTCCGTGAGAGCGAGGGTTGGGCAGGGGGGAGGGTGTTTTCCCCTCTTTTTTTGTTAATCAGGCTAAATGTTTGCCAACTTTCTTTCTTTCTTTTTGTTTTTTAACTTCAAATAACCAACTTTTTATCTCATTGATCTTTTGTATTTTTAAAAAAATTTCAATTTCATTTATTTCTGCTCTGATCTTTATTATTTCTTTTCTTCTACTAATTTTGGGTTTCATTTGTTCTTTCTTTTCTAGTTCTTTAAGATGTCTATTTGAAGTTTTTCCTCTTTTTTAAGGTTGGTAGTTATAGCTATGAACTTCCCTTTTAGTACTGCTTTTGCTGTATCCCTCAAGTTTGGTATGTTTTATTTCCATTATAGTTTGTTTCAAGAAATTTTTCAATTTCCTTTTTAATTTTTTATTGACCAACTGGTCATTCAGGAGCGTATTGTTTAATTTCCATGTGTTCATGTAGTTTCCAAAATTCGTATTTTTATTGATTTCTAGTTTTATCTGTTGTGGTCAGAGAAGATGCTTGATATTACTTCAACATTTCGAATGTTTTAAGCCTTGTTTTTTGACCTAACATATGGTCTACTGCTAAGAATGATCCATGTGCTGAGGAAAAGAATGTGTATTTTGCCGTCATTGGGTGAAATATCCTATAAATATTTATTAGGTTTGTTTGGTCTAGACTGCAGGATTAAGTCTGATGTTTCTTTCTTGATTATCTCTCTGGAATACCTGTCCACTGCTGAAAGGGCACTGTTGAAAACTAACAAGTAAACTTTTAAAATAGCCATTTCTACCTAATACGGTGAACATTTTTATTTTAATTTTTGTCTTTTGGAGAAAATGGTTGTGTTTTTAGAAGCTAGCCAGAAGAATTATTGTTGTAATGTAAATTTCAGGTCAAGGAAGTGGGGAAATCTGTTCCAATAGAAGGCTATGAAGGAATATTTGAAACTTTGAACATATATCAAGGTGTGATAAACCCTTTAGAGGCAGCCTGTGGAATTTTGTATGAAAGATGTTTGAGAACTTTCTTATTTGATAAGTAGACTAATCTAATTATCTTGCTAAATTTCTGAAGCAATTACTTTTTTGTCATTTTGAGTTCATTGAAATTAATAGGATATTGATATTTTATAAAGTAAATTAGTATTTGTCTTAATGCTGTCTTGATAATACATAACATTCAGAGAAGTGGTAGAGACTGAGATATTATTGAGTTGAACAATGCTATATTTTATTGTCTCCCAATGTCCACTTTTGTAAACTAGCTCTCAAGTTTATTTACAATAAAGTTATTGTGGGTCTTCTGAGCCACTTACATTGTTATAGGTCTATATATTATATTGTATATAGTATATATTCCATCCCTTTGCAACTAGCAGGTAGATTACTTTGTTAAGGATATAAAATATCATGAATGTAGAAAGTTTTCATAATTTATATTTTAAGAATGGTGGAATCTTTTTTAAAACACAAATTTGAATACAAAATTAGAATAAAAATAGTAACATAGGAAAATATTATATAATATAGTGAATATTGTCATTGCTATATGTCTTTTTGGTGAATAATCTTTTAGTATGTGATGTTCCAAGAGAAAAATTATTTAATCTCCCCTACAACTAATCAGTGAAAACTGTTTCAGTGTTAATGGAGAAATTTCTTCTTCTACAGTGAGGGATTTTTAAGCCAGCTGTCAAAACAAGAATTATATGTGTTGTTTGTAGAAACAGAGTTGTTTTCTTCCTACCTAGGAGGTCTATCCTCTTTATGCAAACTTGCATTATTTGGGTGCATGCTCTGTTTCTGTCAACCTATATTATGTTTCTCAGCTAGTCTTTGAATCATGGATTGCTTTTGTTTGAGAATGTTTGGAAAGGTTGCTACCATACAATAAAAAAGTGAAATTCATAAATGCCATCCTCCACTCTGTATTATCCTACTACATAGCTATAAAATTAAAAACCCATGAAGTTTCAAAATATAAATATGAGGTCAAACCATTTCAAAAGAAAGAATTAAGAAAGAAATTCATTTACAAAACAACCACCAGATATATCTGTTCACAGTGTTTACCTCCAGTGATGTTCCTTTATGGTTAGAGTACTTTAAGATAGCAAGAAATGTAGGATGTTACAACATCAGGAACAAAGAATTTTTTTTTTACCTTTAGCGATTTATTGATATTTATTCAGCTGAAACAGAAGTTTGGAAATCAATGTTTGGCAGTTATCTGCAGCTAGACTATAGCAACAACTTGTAAAAAACAGAACGTCCATAGACACCAAGATATTTGATAAGAGCTACTAAAAATGTTTTTTTCATCACTGTCCTATGCAGTTTTTATTAATCAATTCTACTTTGTTTCTGGTTTTCATTAATTAGAAATCAATTTTATGTGATTGGAGGAATTCCCCATGAATCTGACAAGTCATACATATTAGTATTATGATTAATTTAAATACATACACACACACACACACACACACACACGAACTTTTTTATGTGTTCTAAGTACTTTTTGACCTTGAATCATCCTTGCAAGGTAAACAGAGAACTGTCTCTAATATGCTCATGCCATAATGGAAACACCTTAAACACTATGAAGCTCTATTCTAAGCTACAGCACTGTTTCTCCTAATTCAAGTAATAAAATGAAATATATTAGAAGTTAAATACATTTTTAAAAACTATACAAAGGAAAGATATGGCAGGGAGTATCTGAGCTACCCCTAAACCTGTGCTTTTGACTCCTAGCTCCTAGGTTGTTTTCATACACAGAGGATGACCCTACACCCATCACCCTCACACAAGGTCTTAAATAGGGAAAAGCACATCTATTATTTCCTTAATACTTTACTCAGGCAAAGATAACTTTTAGAAAAACAGTGCTATAGATAGAAGATATTACTAAGAATTTATTATGTGCTAACCTCCTGAGGCTATTTGAATATTACTTCATGTGTAATGTGGGGATAATGTATTTCATTGCCTATGAACAGTATTTTGATTAATTAAATGCAGTTATTCAATTAAATGAACACTTAATAGGAGGTTTATCATAAAAATTACAGTTCTGGGCAGCATTGGAGATTCAGCTAGGGTGAGCACACCGCATAGTGGGGATCATAGTTCTTATTAAGACTCTTGAAGTTACATCAGGAAAAATCTCAGGTAGCCCCTAACTGCACATTCCCATCATGCTTTCGCTAAAGCATAAGAGACATTCAGTGTCTGTCCTGCAGCCTGTTTATGCAAAACCACTCTGATTTTAACTGACCAATTTCTTCCTTTTAGCATTTACTTTTTCTGAAATTTTTTGTATGTGTAAGGTAGGATTGCCTAATTTATCTTTAGTTATGCTTTTACTTTTTAAAATGACTATGATGTGTAATATCTTAATATTCCATGACAGAATATAGCAAATTGTTTATCTTTTATTAATTGATAGGAGCATATGCCTCTAAGATATTACACATTAGTGTCACTTTGTGTATAGAAGAGGAACTCTTTAATGCATGATTGTTTCCTAATGACTAGCACAGAGCCCGGCACTTAATAACAACATCGATTATCAATGAATGCAAGAATAAATAAATGAATAAGAGAACAAGCAAATGAATGAGTAAATGTCAGGGTTAATGAGAAAAAACTCCAGCTCAAATGACAAATGCGAAAGAGGTCATAATTTTAAAAAGTATACTGGAAATAGGACAGGATGCTAATTTTGCTACCCACCTGTTTTCATATAGGTCAGCTTATACATTAACAAATCCGTGTTCATATTTCTTTTATTTGAAAGGTATTGAATCCAAATGTTGAGAGGCTTGAGCAAACATGAATGAATAGTGTTACATAGGATAAGAGATAAAAACAGTTAAAAATGACGATTATTTCCTTGAGATCCACATAACCTAAAACTTCAACCAGATTATTTTTTTGTATTCATCTCCAGATATCCTGATGATGATTAGTCATCTGCAGTATTCCACTGGTAACTGAAACAAACAAACAAACTGAAAGGTTGGGTTTGCCAAAAGCAGGTCTTGAAACAAGGATTTGTGTTGACATATTAGCAACTGACTTCTGGAAACACTAGTCGTGTGTTTAGAGAAAGCAAGTACTAGGAAGGGATGGAGGCTAAGAAAAGGTGACATATCAAGCAAAATATGATAAGGAGTAACTTTGGCTCGATCCTGCAGGGAAGCTCCAGGGCTAGCACAGGCCACATCAGAGTTGCCCTGCTCAGGAGGAGAAGATCTGGAGCATTTCTCCTCATGTCCCTTTTGAGTGCTGCCTCAGAAGCAAATGTAAGTTCCCAGGCAATGTCCCCACCCATGAGTGCCAGCAGGCAGGATATCACAACTTGAGGGAAGGCTTCTAGAAGGAGACAGGTGTTGACTGTTGGGAGTCAATGTGTTAAAAATGTAAAGGCATCCAATGGTGATATGCGCCCAAGCACTGAAACAAACTGTTTGCTATATGGCTCAGTCTAAATATCTTTAGGCCATTTTCAATTTAATATTTCTTTTTACAAAACTTATACTAAGAAGTAGTTATTTATTGTAAGCAATGAAAAACTGTAAAGATTGAATTGACAAAAAAAGTGGAAAACATCAGCCAAAGTCATTATTTTATTAGACTGTTGCAAGATTGATACCCACAAATTAAAAAAAGAAAATACTGGAACCTAGAACCAGTTTATAAACACAAACACACATGCTCACACATTAAATATACATAGTAGGCAATTATTTTAAATAAATATAAATATAATTATGTTCATTATGAACCAAAAATTCAGTTTAATATATTTTCCCAGTTATACTCAATGGCAGATACTCCTCTTCCTTCTTCTCTGTATTTTTGCCTACATGCAGTCAAGTCCTTAACTTGTATATAACTGTCTCCCTTCAGTTTTTTTTTCTTCACACTGCAACCAATTTGCATTTCTCAACCTGAAATCTGATCAAATTACTTGCCTGCGAAAATGATCACTCTTTCCCCATCACAAACATGGTTTTGTTTGTCAGTTTCTTGGAAAGGCTTCAGTGTCTGCTACGATCTAGCACCTACATAACAAACTGCTTTCTTTTCTGAACCTCCCCCATTCAGTGTGGAATGATGAATCAAGAATCCCCGTGATCCTTCAGGTCTTCATGTTTTACAGAAGTTGTCTCCTTCCCTGTAATGGTCTCACCTCCTCCTGGCTGACTTGTGCACTATCCTAGTTATAGTTCAGGAGGCTGTTCAGAAAAAGTGGCCTGTGAATATGACTCTGACCTCTCCTTTCCTGCACTCCCCATGCACACCAGAATTAACCCTTTCATAATCTAGTTAAATTTTTATTTCCTAACACTTTTGGTTTTGCATTTATTAAACTAGAGCAAAGGTTCTCACCTGGGGGTGATTTGCCACTAGGGGACATTTGCTAAAGTTTGAAGAAATCTTTGCTTCTGATCATTTAGAGGGGATGTGTGTAGATATTAGGATTCAATGGATAGATGCTGGGGATGCAGCTAAACATCCTGCAGTGCACAGGGCAGACCCTACAACAAAGCATTATTTGGTCGCGAATTTCAATAGTGCTGAGGTTGGGAAATCCTGCCCTAAAATGACTTTATTTATTTATTTATTTATTTATTTATTTATTTATTTATTTATATGTGTCTCTATTACACTTTAGGCTTCTTTAGGAAGAGTGTTATGACTTACTCATCTTTGAGTGCTTAGTCGTGAGTACACTTTCTGGAATGTGATAGCCACGTTATAGAAGTTTAGTGTAATTAATCACATTGATGCTAACACCTGGGAAAATTAGTGGGGAAATATGTGCTGACATATTTAACTCTAAAACAATCACTTTTTTTGTCCTAGTTTTTGGTTTCAAACTAGTTTTTGGAAGCGAGAAGTCCAAGACCAAAGTGTCAGGAGATTCAGTGTCTCATTCATAATAGGTACCTCTAGCTGTGTCCTCACATGGTGGAAGGAGCAAGGCAGTTTTCTGGGTCCTCTTTTACAAAAACACTAATCCCATTGATGAGGACTCCTCCCTCAAGATTTACTCACCTTCCAAAGGTCTACCTTTTAGAACCATTGTATTGGGAATTGGGTTTCAGCATATAAATTTGGGGGACATAAACATTCACACCAAAGCAGTGGCTTTCACAGTGAAATAAAATGAGTCCCCAAAATGTGTCATCTATATAATTGCTTTATATTCAAGGAGAAAGCAAATATAATTCTTTGACAAATTTATTAAAGGTCCAACTCTACAAATTCTATAATACTTTTTGAAGCTTTTTTCTGAATTTAAGATTCCTTCAGAATTCTGTTATGAAATTTATACTAAGAGGCAGTCATTTATTATAAGATGAAAAACTGCAAAGATTGAATTGACAAAAATAGGAAATACCAGCCAAAATTATTTTATTGGAGCACAAGATTGTAACCTAGTCCCAGTTTATACACAACACACAAACATAATCACTCACTCACACACCATATATACATACATATGCAATTATTTTAAATAAATATACATTTGGTAGGATAATTAATGTAGACAGCAGAGCATGGTGGCTCAAGCTTGAAATCCCAGCACTTTGAGAAGCTGAGGTCGGAGGATCCCTTGAGCCCAGGAGGTCAAGACCAGCCTGGGCAGCATGACAAAATCTCTTATCAACAGAAAAATACAATTTTTTTTTCTGTGCTTCCATATACATGCATCTGTGTTTCCAGATACTCAGGAGGTTGAGGCAAGAGGATTATCTGAGCCCAGGAGGTCTGTAGTGAGCTGTGATTGTACTACCACACTCCAGCCTGGGAAACAAAGTGAGACACTGTCTAAAAAAAAGAAAAAAAAAAGAAAAAAAATTAATGTAGATAATGAGCATAGTGTCAGACAAATCAAAGGTTACAATGTAAGTGTATTAAAGACCATTTTAAGCATTTTAAGAATTAATTTACTAAGAACTTCTTTAGCTTCTGAATTTCTTTTCACTATAAGAAAGGGAAAAACAGCAGTGAATCAGTCCTAATTGTTTTTTGTTTGTTTGTTTTTGTTTCCCTCAGTGTGAGAACTGTCACAGAAACTGTTTATTATTATCCTGTGTTTAAATTTAGGGTCTGCTATGGTTTGGACGTGTCCCCCAAAGTTCATGTGTTGGAAACACAGTCCCCAATGCAACAGTGTGGGAGGTGGGATCTCTAACAGATGACTAGGACATTATAGTTCTGCCCTTGTGAATGAATGAATGCTGTTATGGGAATAGGTTCCTGATAAGAAGATGGGCTTGGCCTCTGTCTCTCTCTGTCTCTGGCATGCTCTGTTGTCCTTCTGCCTTGTGCCATAGATGACACAGCAAGAAGACCCTGGCTCAATATAAGCCCCCTGACTTTGGATTTCTTAGCCTCCAGAAGTATGAGAAATAAATCTCTTTTCAATATAAATTACCTAGTCTCAGGCATTCTGTTATCACAGCACAAAACAAACTAAACAAACTAAGACAGGACCACATTTTAAAATTTAGGGCACTTACTTTTGCGATGGAAAGTGCCTTCATTCTAGCCTGACAAAGGTGGGTTCAGTGGATGGCAGCAAACACAATTATTGAACAGATCAGAGAAAAATTTCACAATTTTCTCAGTCCTTAATTGCTTTAATATTTAAATCCTGGCCTTCTGGAAAGTCTCAGGTGGTGAAATCAAAATTCATATTAAAATGCAAATGGGCAATTAAATAATTGAAGTTATTTAAATAATGTATATTCTTTATTTTCATACCTGCTTGAATATATATTGTAAAGGCGAGTTAATTTATGCTAAAAAATTATGAGACTTCTGAAAAATGTTCTCACTCAAATGTTAATCATTTCTTTCTCCACCTGTTCTTGTTTGGACCCTTTATCATTTTCCCTTTTTTAAAATGACAAAATCATTCTTTGTAAATAACTAGTTGGAATAAATTAATTATACAATTTTTAATTGAAAATTTACGAAAATTATCAAAATATGCAAATAATTAAGGCAGAGCATAAATATATATATGTTTTTATGTATATATAAATATATATATGTCCACAATAAGAAAGAGAAGTAATATGAGCGGTTATGTGCATATATCATGTTAATATAATAGTTTGAATTGTAGTATATGCAATAAACATCTAATCAAATCTTATATAATTTATTAGAACCATCTCAAAATTGTGGCATATAAAATATTGTTGCATTTGGATCAGTGAGATATTTAGATTCTCCACTAATAAAAATAATGAAGAATTTTGCTCACAATAAGGTAACTGAGAATTTTTATTTTAAATAATAATTTGTATGCATGCAAACAAATACACACACATGTAACATGCTTATGGTATGAAAAAGGAAGGGCAAGTCTTCCTTCTTACAGTGGTTTGCTGTTGAGTTTTCACTAAAATACATTTATATCTTTTAAAAAATAACTGTAAAAATACATACACAACTCTATTATGTTCTTTAAAATAAATAGTTTTCTTTATTTCCCAGAACTTGTGCCACAGCAAATACAGCAAAAACTACTCAGCACGTTACAAGAGTAGTGAGCTGTCTATCTTCTTCCGCGGGGAAGACACTGACTTTATTTTTTTATTTTAGTATCTGCCAATTCATGAAAGTGAGTTATATATTCCTTTCATTCTCCCATGAGCCAAAGGATAAGAATAGTATCCTGGGTGTCACTGATCCACCACACATGCTGGCTGTGCGACTGCGCTTGGAAGAGGATATTACTTGCCTGGTGACTTAAGCAACTACCTCTGCCTTTTAATGAACATTCATGAAAAAAATGCAAATTTGTGTTCACTAGATACATAATCAATCACAACTACACAGCTGGAAGAAGTAGTGACAGAGATGGGGGCCAGAAATCCACTCAGCTTTTTGTCCTGTTTAAAATACATTTAAAGGATTGGCCCAATTGGCAGTGTTGGAGAAGGCATCACCTTGAGGGCCAGTTGTGGGGTCACTACAGCACCGTCATGGGAACGTCCATCTAGCCTCCATTGTGAATGGTTTTAAGAAATTTGGAAGGCCGAGACAGGCGGATCAGTTGAGGCCATGAGTTTGAGACCAGCCTGGCTAACATGGTGAAACCCTGTATTTACTAAAAATACAAAAAAATTAGCCAGGTGTGGTGGCGGGCGCCTGTAATCCCAGTTACTTGGGAGGCTGAGGCAGGAGAGTCACTTGAACCCAGGAGGCAGAGGTTGCAGTGAGCCGAGACCGCCTGGGCAACAAGAATGAAACTCAGTCTCAAAAAAAAAAAAAAATGAAATTTGTATATAGGGGATGGAAATGCTTATAGGTTTACTGAAAATCCTTTCATTTGAAATTAAAATTATTTAGTAAATAATGGCTTGATATTTGGGGCAGGATTTGAAGGGGAGGTAATTAAAAGCCTGTTGATTATGCAGAAAGGTGCTGTTAGTGACGATAGAATGCCTTTATTTTGTACACCATTCAAAATATTGGACATCTGACATTTTCAACCAAAACTTCAATTATATACTGTGATTTTTCACTTGTTGCAATACATTAACATTTCAGAGCTACATTGGGTTAAAAAGCTGGGATTTCTAAGTCAGTATGTACATGTGCATTTCATATAAAAAGCTTTTAATGGTGTGCAGAGTATTATATACTAACTGGACTTTTCCACATCTGTATGTTATATGTATTTTGTGGTATTGAAATTAAAGAAAGTTTAGCATGTCAAACATGCATTTAATGCTTATTTTTAAACAAATTTATGACAATTAAAATACTTGGAAACAAGGCTATCACATTTTAATTTTTAGAGAACTTTTTACTCTACTGGTCATTAAGATGTTTTGTATAATGCCAAACCATACCTGGTGAAATTGAATAAATATCAAATAGATCTTTTAAAAAAGAATTGTCACTCTTGGTGGAAATGCAAGTCTGAATTAGGAAGACAGACAGAACCCAGATTCCTCCTCCATGTTGAATTTTAAATAGTTGTTATCTGTTGATAAAAAAGTTATCCAAAGGAAAAGAGTTTCTTTACTCTGATTAATGCAGTGACATTTTAACTAAATAAATTGTAAGTAAACTAAACTAAATAATTTATTTTTTAAAGATTTTAATGGCACACACACACACACACACACACACACACACACAACATAGCTATAAAACTTCAATTTTGTATACAAAACTAACCAGGTACCTGGGGTCTACCCTTAGGGAAAAACAGGGCTTCTCTCTGCTTCTTGCCTGCCCTCTTGCCAATATTCTACTCTCCAGATCCCCAGACACGGGACTGAGTTCTAATAATAATGTTTTGGTTTTAAAAAGGTCTCTTCTGGAGTTTTTTTAAAAAGTGTGTTTCTGAGCTTAGGTGGAGATGCTTGTCTACTTTTCATATCTTTTCTTCCATGAACTGGTGCTAAGATTCTGTAAGGGAAATATGGCTAGATCCAATTTTGGGCCATTCTAAAAAAAAAAAAATCCAGTAGGTGAAAATTTTAGAAGCAGACAGAGCTGGGTGTATGACAGCTTATCTATTCACATGTTTAAAGTGACCCTGGACAAGTTATCAATATTCCTAATAGCACATTGTTGAAATTAAACATTATACTTTGACTAAATTGTCTGGCACAAAGAAGGCTCATAATTAATTTTCTTTCTTCCCATCGAATCCTTTTCTTCCCTTTTTTCTCTGAATGAGAAATGCTACCAATAAATAGTTGAGGAACATTGAGTTACAAAGCTTTCTTTCTCCTATTAGGTCCTCTTTCCCTTTCAGTGAGTGATCGTAGTGTCTACTTATTTTCCTATTTTTCTTTCTTTGTTTCGTTTCCTTCTATCATGTTTTTCATGATGCAAGTTAGACCTTACCACTATTTTCCAGAAAGTTCCTCTGACAACATTTGTTGCATTTTAAACAATTACCATATAGACACTTGGAACACCATCTGTTTGTAAATCAATGATTTCCTTCTTTTGCCTATTTTCTGATACATGTTACCTGGTAGAAGAAAGGAGAAATCCCTGTATAAAATATTTTTCTATCAAGATTAGAAATGGAGTAATTAAATGTCTCTTTCTATTATTGTACACGACATAATACAAGAATACACAAAAAGCCAAAGATGACACTATTCTAGTCAATAACAAAGAAAGGGAAGGAATGGATGAGGAATGTCATTATTCTCAGGAGTATACAATTATGTGTGCTTCTATGGTGATAGCACCCTTCCCCCTGCATTCCAAATTGCATTGTCTCCTTTGTATAGTAAGAATAGAGAGGCTATATCCAGACCATGAGTCATTTTTCCCCTGTAACAAGAAGAGATTCTTTCTATTCAAGGGGCACTCAGGGCTCATGGCATGCCATGAGGTACAGCAGTGGGTAATTAGCTTCTCTTTCTCATTCAGCTATCCTAGTGTCTACTTCCTCAGTTCATCCTTTCATTCTTACACCATAATAGAGGTGCTACACATAATTATATTTTTTATAAATAAACATTTATGAAGATCACTACCTAAAATTAAATCTAAACTAGAGTTAAATAAAGTCACCAGATACCTCTTACTTTGGCAGATTTGTTTTTAAAGGAAAAGATATATATGTATATAAGTTTCAATTTTGAGTCAGTTCACAAGAATGCCCATGTAATTTGGAAATACCTTGTACGACTGTTTTCTTCCTTTTCTACTTCTTGTAGAGAATTTGACAACTGAAGCTTTAAGAGTATCTACCATGTTGTAAAGATCATGCAAGCATATAATAAGGGCAAGCCTGAATCCAGATCAGAGTTCCACAATTAACAGAGATGAATTGGTACTGATAATTTCTTTACTTACCTAATTTTAGTTGTATAGCTACCTATGACCCTGTGGTGAAACACACTCATTTCTTCCCCTGCGTATATTGTAGCCATTGCTCTTTGCCAAGCTTCCTGCTTTTTGGAAATCTGACATCAGGCAAGCTCTCTAAATGTGTTTAGCTATACCACGTACCAGAAGGAAAAATAAGGTATATATGATATTAAATTATTTGCTAAATATTTTTAAGTAGTCTGATATCTAGCGAGTTTGCAAACAAGTACACAATGGTAGACAGAAGCTGGGCCTCTAGTACTCAAGAGTGAATGAAAATACAATAAAATAGCTTGGACTTTGACAAAAATACACCTCCACTGATTAAAATGTTGCAGATATTAATACTCAGCAGTTTCAGATGATCTAATCAAGACCATCATATTGAAACAAACATATTTTACTCACATATAAGAAATTAAGATCTTAATAATTATTTGTTGGAATGAAAGATGGAAGAATATCAGAAATTAAAAAATTAAACTGCTTATAGCCTGCATAGAAAAAAAGACAAAGAAAAATTCACTTATCAAGTAAGTAATAAAGTTGATAACCTCTGTGGGAAACTGGGCACTGCCCGTTATAGGAACCTAAGAGGAGGGCACTTACCAACTGGTCAAGATGTGAATGATCTTTACCTTCCAGATGATTCTTATGCCAAAATGGCTAAGTTGTCCACAGATGTGCCAAATACTGCTGTCACAGAAGGTCTGTGGCAAAAAGTGAAAGATAATACATTGCTGCTGAGATGAGCTGCCCTCAGTTTAAACCTTTGCCTTGATGAGTAGTATTTGCTGGAATTCAGAGTTCAAAAAGGATTTATAATAGGGCAGACAATATCCACACCCTACACCATTCAGAACATTTATAACCTACAAAAAGTCTAACCCATCACACAGACATAAAATTGGTGGCCAGTTGAAATCTGTAGTCCGTGGAACTAGGACTTCTAATCCACCACACCATGGTGTATACTTACAAGTTTGAGAAGAACATATTTCACAAATACATCTCTAGGATTGATGGTGATGGAGCCAAAACTGACATCACTGGTACTCAGACCCACATTCTAGCTATTGTGGATATAGGACTCCTGTATTCACTGGGGTATAATGTATATATTGTGTTCTGCAGGGTGTTATCCCTGAGCTGTCATCTTAACCAAGAATTTAATATGTCATCTAAATGGACACTTCAAACTGACATGGTTTAACAGGACCAATGAATCCTATGGTCTTGACCCAAATGTTGCATCTCTTTTAATGCAAAATGTGTCCCTTGATTTTAGATAATATTATGTGGGATCTCTTTTGACAAATCAGATATTTTGTTAGTTTATGGATAGTGGTTATTTCAGGCTCATTTTATAGAAACTGGTCTGGCTAAGAAGAGAGGGTAGGAAGAGAAGGTAGCTTACTTGCATTAGAAGAATTCTATCCTTCTGTTTTAGTCATTCCTCCTTGGTGATGGATGCTGTCTGTTCCTCATGAAAATGAGAAACAAAGATCACCATTCTTTTTCCCCAGTCTCATATATCCATACTAGTTTTCCACTTCCCAAACTCCTTTCGCTCCAGTTCTCTAAACTTTCTTCTCCAACGTTCCTGACTAAACATCTGAGCTACTTGTTGAGGAATTTGTTTATATCTTTACTTCAGGCATCTCTCCATATGAGGTGAATGACCAAGTATACTACTAACTACTCCATTCAGTGGGAAGATTTCTCCTGACTATTGCCTTGAAGGCCATCCTTGATAGGCCTATTGTGTAGCAAAATAAATATAATGCACAGTCACTGTAGTGCAGCATGGTAATCTGATGAATTTGTAAACAAGGCTATTATTCTCTTTTACAGGGTTGTTATGGAGAACTTTTTACAAGGCTACATATATAAACTGAGTAAGAAGCATTGAGGTAGCAGAGGTAGGGGACAAAGGAATCTAAGTCACCAACTCATTCAAAATATTTTTTGCCTTCTAAACCTTATGAGGCTAGATCTATAATGCATTATTTCCTATATAAATAAATTTCTGCTGCTCCTGCCCAAGCTGTCTAATATATCTTAGAATAAGCAGGTCAAGATGGGCAGCTCTGGTTGCAAAGTCATTGATGCTCTATTAGGGCTCAAGCCCAAATAGGGACAAGTACCACATCAACAGCTGTTTTTAAAATGCTGAGGAGTTCTCTTCCAGTCAAGTCAAGACCTGGCTTTCGTTTTTAAGAAATGGTCTCTGTAACTCTCCTTTTTTTGGTGTGCCAGAGATTCCAAAATGGACCTTATCTTCTCAGATACCTTTGGTAGTGTTAGATTTGTGGGGTTATCCAGCATGAGTGGAAAGGCAGTTTGTACTCAGGCTAGACATGATGCAGAAGATGTTCTTGCTCAAATACTTCTGAGTTACCTGATGAATTCCATGGAATAGCATTCCAGATGTCATATATACCATGTTCAGAAATCCAAGAGGTCCAGCAAGTTTTAGTAAGATGGTGCACAAAGTTCCAAAAATAGCCTTGTGCCTTAGAGGAGATACAATGCCGTGAATTATACTATTAGAGCCTCAAAAAAGTGATTGAGGGGCAGGTCCTTTAACCTTTGTGGGCCTTATTTCCCACCATCTAGTGTGCATATATCTTGCTATGGTACCCAGAGAACTACTGCCTGATTAGTGTGGTCGCAATGAGCACAGTTGCATCAGTATAGTGCACCAGAGTAATGTTCGGCAGAATAACCAACAGGCAAAAACCCTGCAGAGTACATTGTGGCAGAGAACAGAAGAATCAACATAGTCCTGAGCAAGGCAATGGATTTGTACTGCTGTGTTTTCCATTTAAGTTAATGTTTATTAAACTGTAAAATAAAGGTTTCAAAGGAAACAAATCAGATGCTTGCATAATGGTATCTTTTCAGACTGTACACACCCTTATAGCCATTCCCACAAAAAGATGGAGAATATCATCAGCTGTTTTCTAATCATCGCTTTCTTCATGAATAATAATCACTATCCTGACACCTAAAACCACACATAGCTTTTGCCTTTTTCAGTACTTTTTACTGCACTTCTTTCCAGTACTCCTTTATGTCTGTTGACTTTTGTTCCTCATTATCTTTGTTAGATCTGTCCATGTTATTGTATGTAGTTGTAAATTATTTATTCTTTCTGCTCTATAGGATTCTGTTTATGAATATATTACAGTTTAATCAGCCAACTGTTTATGCACATTTGGGTTTTCAAATTTGGGATGTTATAAACAGCACTTCTAAAAGATTTGTTTACATGTCCTTTGTTAAATATTCATATAAATTTTTCTCTGGAATAGACCTAGGAGAGAAACGATTAAGTGATAAAGTTCACAGATGTATGGCTTTAGTATATACTACCAACCAGTTTTCAACCGCTGTTCTCCCAGTTTCTACCTTATTAATAAGCATGAAAATTCCCATTGATGCACATCCCTCCAATGCCATTGTATTTCTTTTTTGTACTTTAGCAATTTGGGTGCATGTTTATCACATTGTGATAAATGGAGTTGTGTGTTATCACATTGTGAGGTATCACATTGTGATTTTAATTTCTATAACCTTGATAATGAATAATTTAAGTATATTTCAGTGTTTATTGCCAGTTGGATATCTTATTTTGTGAAGAACACACACAATTAGTTGTGCCCTTTTCCTGAGTATATTACCTGAATTTTTATTGATACACAGCACTTTTTAATATTTCAATATGAATAATTTGATGTTTATAATTATTACAAGTATCTATCTGGAGCCTGACTTTTTAACTCTCTCATTGTTATCTTTTAATGGCAGTTCTTAACTTTGATCAATAACCACATACTCAGTGCCAGAGACGGTGTTAAATTATTTAAGTGTCAATACCATATGGGACTCGACAGCTGCAACTGAGATACCGTTTGTTTAACTTTATGATGCCTTGCCATTCTTTGGCACAGTTTGTTGATTTTTATAGTGACCAGACTGGAACTAAATGTGGATGTTTAGGGTCTACCACCACAGAATGCTTTAATTCTTTGATGGTTGTGTTAATCTTTTTAATTCATCCTAGTATGGAATTTGTTTATGTGGTGGTGGAGGAGGAAAGTTTCAGGGACTTCTGCTTGGCCTTCCCCAACTGAATAGATTTTAATTCATGAGATGAAAACATTTATGTAAATGATTTCAGTTAAAGTTTATCCATCCTAACTACACGATTAGAAAAATAATCACAGGATGAGTACATGGACATTCTGGAGTGACAGAAATATACGTGTGCCTGAACTCCATTACTCTATTGATCACCTGAAGTATTAGTCAGGGTTCTCTAGAGGGAAGGAAATAATAGCATATACATATATATGAAAGTGAGTTTATTAAGGAGAATTGACTCACACGATCACAAGGTGAAGTCCCATGATAGGTCAGCTTCAAGCTGAGGAGCAAGGAAGCCAGTAGTGGCTCAGTCTGAGTCCCAAAGCCTCAAAAATAGGGAAGCCCACGGTGTAGCTTTCAGTCTGTGGCCGAAGGCCTGAGAGCCCCTGGCATACCACTAGTGTAAGTTCGAGATTCAAAGGCTGAAGAACCTGGAGTCTGATGTTCAAAGGCAGGAAGCATCCAGCATGAGAGAGAGATGAAAACTGGAAGACTCAGCAAGCCAGCTTATTCCACTTTCTTCTGCCTGCTTTTTCTAGCCGTGCTGGCAGCCAGTTGGATGGTGCCCACCCACCTTGAGGGTGGGTCTTTCTCTCCCAGTCCACTGACTCAAATGTTAATCTCCTCTGGCAACACTTTCACAGGCACACCCAGAAACAATACTTTGCATCCTTCAATCCAATCAGGTTGACCCTTAACACTAACCATCACACCTGACTTCCACGACTTTTCACTCTAACCAGAAAGTATGGTGTTTTGGTTCTGCTGGTATCAGAATCACCTCAAACCTGGTAACCGACAACTTTTGGGTGGTTTCAATTTTTCAATAATGTGTGTAGTACACACACACACACACACACACACACACACACACACACACACACACACACATTTAGGAGTCCTGACCTCTCCTTCAGTTAAAACATTCTGCATCTGATAACTGGCTTAGATTTAGAAAATCATAGGTCATTATTTACAATTGCTGTGGCTGACCTCCACATTTACTTCATTAGTTCTCCTTCTTTCTTTTCTGTTTTTCCAATCAAGTAATATCCAAGTTAGGTTGCCATCTATTTTGTCCCTAAGATCACTATTACCTATTAGTCATTGCTTAAGATCCTTGCAGGTCAAAGCATCCTGGTTGTCTCTCCAGCTGATAGGGTTTGGCTCTGTGTCCCCACCCAAATCTCATTTTGAATTGTAATCCCTATATGTGGAGGGAGGAACCTGATCAAAGATTATTGGATCACAGGGGCGATTTCTCCCATGCTGTTCTTCTGACAGTAAGTGAGTTCTCACAACATCTGATGGTTTTATAAGTGGTAGTCTCCCCTTCTTCTCTTGTCTCTCGTGCTGCCCTGTGAAGAAGGTGGTTACTTCCCCTTTGGCCATAATTGTAATTTATAAAGGAAAGAGTTTTGATAGACTCACAGTTCTGCATGGCTGGAAAGGTCTGGCGGATCATGAGGTCAGGAGTTGAGACCAGCCTGGCCATCACAGTGAAACCCCGTCTCTACTATAAATACACACACACACACACAAAATATATATATATACACACACACACACACACACACACACACACACATATATAAGTTGGGTGTGGTGGCAGGCACCTGTAATTCCAGCTACTTGGGAGGCCAAGGTAGGAGAATTCCTTGAACCGGGGAGGCAGAGGTTGCAGTGAATGGAGATCGTGCCACTGCACTCCAGCCCGAGTGACAGTGTGAGACTCCATCTTAAAAAAAAAAAAAAAATTCTTCTCAGGGACAATGTTGGCTAGGATACCATTGTGGTAAATTAGATATTTTGCAATTCCAGAGATGGCAATTTTAGCAGAAGAAGAGTTTTCAGGGTAAGAAATTCACATGCAGAGTAAGAGCTAATAATAATGAGAACAAACCACTGCCCTCCATGATGGAAGTATAGTCCTCCTGACATCCATTGCGGGCTGAAACACCCTCCCTATGGAAACAGGATAATGTTGGGGACTTGGTGTTGATCTCTGCTGTTGGCAAGATGAAGACAGAGCAGTGGCTCCAATCCATATTGCATTAACCTACCCTTCTGCTACCATGGACGCTTGATTTACGAGCCCTTTGAGCAGGATCACAGGTGGCTGGGTCAAGTGACTGCCAGATACAGAACAAGTCATCTTGTTCACCTGATTAAGATTTCTTCTTAGCTGAGATTTTTCGTTGCCAAGCATTCCAATGGCTTACAAATATCTTTATACTCTGTGTCCTTTCAGACAGATTTAACCACAGATTTCTTCCCTCTTGTCCTCTTGAAACACAAGCCATTGTTCACTTCTCATTAATCAGTTTAAATCCATGCTTTTTGCTGTCTACCCTTCCATGCAAAATAAACATACGTTAGCTATAGTCACCATGCTGTATTATTTCTCCCATATAAATTAAATATGTATTATTTGATCAAC
This sequence comes from Homo sapiens, assembly GCF_000001405.40. Classification (NCBI taxonomy): domain Eukaryota; kingdom Metazoa; phylum Chordata; class Mammalia; order Primates; family Hominidae; genus Homo; species Homo sapiens. The sequence goes on along the minus strand of NC_000018.10, from coordinate 66,129,077 downwards.
ACTCCCTAGCCCTCCCCACCCAATTTCCCCAGCCTCTAGTAATCACCATTGTACTCTCTACTTCTATGAGATCAACTTTTTTAGATTCCACAGGTAAGGGATTGTATTATTGAAAAATACTGAGAGTAGATGTTATGTGTTCTCATCACTTAATTATAAATCATTAAATGATAACTATGTGAGACAATGCATTTAATTAGTTTATTTAACCATTTTACTGGCTATAGATACTTCCAACCATTATGTGGTACAAGGTAAATACACACAATTTTATATTTCAATGAAAAATAAATAAATTTGAAATAATAAAGGTATGAAAACTAAAACAAACATACATTCAGGTGCACTACTTGAAGTTTTGCCAATTGGGAGAATTTTCCTCACCCTTGTCTCTCAGTGCCACAACAGAGAATGAGTGTAAAGTCACAGACATTCACTTTTGGTGAAGAAGCATAGCACATAGTACTTAAACACAGTGCTTTGAATTTTTTATAACTCAGTCTGCTCATTACAGGGAGTTTCTCATGAGACCAGCATCGTGAGTTAAGAAGTAGAAGGCAATGTAGCAGGAGTATGGGCCAGGGACATTATGAGTCATTTGCACATGCAACTTATGCCTTTAGGTCATTTTTTAAACCTGAAGCATTTACATTTGATAATGGAGTACGCTGTGTATGCTAAACTTTAAGGCTTGCCAAACTTAATGACAGGCAGCTTAGGTTTCAGGGTAACTTGGTGGTCTACAGTCTAGGGTTCAGTCACCACTAAAGACAAGTTGTTAGAGGTATTTCTCCAAAGGATTATTTATCTACAAGAAATTGAATCACTTTTCTCCAAAATCCTAAAGGTCAATATCCTAGATGTTTGGTTTCACCTACTGATAAGAATACCACTAATGGGGTGATATAGAATAAAGGATTTGATGTTATGCATTTGGGGAGGCTCATGGAGAAATCTGCTCAAGGACACTATGTCAACTGTTAGGCTTGAAGATTGCATAGTTCATCTAGCCAGGTGGTTGGAAAGGAGAGATGGACACAAGCCCTAGTGGGAATCCTTGATGACAAACCAGAACTTGCATTCATCCCTCACCAGCTCCAACATTGATGCTGTAGGTGATCTGCAACAGAAGCTGGCATGCTTTACCATGTAGCTGCGTACATACCTGGTACCAAAACCCAGAGAACTAAAGTGATCCTGCAAAGCTGGAAGTGCTTCCCCAAACCAACAAGGACAAATGGTGTGGTGTGCATGAAATCCTGATGTGCTGGTTCATAATTCTGATTTTAACAGTGTGGAAAAAATAACTACTTCTTTATTTTCACCATCCAAATCTTGTACAAATGTCTCCTGTTTTCTATAGTTTCCTATTTCTGAACAAATACCGCAAACTTGGTAGTTTCTAGCAAAACTATATTATCTTACACCTCTGGTGGTCAGGGGTCTGAAAGGAGTCTCAGAGGGCTCTCATAAGCAGGCAGGGCTGCATCCCATATGGAGACTCTAGGGAACAATCTATTCCCTTGTTTTTGTTTGTTTGTTTGTTTAGCTTCCTGGAGCCTCCTATATTTCAAGACTTGTGGCACCTTCAAAGATAGGAATCACATCACACCAGCCACTGCTTCCATATTCTCATCTCTTTCTCTGGCTCTTCTGCCTTCCCATTTCATATGTTAAGGATCCTTGTTATTTCCTTAGATCCATCTAGGGAGATAATGCAGAATAATCTTCTCACTTCAAGATTCTTAACTTAGTGACATTTGTAAAACATGTTTGCCAAGTACAGGTTATAGAGATTAGGGCATGGTCATCTTTGGGGACCATTATTATGGCTACCACACCACCCTATAATTGCACAGAAAAGAACTTTCTGGGAAGTGTATTTCCATTTTAACTAAGCTGGCTCAGAACAAATCCGCCACATAGTGTAAATATTTAATTCAATTCTAACAGGATTTCTAAGGCATATCAAAAAGAAAAAAAAAACCAGCCAACACTATTTTCTTCCCCTTAGTTCACTGATGGAGAGCATTGAATTTAAAAAAAAAGAAGAATACCATACATTTTCATGTTAGCATATTGTAGAAGAATAATTTATAATGGTTCATAAGTTATTGCCAACTTAAATATATATATGTGTGTGTGTATATATATGTGTATATATATATGTGTGTGTGTGTGTATATATATATGTATGTATGTGAATGGCTAGTTACCTGTCCATCTCCACTCACCAAACAGATGTGCCCAAGGTTTACAAAAACGTTATGTTATTGAACATGTTCTCTGTTATGACAGATATAAAGGAAAAGCCTTCTTATATTTTGAGAAACAAGAACCTAGAGTATTGAAAACAAACTACAATTATATTCATCATACACACATGTCAAAATAAAATTTTTTCAGATAATATTTTCCAGTGAAATAAATTTACTATGTGAATGCCTCACTCACTATGTGAGTTATTTCATGCTCATGCTTCATTGTTTTCTCTTTTGCTTTTGATTCCCTTGCTGTGCAGGGATGATGCCTTTTTGCTTTTCTTCCTCAAATCACTGCAGTCTCTTGCCCAGTATACAAGCTTGTTGAGCACTACTTTATTTGAAACAGAGTGAAGCCATCACCAGAGGCTAATTAATTTCTCTAGGGATGCAGAATAAGGCAAAGATATAGGGTGGGAGATGATGTCTTTCTTACATGGTGACGTTTGTATTCAAAGCAAATTTTGTAAATTATCAGGCCGATTTCTTCCTCCTCAGGGATTTGTGGAATGGTTTAAAAAAATGCATGATATATTTTTGAATGCTTAAGAACTGGGTTCCATCCTAAGCTTAAAATTATGATAAATATTGCACCCAGCACAAATTAGGTAAGACCAAATCACCCTGTGGTTGCTATAATTAACTAAAATGATAAAGACTCCTGAATTTGTGTGTGTTGTGTGTGTGTGTATTTCTGCTAGAGCACTACAAGAAGAGCATGAAAGATGCATAGGGAGTTTTATCAGTGAGTGCTGAGAGCACATAAAATAGGGATGCATACATTTATAACAATTCTCATTTTTCTGCTCTAAACGCAGTGTGTGCATTAAAGAGAAGCAGGCACCACCTGTGACCACCATCACCAATTACTTATTATTTCACAATAAAATTATATTTATAAACAATAGGGTCAAAATTAAAGACTATAGTCAAATTGTTGCTTTAATTTTGCCCAGTGGCTTTCCTATTTCAGAACACTGTATAGAAAACTACTGGAATTTTGTGCCTAGAGGGATGATTTTCCTGCTGTGTAGAGCCATATTCCTCTTAAACCCAAGCAATGACTCCCCCATGCCTTCCAAATCAAAGATTAGCTCCTCAGTTTGATGTTCGTGACCTTCCACCATCTGGCTCATAACATTTTTACTTCATATCCTCTTACTTTCCTGTAAAAAATCCCGTCAAGTCAAAGTAAATTTTTCTTTTTTCTCTTAATATTCCCAAATCTTGCTACTTTGCCACCTTTTTTCCTGTACTGAGAAATTTTTTTCTACTCTTTAGAAAAATCTTACCTATCATTTAAAATCTGTTTCCAATACCATCTTCTCCACGTGATATTTCCTTACATTTTACACTGAATATCATCACTTTAGCTTTCAAATGTTCATTCTCTCCTTTTGCTTCCTCTCCCTCTCATTCTCCGCCTCCCTGCGTTCTCTTGCTATAACATATTTCTGTATTTTTGTAATTTAGCTTAGATTTAATTATATGTAAATGAACTACATAAAAGAGGTGTGATTTCATGAACTTTCTCTAAGAGTAACTACCAGTGTTAGTTCACCTGCTTGAGTTGTACTATCAAAAATATGTCTTGGGACAAGGTGTAAGATGCATGTAGATGGACATAACATAATTAAACTTTAAAATCTATTTTCAGGTTTATATTTTACAGTGGAAACTTGAAAAGAAAGAATGTTAAGTATGGAAACATTTTTATGAAATAGTGCTCATTATAGATTATTTTCTTTTTTTTCAAAAGTCAGTACAATTCATAAGCCTCATACATTAGCTCTTCCCTTGCTATTGTTCTAACAGATAAAGAGAAAAAAAATCCCTAGATATTAGGAGGCAAGTGAGAAAGAATTTTTTACTGTGAAGAGGGCAAACTCCAACCTCTTGTATTTGCATGGATATGTGTGAGATATATTAGGAACAGAGTTAAAGATATCAATATTTTGCTGGCAAAGCAACTGGTCCTCAATATGAACCATTGTAAATCGCCTATGTAAAAGTAAAAAATGTTCCACAATAAATACATCAATGATGATAAAAGAAATAAAAGCATCAAATAAGCTAACCAGTGTTTAACAATAAGACACATGTCTTCTATTTCTCCCTATTATTAGAGGATACTTTGCTAAGTGTAGAGTTCTTTAGAGTTTTTGAGTTAAGAGCCCATTAGCATTTCTGTAAAAAGAAGACATGGTCTCAAGATTCCACCATGTGGTAGATGTTGGGATTCCTGATGTGTATGTATCTAAGGTAACTGCTTAATTCGCTGTATATCATCAATTCCACATGTGAGTTCTTTTTTAAAATGTTGCTTTACAAAGTTCCACAATAAAATATTCTCTGCAGTTGTTATTTTAAATTGATTTATTTTTTTAGATGGATTTTCACCTGTCGCCCAGGCTGGAGTGCAATGGAGACATCTCAGCTCACTGCAATCTCTGCCTCCTGGGATCAAGTGATTCTCCTGCCTCAGCCTCCCAAGTAGCTGGGATTACAGGTATGTGCTACCATGCCCAGCTAATTTTTTAATATTTTTAGTAGAGACGGGGTTTCACCATGTTGGTCAGGCTGGTCTCTAACTCCTGAACACAGGTAATCCGCCTGCCTCGGCCTCCCGAAGTGCTGGGATTACAGGCGTGAGGCACCATGCCCAGCTGGATTTTTATTTAAGGGAAAAAAAAGCACCATCCAAAAGGCTTCAAGATCCTTGAGTTTGTTATGAATACACTGGGTAAATAAAACAATTAATAGGACAGTATCTAAGCAAGGCAAATTATTATTTGATTAATCACAATTATAGAAACATAATTATTCATGTTTAGCCTAATGAACTGTTCATATTTCCTGAGAAGATTAAACACTATGCCAAGAAATAGTCAGTTGCAATGTTTATCAATTATTTCTCAAGAAACTCTAAAGAACCCTACACTTAGCAAAGTACCCTCTAATAATACGGGGAAATAGAAGACATGTGTCTTATTGTTAAACACTGGTTAGCTTATTTTGATGCGATCACTGAGAATCATGTTGTCTGTGGAGCTTAATAATTATGAAGGCTACAGGTATTCAATAAAACAAATTAAAAGATGAATTAAATGAAAGTTCTACCGATGACATAAACATCTTCAAAACCCCGTTGGAAGTGATCTATGATAAAATTATTCTTGGTAAAAATTGGATAGGAGAGTTTATTAGCTTAAAATACTACCAAAGATAACTATATGAGGTAATGCATATGTTAATTAGCTAAATTTAACCATTCCACAATACTTCAAAGCATGTTGTCCCTGATAAATGCATACACTTTTATTTATTAATTTAAATAAATAAACAAATTTGAAGGGAAAAATACTACCAAAATTGATACAGTTTCTGTCATAGTTTCTCTTTTTTAGTCATGGGCATGAAAATATAAAGGAATGAAATTTAAAGTATGGCGATATTAAAAAGATGAGAGTTACCTTTTATTTTTGTCTCACATGTCATCAAGGACTATACTCACTTTATGGACCATAGTTGAAAATCATCTGCCAAATCATGAATATGCACCCTCCTATAGTTAATAAAAGATATTCTATGCATGTCATACATTACTTCAGGAATAAAATAATCAGCAGAAATGTGTATCCATTACTTTTGGGGATCGATGAATGTCCCCTGATTTCCAAACTCAAGCTAATGTTAAAAATGAACATTTTCCATGTTTGCATTTCTTTGCACTTCAGAGAAGCAGCTGAGACCAGAAGCAGAAATGCTAATATTCTGTGAGAACAGCTGTTGTTATGGTATTTCTGGACTAGCTGCTTGCAGGAAGATTAAATCTCGCTGTAAAACTTGCATTTTCTCCTAGAATCCTCAGCTCAATTTCATAAATTCGAAAGGTATGGGCAGGTGAGATGCAATTGTGATAAGCAACCCGTCAGGTTATTTCTCTGCATTGCAGCAAGCCTTTAAACTTTTCTCAGCTATAATGCATCTCCATTAATAGTGAGTTTAACGTCATGAGTTACGGTGGAAGCCACAAAAAATATATATCTATTCTGCTTAAAATGAGAAATCCCAAAATTGGAAAAGGAAATCTGGAGTGAGAAAAAAAGCCCTGGAACTTTTTTTTTTTTTAATCTTTGGGGATATAGAGGCGGAGGTTGCAGTGAGCTGAGGTGGCTCCATTGCACTCCATCCTCGGCAAGAAGAGCAAATATCCATAATAAATAAATAAATACATTTAAAATAATAACTGCAGAGAATATGTTATTGTGGAACTTTATAAAGCAACATTTAGAAAAAAGAACTCACATGTGGAATTGATGATATACAGCTAATTAAGCATTTACCTTAGATGCGTACACACCAGGAATCCCAACAATATATACCATATGCTTAAGCCTCAGTAAGAGGTTGTCCACACACAGAGAACCAGCAAAATAAAACAGCAAGAAAATGAGGAACCCAATTCACCGACACCAACAGCCCTGTGTACTTTAACATCATTTAAGTGGGCTGGTTGCTGCAATTAGCACATGTGTGGTTGTGTGCTTAATGACAAAATTGATTTGAAGGACTTTTGAATGTCTCTTTCATTCAAAACATATGGGCCAGCTTGTCATGGTGACTCATGCCCATAATCCCAACACTTTGGGAGGCCGAGGCAGGCACATCACTTAAGATCAAGAGTTCAAGGCCATCCTAGCCAACATGGCGAAACCCCATCTCTACTAAAAATCCAAAAATTAACCAGGCATGGTGGCGGACACCTGTAATCCCAGCTACTTGGGAGAATGAGGCAGGAGAATCAATTGAACCCAGGAGATGGAGGTTGCAGTGAGCCGAGATTGCGCCACCACACTCCAGCCTGGGAGACAGAGTGGGACTCTGTAAAAAGACAAAAAGAAAAACAAAAAACATATGGGTAGCATTTATATGTCTTGGAAATCTTTATGTTCAATTGAATGTATTATTTTAAACTCCAGTCTTATTTTAAATATATTTTTTCCAATAAAAAATATACCATTGAAAAGACAGTGCAATCACCACAAAAGTAACATAAATAAAATTACACATTAATTAAATTTTAACAAATAAAATTTTAAAATATTATTGATTAGCAATTCCAATTAATAACCAAGTGCGGATGTTAATTAAACACCCATTCTGTATTTTGGGTTCCCTGATGACTTCAAGTAAAAGAAATATTATTCTGAAGAAGCATGTAATTGATTCTGGAAAAAGCAAGATTTAAATCCTTCAATTACTCAACACATTAAGAATTCCACTGCTAAATTGTTCTCTATGAACAAAAGTCTGTAAATTTCATAGGAAGTAATGCTCAATCTAGCTTTTCATTGCTAAGAAGAAAGACTTTATGAACAAAACACAAAAGGCTGGTCTCAAAGTATTAAAACAAGCTGAAAGAATTCAGGTACAGGCAACTGCATAATTAAAGTGGGCAGCATGACTCAGTGTCCTGAAAAGAGAGGGTAGATCAAATTTGAAGAGTGGACATATCTTGAGGATAATGTATAAGTGCTTACATATAATGCATGATAACAGTTAACACATTTCGCTGATAATAACTGTCATGGTGTAGGTAGGAAGATGACTCAAAGAAGGATAAAATTAGGTTTAAATCAACAATAGTCTGTTGCCATGAGGCGAGGAGGTACCTGTCAGAGGTATTTGAAACTGTGTTATTGTCAAAAGAAGATTTTTGATTTTTTTACAAACTAATTTATATTCATTGACTTCTCATTATGTCTAGCATCTATTAAGTGCTCAATAATAATAATTACTTAACTTGTTGAACCAAAAGAGATTTTAACTCCTTCTTAACTTTCTTAATCTAGTTATTGATACAAACCAAGCACAGGTCCACATTAGGGGGAATGGTTTACCTATATCATGACTTAGGATATCAATGTTAAAGTCCAAATGAACAACATATCTTGGTCCCAAATTAGAAAGTGATATGTTTTACAATAAGAATATCAAAAATAAAGAAAAAAGAAAAATTACAGGCATCATGTGTGACTTTGAAATCAAAAACAGACAAGGCTTAAAGAAGCAGAAAAACGATCAAAAGGAGCCAGGACTTTTGAAAAACAGGGTAAATCCTCGTGCACCGGATTAAATATGGCTTTATCTGATGCTTATCACTCCCATTAAAATCTCTATTAAATATTGCAGGAAGGGAAAGAAGTAGATTTGTTTGAAAACTGATTATTCAAATTTAATTGCTTCACTACGACAACTCTGTTAAAACTGTTATTTCCAGAAGGTCGTGAATGACATCTTATTGATCAATTATATTTTCATATTTGAATTTCTCATCTCCTTTCAATATATTTTTATCTTGCAAGACCTCTGTGCCTGTAAACTAAACCTGGTACCCCAAACTTCAGCCACACACAGTTTACCCAAATAACATCATTCATTCATTCATTCATCTATTCATGCTAAATTAATGAATCTGGAAGACTAAGTGCCTGTGTTTTCACAAAGTTAGCCTTGAAGTTTCAAAATTTCAACAGATATTTAAATCTTCCTCTTCTTAGTCAACCATTTTTAATCCAATTCCAGTATTTTAAATTCTCCAGTATTTTAAATTCTTAAATACTGGAAATTCATTTCCAGTATTTTAAATTCTCAGTCTTATTAATGTTTTATTGCAATTAGTCCTTCAATTTCCTTGAAAATTGTCTCTTAAGGATGCTATATTGGCCAGGCATGGTGGCAGATACCTGTAATCCCAGTTACTCAGGAGGCTGAGACTGGAGAATCACTTGAACCTGGGAGGCGGAGGTTGCAGTGAGCTGAGATCGGGCCACTGCCCTCCACCCTGGGTGACAGAGTGAGGCATGAGAGTCTGTCTCAAAACTAAAATAATAAAATAAAATTAAAATTAAAATACTATAAAACTGCTTTCAATATTTTTCTTTTTAAAAACACGCCTGATAAGACTTCTCCACTGTTTAAAATGTTAAAATAGCTCCTTACTGACAAAGGAATATTAATCACTGGATCCTGAAAATAATCTATGCATCTCTGTTTTCTGCTGTTCAACATCATCTACTTTTTATTTAAAAAGTGATAAAATATGCATAACATATAATTTCTTACCACCATCTACTTTTATACATGAAAATGTTATAAATCTCTCAAGAGGCTTCAAAAACCTTCAATAAACCACAATGAATTATTTTATTACCCCTCATGTAAATATTGCATACTCCTTATAGCATGTCAATCCTTTCTTTCCTTTGTTGCATATGAGGCTGTGTACTTTAGTTTGGGTGTAGGTTTTAGTTTACATAGAAATTGCTTTATATAAAAGAGCAAAGTAAGTACACAAATAAGAATTTAAGAAGGAATATTCTCTTTGTCAAACAGTGGGATTATCATTGAGTAATTTCTCCAAAAAAAATCAATGATACCCAGCTAACATAAAAATTCTTTTCATTTTAAACATCATTTCTGATAAAAGATGGTTTTGTTATGAACTTTGAGAGACTTAGGAAATTAAGAAAGTTAAGAACTAAGAAAGTACTAAGAATTAGTCTGTCACCTGAAAGCAGTGAATCCTGAAATGAAACCGTACTTTGAATTTACATGTACAAAACCTCTGCTGCAAAAGAATAGAAAAATCCTTGTTTCTTGATGGAAACATGACATACCTCAACCCTATTTATCTCATGTATTCCATAACTTCATTTTTATTTTAGTATAGCCAATCGTTACACTTCAGTGTTATCTCAAGTTTGCAATTATAGAGTCATCCTTTTATGTATGTGAAAACTGATAGTCAATGCAACACATCATTCTAACGTTTAAGTATGTTGAATAGAGATGTTCTTATAATGATTCATAATATGCTATAAGCTAAACATTGAGTACACATGGCCATAAAGATGGAATGAAGAAACACTGGGGATTACCAAAGCGGGGAAGGTGGCTGGGGAGCGATGGTTGAAAACTACATATTGGGTACTCTGCTCACTACCTAGGTGAGAATCATTTGTATCCCAAACCCTAGCAACACACAATTTACCCAAGTAACAAAACTTGCATATGTACTCTCTGAACCTAAAATAAAAGTTGAAAAAAATTAACAGGAAAGTCAAGGGCTTTAAGAGTGACTTTATTGAATCTTTACTATGATTAATGATTTTGGAGAAGATTGGGGGAAGGGGAGACAGTGTATCCCTGGCCATGCTATGCAAAAATTTAACTATATGTTCCTGGGAAAAGTGACTAAACATAGATGGTTTTCAAGATCTGGTGAAAAAAACTCCTTTGCCAGTAAGCTATGGAATCTTTAGTAAGATGCTAATGGTTGCATTCTCAGAATTCACTGGGATCCATAAACAAAATTAGCATTTTAATATATATATGTGTATGTATAAAATATACTCTGAAAACAATACAATGTTGTCATCAGACATAGAAAAAAAGGTGTTTTTTGCTTGTCTTTTTTTGTGAAACACCGTTTATATACAGCAAAGTGTGTATATCTTAAGTGTACCATGCCATTTATTCTTACAGAAGCTTACGTCAATGTCTTCTAAGGAACTATTTTTTGGGTCTTTTTGTCATTTTGAATTGATTTGCTTCTGTTTCACTTATTTATTTCTTGTTATTATTCATATGTTCTGCATATGAGACCGCTGACCAATACGTGCACATGTCTACCTTCTCCTAGTCTGTGGCTGGCATTTTCAGTATCTTAATATTATCTTTCAGTGAACTGCCAATTATCTGTTCTACCTTTATGGTAAATATTTTTCATGTTTAAATTTTTTTAAATATCAAATGTCATGAAGATTTTTTAATGCTTTCTTCTAGAAGTTTCATTGTTATACAATACAAATTTGTGCTTAGGTCTATTCCAAATTAATTGTGTACTTTTTTTGTAAAGTTTAAGTGTCATTTGTTCCTATGACTATTGAGTTTATGCGGTGTAAGTTCTGAAAATGGTGATCTTTTTCCCAGTGAGTTTTACTGGTGCTTTTATCAGCATGAGCTGATAGCACACACATAAGTTTGTTTCTGTACTCTATTTTTTTTATTTTGAACTATTTGTCTATCTTGGTACCGATAGCATACTGTGTTAATTGTGGTAAATTTTAAAAAGGCAATATCTGGTAGTGTGAGTCATTCATATTTGAACATTTTCTTCCAACTTGCCATGGCAGATCTAGGCCATTTGCTTTGCCATTATTATTATTTTTTTTTAACTTTTATGTTAGGTTCAGAGAAGACATGTTCAGGTTTGTTACTTGGGCAAATTGTGTGTTGCTGAGGTTTGGAGTACAAATGATTCTGTCAGCCAGGTAGTGAGCAGAGTACTGACAAGCAGTTTTTCAACGCTTACTCCCCTGTCACAGTCCCCCCTCTAGTCGTCCCCAGTGTCTATTTTTCCATTTTTATGTCCATGTGTACTCAATGTTTAGCTCCCACTTATATAACTGAACATACCATATTTGATTTTCTGTCCTTGTGTTAATTCTCTTAGGATAATGGCTTCCAGCTGTATCCATGTAGCTGCAAAGAACATGATTTCATTTTTTCTGGTTGTATAGTATTCCATAGTGTATATGGACCACACTTACCTTATCCAGTACACCATTGCCCATTTATATTTCTACCAAATGTTTTCCTGCGATTTTTTTATTGAAGTTTCATTAAATACTTAGACAACTTTATTATCAGGTATTCCACACCATTGTCATAGTTTATCTCTCAATTTGTTAAGGTATTTAATCCTTATTAACAAGGTTTTATGGTTTTCAGGAAAGGATCTTGAGCATTACTTCTTAGCACTTCTGACATGTTTGATAGTTGATGCTGGTGGTATTGTAATCTTTGTTGGCATTTATTGATTTTTATTTACTAATTGCTTGTTGCCAATATATTCAAAATCCATATGATTTTTATATATTTTCTTTGAATTCAGAAATTTTGCTAATTTTACATATTAACTGTTCATCAGTTAATATGTAAAATTGCTGAATTTATACAAATAAAATTAAATCATTTGAAAATTAATGTAAATTTTAAAATTCTTTTCAGTGTTTATACTTACATTTATTTTCATTGAATAATTTCACTAGGTATATTATTAAAAGCGATGATTGTGGAAATTTCTGTCTTATTACTGAACACAGAGGAAAACAGTAAGTATTTTGCATTTAAGTATAATCTTAGTTTTAGATTTTCAGACACTGTTTATAGGTCTAAGAAAGTTCTATTTTATCTCCGCTTTATTAATAATTTTGGATATTATCAAATGCATTTACAACATCTATTGAAGGAACCATTTAAATTTTTTGTTAATGTGGTTAAATAAATTTATTGACATTCAAATATTAAGCCAAGCTTGTATTTCTGAAATAAATGATACTTATTCATATGTATTATTTCCATTTAGGTTATTGTGTTCCATTTGTTGATAATGTGTTAAGATTTTACATCTGTGCTCATGAGAGTAGCCTTTAATTTTTTGTTCTTATAATGTTCTTACTAGTTTTTGTTGTCAGGGTTATGTTTGTGTAATCAAATATACTGGGAAGTGTTTTCTTCATTTTTATTCTCAAGAATACTGTACATAAGATTTATATTATTTCTTCTTTAAATGTTGGCAGGAATTCACCAGTTAAAGCTCCTGGGCCTAGACTATGTGTCTGTGTGTGTGTGTGTGTGTGTGTGTGTGTGTGTGTGTGTGCGCGCGCGGTATATGTAAGTTCTTTAATTATAATTATCTTTTATTTCTTATGTTATTTCTGTGTTTTCAAATGTTTTTCTCATTTTGTTAAATTTTTAAATATATTGATACAAAATTGTTAATGAGATACTCATGCAATGTTTTGTATGTCTGTGTGGTTTGTAGTGATATCCCTTCTTTTCATTCCTGATGCTTAAAAATTTTGGTTTATTTATTTCCTTCTTGATTTATCTTGCTAATCGTTTATCAGTTTTATTTCTATTCTTAAAATGCCATTTATTTTTCTTTCTAAATTTTTTCAGTTGTGTCTGCCTTCTCTCTCATTTGTTTCTTTGTTTCTTACATTTTCCTTTATTTCTTCCATTGTGGGGCTTATTATTTTCTTTACGTGACTTCCTATAAATAAGTTCTTATGTCATTGACTTTTTATTGTTTTATATGTTCCAACGTACATACGTATGATTATAAGTCTGGCTTTCAGCAGTGCCATAACTGAAATCTACAAGTTATGATATACTTTTTATTTTCATTCCATTTAAAATATATTCTCACATTTACTGTAAGTTCTTATTTGATTTATGTGTTATTAAAGACATATTTGTTGCTTTTTATACAAACATTTGAGATTTCCAGATTAGTTATTAATTTCCACTATAATTTTATTGTGGTCATAGAATATACTTTGTATGTCCTTTGAAATTTATTAAAATCTGTTTCCAGAGAAAAATGTCTATCCACATGCAAAAGAATAAAATTGCATCTTTATCTAGCACCCTAAACAAAAATCAACTCACGCTGCATTAAACACTTAAACAGAAGACCCAAAATCATGAAACTCCTGAGAAAAAACTTAGGAGAAAAGCTCTTGATGTGAACTTTGAGAGCAAAGGATGATAAAGTTTTAGGCCTCTGTAACTGAAGGGTTAGTATTGGCATTATAGGACACGGGGAAACAATTGGTAGAGCACAACTGGAAGAGAACGTTAGAATTTTAGTTTTAGACATGTTAAGTTAAGTAACCTGACTAGACCTAAGAACCAGCACCCCAATGCCTATCATGCTTGTCATTCTCTTCCTTTTTCTTCACATTTTTTAAGGAATCTTCTGCTGAGATGAACTTTTAAATACTTACAATCAAATTATACATAGAGCTTCACTGGGAAAAGCTAAAATTGGATATAATATACCAATGAAAGGCACAGCTGATATGATTTTCTTAACCATGCAGTTACAGCATGCTATGTAATAACTGAGACCAATGGAATACATTTTTCTTCCTTAAAATTCTTGCTGATATGCTCTTCATGTAAGAAATAGTTTAGCTAACATAACATTTAAGGGTGAACACAAGTAACTAATAATTCTTTTTAGTTGTAATAGATGGTTTAAAGTAATCAACAGATGTTTTATCTCAATGATGATTTGCCAGGTGTAATTTTCTTTATTTAAATACATTCAGCAAAACAAAGGAGAAATCATGATAGTCATCTAATTTTTATTTTTGACTATTCTTCAACTTTGAAATATTTGCCTAGAACGCATTGTATTTCTCAAGAGCAATATAAATATCATAAGTACCATCACTTAGTGCTACATAAATTGAGCAAATTATTTAGCAATCCTGAAGTTCTATATCTCTCTTTCTCTATTGCATATGTCAGTGATCCTGTAGCCCTGGTTTCAAACTGCCGATTCACAGACCAAATGTCTCTCTGAGGACACTGTCATCTGTCTCACTGGTAGAGTGAGAAAAAATGTGAAAATATCATGACTTTTCTACATAAGTTAAATGCATCCATTATTTTGTAATAACATTTCTACTTTTTGGAAGTCAATCTGTTGATAGTAGATGATAAATGATAGCTATTGCTTCTGTTTGTTTTCCAAGTATATATTTGTCAAAATAAAACTCATATATTGGTTCCTATTTTAAGTATTTTTGTCTTCTTGTTTAAATGTTACTACTTGTGAAATACAAAAATTCTAGAGGCAATAATCTACCTAATAATGTCCAAACATTATAATTGTTTTAAAAGACCCTTCATTTTGTCCTATTCCTATATCTCCCCACTTAATTTCCACCAGTTCTTTATTATATTCTATGACACAGGCATACTAAATTCTTACTTCCATTTATTCCTAGTTATTTAAAGCCTCTGTAAGTTTTGATACTATAGTCCTTTGCTTTACAAAGTTTTTCTACTAATCTCTGTCTGATAACTCTTAATTATCCACCCACGGAAATGAAATCTTTGGAAGGGGGGCATATTTTATCCCAGGTGTCTGGTCCTTTAATACTCAAAATGCTTTATATTAACAAATTGGCAAGATGTAGAAACTGTCAGTTCCAATTCTCAATCGTTACTAAAATGCAAACATAAACATCATGCCTAGAAAAAGAGCCCATGAGACTCTTCCTTCTCAAAATCAAAGAAACAATATCCATTTAACTTCTCATGAAAATTCTTCCTACTGGATCATTCAAAGTTTAGAGCTTAACAAATAATTTTGATAAGAGTAGTAAAATCATCTACACAACTTCCAAATTTAAGCTGCTGTCTAGTTCCAAGCATTCTATGTTTGTTTAGTTAATTTCTTTGTACCCACACTAAAAAACATAAAACTAATCATTTATTTAATATGATTAATGTAGCTTAATCCAAGTAAGCTAGTTTCCTTACTCAGAAGTTGGTAATACTAAATCTTTTACTTTAGTGCCTACTTCTTCATACCATTTTAATTATTTGCATGCTTTATCAAGGCAAATGGTTTGCCTGGAAACAACCAATACCTTACAAGTTTGAATTTTATCATACAATGCTACATTGCTGGTATGTTAGTCAGTAACTACCACAGTAGTCGACCAAGCAGTCAGAGTAATTACGGAGAAGCACATGGCTATTCTTGAATTATCAACATCTTAGATGAAGCTGGTCAGCATCTGCTTCCAGAACTGTCCAAACATAAAATGCATTTCCCACAAAACTTTTAGAAAGCTAAATAATAAAACTAGCTAGGCTTAAAATAAACGCTACCTTAGTCTCAAAATACTCTTATTAAGAACACTACCAGGTCAGGTGCAGTGGCTCACGCCTGTAACTCCAGCACTTTAGGAGGCCTAGGCAGGCGGATCACTTGAGGTCAGTTCAAGACCAGCCTGGCCAACACGGTGAAAACTCATCTCTACTAAAAATGCAAAAATTAGGCAGACGTGGTGGCATGCGCCTGTAGTCACAGGTACTCAGGAGGCTGAGGCATGAGAATTGCTTGAACCCAGTAGGTGATGGTTGCAGTGAGCAGGGATCGTGCCACTGCACTCCAGCCTGGGCAACAGAGAAAGATGCTGTCAAAACAAACAAACAAAAAACAAACAAACCAAACCCAAAAAAACACTGTCTGCAATACTTTAACATGTATCTATTTTTAAATATGTATTTTTCTTCCTTGTAAAACTTTTGTTCTTAATTGTCTCTTGACTCTATACCTATATTTAAAATTACAGTAATCTTATACCTAACTTTATCAGTATTTGGTTTTATAGTTTTTCAATCATTTATACTGTTTTTATAAATATGATTTTAGAAATTCCATACTTTTTAGTTTAGTTGATATAATATACAATTGACACTTGTACAATGTAGGGGTTAGGGGGCCTGACCCTGTGTGCAGTTGAAAATCTGCATGTAACTTTTGACTCCCTCAAAACAAAACTGCTAATAGCTTGCTGTTCACTAGAAGCCTTACCAGTGACATAAATGTTCAGTTAACACATTTTTGTATGTTTACATATTATATAGTGTATTCTTACAATAAAGTAGGCTAGAGAAAAAAATATTAAGAAATCATAAGGAAGAGAAAAGATATTTACTATTCATTAAGTGGAAGTGGATCATCATAAAGGTCTTCATTCTCATCTTCACGTTGAGTAGGCTGAGGGAGGTCAGGAAGAGGAGGCGGAAGAGGAGGGAGGACAGACAGGTACTCCTGAAGTAATTTTACAGAAATATATTTTAATCCTGAGTTTTTACTTTTCCATTTCTCTAAAATTGTTTCTATACAGTACCAACTCTTCTTTTACCATTTGCTTTAGTTTCAGTGCCCGTGTCATAGAGGATTCCATGTCATAAAAGAATTCAAATCAGTCTTGAATAATTGGAGCCTTTCTATCAGATTCTCTCATGTCAATTTGTTTTCCTGCACTGCTTCCTCTATGTCTTCTTCCTGGTTGTCTGGCACTGGTTTGAAAGCATTTATCTCTATCAGGTCATCTTTCGTGAATTCCTCTGGTGTGGTGCCTATTAGCTCTTGAACTTCTCCAAGATTCATATCTTGAAATCCTTCACTCCCCACCTTTCCTTGCCATATCCATAATCTATGATTTTTCTTTCCTTCCTTCCTTCTTTCCTTCCTTCCTTCTTCCTTCCTTCCTCTCTCTCTGTCTCCTTCCTTCCTTCTTCCTTCCTTCCTTCTTTCTTCCTTCCTTCCTTCCTTCTTCCTTCCTTCCTCTCCCTGTCTCCTTCCTTCCTTCCTTCCTTCTTCCTTCCTTCCTTTCTCTCTCTGTCTCCTTCCTTTCTTCCTTCCTTCCTTCCCTCCCTCCTTCCTTCTTGTTTTGAGACGGAGTCTCCCTCTGCTGCCTAGGGTGGAGTACAGTGGTGCAGTCTCTGCTCACTGCAATCTCTGCCTCCCGAGTTGAAGCAATTCTTCTGCATCAGCCTCCTGAGTAGCAGGGGCCCCGCCACCATGCCCGGCTACTATTTTGGTATTTTTAGTAGAGACGGGTTTTCACCATGTTGGTCGAACTCCTGACCTCAAATGATCCGCCCACCTCGGCCTCTCAAAGTGCTGAGATTACAAGCGTGAGCCACCGCGCCCGGCCTATGATTTTCTTGATAGGCTGTGTTGCAAATTCTGTGAAATCATGCACAACATCTGGCCACTTTCCTGCAGCAGGAATGTATTGTTTCAGGCTTGGTGGCTTTCACAGCTTTTCCTATAGCCATGGTCGCAGTTTCAGTGGTGTAATCCTTCCAGAATTTCACGATGTTCTCTCTATCAGGATTTTCTTCCACAGTGTTGACAATCCTCTCCATAGAGTACCATGTGTAATAAACCTTAAAGGTCCTTATGGCCCCCATCTAGAGGCTGAATTAGAGACAGTTTCAGGGTAAGTAGACCACTTCAAGGACTTGAGACGGATGGAGGGAGGGGGAGAATGGGGGAAGAAGGGAGGGAAAGAAGGATGAAGATAAAAATAAAACTATCAAGATGAAGCAGAATTTCACACAAAGATATGTATTTTTAATTGGGTACTGTATCCTTATAAATAAAATTGTATCTATGCTTTCCTTAAATGCTAAATTTTATTTTCATTACAGTTCACCAACATACAAGAAACAAAGAAGCATGAGACAGACTCTCAGACCCTTGTATCTTTTCTATATAAAAAGAACTGAAATGCAGTATGTACTCCACTTGGGATTTCCCAAGTTCACATAATTAAATGATTGAAAAAATTAGTATTATTTTATGTTTAAAGAATACAACTCCCCTAGCAAATATTACTGACTCAGAGAACATGCTATTTATGTTAACTTAAATCTAAATTCCAAGTTACATCTTTATACAGATTTACACAGGATTTATTTTTCTAGCTAAAATAAATTCATGTTAAAATAGTAATGAATAAGTGTGCACAAGGGCCAAGCCCTAGCAGGTGTTATCTAGATCTAAGTAAAAATTTATTCCTAACAGAAATTGACGCTTTCAAATGTATAGTAACAACCTTTCACCTTTGCCATTTTCTCCTTTCTAAGAGAAGAAAGGTTGTCACTAAAAAAGCCTTTAAAGAGAAAGACAACTTCAAGCAATAAATTTTTCTTTTTCTCCCTGTCAGTGTGAAGTCCCATTTGGAAGCTGGATTTTCTAAAAGGCAAGGAGTTAGAGGGAGAGGTTAAGGGCAGGGGAGTGAGTGAAGTAGGGAATGAAAAGATTGAGGGAGGAGACAGGGTCTCATTCCCAACATGCCACTGTTACTAAATTCTAGGAGAAGAAGAAAAAAACTAAAAACTGTAGAGATTCTCAGGAGTGTGGGACTTTGAAAAATGAATAAAACATTGCATTTGAAATCCCTTTGTGCACTACAACAGAGAGATAAAAGTTTCATCATAAAACAAAGATTTGACAACTTCAGCAAAAATGTCCATGGAAACAATTTACAAAGAATTGTAAATAAAATTATTTTAAAAAAGACTCTAGAAACAAAGTTTGCTATATGTGTTTGAAGTGTGATGGGATGTTCTCTGTTGAAAAATGAGTCTTTTAAATTAATGATTATATAAATTTAGATTAGCAATTATTTATGTAATTTATTCTATGCAAATTAGAAATTATATGTCCTATCAACAGTTTCGGTTTGATCATAGCAGATTTGTGAGAAAACCAATTTTTGGATATAGTTTATCGGTAGTAGTTCATGTCTTTCAATCTATTTACTGCACCACCCCCCGACAAAAAATTCCAATTCGAAAACAGAATTGGTAGTTTAACAATTGTTAGAGTGTTAAGTTTTCCCAAACGGGTTTCGAACTTGTCAAAATATTACAAATTGTTTATTATGTTGATTTTTGAAGAGTTTTTTTCTGTTAAGTATGTTTTGCAAACATAATGTATTTTTACTACATTATAAATGATCCACAAATTATATTTTACATAACATACTTACATTAAGATAAATGATATCTACTATTTAAATATTTGTAGTTAATACTTAAATCTAAAATGGCATGGTTGAAAATAAATACCCAATGGTTAATTGCATTAGTTCCTTTTAAAATCTCACTTAGAAGAATATGATGTGAACAAATGATGGATGGTGACATATGGATTTTCCTACTACAAAATTGGAACATACATGTTAGAGAATGTTACAATATTTAAACTATCACTAGTGAGTATTTACAAAGAAATATTGGTTCAAAATATTTATAGTATGTGTTCAGGATATTAAATAAAATTACTGACATATTAGCTTTATGTCTTACAAAAATAATTTTTACTAAAATTTAATATTAATATTTAAATATTTAAAATTTATTTTAATCATTACGGAGTAGGATGTCGTTGGTAAAATATAAAAGTAAGAATTCTAGTGTCATTCAAATACTAGTTCTGCCAAACACAAAGGACCATTGACTAAGCATGTTACATAAATCTTATTTGGTCTCAGTGTCACCATTGGCAAAATGAAGATAATAATACTAATTCCCTGATTGTGGTGTTCTAAAGATTAAATGAGTTAATAAATGTAGATTTTTCATGAAGAAGTCCTAAAAATTAACAATTATTTGTTCAGAATGGGGCCTGAGAAGAAGCAAACATGATTAGATTGTGAAAATATATGATTCATCTGCTGAATAATTTGAAACTCCGGAAATAAAAGAGGAACTAAAGTTTAATCTTTAAAATGAAGTAAAATTTTTAAGTATATTTTTCTCTAGGATAATCATGTTTGATTTTATACTCACTCTATCAGATACCAAAATCCTGTTAGGGGAGGTACAGAGCCAGAATAGTTATTCTGACCATGATACTAATAAGAATAACAAGAACAGGAAGGTGGGGGATGATAACGGAAAGAGGAACAAGGAGACATCTGAGGAGGAGATGAAAAAGGAGGAGAGTGACATGGAGGAAAAGGGAGGAAGAGGAATGGCATATGGTGTACCTACAGCCATGGAGCCAAAGTCGGTCTGATTGTTTCTGTAAATAAAGTTTTATTGGAACAGAGCTGTTTTCTTTTCACATTGTCTAAGGTTGCTTTACAGCCACACAGTTAGCACTGAGTAGTTATGACTGAGACCAAATGGCACAAAGGCCCATAACTTACTGCATTCGTTTCCCATGGCTGCCATAACAAAGTACCACAATGTAGATGGCTTAAAACAATGGAGATTTTTTCTCTCACTATTCTGGACGCTGGAAGTCTGAAACCAAGGTGTTTGTAGGTTAATTCCTTCTGGAAGGCTCTGAGGAATAGTGTGTTTCATGGCTTTTTGTAAGCTCCTGCTGTTTGCTAGCAATGCTTGGTGTTTTGGCTTGGAGGCATATAACCCCTATGATGGCATGACACGACATTCTGCATGCCTGTCTGTGTACCCTTTCTTCTCTCTGAAAGAACACCAGTTACATTGCATTAAGGACGCACCCTACTCTGGTATTACTGTATCTTAACTAATAACATCTGCAACAAACCTATTTCCAAATAATGTCACCTTCTGAGGTTCTAGGAAGGATATGAATTTTGGGAGGACACTATCTAGTCCACTGCACTTCACAAAATAAATTTGCTGACGTCATGGTTATGTTACTGTACAAAATATGGGAATATATTATTAAATGTTGTATGTTTATGCCCAAATCCCAAAATGAGTTGTGTATCTTTATAAGTGCCCACCATATGTTTAGCTACACATCAGCTATTGTCCCAATGATACTAAAAAAATTAGTTAAAAAGTACGATACATAGTAAAGACAGATATTTGGTACTATGAAAATAAAAAAAAACAAAATGACTCATTTCTATGTTAGAGCAATAAAATTACTTTAATTAACGTACAGATAAAAGGTGAAAAATGTCAAGCATCCAAACTTTAGAGCATTTTATTGGAAGCATTTTAGTTGTTTATATTTTTGCTCAACTCCCTGCTTGATGTCAAACAAAGTGGAAAACTGGGTGATATACATATATACACACACTCACACGTGTGTGTGTATATATATATATTAGATATATATATATATTTTACATATAATTATATACAATTAAAGAAAATAAACCTTTTATTATTATTCAGATTATATTTTTAATTTTCCAACTAGCATAAGATAATCATGAAGAATTTATTGATTTACTGTTATCTAGCTAAGGTTTTAATATTATATTTCTGCTAAAATATATCAAGGAATGCACATTTGTAAAATTATTTATGTTGAAGAACCACAATTTCTGTCATAAAACACAAATTTTAAAAAAAAGTGAGTTTTTTTTTTTAATGAGACAAGCCATGCAGAAAAGCAGAAGGAAAAGAGTGAAAATACCCAACATTCTACCCTCACTTGCCCAGAAATCACGACAGCCAACATTTGAAAATGTCATTCCATGTTTTGATACAAATATAAGCAGATAAAAAAATGAAGAGAAATAATTTTACCAAAAATTGAGATCACACTACACATACTACTTACTAAATATATTGTTTCTAATTTTAATTACTTTAAAAGAAGAAACAGAAACACAAAGAATAAAAAATTTTGAACCTCAGTTAAGTGTTTATTCACAGTATTATTTACAAAAAGCAATAATTATTAAAAATAGTAATAAAATAAAATTATGAAAAACTAAACGGTTGAATTCACTGAGTATTCTTTTGTATTTCAATAAAGTGTTCTTTGTTAATTTTTACAAGTTGTGTGAAATAAATTTTATTAGGCTTTTTAAATTTATTTTATAGATTTTAATTGACAAATAAAAATTGTATATTTTTCATATTTAACATGTTATGCTAACATATATATGGATTGTGGAATGGCTAAGTCAGAAATTCTTTTACATTCATATTTCCATATTATTTACTTTTTGCTTTAAAAAATATGTAAATGAGAATACTTATTTTTTTCAGTGTCACTGCCTTGATACTTTCACATTTTTGTTACATATTATTTTCCTTTCATCTAACAAATATATATTGAGTTTCTATAATGTGTCTGACACTGAGATGTTTGTGTTATGCATTACTGATTTATTTGTATTCTCCACACATTCTTGTTTTTGTCTTTGATTATTGTTGTCTTCTCTAACTATATTAAGTGAATTTAAAAACCACCAATTGTCCTGTTTACCATTGATTACCAAACTTTAGCTCATGTTTGATAGGACTATTTTTCTCAAGTTTTTTTTTTCAAGAATGAGACAGGGGTTCTACAGTCTGAGTTTTGTGTATTTGAGAAACTGTCTTGATAATCTGCGGTATCTGAATTAAATCTCGATTGTGTATAAGTGGCTCACACTTTCTTTGACTTCTATAGAGATTGTTCCAGGATTATTTTATCAAGAGGATTTATCCAGATCATACTGATGCTTACCTTATCATATCCATTTTGCTTTGAATAAAACTTTGCATACATTTTAGGTAATTTCATTTTTCTGACTGAATATTCAGGAGATCTTTTTTATTATCTACAGAGTTCAGTTATTACCAGTCATATCTTATTGCTCAGTCTGTATCAATTTTCCTTGGACATTACCTTCTTTTTTGATCAAGAGTCCAAATCTTCTTTATATCAAGAAAATTTAGATTAGTTTGTCTGTTATTCTTATTCTCTTTCTATCCTTTTTTTACAAAATATACATATTATTTTTTTCATTCATCTTTCATATCTACCATTTCTCCTTATTTTCACATTTTTATTTAATAATTAATGAATTATAAATTCTCCTCCAGCCTGTTTACTATATTTCCATTGGTGATTTTATTTGTTTTGGGGCTGCTATAATAGAGCTATTACATTTATGACATTTTCATTTTTTTCTCTTTTATTTCTTTCCACTGTTTTGCAAGTTACTTTCATCTTTCAATTGACCTGCTATTGTCTGAATAATAATAAGTTATTTGCAGCCTGGTCTCAATAAACGTAGGTCAGATTTCTTGATTTAAAATCTTAAATGCAAATATTTCTGCTCCACGAGTTCATCTCCTTTGTGTCTGGCCCTTAGGAGGTCTTTGTGGTTCAAAGTGTCTTAAATAACAATCTCCCTGCAACATTGTGATCTGGCAATGGCGACTTCCACTTTCTTCTGTGACAAAAGTCATTTATAGAAGCCTCTCTGAAGTTGAGTGCCAAGTTGTACAGCCTAAAAACCTGTGACAACATCCATTCTTGTAGCTTCACCCCTTTGTGTTCTGTGGTTGTTATTCATTCTTCTTTCTCTGCCAACCCAGAGCACTCCATCTAGTCGCTGTAATCCAAGCTTCATTTGGTGCTGGTTTTCAAACTGTGACACCCACTTTTAGGAATAATTTTCATCAGACATATAAAGAGGTTTGAGTAAGTTCTCACATTATCACTACATTTTGGTCCAGTATTCCCAATACTCTTCACACTTACGATTTGATGTTTTGACTGTTAATATTATTATTATTTATTTATTTTATTTTTTTGAGATGGAGTTTTGCTCTTGTTGCCCAGGCTGGAGTGCAATGGCACAATCTCGGCTCACTGCAACCTCCGCATCCAGGGTTCAAGCAATTCTCCTGCCTCAGCCTCCCGAGTAGCTGGGATTACAGGGGCGCAACACCACGCCCAGCTAATTTTGTATTTTTAGTAGAGACGGGGTTTCTCCATGTTGGTCAGGCTGGTCTCGAACTTCTGACCTCAGGTGGTCCGCCCACCTCGGCCTCCCAAAGAGCTGGGATTACAGGCCTGAGCCACCGCGCCCGGCCAATATTATTATTTTTAATTAAAGTTGTATTTATCCATTTTGTTTTTATCCCATTTGTTCCTCCAGTTTTGTTCACTGAAGCAGGTGAAATAAAACTGCCTTTACTCTGCCATCTAACACCAGTAATATTGGAGTTTCTTACGGTTTGAATTTTAAGCTGAGTATTGGCAACTTTGGTAACTCTATCAAAGGATAACTACAATGTTCTCAGCCAATTTCTTTCCCCTTTATTTTAAAGAGTCAGAAATCCCTCTAGAAATTTTTAGTGAGCGCCTGAGAACAAAAGGAGAAAATGAATGCAAGACTAAAGGGATTGTAAGAGATTTTAGGAGCCCAGCCTTCCAGTTTAGCACGACCAAGCAGCCTAACTTTCTATTCGTGGCCAATGATTACATCATGTTTTCACTTTCCTGTATTATTTATTGATTTCAACCTTATTATGCAAACATGGAAATTATATTAATAACAGTAAAAGCATTTTATATTGCCCTGCTTAGTTTATATTCATTGGTTCTAACATGGCAAAAATTCCAGGTGTTGGATTGCATTTCTAATGATTAGAATTTATGTAATTATATATTAAATCCAGCATAGCAAAGAATTGAAAAATTATTCAGCACAGTAATTCTACTTATACAACCAGTGCATTTGTTTCACAGAAAAGAATTATTTTCTACAGCAAGAACTGTGATGCTGTATAAATCTTGTCATGTCATGGGTAAAAGTTATACATTATTACGTTATTACATTAAGACTCTGTATATAAGGTCTGTTCACAGTTGAATAATCTGAATGTAAACAGCAAACTCACTTAGAATGGCATATCACTGACTTCTTGGCAATAGATCTTAACTGTCATTTGTTTAATGTCTGACCATTATAGATGAAATAAACTGGCTTGCTGAAACATACCACAGGAGAGTACTGTGTCTTGAAATAGTGTATTGGTCTGGGATAGGCCTTTCTTCTTTGGTGCCAAAGTGATCTAAAACAATTTATATATTTCCCCAGTGATATACAAACGCACATTGGGAAATAGCTTGCTCACTCATGGTAGCTGAGAATTTATGTGATTTGTTAAAGTGTGCTTTAAGGAAAAGTGACCAAAGTCAGAACATTAAGTTAAAACAGCTACAAGCCTTCTTGCTTTATTTCTACATCTTTTAATTCTCTTTGTTACTCTTTAATATTGTATCTGTCTCAGAAACTGTGTCACTCTATTTGTTTCATGGTTGTACTCTGGCAGTCTGTTCAGTATCGTCATCCTATTTTAGATCAAATAATTCAACTTTTAAAGAGTTTGCATGAGTATTTTCTAACATAAGGAAATGCTGAAGTCATAGCATCATGTTGATCAAGATCATAATTTTATCTTGGCTGATTTTAACACACACCTTCAAGATTTTTAATGTCATAATTCTGAATCAGATTTGAGAAGTCATCCTTCTGATTTTTTTTAGTTACTTTTAAGAATATCTCATAAGACACAGTAATTTATACTTTTATAAGCTTCTTTTCATCCTGAGTTAAAATACGATATTAATTTTAACTAGTTATATATAATTACAAAGAATAAACACATTATATTTATTGTCCATCTGTAATATACCATGCACTTTAAAAATACTATTTCATTTAATCATTATAATAATTATATGGCATATTGTCAACTACTTTTTAAGAAAAGGTAACTGAGGCTAAGAAGAGTTAAAAGATCCTACCCTAAAGAAGCAACTAGCAGAGTATGAGGCAACTACTTAAATTCTGGTAGGTCTGACTTAAGACATCACACGCTTACTCTAGCTCATGTTTCCTTCAAAAAATAAGCGTGCATTCTTTGTCATGATGGGTCAAATTCCTTCCCATTTTTAAAGAACAAAAAAAAATAAATCAAGTGGTAACTTTTCAAAGTAATTGTTATAAAGATTTCCAGTTTGTAAACTGACAAAATATACAAGCTAAACTAAATGCATTCTTACATGTTTATGGTACCGTAAAACTATTTCTAATGTCATATCCCTGTTTCTCTCTTTCATTTTTGCTAACTTCTGAACTAAAATATTTTTTCTTTAATAACAACTCAGACTATACCTTTATAAAAATATCACCCTCAGTGATTTCCAACTCCCATTTTTCCCTTCTTAATTTTATTTAGTTTGGCCGAGCGCAGTGGCTCACGCCTGTAATCCCAGCACTTTGGGAGGCCGAGGAGGGTGGATCACGAGGTCAGGAAATCGAGACCATCCTGGCTAACACGGTGAAGCCCTGTCTCTACTAAAAATACAGAAAAATTAGCCAGGTGTGGTGGCGGGTGCCTGTAGTTCCAGCTACTCGGGAGGCTGAGGCAGGAGAATGGTGTGAACCCAGAAGGCAGAGCTTGCAGTGAGCCGAGATCGCGCCACTGAACTCCAGCCGGGGCAACAGAGCGAGACTCTGTCTCAAAAAAAAATTTAAAAAAATTAATTTAGTTTACATGCTTTGTACTATACAACTATCACATGATTATTCACTTTTCTACTCTCTAACTTTTCGTATCACAAAATTTAGCTTTGTATAGTTAATATTTGATGTTGATAGATACAACATTTGTATGATCATCACTTTTATTTTTCTGGTCACCCCAAATAGGTTGTTTGTGGACAATGACATGTCTTACATATCAGAGGAAAAGTTGCCAAAGCCAGAAAATTATTTTATTTTGAGCAAGGCTATAAAGTCATATTGTTTAGATATACAAAATGAATATGTCTCAGTTTTCAATAGTTAATTATAAATAACTTCATACTTGTCAAACAAATATAGTCATAAGTCACTTAAAGGCCTAAAAAATTAATCTTTTTCTCCCAAAGATATACCAAGCAGGGCACAAAATATGAATTTGATCCTCAGTCATCTGAATAGGTCTCAGGAGAAGTGAAGCCATGTAAAAGTGTCTCAATTTCTCTATAATAACCTTACAGAATGTGGACTTCCAATGGAGGTGAAAAAAGAAATTGAAGTAGAGACAGAAATAGAGAAAATACTTCACCACAGAGCAAGGAGAAGAGTCCAAAAATTTCAATCACATAAAATTCAGGGTCATGTTATAATAAAGCAGAGGTTCATCAAGCATAATCCTTACTTTTAAAAATGAGAGGGTCATATTCTGTTTGATGTGTAGGAAATAGATCGATTGTTATCCCAAAAAGTACTGAGCTGAGGAATTTCCAAATTTTCACAAGGTAATGAAAATTCTTCTTTCTAAACCCACTCTTGCTTCTTCCTCTATCTGAGAGCATTCCTCTGCCTCCATATAACTGCCACGGTATCTAATCAGTTATTCGCCTGCTTTTGGGTGTCCAGAAAGTTTTTACTATCTTCTATTTTGTTATTTCAATCTCCCCTTTTGCGTCATTTTTGAGGAATTTCAGGACAACCTACAGGGGAAACACACGTTCAATACCCTATATTTCCCTGTAGTAGAAGTGCCTGCAGGGGTTGAAAGGGGCTGACTACATGGACTTTTTGCCTCACCCCCCTCTCTTCCATGAAAGCACATTCATCTACTTTTATCTGATTTATAAGTTGGGTTTTTAGAAGTGTTTTATGGAAAAAAAGGAAAAAAAAAGGCTTACTATGTAATTATCCTTATTATAACTTATAATAGGAACAAAGTAGATGCTTGTTGATTGGACATTAATTAATCATATATCATCAATGTCTCGAGCCTGACTAGAAAAATGATAAATGAAGCTTAAATTGTTAATAAGAGATGCATGCAAATGAGAGTATAGCATGTTGAAACCCACAGAGCGTAACAGTTTGATTAAACGAAACACTTTTTAGTCTACCATTTGAACACATAATGTTAATTTGCACCTTTATTTTTTTCACATTCAAACTAATGGCCAATAAAGCTTAAACATCACAAACTCGAGTTCAATAGAAACTAAAACTCATATGTAGAGATTGATGATATTATTTCATAAATGTAACTAGTTTATCAAATATCCTGAAATCAGTAGTGCCACAAATGAGGTTCATTTCTTTCCCCATTCACTAGTTCACCCATGTTTTGTTGGATGTTTCTTTTCTATTTTTTAATGATTTCTCAAGTTGAGTCCACAAACCTCTAATCACTTTTAACCAAAAGGTTTAAGAAATGTGTCCCATTCCTGTTGATTTTATATACAATTCGGAACCCCTTTCTATACTCCAAAAGTCCTCAACATCAGTGTCCAGGGTTTGCGTTGATGATTGAAAGAAGAGGTGAGGGTAACATGCTTCTTAAATCCCCTTTCAACTCCCTTATCTTTGAGTGGAAGGATGACTACAGACTCTTACTCCCCTAATGGGTTGGGAAAAGGAGAAGGCTGCAGTTATCTTGCATAACGAATTTCTAGTCCGTATTGTGGAGATGCCTCATGTCCATCTCTGGCTAACAGTAGTTCTTCCTGCTACTGTACCGAGCTGATGTGGTGACCCACGGTACACCTTATCCATGATTATCTTGGGGATATTTTCAACTTCACCCTGGTGCAGGTTTTCAGTGACGACTTCTTCATAGAGGGCCACTTTTGTAGCATGTTTTATCCCCTAAACCCTTTCTAGTGCCTAATTTTCTTTCCAAAAAAGAGATGACCTAGCCTGTCATGTGGCTGTCTGTGTAATACCACTGTGTAATTCTGCTTCCTCTTCAAATTTCCTTATTCAATGAGGGGCATGAAGACATGACTTGTATCTATGTCCTTCAAGGTCACAGGAGGCAGTGTGGATGCAAAGAGCATGCTTTCCCCATCAAATCCACGTTAGGGGAAGAAAAGCCACAACATTTCTCATTCCCCAATAAACCAATGACTGAATAACACAAGGGATCTTTAAATAATAACTTTTATTATCATTTTTGACCCTCGTATGTACTTTTGTTTACTTTAGCATGCAGGAAACTTTTTTCTTCATTTTGAATTCTATTCTCCAACTCTGCAGACTATATCATATTCAATATTTTCCCACTGATTGTCCAAAATATATTTTGTCTCTACCAGCATAATAGCCAAGTTGGAGTTTTTGTTGAAAATCTGTATTGTCCAAGATTTTGTTTGAGAACTTATTTTCAAATCTTTATTAAACATGTAGTATTTATTAGGCATTTCTGGGAGAAAAATTAAAAGCATGTCTTTTGACTTTAAAGAGTTCAGAAAGCAAAAACATCACTAAAATACTGTGCTATCAGTTCTACAAAAGAGATATGAAAGAATGTTTAATTGAGTAGTGCGTGCAGGTGAGCAGATCTTAAAGATCAATACAAGAGGAAAGAAAGATAGTGACTAGAAAAAGTAAAGAGACTTTTATGCCACACTTGGAGATTGAACCTTTTATTACAGTACCCAAATGTGCAATTACGAGGTTATAAGCAGGAAAAAGAAATAATTAGAGATAGACGAAAACATTCATCTATGTCTCATTTTAATACTTTCATGGGGTTTCGTTTTTTAAAACATTAATCTACCTGAAACTTTGTAAATGTTACCTTACATTACAAAGAAAAATATTATAAATCGAAAATGTTAGTTAACTCATTTTAATATTGTACATACATCTTGTAAGGAACTTTATAGTTTTGAATAGTAAATATTAATTTCTAAAGGTTTGAATTCATCTGAAGTTTTTAATCTCTAGGAATACACCAGAATATACATTTTCACATATAAGATTTAGAAAGATTTGACTGAACTGTGAAATATTCATGAGGTGATAGACTAAAGAGACAGAAACCAAAGTCATAGGATTTTGCCTTTCAAGACACTGAGAAAACTAAATGACGAATTGGCTGTCTTATTGTATTGATTTTTGCCTAATTCTCATTTGGAACATATAAAATGACACATTCCACAACTTATTCTATGCAGACAGCAATTGTTGTCTAATTCTTGATATGTATATGTCCACATAGATACCAACTTTAAAGTATTTATTGTCTTTTGGTCAATCAAGGTGTGGTACCATTTTAACATGAATCCTTTATTACCCTGTAGGGTCATGCAGTAGCTAAATTTACATGAACATTCCTGAACTACTTGCTCTGTTTTTTCTCTACAATGAGTACAGTATCCACAGTAATTCCTCTGTTCTCCAGTGACCAACTCCCCTCTTACAGAGGCCTTCTGGAAAAGGAAGTAGGAAGGCTACATATAGGAAGGGAACTGTGATTCCCCCACGTATATGTCCAATCAACCTGTGAACAATGAAAACTTGGGAAGAGCCTTTTCTCCAGGACATTGCCACTTGGTTGTTGGAGAGCAATAGTTACTATCTGTCAGAGAAAGTTGGGAAAATTTAAATGGGCTGAACCATGAGAAAGTCACAGAAATAATTAAAGTAAGGAAAGCAACCAATAAAAAAATGCAGTCAGCCAAAGGAGATCTTTAATTCCTACGTCTGGAATTTCACAAAGGAATTGAAGACTCAGTCAGGGAGAGAAGAGAGAAGAAAAATGCCAGGAACCCCAAGAGTGAGCAGCGTGTAGTGTGGAAAGCCTGTCCAAGATGTGTATATTTTCTTTCATCTTCAAAATCTTCAAAATTAACTTCATCTTCAAAATTAACCCTCAAAGTTAATTTTTAAAGATGAAAAAACAACTTCAGCATTTTTTATTTTTTCCTTTTGTTTGAGACTGAGTTTCATTCCAGCACCCATGCTGGAGTACAGTGGCATGATCTCGCCTCACTGCAACTTCAGAGACTCTTGGGTTAAAGCGATTCTCCTGTTCTCCTGCCTCAGCCTCCCCAGTAGCTGGGATTACAGGTGCCTGCCACCACGGCTAGCTAATTTTTGTATTTTTAGTAGAGACAGGGTTTCACCATGTTGGCCAGGCTGGTCTCGAACTCCTGACCTCAGGTGATCTACCTGCCTTGGCTTCCCAAAGTGCTGGGATTACAGGCGTGAGTCACCGTGCCCAGCTGAGGTCAACCACTTTTAAGTCAATTGCCCAAGTTCATATTCAACCTCTAATTTTTATTCACCACACCACAAGCTTTCAAGTTCAATGATTCATTAAAATATAGATATGGCTTGTTTTAACTGTCTGAATTACCTTTTGCCTAGAAGAAATAAATATTTATCAAGTTCCATTGAAAAGTCACATTATTCTTAATCAGTTTTGATCAGACTTAACATATCTCCCAGCCTTTCCATGTAGCGTATTATTTTAATACCTACTTCCTGGTGAGATTTCATTTTTACTGTTAATGGCATACATGTCTACTTCACCCATCAATTTTACACAAAAAGTTCATCTTTATATCCATTTTTGCAGCATGAACACAATATAATTCAATTTTATTTAATTGGTTTCTGTGGACAGCATTAAATCTCATTCCTGCCCTAAATAAACCAAACAGAAAATGCAAAAGTCCACACTTTAATTAAAATGTCTGCATTATTTTGACCCATGTGATTCACTGTGTATTTCTCTTTTCTCCACATATTTTGTTTTTATTTGATCAGAAATTTAAAATTGTGTATGGGAAGAATTTTAGGAGTTGTTCTGTTAATAGTTTTCAGTTTTGAATTTCAGTGTATCTTCTCTCTGTTTTTCTTACCGCAAAACCAAATAATTACTAAAAAAAAACCTAACAATAAAATTAATCAAATAATAGTGAAACTCACTGTCAAGCCAACATAAATAGTAAAAAAAAAAATTATGGAAATTGTTGTTAATAAAATTAGCAAAAAGTACACTTCAAACAGCCATTGGGGTGTTCCAGTATTTCACTTACAGTCAAATATTTCCCAGGCAATAGAGTATTGGAAAAAAAGTGACTTGCTAGCAACAACAACAACAACAAAATTATCTATTTTTACACATAGATCTAAAAAGTATACCCTCTTTCTAATAGTACTTACCTCCTTCTATAATATTTTTATACCCATTAAGGTAGAATTTAGAGGACAGAAAACAAAAGTTTTATCTACATTCTCTCAAAGCTTAATGTTGGTAAGTTAGGGGTCTAGTGTAAATAAATCTGTGGATCAATATTATTCATTTTTCTTTTGTATCTTTTGATTTATGTGAATAGAGCACCCTTTTAGTCTTTTACTCACTCATCTATTTATAAGTTTGTATTTTTGCCTTTAACAAAAGATTTATAAGCAAACATTATTTATATTACATTATACTGGGACAAGAATCAGCAAATAAACTATTAGAGAACAGAGAGCCAAGAAAAAGAGGAACACATCATACATTTAGAAATGTAGCATATAGAAAAGGGACATTTTAAGTCATTGTGAAAGTTTGTTTTAGGGACAGCTTTTTAGACACCGTCTAAAGTGGAAACCACAAAGCACAAAACTGACAGATTCAAATATCGAAATAATTTTTTTAATGTGAAGAAGACAACATACATTAAATAAATGCATTAAGGCTGTTGCACATTTTTGTCATATGTGTAACATAAAATTAATTTACAGGATATATGAAGAATGTATGCAAATTAATAAGGACACAAACAATCCATTTTTTAAATGGCAAATTATGTAAGCAGGGAATTAATGCAAGAAATACAAATAATCAATAGAAGTATAGAAGATGCCAAAATATACTAAAATATATGTGAATAAAATCTTAAAAAATATAATCATATTTTCAAAATATAAACTGAGACCAAAAAAATCAATGCCATAAGTTTGGGAAAGAAGGTGCATTCATATTCTTATTTGTCTAAAATTAGTTTTAGCCATGTTTGATGCTTTTGAGAAAGTAATATACCATTTGATATAGCAATTTCAGTTTTATTAATATATTCTACAGGAAAGCCAGTGTCTGAACACAAAGATTTTGTACAAGTATAAGCAAAAGCATTATAATAACAGCAAAAACTAGAAATGGATACGATGTTTATCAATAGATGAATAGATTTTTTTTGCTATTTCCAAACTATAAAACACTATGCAACAAGAATGCACTATATTTTTGTGTTATGAAAGAGAAAACAAATAAATATTATTAGTTGGAACAAGTGCATTACAGACAACATGTATAGTATGATCCCATTTGCGTAAGTGAAAATAAACTAGGTAGACAGATATACATAAATATGTGAGGAAAAAAACTAAACACTTAAAAATGAAACACCTAAGAATTTTTAAAAAACAAATCACTACACATTGAGAGAAAGACAAAAAGTTTTACTTTTAAAAAATTTGTATAGTTTCACTCTTTGCCATAAATGATTCATGTATTCATTTTATGTTAATAAAACAAAGTTAAGTATCTGTAAAATATAATAATTTCAGAAAAGAGGTTATAAACAAAGCTAGAGAAGTTCTTAGAAAAAAAATTAAGAAAGCAGTTATTGGTAAGAGCTTTTAAAAGTTCCAAGATATAACATGGATATTTTTAAAACTTAAAATATGGAAAATCTATTGTGATCCATAGGATCTTCTTAAACTATGCAAATTATTCCCATTTAGAAGAATAGAGCTAGTATGTTTTATTTTTACTTTCTCTTAGATTGCACAGCACTTTGAAGCAAGCAGCTGCCGTGAATTTTGAAAACTAAGCTGCCCTCACTTGATATATATGCAAAAGATGTTTTAAAAAATCTTAGGAGTCATTGTGGTGGTCAAATGAGGATGACCCACAAGAGGGAATTATATTGAGGTAGAATTGTTAGTTTGGGAAGGTGAAGTCAATTAATTATATGTATAATGAATCCAGAGAGACACATTTCACACAGAACATGTCTGTGGAGAGTACAAACAGGCATGATTTCTGAAAATATATAATAATAATATATACAAATGACAAAAAAGAGTTTTTAAAAATTAGGAAAAAGTAAATTGTTTGTTAGTACTAAAAATAATGATAGAACATTATTCTAACTTGTCAAAAATGTTTAATTTTTCATAAACAGATATCGAAACATCTTGCCAAGACTCTCAAAGCAGAAGATTGTTATTAAGCAGTAAGTTTACTAACGGGAAGCTACAAGAATCCTAGGCCCATAAAATATTGCTCCTAGGATTAGTGTAATAAGAGGACCAATTATCAGAACTAGTTTTCTGTTAGGTAATTTATTACCAATATTTTCAAGCTCTGTTTAATCCATATGTAAAAATTCCAATAGAGATATTTAAAATGTCTAGAACATGTATCAATGTACATTTATTAATATATACAGTCATCCAACTCTTAAAATTATTTAATAAAGGCTAATGTTGTTATTAATGCCATTTAAAATGAATAATTTGGTTATTTGATGAGTAGAAAATAGCAAATTCCAAGTCATCTAGCAGCAATAGACGATTTGGATTTGAAACAGGTTCTTAATGAAAAGATGAATCACAGAGCCATGTATTTATTTATTTATTTATTTATTTATTTTTATCTACATATAAATAACATATTTATTCCTTGATCATTATATTTGAACGTTTTACATATTTGAACATTAAGCAATATACCTCATATATACTTTCACAACACAAAACTACACACTTTCTCTAACTTTTTCTGATGATAAAAGAGTGTGGCTTAACTAAAATTTTTCTTGATTATGTCTGATCTAAAAAACTCGACTTCATTTGCACTCCTTTCATTTTCTTGGGATAGCATAGAACACTGCAATCGTGGTTCATAATATTACAAAACAAAATATCTGTAAGAGTGATCTTGATCTGATTGTAGATCATAGAATGAGTCAGCTGAGTCACCTGCAGTTATAATTCAAGGAGAAACCCTGAAGGAATCATTCTGATAATGCTGAATGATATTGTGTTCTTAACAATATGTAAAAAGAAAGGGGAAATTGGTGAATCTTAGATATTTCTCTATGGATATTCACTCCTTGCAGAACGCATACTGTATAGGTATTCAATCCTCAAAGAACCCTGTTACTAATTATGGCCTCTGACGACGCTGAGATATACCCCCAGATTCACATTTGGTGAAGTTTGGGCCCCAACTACTCAGGCAACTCTCAGCACTTAGCCTCATCCACACTTGTCTCTGGCAAAACTCCACTTCACCCAAGTTCATACCTCTTATCTAGGCAATGCACATCCCATGACCAATTTATATGAATGGAGGGTAGGAGGAAACTTAAGACTTGATACTCTTGACCCAACTCTGGACAACTCTACAGAGCCATTTTAGCTACAGAGCACCCTGTGGAGGGTTCCATGGAGTCTGTAATTGGGCTCGGACCCAGATCTGTGCCTCCTTCTTCCTCCCCTGCTTCCTCCTCTTCCTATGGTAGGGATACCAAGGGTTCTCTAAACACATATTGCCTGTCCAACCCATATTAGAGACTGCTTTCCTGAAAAACCATTCTACTACATGTTTTAAACGTTTTTAGAGAATTTTCACTATCCTGAGAATCATCTTTACTGTCATGATGTTACCAGTGGAGGGTCTTGACTGAGTCATCCAGGTTTTTGTCATTTTGAACAAAGAATTGGACAAAACACAAAAATGCAGCAATAAAAGAATGAAGCAACAAAAGCATAGATTTATTGAAACAAAAGTACACTCTATAGAGTGGGAGCAGGTTCGAGCAAGCAGATCAAGAGCACTGGTAACAGAATTTTCTGGTGTTTAAATACCCTCTAAAGGTTTCCCATTAGTTACTTGGTTACTCCCTAGGTAAATGAAGGAGTGCCCCCCCACTTCACTACCAGTCTGATTGGTTGAGGGAGGCGACCAGTCAGAGGCTGAAGCAAAGCTACAAAGTTATACATGAAGACCTGGCTTAGAAACAGTCTGATTGGTTGTTAGAGGAAACCAACCAATCTGATTGGTTGCAAAAGGGGACCAACTAGCGGTACTTTCCATTTTTCATCTGCAACATAGTGAAAAGGGAGTAGCCTCTGATTCTTCTGTTACTTGAGTTTGGAGAGGTGGGCTTTTCCTTTTGATACAGCTCTAGGAAGTCAGCTCAAATAGACTTTAGGTTTCCTCCCTCCAGACCCTATTCTCCTGACTCAATAATGTGTGTTAAAGTTTATCTCACAAAAATATGAGAAGAAACTCATTATTCACAACGCCAAAATATACACATAGAGCCCCAAATTCTTGACCATTATGCCTCCTACTGCTAGACAGAAGACAGTAGGAATCTATTTATTTATTGTCTGGTGTGTCCACTGATTTATGTGACTTAAGCTATATGTCTTTTATTTTCTTTGGGACCCAAGAAAATGTTGTTAGTATGAACAAAGAAATCAATCTTGTTTCTGGGATCTTTAGACTGTACTGACAATGTTATTTATCTAACAACCTGTGCAATCAAATTGTTTTAAGCTTTCCTGCTGGAGTTTAAATTTGTCATAATCATTGTGGAAATTATTTCATGGATTTTGCACTCTGAATCAGGTAGTTGGCTCTAAAACATACAATGAAGAATGCAGTCAAAATTCTAGACACTTAATAAGTATCCATGGATATGACAGGGCAAATATCAAAATTTTTCAGCAGAATGGATAGGGATGCTGGCATAATAATTTTCATTCACTTTCCTCAGATGTATGTCACCCTCCCCCTTGCCAAAAATGACATTTTCAAACATTTTTTCAGAGGCGTTTAAAATATCTCTTTTTAACTCACAGTAGAAGGCATTGTATAACACATTTTTGTTTTGAAAATATATGTAGAGTTATGACTTTTATAGAACACAGATGTACATGTCTATTTCTATCATCTATTAGTCAGCTGCAATTACAGTTCTTTTTAAAACCATATAGTTTAAGGCACACTTCAATGCCTCAAATCTCTTTATGATAGAGGCAAGCATAGAATATCTAAGATGCAAAGTGAGATTTCAAAAAAAAGCTACATTAAATATTTCTGGTAATAAAAAATGAACACAAGGCTTAATGTGTGCTGATAATATGTATATGTAATCTGCAGATAACATATACATATATATACATACACACATATGTGTGTGTATAAAACACTTTAGTGTTAATATAGCAAAATATGAATACTAAATTAAATCAAATGTTAATATATGAATAGAGTAAAATCTTCTTGTGAAACTCATTAATAATTGTGTTATATATTTTCTTTTTTCAGTAATCTTGATGAAAACAGTTGTTAATCATTTATTTCTGAAACTTTACAATTGAAATATGTCGCCTTTGTGTTACTTCTTTCATGAATACATTTGATTACAGAAATTATAAGCTTCTAGAATGCAACCGCAATGACTAGATAGGCTCATAACTTACACAAAATTACAGATAGTTGATTAAAATTCTCCAACCAGGACAATATTATGCTAATATTAATTATTATAATTGCATTTGTAATCATATGCATTTAGGTATCATTCTTTGTAAGTGAATATTTCCAGGAGGCTGTTGTAATGCTCCATCTTAAAAATCAAACATAAACATGTACTGTTTTAACAACAAATGCAGTGGAATTTAACTTAGTTTTCTCTAGAATTTAAGACAAGTATTCTTTTTCATTGGCAAAATTTAAATGTCTACATGAAAAACTACAATGATAATAGAATCACAAAGGTCTTTCAACACCAAATGTGCTATTGAATCTAGTGGCAAAGGCAGAAGTCAAGACCAAAAGATTCAACATGATGATAAGATTAATATATTCATAAATATATTTATGTTAGCTAAATCATTATTCAGGAAAAATAAACTTACTTGATAAAGTGAAAACACATAGATAATTAAAAACAAAAATATTTAACTGCCTTAATTTGTCTTTGTAGAATAGCCTCTCAAAAAAAGGATATTTAAAGTAGAATATAATAGAAATGCTTTGATTTGTTTTTGTAAGTGTACAGTTAATTGTTTTTCAGAGAAATCCACCACCTTCCTCATTTTTCTTACATATAGGAACATAACAGCCAATGCACTAACAGTTTTCATTGGTTCATCTTTTGGTTGGAATTGTGAGTGCAGGTGACCTGGACAACTGGCCAACTCACCAAATGATACACAATCCAATCAAGACCATGTGTTAATACCTACCATTTATGATTTCCATATGAGTTCACTTGGAACAAGAGCTTTCATTTGATCACTCTATAAGCAGAAAATTGTATTTTTCCTAGACCAATGAAAGTCATGAAAATCATGGGACAAAGATTTAAATTTTAAAACAAAATAAGGCCAGGTGTGGTGGCTCACATGTGTAATCCCAGCATTTTGGGAGGTCAAGGCAGAAAGAATGCTTGATTGTAGGAGTTCAAGACCAGCCTGGGACATGTGGTGAGAATCAGTCTCTACAAATAATAATAATACAAATGCTCAGGCATGGTATGGTGGCAAGTGCCTGTGTTCCCAGCTACTCTGAAGGTTGAGATGAGAGGATCACTTGAGCCCGGGAGATCAAGGCTGCAACGAGCCATGATCACACCACTGCAGTCCAGCCTGGTGACAGAGTGAGACCCTATCTCAAAGAATAATAAATGAATACATAAATACATACATAAATAATAATTTTAAAAGGTTGTGTATTATAGAAACTTAATTTGGTCTTCTGTTCCCTATTACAGTTAGTCACTTAGGAATTTCACTTTGCCAGTACTTTTTAAAAATCACCTTATCCTTGAACTGCCGGTAATATCAAGGCATTGGAGCAGGAGCTATTTCTGGGACTTTGGGTCATGTGCTGTGATGTATATTGCTTCCGCTGCTCTTCAGACATTGGTATGTATTATTGCTGGATTTCTCTTAAGATTTTTAATTCCATCTGTTACCATGACATTTTTTTCTAAGACATGTCCTTATCACAACTATGACATTCCTCAGTGGATTCATTCACCTAAGTAGAGTATGCTATCAGAAGACGCTGAAAAATGCATGGTGCAATGTATGACACATTAGGGCTGCTGTAGCTTTCTCTGTCCTTAGGATACCAAGTGCATACTTAAATTATTAGTTCCTATGGCAATGTAGCATAAAAAAAAAGAGAGTCACTAATGATGTAAAATTGAACTCCAGTTATTCTAGCAACATGATGGTGAAAGGGAACAAGAAGTTGTCAAACTGTGTGCATCAGCTTTTAAGGAAGATTTCCCAAGCATGCCATAAAACCCTTCCACTTTCAGCAATTCCATTGGCCAGAACTTAGATACATGGTGACACCCAACCCCAGGAGGGACTTGACATGTAATCTTTATTTTGGATGATGATTTCTCGAGATGAAAGTTCTTACATTGTGCAAGAAAGAGAGAATGATATTGGAGAACAATAAGAAGTTTATCCCACCGGTCGCCCAAATATCCATGTTTATCTTTCTTCCTGATCACAGAGCACTCACCTCAGGAGAGCTGACACTAAAGTCCTACCCACTTACTGCATCTTGCTTTATTTCACCCTATTGTCAAGCAATTAGAAATTTCATTCCCACCATCTGCATTCCCAGGGCAAGAGGCAGGGAGCCATCCACCCAATCTCCTGACTACAGAGAACCCATGCTAATTTCTTCAAGTTGAAGACAATCTCCTCTGACCAT
Source organism: Homo sapiens (assembly GCF_000001405.40). Classification (NCBI taxonomy): domain Eukaryota; kingdom Metazoa; phylum Chordata; class Mammalia; order Primates; family Hominidae; genus Homo; species Homo sapiens. Next base: position 66,089,121 of record NC_000018.10, on the reverse strand, counting down.
ATATAAGTAGAAACACACTCTCCCAAATTTTTCTTCATCTTGGGCTATTGAGAACCACAACATAGCTATCGCTAAAGACATTTTCTTCCAAACACTTTACTCTTAATATAAGCAAAAGGCATAAAGTCATGTAACCAGTTTTAAGTAAACACCTTCTTTCAAGTGCTCTGGAGTGGTCTAACTCATTTCACACACAGGTGGCTATCTGATATCTATCATACCTTGGTGCCTTTGTTGCTATACCAATATGACATCCTACTATGCATATATTTGTTTACTATTTTGAGACTTAACCAACAAGTCTTTTCCTCATTACATTTTTTGTATCCTTTTTCCGTCCCATGATTCAAGCAGCTAAGCAGATTTTTCACCATGAAAATGTTTTTAATAGCAGAAAACAAGGCAACTAGCGTTCTCTTTTAAAAGCAACATCTTGGCAGTAGTAAGTTCTCTAGAAGAGAGAGTAGTGCTCAACATTCTAGCTGCTAACTACCTTTCTTGGCATGTTTGCAGTTAAGCATGGCCAGATAGCTCATTTCATCCAATGCTCTCTTAGATGAAATGACATGTTGTAAGGAAATCAAAACATAAAACACACACACTACATGACACACACACACATACACACACACACACACACACACACACATTACATGATGCTCTAGCTCTCTCTTGCTCTCTTGGAAACTGAGGATCTGTTTCCAAATGTTGTCATTTATGAGAATTGGTTTTTTTTTTCTGACTCCTTGAGTGACTTTGTGGAAATTGTCCCTTACCTATGCTTGTGGATATTAAGACAAGAAAAGAAAATAATTTTTTAAGCTACTGGGATTTGGAGATTTCCCTAGCCTACTCTGATTAACACTGTTTCTGAAAGATTTTTAGGACTGAGGGGAGAAGTGAGGAAAAGGCAGATTATGTAAAGATTTGGTTCCTGAAAAAAGGCCCTAAATAGTGCTGCCAACTATATAGGTCTATATACTTCAGACCAAGAATCCTTGTGATAGAAGCTCCAGAGAGATTTGAAGACTATATGCACAGAGGGATCTATGCCAAGATTGAGATCAGGAAAAAGCTAAAACTCAAGTAATAATAATTTAAAAATACTATTATGATTCCAGGCAAAATGTTGTCTTTTAATTTGGGTCTTCCTACAAGTAGACACCAAGATGGAATTAAACAAACAAGAGATTCACTGAGAAAAGTGCCTATAAAGGATAAAGGGGGAAAAATCAGAGGCAGGCAAGGAAAGCCTTTGGCAACAAAGGAGTTCTGACTCTTGTGAAATGAGAGGGAGCAGGAAGAATGATTGGGCAGAAAAATCTCAGACTTAAGGACTGTTCCAAGAAAATTACTGCTAAGCAGATGTAGAATATCTAAGACAAAATTTTCACTAGAAGAGTCCTGCCTCCAGTAGGAATAGGCCAGTGCCAGTACCTGTGAAGTGCTAAGTAGTTGGCTGGTGACTGGGGTTGGGAGGTACCCCTAGTATCCCTGGTGTGTGCACCCCTGGACTTTCAGTTCTCTGTGCTTCCTGCAGACATTTCTCTTGAAGGACATCTGAGAGGCTCAGTTCTGTGAAGCCCACAGTCCATCCTTTGGGTTAATGCGGAGTCCATTCTCCATGTATGCTCAGGAAGTATGAACTGCAGGGCTCTTGTGGTGCCTGTTTTCTGAAGGGAATTTTTAAGAATACTGTTAGTAAGATGAACTATCTATCTAAGCCTTCTTGCTGCAATGTATGTCAAGACCAAAACTGGTACTTTTTTTCTTCCCTTCACCACTACCCATGCTGAATTTCTCTCAGCTATTAAAATAGCAAGGCTTGATGGCTTAAATGTTGGTGTGACCAATCCCTGATTAATGAGGGATCTGAACTCTTGGGAGTCATACTCTTCTACGGTCAGAGTTACTATAGCAAATCTAAGTGGATCTCCTGTGTTCCACAGCCCATTGGGTAAAAGGTTGATGCCTCCCCCAGCTGCCCAGTGTCAATTTTACTGGAAGATGTTGACGCCTCTTCTCATCTACTGATCTGTAGACACAAGGAGCCTAAAGTTCTCTGATGAAACTCAACCATGTAGAGTGCACAGTTGCAGAGACAGAAAGCCAAATTTCTCCTGATGAGTTACTGGGAGTTGTAAGTAGCCCACTTTTGCTACCATGCCTTGTATTTTGAACCCGTAAACACTTCCTATTGGAGAAACAATGCCATAGTCTCTGATTTAATACTTATACTGATTTGTAAAAAAAGGTACCCATGCAGCTTGAGAATTGTCCCCATGCTCACGCTTCATCTGTGCCTTTCATAGACTACTCTAGCATTCTACAATGTTAACTGCCTCTGAATGGTTTTGTATGTAATGCAATGAATAGATTTCATGTCATGGTCCCATTCCTATACATCCTTTGCTGAAAAATGGGTCTTCTGAATGGATGAAATGTAGATCAAACATCATAGAAAACCTGATAATGTTGCTGGCTGGGGCTCCGTCTGCACTGATGTAAGACACTCATGCTCAGAATAAGTGTCTATATGTGAGAGTTACTGACGGATCTTCAGGATCCAAGAAGTTTATTGTAATTGACTTGCCACCAAATGGCTAATTGGATTAGTCTAGCTATATTTTTTATTAAAGTATATCAAAATCCGAGAGAAATAAGTATAATAATTTTACAAACTCCAGAGAAACAAAAAAGATGAAAGGTGACCCAGAGGATAAGATTAGAATTATCATATCTCTGATATAATACCAATGTTTCCAAAAGTTCAAGGTTTTTAGTTTAATTCTTTCATTTAAACATGTTGCTATGGAAGGTTTTGTGATTGCTCTTAGTTTTTCCACGGAATCATAATGGTGGAGGACTTTCTTACATTCCCTTGTTGTTTGACTTTTCTCTATTTGTGAAGTGTTGCATATTAATTAACTTTTCCACTGTAATCTCATTTTGAAGCATAACCTCTTTATCGCTCTGGTTTCTTTCCCTGCAACTTCATCCAAACTGTAGGTATAGCTCCCTCTTCTTCAGAGCACCAGGAATGCAAGGCTGTGGTGTCTAATGGATCTTTCTGATGATTTTAAATCAGCACAGCCACTCTAGTGAATCCTATTGTCTGATGCTTTTTAGAAACAATTTCACAAGTCTATTTCTTATTCCAGATATATATTTTTACAAAAAGAGAAGAAAACTATTTTTCTTCCTAATCCTACAAAAAAATACAAAACTATATCCATTGCTACTCTTTATGTAGAACAACTAACACCATTTCTCTTCAACTTTTCCGTCAAGTCTAAACCAGGACCTCTCATTGTTTCTGCTTCAAACCAAAATGGCCACTCATATTTTCCTCTAAAAATAGGCTTCTACCCAAACTTTCCATGGTTACAGTAATAAAGTGTTACCAGAAACACCAAAATGATCTTTTTTTCTTTAACTTTTTTATATGCATGTACCAATTATCAATCTTTCATTTTCCCATAATAGTTTATTTAAATAGAGGTGAGGATATAGAAAAGTTTTGCTCCTCATTATTTTTTTCATGGTAAAATGTTACAGGTTTTTACTAAAAGTTTATTTATTTTATGTACTTTATTTATTTGCTAAAACCATACAGGCTTTACTAAAAGTGTATTTATTTCTTGCAAATCTCTGGACTTTAATTTTTCCTTTGTCACTGAGTGGTTAAAAGACAGATATAGTATAATTTGAGACATGTAAGTATTTCTGTGAACTATTCTCTGAATTTAAAACTTTCTATGCTTTAAATAGCTTTGACCTATATATAGTATTATATTTTTAGTTAATATACATTATATCTCATACATTATGTATTATATACATTTGACCCACATATAACATAACATTTAGCTAATATATGCATTATGTTTTATACATAGAACTTTACCTCAGATCTAACTCATATTGCTCCTGAACAAGCAAAAGCCATAATGCATATATTTAGTATATTATGCATATATTTATTCTATCATTTATCACTAAATATATATACATAGTGCATATGTCATTTGTTGTATAATATGTATATTAATATAAAACACTATATAATGACATAATATAATATAATGTTTGTAAATATGCCAAGTATATATTATGGCTTTATCCTCTCATAAACATTGTGACTTAAATCTGAGGTAAATATCCTGCCTTCCTTAAAAGAGTATAAAATAAATATGACTTTTTCTCTCTGTGACTTTCAAGAGTTGTGGAAACTGTTTAATGTAAATTTCCTCATCAGTCATAAAACATCTCTAAAACACTTGTCTCTGAAAAAAATGTACAAATGAAGGAATTTGAAAAGATTCCAAGATTCTGAAGCAAAATACTTTCAAATATTAAGCCATTATTGAGATAATATACAAGAAACTTAAAAGACTAGAAAAAAAAAAAAGGTGTTTCAGACTTTGCTTAAGCCAGAGATTCCTGTGGGGCAGATGAAATGAGTGTTTAAATAACAACCCTGCCTGGCACAGGGGCAGGACATCTTCAGTTCTAAGATCATCTACAAAGATGGATATGTTGGTGTGGAAAGCAATTGGTCCACCATGGATGAACTTTGGCAGAAAAATCCAGCTTTTTGTGGAGGTCCAGGTGTCATTTCCATAATCTGCAACCAACCCCTCCTTATGATTGAGCTATTTTGAGAGGCTGTCCATTACTTTTCTCACTCACATAATGCGTTACCAAACATGTTAGGATGAAAGAAACTTAAGAAAGAGAATAAAGAAGATGAAAATATTGGGGAACAGCTGAATATTTTGAAGATGAATGAAAAAAAGAGACAAAAGAAAAATTTGTGTCAAACTTCCATCATTAGGAAATTGTATTTCTTCTATCTTATTACCGTTGTTGTTATTTAAGAAATAATATAGAAAATTTTAGTTTTTTAAAATAAATTTTTGTTTGAAAAGTGCATGAAATTCTTCAGGATATAGAATACCTATGTTTTGTATTATAGCTGTTAACACAGTTCACTAATTCTAATCACATTCTAAGTCAGTTAAAACTAGGAGGAGTCAGCTGGGTGCGGTGGCTCATGCCTGTAATCCCAGCACTTTGAGAGGCCGAGGTGGGCAGACCACAATTTCAAGAGACTGAGACCATCCTAGCCAACATGGTGAAACCTCGTCTCTACTAAAAATACAGAAATTAGCTGGGCATGGTGGCATGCACCTGTAGTCCCAGCTACTTGGGAGGCTGAGGCAGGAGAATCACTTGAATCTGGGAGGCAGAGGTCAGAAGGCAGATCCCAGAAGATCAGGTTCATGCAAGCTCAACAGTCTGCATAAACTGACGGCAATTGGAGTTTAAATAGTCGGATGAATCACCCCATTTCCTTACTCACTGGAAGTAACTGAGTATAGAAACAACTAAAAACATAAGCTATTATAGTTGTTTATACTTCTCTCTCACCCAAATGTACTGTAAATAATCGAAAAACTTCAGTTTATGGGATTATTTAACAGATTTAAATTTTTTTTCCATTTGAATATTGACATGAATGGTATCTACCCTCTTATCTTTAAATAGTTCTACATTTTTCATAAAACTTTTACTTGAAGTTAAGTCTGTAAACCAATAACTTAAATTTTATATGAGTCCTCCTACTTCTGCATTTTGCCCTTGCATAATAAAATAAGGTATCAACTTCCAAGGACTCTGATGTAGAATGAATAAGAGGTTGGGAGGATTGCCTGACAAATAGTGAAGTGTCCATTAAATAGGCATTATGAACATTTGAGGGCATATTCATCTTGATACATCCTTCTCTTCACTGTTGCTGCAGCAGAAGCATAATGATAGAGAGCAATCAATCAAGTTACCTGCATGTCTGACATGATTGTTGGAAGTGTTACTATACAGTGTTGAGCAAAATGACACACAGGAAGCTGACATGTGAACACTTCCTTTCTGGTGCACCTTAGAGGATGCTCTCTCCGACTGGGCCAAAGGAGGCTGCAGTGATCAGGTCGGCAGGTCATGCTGCCCTTAGGATAGAGATTATTTAATTTATGAATAATGAAATCATTTATGAATAAATGTATTCACAAATATCTATAGAGTAATTACAATATACCACCTAGAGGGGTCCTCTGCCTCTTCACATATCTGTGAAGTGACTAACGAATGAATTAGGTGAGCATTGGGAGGATTTGAGATTAGATTGCATGTGAATAAACGCCAGGGAATAAATAAACCCCAGTAGAAATTCAGTTGAACTGGTGCCCTAAGAGAATAGTGACGTTAAATAGGCCTGCAAAGAGTTTATATACTGTAATGCTCTGCAGAATTTTCATCGACACAAAAATCAATCAAGAAGTATATTGACTGGTATTACTAATGCAGAAAAATAACAGACTCATATAATTTTTCACCATTTTCTTTTTGTCTTATCTATGTTTTAAGTATGTAGTAGGGCTAGCGTCAGTGTGAAAGAAAAACAAAGTTTATAATTCTAACATTTGTTCAATGAATATTTGAAAATAAGTTATATTTGAGAAAAAAAAATCTAGATTGATTAGATTTCCCAGCAATTGGGGTGGGAAAATTTTGTATCCATTTTATTCTGAGAAAGTTTAGTTGACCTCTTAAATTTTTAAACCTCGGATGTGAAATTATATCTGGCATCTGATTATAACAGACTCTTCTGAAGAGGATTGTAGATGTTAACATGTTCCAAAAGGACAGTGCCTCAAGATCTATCAGATGGCAAGATTTTCTATCCCCTGTTGTTATTTGATTTGAAGTCATTTTCCTTTGGACATATTCAGCTGAAACCAAGCACTCATTTAAAGATAATGTCTGCAGCTACTGCTGCTAAAAGTAGGCCTTGAGTGATTCCTCTAGTTTCTTACAGGGAGAAAATTTGCTGTATTCTTGATGGAATGGTTCCGCATATTTTTCAATCCAAAATAGCTCTCTGTGGTTTCAAGATAGTGGTCACACGCAGAGGTAAATGGTGGAATGTGTATATATCTAGGTAATTATTAAATGGGTTTTTGGGATGTCTTGGTTGAAAAGTATCTTGCTCATGCAGAGGGAGGATGTAGTAGGTCAAAATGAGCTCAGGGTGATAGGCCCACATTTTTGTCGATGCTCCTTTCCTTTTAATGGATTTCCTCCATTATCGAACCATGCCATTACAATTCTGCAGCAAGGAGAAGGTCTGGAAGAGCTGCTGCAAAGCCAGGATCATCAAAATGGTGAACAACTAGTTTTATTTGTTGTAGATATTCAATATCATGGGCAACTTAGAATATATTTCATAATTATTTGAATAAACATCACGATGTGTAAGGATAGAATCAGATTACTCCAGAGACTCTTTGCTATGTAAAAGAGTCTGATAGGTTCACCTTGAGTGGATTTAACCGTACAGTACTTAGGAGCTGTCCGTAAATCTGCTTTCACAACCTGTGTTGTGAGATAATTCTGCATGAGAGGCTTATGCAAATGATAATGTAGCCATTTCCAAACTTAACATAGTATGTAGGGTCCTAGGTACACAACCTCAATTGCATTACTTTCACTCATAAGATTAGGTAATGAAGAAAAGTACAAGGAAGGTTGACATTATATGCCTATATAACTTTTTGTATGTAGAAAGTCCCTGTATTAAAAAACAATTATTTGTGCAATTTGATTTAGGGTGATAAACTCTTCTAGATGACATAGTGCTGATGACATTCTCAGATTATTTTCCACAAGAGACCACAGAAGCTAAGATAAAAGGAAGTTATCTCTATTGCATAGCTGCCCTTTAAAAAAAAAGTCAATAACTTCTTTTAAATACCTTTCCTTTATAATTAATATTATAACTAAAACCTCATGGGTTTTAGAAGTAAAATTTAATTAGCTTACTTTAAAGAAAATGAAAAATGTTAAGAACAAATGCCATCTGCTTCCATCCTATTTACCTATAGCTATCATACCCAGCAATAATGGGCTCTCTTTCAGTGCTCCTATCATCTCTCCTTTCACTTTCCCAAATGCTTTCACCAAAACCACCAGGGTCCCTTGTCCTGGTACATGCACCTCGTTACCACATCGCCCACTTCTCATACCAAGTGCATGGTCTTGGTATTACAGTTTTCTTCCTTGAAATTGCAAATATCAGTTACTGTACTGCAGTATTTACAATGATAAAATCTTGGCATTGGAAAGAACTTTAAACTGCCTCTAATCCATGGCCAGCTAATTGTACAATCTCACCCTGGCCTCGATAATGTTAATGGATCAGATCCACATGTCCCAGTTTCCACATGCTGAGTTCTGTCATAATTTGCCTACCTATATTAGTATTTTCACTAATAGCAATTATAGTAATGGGAGAGTCATAGACTAGACATAATCCATCTGGAAGTATTTAAAAATCTGAATGGGCCAACTACTGAACAGTAATAAGAAGTATAGTGATAAAGTTGCAAAGTGAAACAATCCTCTTTCTTGCAAATTTTCTTAGATTTTCATAGAGAGATACAGAAAATTTGGAAATGGTCCCAAGGAGAAAAATTAAAGTGACTAAAATATTTGAAAAGAAAAAGAAAATTTGAACCTAGAATACATAGCTCAGTGATTGAATGGTTTTCCATGTAACCAGTTCTCTTACATTTTCATCAAGAATAAGAAAAGAAAGTATTAACAAGTAAAATTTCGTTTATTCTCACTTTAAACTTCTTATCTCATGCTATAAAATTTTAACAAAGACAATTCTGTAGCCTACTTTAACAAATTCTATAGTGTACTTTAAGAAAGACAATTCTGTTGTCTACTTCTCTGAAACACACACACAAAAACACAAAAATGCTCACTCTTACGTACATCCAAAGGTACCTATGAAGGTGTCTATTTTATGTATTTTGATTATTAACAATTCATTTTTGTAAATAGAGATGGAGTCTTGCTATGTTGCCAAGGCTGGTCTGGAACTCCTAGGCTCAAGCAATTCTCCTGTCTCAGCCTCCCAAAATGCTACGACTACGTGAGCCACCGTACCCAGCCAGAAGTGTCTAACTAAGTGATTTTAGTTTGCATTTTCCTTTTTAGCATCTTTTAAAAATAAAATTGCATGTAAAAGTCAATACTCCAGGTGGTTCTAGACTGATAGTGCTGTACTATTTTGATTTTTAAGGTGTATTTATCATACTAATTCCAAGCAGAATTGAAAATAATTGGTCCTGCTGAAAATTGCTTATTCTTTAAAAGAAAGAAAGTATAAGTTTTTAAAGCATCATATAACATTTCAGTGTAGTAGCAATTTATTAGTAAGAAGTTTTTTTCAAATTTGTTATTTAAAAAGCAAACAAAATAATATAACACCCTGATTTACAATCTGTATTGAAGAGTTCAGCAACCTTTTAATGTTCCCTGTGACTTTATTAATCTTCAATAAATTAAATTCTTCCACTTTACCACATGGTTGAGTAAAGTAGTGTTTGATTCTCAGACTAATTATAGAAGACACTGCATAACTGTCAAAATGATAGAGCCCTCATGATCACTGTGAGCATTGTCATCACATTTGTCATTTATTGCCAGACCTCAGTGTACTGGGATATCTGTCCTATTTTTGTGTTGACTGTTATTTTTGAGAAGTGCCATTTAAATGAATGGAAAACAAAAATAAATTTAGACAAGGCTCATAGCTTAAATCCGTTTTGTAATAGCAATATTATGGCTTAAATAATATACTAACACTTTGACAATTCAATAACATACACACATTGCATCTAGACATTATAATCTGCTACAATTGCTACCAGTGGAGGAAAAAAAAATTGCATCAGATGCCCCATGACACATCCCCCTTCTACTTCATCAACCAATTTTAGGAGATATACATTTTGGATCCTATTTCTTAGGATAGAAAAAAATCTTAATATGGGAAATGATAGAGCAGCAGAGATTTAAATTGGTTTGGACCTGTACTTAAGGTATTTAGGCTATCTTGGCAGCAGATGATGTAATCCTTTAAAAAGGAGGATACAGAGCTATTGACATGCTAATCAGAAACTCCAGTGGTTTCAGAGATTGATATTGCTTTGCTAAAGCTATTGTTGATAATAAAATTACCAGAATTGTTGAGTTCTCTGTGCCTATGAAAGAAGGGTCAAAGTTTCAATAAAAGTAAGTGAGCTTATTTCATATAGCTTTTGTTAATGTCATCCTGTTCCAAATAATAGGGCAGAAATAAATATTAGAGATATAGCCTTGAGTATTCTGTACACTTGTTGCATTTATATTTGTAACATAAATTGTGATTTTATACAGTAAATTGTCCAAACTATGGTCACAAAAAGGAGATACCTCTCCTTTCCAACTAAACGCTAGACATTACCTAAGGAAATCAATCAATCTCAGTAAGAAGAATAAAGCTAAGTAAACAAAATTTATTCAGTCTCATTTAAGATTTTAACATGAAATTGAGGCTATGTCTGCAAAAATCAGTTGGAGTCCACTTCCATCTTAGATACTGCTACTTTGTTTGAAAAATGTGGCAATTTTACTACTTCTATAGGTAAGAAAAAAAATGGAAGGAGAAAAGAGAGGAAGAAAGACCAGGACTAAGACAGGCAGGCTGCAGGAGACATAATTAAAATCACTCTCTAATAAACCATGTTTTTTAAGTGAAAATGTTATATGTAGACTATTAAATTCAAAAATGGAAAATAAATATTATTTTTCTATTCTCAAGTCTTCTGCATGGTGTGGTAGCAAGGAAGAGTGTAATTGTATTATTGCCAGCAAGCATATAAAATTACTAATTGGCGAAAGAAAAATTAAATTAGGTAGGGAAATGTTTGTTTATTCTCACATGCTTTGAGATAAATGATTTCTGCCAAACGCAGTCAATGTTCCTCAGTAAGAGGTAATTCTTAGGGATAAATATGGGAAAAAAATGCCATGAAGAAATTTTGACTTTCTGTCATTACCCTAAAAATGTTTATTTTTAAATAAACTTTCTTCCTAGTTTTAAAAATTCTTATAATTTTAAATTTTATATGTGTGTTACATGTTGAAAACTACACATATGCACACACACAAACACACATATTATGGCCAAATAATGTAAAATGACCATATATCACTCATCAATCTATTCATTAAAATAAATAATTATCTAAAAATCAGACTACTTTTCAGAACTCTGCAAAGATCATGTAAAACAACATAAAAAATAATACATTGGGAAAAAAACACTAAAAATGACAAATACATTTTGCTTCCTTACCAAATAAGCAATCAAAATGTGTTTGCAATTCAGCCTTAAATTTTGAAAATTCTAATTAGAAGTCTACCCAAAACCAAGCTATGTATATGTAAATAACTTCCTTCATAAAATGAAATGAGGCCACTAACGTGTTATCAACATGGCTTTTACTCTGATGGATTTTGGAAGGGCATTTTTTTTTTCATATTCAGATTAACTTTGTAAGAAGAAATAGAGATGTTCAAAAAGGCTGGATAATCATGGAAAGGAGTTTGAACAAATCAAAATCCATGGGTTTACTTAGCAACCGTCCTGCTTACAAGGTTCTGCCTCTTGAATTTTGGAGTAAGTCTAATCCTAGCTGAAGTTTCCTCTACTGATCCAGCATTATCCCCAACTTATTTCTGCCTGGTGATAATATAAATTTGTAGAAGTCCAGTTAATTCTATAAAAAACTACACAGTTATGTACAATCAGAGAGCTCACATATTGTAGTCCAGGTTACTTTTCATTCTATGCCATATGCACCTGGCTGTGCAAATCATCTTCACGGAAAAGAATATTAAACAAGAATCCAAGGTAAAAGCACATCAGGTTGAAGAGTTCACAGTATTCCTGGGCCACGGAGAAAAATGTGTTCCTCCTCATTCCTTTCGTGTGACTTCTGGTGAATCAGCCTCCCTGAACTTTAATTTTTTATCTGCTTTTTTTAAAGTTTGTTCCCTGTCAATTTATAGTTATTATGAGTATCAATTGATATGTGCATGAAAGACATAAGGTACAAAGTCCCACACACATGTAAACTCTTCCTAGCACAATTACTGTCATCATTACTGACCAACTTAAACTTGTTGCCCTAAGCCATTAAATATTCATGACTGAATATAACTAAATCACAGTGAAAACAATGAGTGAGTCACAAGCCAAACCCATAAGACAAATTATAAGAACAAAACTTATTTCTATGAAGAAGACAGATATTTCTAGACCTTTAAACATTCCTAATAATGTGGCACAAACTCCTACGGTTCTCTGAAATCAAAAAATAATTTCAATATGTTCTGCATATTCTCAAGTGTGATATAAACATAAGAATTCCAACACTGTGAGGTCAGATTAAAAAACAAAATCTCAGAATCCACATGAGCTTATTTTAAGGAAAATAAAAGCCAACAAATACTAACGTACCCTGAACAATGACTTTGGGCCAGGCAGTATTATAAGCATGCTCATTTAAGCCTCATAGCATCCCTATTAGATAGGTGATATTACCATAACTGTTTTGCAAATGAAGAAACTAAGGCATAAAGAGCTCAGATAACCTAGCTAAAGTCCCATAGTTGGCAAAAATGAAGTCAAGATTCCATGGTATTAAATACTACACAGTGTTCTCTCTCTAGTGAGATGTTGACCAAATATATCAAATGTTACTGAAAAGCAAGGCAAATGAGAAATTCAGAAATAGAAATTACATTAAAAGACTCTATATGATATAACATATTTAGAACAGCTGAGTACAGAGCCCTACACATTTCATGTGTTCAATAAATGTCAAATCACACTAAATCTGTTTTCCTTATTCTTTCTCTCCTCTGATGAAGAGATGTATCAGAGATTTATATATAAAAACTTACCAAGAATTATGAAAATTGGAGACAAAACAATTAAGTTAGTGATTCTCAAATGTAGCAGCATAAGCTAGCTAATATGCATATTTTCTCAACATTATACCTAAAATTCTGAGGGATGAGAAGTATTCACTTTTAGTTATCCTCTGGTGAGCCTACTCTGGTTGGTCTACCAACAATGTTGTAAAATGTATTTTAATACATGGCTTTAAATAAAGACAAGAGTAAAACAGTGTAGACTCTAGGCTGAGAACACTTTGAGAAGACTGTGTGTGATTGTGTGTGTGTTTGTATATATGTGTGTATGTGTTTTGCAAAAAAAAAATCATATACATGAGCAGAGGATGAAAAGCCAACATAGGGGCTTAAAGAAACAAAACAAATAATATCTTATGGAGCAATATCACTGATATAGTGAGAAATACTAAGATGAAGTGAAGAATGATGAGGAACTGAAGATACAGAGGGTTTTATTATAGTGAGTAGAAAAATGAACTCATAGTGAAAAATCTTAATCTAGCAAAGGAAGAGTACTGTTGATGTATGGTAGAAATGATGAACTAGCGACTTTGTGAAAAAAGAAAGCATGAGGGAGGAGTAGCCAAATGGTGGTCAAAACCCCTTGTCAATTTTAGAGAGGAGAGGATCTGGTAGGACAGAATTTTGTGGGAAGTTTGTTTGTAAGTGTAATTAACCCCCAAATTATATTATTATTAAGATGTAGGTTCCAGAAATATATGTTTCCCAAGTGGTAGATTTAATTCAGCCTGGTAATTTTTGTTGTTTGCATTAGGCCATTTTTGTACTTGCTATACAGAAATACCTGAGGCTGGGTAATTTATAAAGAAAAGAGGTTTAATTGGCTCGCAGTTCCACAAGGTGTACAGGAAACATGGTGCCAGCATCTGCTCAGCTTCTGGTAAGGCATCATGAAACTTCCAATCATGGTGGAAGGCAAAGGGATAGACATCATATCATGTGGTGACAACAGGAGCAAGAGAGAAAAGGGGAAGGTCCCAGTCCCTTTTAAACAACCAGATCTCACGTGAACTAACTGAGTGAGAACTCACTCATTACCAAGGAGATGGCTCTAAGCCATTCACAAGGGATCCAGCCCCAAGGGCCAATACTTCCAACTAGGCACCACCTCCAACATTGGAGGTCATGTATCAACATGAAATTTGGAGGTTGTAATCCGTATCATTCTTCTCCTGGCCCTGCAAATCTCATGTTCTTCTCATATTGCAAAATACAATTGATATTATTTGGCTCTGTGTCCCCACCCAAATCTCACCTTGAATTGTAATAATCTCCTCGTGTTGTGGGAGGGTCCTTGTGGGAGGTAATTGAATCATGAGGGTGGTTTCCCCATGCTGTTCTCATGATAGTGAGTGAGTTCTCACGAAATCTGATGGTTTTATAATCATCTGGCATTTCCTTTGCTGGCACATCTCCTCCTGCCACCTTATAAAAAGGGTGCCTTGCTTCCTCTTTGCCTTCTGCCAAGATTGTAAATTTCCTGAGGCCCCCCCAACCATGCTGAACTGTGAGTCAATAAAGCTCTTTCCATTATAAATTACCCAGTCTCGGAGATGTCTTTATTAGCAGCATGAGAAGAGACTAATCAAGGTAGTGGGGTGCTGCTGTAAAGATACCCAAAAATGTGGAAGCAACTTTGGAACTTAGTAACAGGCAGAGGTTGGAGCAGTTTGGAGGGCTCAGAAAAAGACAGGAAGATGTGAGAAAGTTTGGAACTTCCTAGATACTTGTTGAATGGCTTTGATCAATATGCTGATAGTGATATCGACAATAAAGTCCAGGCTGAAGTGATCTCAGATAGATATGACGAACTTGTTGGGAACTGGAATAAAGGTCATTCTTGCTGAACTTTAGCAAAGAGACTGGTGACGTTTTGCTCCTGCTGTAGAGATCTATGGAATTTTGAACTTGAGGTAGATGATTTAGGGTATCTGGTGAAAGAATTTCTAAGCAGCAAAGCATTCAAGACGTGACTTGGGTGCTCTTGAAAGCATTCTGTTTTATGCATTTGCAAATACATGGTTTGGAATTGGAACTTATGTTTAAAAGGGCAGAAGAGCATAAAAGTTTGGAAAATTTGCAGCCTGGCAATGTGATAGAAAAGAAAAATCTATTTTCCAAGGAGAAATTCAAGCTGGCTCTAGAAATTTGCCTTAGTACCAAGGAGCCAAATGTTAATCGTCAAGACAATGGGGAAAATGTCTCCAGGACAAGTCAGAGGTCTTCATGGAATCCCCTCCTATTACAGACCCAGAGGCCTAGGAGGAAAAAATGGTTTTGTGGGTCAGGCCCAGGGCCTTGCTGCTTCCTGCAGTCTCGGGACCTGCTTCCCTGTATCCCAGCCATGGCTAAAAGGGGCCAATGTACAGCTCAGGCTGTTGCTTCAGAGGATGCAAGCCCCAAGACTTGGTGGCTTATGTGTTGTGTTGGGCCTGAAGGTGCACAGAACTTAAGAAATGAGTTTTGGGAACTTCCACCTAGATTTCAGAGGATGTATGGAAACACCTGGATATCCAGGCAGAAGTTTACTGCAGGGGTGGTTCCTTCATGGAGAACCTCTGCTAGGGCAGTGTGGAAGGGAAAAGTGGGCTTGGAGCCCCTACACAGAGTCTCCACTGGAGCACTGCCTAGTGGAACTGTGAAAAGAGAGCCACTGTCCTCCAGAACCCTGAATGGAAGATTCACTGACTGCTTGCACAATGTACCTTGAAAAGCCGCAGACAAGACCAGCCCATGATAGCAGCTGGGGGGAAGCTATACCCTGCAAAGCCACAGGTCTGGAGTTGCCCAAGGCCATGGGAACCCACCTCTTGCATGAGTGTGACCTGGATGTGAGACATGGAGTCAAAGGAGATCATTTTGAAACTTTAAGGTTTATTGACTGTTCTATTGGATTACAGACTTTCACTGGGCCTGTAGCCACTTTGTTTGGCCAATTTTTCCAGTTTTGAATGCCTGCATTTGCCCAATGCCTGTACCCCCATTGTATCTAGAAAATAACTAACTTGCTTTTGATGTTGCAGGTTCATAGGTGGAAGGGACTTTTCCTGTCTCAAATGAGACTTTGGACTTAGACATTTGGGTTATTGCTGGAAAGAATTAAGAACTTGGGGGACTGTTGAAGGGCATGATTTTGTTTTGAAATGTGAGGACATGCGATTTGGGAGAGGCAAGGGGCAGAATGATATGGTTTGGCTCTGTGTCCCCACCCAAATCTCATCTTGAATCATAATAATCCATATTGTCATAGGAGGGACCTGGTGGGAGGTAATTGAATCATAGAGGTGGTTTCCACCATGCTCTTCTTGTGATAGTGAGTGAGTTCTCACAAGGTCTAATGGTTTTGTAAGTGTTGCCTTGGGAAGAAGGTGCCTTGCTTCTCCTTCTGTTTCTGCTATGATTATAAATTTCCTGATGCCTCCCCAGCCATGCTGAACTGTGAGTCAATTAAACCTCTTTCCTTTATAAATTACCCAGTCTCAGGTATGTCTTTATTAGCAGCATAAGAATGCACTAATACAACAATCACCCCTTCCCAATAGTTCCCCAAACTCTTTGTTTCAACACCAACTACAAAGTCCTAAGTCTCACCTGATACACATCTCCTCCACCCATCAGCCTGTAAAATCAAAACAAGTTACATACTTCTGAGATACAATGTGAGTACAGCCATTAAATAAATATTCTCTTTCCAAAAGGGAGAATGGGGCTACTGGCAGTCATTAAATCTTAAAGTTCCAAAATAATCTCTTTTAACTTCATGTCCCATATCCTGGTGCAAGGGATGGGCTCCAAGGCCTTGGGCAGCTCTGCACTGTGGCTTTTTAGGGTGCAGCACCCACAGCTACTCTTACAGGTTAGAGTTGAGTGCCTGCTTCCTGTCCAGGCTTAGGCAAACTGCCAATGCTCTATCATTCTGGAGTCTGGAGGGCAGTGATCCCCTTCCCATAGCTCCACTAGGCAGTGCCCTGGTGAGAACTCTGTGTTGGGTTTCCATCCCACATTTGCCCTCCACACTGCCCTAATAAAGTTCTCTGTGAGGGCTCCACTCTTGTAGCAGTCTTCTACCTGGGCACCCAGGTTTTCTCATACATCCTCTGAAATCTACAGGGAAGCTGCCAAGCCTCCTTCACTCTTGCATTATGTACACCTGCAGATTTAATTCCACATGAAAGTTGCCAAGGATTATGGCTTGTGCCCTCTGGAGTGGTGGTCTCAGCTGTACCTGGGGCCTTTTGAGCTGTGGCTGGAGCTGGAGCAGCTGGGATGCAGGGAGCAGTGCCCCAATATCATGCATGGCAGTGAGGTCCATGGCCCAGCCCACAAAACTATTCTTTCCTCCTAGGTCTTCGAACTTGTGTTGGGAGGAGATGTCTCCACGATTTCTGAAATGTCTTTAGGGCCTTTTTGCCATCGTCTTGGATATTACCACTTGGCTCCTTTGTTGTCATGCTAATCTCTCTAGCAAGTTGCTGCTGTGCTTTTATTTGTCTTCTGAAAAATGCTTTTTCTTTCTCTGCCACATGGCTATGCTGCAAGTTTTCCAAACTTTTATGTTCTACTTCCCTTTTAAATATAAGTTCCAACTTTAAGTTATTTTTTGTTCCCATATCTGATTGTAGGTTCTTAGAAGCAACTAGAGCTACCTCTGAAATGCTTTGCTGCTTGGAAATTTCTTCCACCAGACACTCTTGAGTTCAAACTTCCACTTTCACAGATTCCTAGGGCCTGAACACAATGAAGCCAAGCTCTTTGCTAGGACATAACACAGGTGACCTTTACTCCAGTACTCAATAACTTACTCATTTCCATCTGTGACCTCATCAACCTTTTCTTTACTGTCCATATTTTTTTTTTTTTTTGGAGATGGAGTCTCGCTTGTCGCCCAGGCTGGAGTGCAGTGATGCGATCTTGGCTCAATGCAAGCTCTGCCTCCTGGGTTCACGCCCTTCTCCTGCCTCAGCCTCCCGAGTAACTGCGACTATGGGCGCCCGCCACCACACCCGGCTAATTTTTTGTATTTTTAGTAGAGATGGGGTTTCACCGTGTTAGCCAGGATGGTCTTGATCTCCTGACCTCGTGATCTGCCTGCCTTGGCCTCCCAAAGTGCTGGGATTACAGGTGTGAGCCACCGCGCCCAGCCTTCACTGTCCATATTTCTATCAGCATTTTGATCACAATCACTTAACAAGTCTCTAACACATTCCAAGTTTTTCTCAACTTCCTGTCTTCTTCTGAGACCTCCAATCTTGTCCAACCTCTGCCTATCACCCAGTTCCAAAATTGATTCTATGTTTTCAGGTATGTTTATAGCAACACCTCATCCCATGGTACCAAATTTCTGTATTAGTCTCTTGTGCATTAGTATAAAGGAATACCTGAGACTGGGTAATTAGTAAAGAAAAAGGTTTAATTGGCTCATGGTTCACAGGCTATACAAGCATGGCACCAACATTTACTCTGTTCCTGGTGAGGTTCTCAGGATGCTACAATCATGGCGGAAGGTGAAGTGGGAGCAGGCACATTAAATGTCAAGAGCAGGAGCAAGAGAGCAAGTTGAGGAGGTACCACACATTTTTAAACAAACAGATCTGTATGAACTAACTGAGCAAGAACTCACTTACCAACAAGGGGATGGTGCCAAATCATTCATGAGAGATCTGCTCCCATGATCCAGTCACCTCTCATCAGGCCCCATCTCCAACACTGGGAATCACATTTCAACATAAGATGTAGAGGAGACAAACCTCCAAACAATATCATTGTTGTTTTAACACACTGATTTGCTCTCTATTTGATTTGAAAGGTGGTAGAGTTTAGAGGAGACTACTGCTTACGCAAGTTTATGTCATCATCTTAATAGGTACTAACAGCAGTTTGTGTTAAGAACCTGATGACAAACAATGCTACCACATTCTTCTGTTGAGCCATCATCAGCTTTCTGAACTGTGCCGAAGTTTTATTTTCTAAATAAAATAACCTATTATACAAATATTGTTTTAGGTTTCCTGCCAAATTCTCATTTATTCCTTTCAATTTTTCATTGTATTTCACCATATTTAACTAGAAACTCTCTTAAAAGACTAGGAATGTAAAGAGAGCTATAAATTTATATTATACATCTTCAGATGGAATAATAGAAAAGTGTTACTGAAAGCAGATTTTGATTCACAGAAACACATATTTGAGCCTCCTCTGCCTCATTGACTTCATGTCCTTGGTTAAACTCTAAGCCTATTACATTATCTGCAAAATAAGGACATAATTACAAGTTTCAACCACTTTATTGACTCTGTGGAAGAATTATCTGGCAGGTGTTGGTTTCAAGGTGTGTGTGTGTGTGTGTGTGTATGTTTTGTGCACATGAATGAAAACATACATTAAGTATAATATTTTTTGTATGAACTCCATGAAATCTAGCACAAGCCATCATTATCAATATAATCATCATCCCCATCTTTATTTTCATTAAAATATAGATTGGTTACTACCCTCCAGGAAGTGTTCTAAGTGAATTAAGTTGTTGTTACTTTCATTTCCACAGAAATCTTCCTGATTGATGAAAAACCAGTGTTGTATTTGGGTAAGCTGGTGACAATGACTCCAAAGATCATCCAGAACCTTCACACCAAGGAGGGATTGGCTAACCATGGACTGAAAGAAGGGGACAACTGGATGAGGAGCTGGTAAAGCCAGAAAATCTCAGTAAGTATCACAGGTGGTATCTCACATGGGGTTGTGCAGCACCAGCTTTCCAGGTATCCTCACTCCAAACCTCTGCCCACTCTTCAACACCAGACCCTGGGAAGGAAGATAAAAATATTTCCATCTTCCACAAGAGTTCTGAGCAAAGCCTGGCCAGCCTCTGAAGTCATACCAAGAAAGTCACCATTGTGGGGTTTCAGCCTTCCCTGCTGTTTTCTGCCTTCCCAGGTGCTAATATCACAATTTAGTTGATCTCAAATGTCACTTGTGTGCAAGGTGTTTGGGCCTAGAAGAGCTCTGAGACAGATCTCAGCCTCCATGCTACTGGTGACTATCTCCTGAGCTCCTTCAGTGACCAATCCTGGGTCTTCTCCAATGTCTTGACAGGGCGTGTGCTCACCAAGGTGACAGATGAGACCTTCTGATGCTCTCTTGCCCGTGCACACTTCCATTCTCTGAGTCTTTTGGGTCAAGATCTGAGCTTTCAGGGAGCACACCAATGGCATGAACCTCTCTGATGCCTCTGAGCCCAGCCTTAGCATTCTCTTCTTCATGAGCTACTACCTGTCTACAGCAGCCAACAACTCTTCTGTCAAACTCTTGGGTCTATGCAAGGTTAAGAGCCATAAGGCACTGCAGTTGCATAACACTTTGAGGTGAAGTCGTTAATCTTTGACCACAATAGTACCTAACTGGTTCTCAAGGATAAGAATGTGCAAATCTGTATCTGCCAGAAGTGGACAGAGATTCTTCACTTTATAAAGCTTAGCACCTAATCGCTGATGTGGCCTTTCGTCAAGATGTGTGAAAAGGAACCTCAAATTCTAAGGCCCTGTTCCTTTTTATGGAATCTGGGCCTCTCCTCAGCAGTAGGGTAGACTTAGGGTTGAGCAGATAGTGTGGGGAGGAACTGAAGAGAGATTACTTGGGGGAGGAGTATCTATAAGGAGGGAGAGCCACATCACTTCACTCTGGTCTGAGTGGCAACCTGCTTGTCTTGGCCGCATGGGTCACCCTAATAAATGCAACTTTCATTTTAAAAAAGAAACAATAAGCACAGCTACCTCCTTGTGTCTGTCTATAACAAAAACACCCTGAGCCGGGAAAGTCAAAAGGAGGGAGAACAAGGCTTGGGTCAGCAACCTGGAAGCTCATTGTTCCTTTCTCTTTATAGCTCACTTGCTTTCTTATTTCTTTAAATTGCACATTAGAAATGATGCAGATTCTTATTATGTAGGTACTATTATTATCTAGATTTTTTTCACTTAAAGACAAATAAATTGAGGCTTAGCAAGCCTCAAACGGCTTGTAAATAAAATATTGAGTAAATAAAATAAATTGAGGCTTAGCAATTACAAATGGTGTAGTAAATAAAAATATTGATTTGAATCCAAGGCTGACTGCAAAGTCTGTGTTTCCCATGATTAACCTTACTAAGTAAAGTTTTTGCTGTTTTAATTATGCTTTGCCAATGATTACTTTGAACGTGCGTGAGTGCATATGTGTATGAATATATGTGTATATGACAGCTTGAACAGCTTATACTTTTGAGGCCTATCTTCTCTTTCCTTTTCTTTTCGTGAAGTTTCCCCAGTTTTCCTATGGGAAACTGCACTCTGTCTTTTTGTTGTCCTTGTTGCGGGCATAAATTACAGTACAGTCTGCACCAAGGAACGACTGAAAGCTATTAGAAGTGAGCCTCTCCAAAGCATCATTGAAGAAAAGAGATAGTTCACAATATTCTAAATAAATTCCAGGGCTACACTGGCTGTTTCTTCTACTGAAGCTTGGTTGTTCTCTTTATTTTAATTAAAATTATCTGTGTACTTGCCTTATTTTTTTAAAGGATCCAGACTCTGGTTCATTGTGAGCAAGAAACAAAAACTAAACTATTCTAAATTTGGATATATCTGTAATTTTTCTTTTTAAATGTCCCTTCCATTTTAAATACAAAATCTGATTTTTCATGTGATTCTTCTAATTTAAATTAAATTTTTCAAATGTAAATTAAGGTGTTATCAAACAAAATAATCAAAATACATTTAAGTGTTATTAATGACACCTAAAATTCACCTGTATCAATGACATCTTGCATCTTATGTGGATGTTTTATACTTTTATGCATGTTCATCTTGTATTCTCTATACCTTAAAAGAGAGAAGACACACACAAGCTTATATATAAAACCTTTAATATTGCTTCTTTATAGTAATTAAGAACTTAAAATATTTCACTTCCTTTCTAAATATTTTATTTAATTTTTATTGACTCATGATAATCTAGATGTCCACAATAAACACATAGTTGCAAGTAACATGAATTATAGTAAACTTATACCTGTAAAATTCTTATTCTCTGCTCTTGTAACAGAGGGATTTGTTAAATTCTTCTTCTAATCTACATTAACAATAGCACATGTACAATAGTAGGTCAAAATGTAATTAAAAAGTCATTAAAGAGGAAATAATACTTTTCTTCCTACAAACATGTAGTAGGGCAAAATATGTAGCAAAAAATGTAGTTTTCAAGGTTTTTACATTGTATACTTTATATGTGTAAATGTCTAAACCACAAAAGTTCCATTTAAATGGCTATATTCAGTAGGCAGGGCCATATTATCTGCCTGGTCTTCGGCAAAATTGTTAAATATAGACAGAAAATTCCTCCCTTGTCTACTTGATAAACTAATACAAAATTTAAAGCTATCTTATTTTAAACACAGCCATATTTATGTTCTGATACCCAGGAGAAATATCTTGTTCATTTCTGGGGACTGGAGGATCTGCTGAATTAATGATCCCTCCCTGTATAACGAATTACTCCAAAATGTAACAGCTTGAAACAGCAAATGGACACACAATAACATGCATCTATTGGCTCCTACTGAAATGTTGAACTTACTTGTCCTTGTCTTTTGGTAAATGTGTCTTTTTACAAACACATATTCTCATTTTTTATTATGACTTTATGATTGAAAGTGCTTGGTCGTCAAGTGTGAATGTGATCAGGTTTAGAAGATATTGCCAAACAGCTTTTCAAAATAGTCATACCAATTTACGTTATTCTTATTTTAGACATTCTGGCAACTGTGCTGTGGTTTTGAGGTTTTCATTTGTGTTTCCTAACTATTATATGATACCTTTAGCATCATTCATAGAGTATCAGTTGGCCATTTGGCTATCCTCCTTTGTGAATTGACTGCTGGGTTCTTTTGCCCAGTATTCTTTTGTATTGTCTTTTGAGGAACAAAGAGGGTGTTATTGGAGAATTTTATCTGATTTGTTTTATTATGGGTTTGTAGGACATATTTATCTAATTTAGAAATGCATACCAGTTTGTGGTTTGCATTTTCACACCCTTGAGGATTTTGACAAAGAAGTTATTAATTATGATGAAATTCAATTTAACTTTATGGTTATTAATTTTTGTCCTGTTGAAAATATCTGTCACTTAGAGTCATAAAGATATTTTCCTGTATTCTTTTTAGAAGTTTTTTTGTTTTTTTTTTTTTTTTTAGCTTTCATATCTTAACACTTTTTTTTGTCCTGAGATAAGGGTTGAAGCTTTGGGTGAAGACTTTTTTTTTTACACGGATATCCAATTAATTTTAAAAAATCATTGTTATAAATTATTTTTTTCTCCACTTTAATATGGAGCCACTTTGCTATAAGCCATGTAGCATGAGGGCCTGGCCCTCCAGCACTCCTGGCCACTCATCTGAAGAGGTATCGGAGCTCACAATTACTAGAATATCCAAAGGTCCTTCCTCTATAGGGGTACAAGATATTTCCCCATGTTGTTGATTGGCATGGTGTTCTATTTGACTAGTTAAGCATGTGAACTTTTGCTGTTCGTGTTATTGTCCTTCCTAGCTGATCTGATATCCTGTCCAGTCTCCTGGAAGAAAGCACCCGCTAGGACCTCTATATGATTAGCAAGGATAAAAGCGATGAGAAGCTTTCAAGAATGTTCTTTCATCCTGACTATACACACCAAGACCAGCTCCAAAACTCTCCACAGAATATCTGGTATAGATGGTTCAGTGTTTATTAAACCACTACTTATGTTTTTGCTATTGAATATTGGTAAGTTTTTGTGTAACTTAGAAAAAATTAATACATGCAAAAATCATGTGTGCCCAAGGGACTAAATTGGGAATTCCACCCTCAATTAGAGGTCCATCTGAGTGTGCCATAAGGCTTTTGGTAGATGTCTTTGGCATATCACTGAAAGCAAGTTATTAGAAATATCCAGCCATCAAGTCACATCAAAATTATCCTCCCTTGAGAGTTCCACTTCAGTTTACACTAAATGCATTCTATGCACATTCTCACATGGTAGGTAAAAAGTAGCAAATCAGGTCTTGGCATAACCTGGGAGGGCACCAGCAATCTACATCCCATCACATTTGGTGTTTATGTTAGCAATAGATTTTGATTTTAGGCACCCAGAATGAGGAAGCTATGATATTCAGTATTCTCAGCCCTATATTAATTAGTCGTATGTATCGCAGGTTGTTTACAAAAATTTAAACATAATAATTAGTTTTAGCACTTAAACCATGAACCACAAAGTAACTGAAGGTAAATGTAGTGGTTTTAAAATTAGAGGGTGTTCTGTTCCTGCTCTCTCCATGGTATTCAGGTAGGGATTTTAGGCCAAGCTTCCGAATCATTTAAACACTAATTCCCATTAGCTAGAGAAAACAAGTCCAGAGATTTCACTCAGCAATGCCATTTTGCTACCATCACATCTGAGAGAGAGAGAGCTGAGAATTTCCTCTCTAAGACACTCTTCAAAGGCATGGTTGCTTTTCTTCCTGAGATTACAACCCATATATGAGGACCTATATCCATTTATTACCTGATTTAACCCACAGCCTTCCCCAGTACTTGGAATTTTCTGGCTCAGATGTATCGTTCACACACAGGAACAACGATCACAACATTCACGCTAAGACTTGCCTCACTCTCATCTCCTGTCGATGTAATAAGATTTAAACATTAAAGGATCACATACCTGTCCCTGTTTCTTGATAATAAGGCCACAGTTATTGTTACTCCTAACATGGTTTCATGGGATAAAATTAATATCCACCCAATGGTACCATTAGTAGTATGTGCTGGTGAATTTAATAATATGGCTGTTGTTTCTCGTGCATTGATATTTTCTTCTTGGGCAGTCATAGTTTAAATATGAGCCTGAGACCATCATAAGAGGAAAATATAAAATAAAAATTTTGGGATGTGTCCAGATTATTAAAATGTATATTTTCAACCTTTTCCCATTACCTCATTCTCATCTATTCTCAGAAAAATTTCCAGTGGAATTCCCATCTTTATTCTCCGCATATTCAATCTAGGGACATATTTGGGAAAGCCAGACTTTCAGTTCTGACCCATCTCCTTTTTAGTATAATGAGTATTTAATTTGACCACTCTAAATTTCACTGAGGACACTGCTTTGATGGTAATAAGAAATGTCATATTCCAACATAATATTATGCTTTTTTTCTGTTTTCATAAATTGATAGCATTTAAAGTCAGCAATTTTACCAGAAGAAATATATCCACATGGTTCAAATTTATAGATAAATCACTTTTTCTATTTTTAAACTGCATTTTCTATGTTTGCTTCTATTACAGGTTAATGCCTACAGTAGAGTAAGTCTCCATCGCAGTCAGCACCTTATTGCAGCCAGCCCCCTGGAGCTTCTGGTAGACCTGCAACAAACTCCTCTTGTCAGATGTGCATTGGTAAATGTCCCAGGAAATTTTATCATCAGCAGTTTTCAAGCGGTTTCTTCACCTGTTGACATTGAGAGAGATTTTTTAAAATTACGTTAGTGGTTACAGTAGGTGCAAACGGGGTGTATGGTCTCTCAAACCACTGGTGCATAGCCTGAGCACTCCTGCCATGTATTTCATGTGTATGTCTAGGGATCTAAGACTTCTACTTTAAAATTTCAGTACCTCTTTGAATTAGAAACTTGGCTTTAATGTGGTGGTTGAGAAACATGGCTCACTTTAATACTTCAAATTCCCATAGAAATTTTTATAATTCAATGTACGAGGTGGGCTTTTTTTTCTATTTGTCCTGTTATCTCATGCTTATTTGCCTGGCATTAGAGTAAGGACATTGGCTATCATCTAAAGTTCTAAAAATATGTAGACACTCCCCCAAAAGGTAGAACACTAATTCCCCTTCTAGCACTCTACTCCCTCTGCTAACTTGGCCTCTCTCTCTTTCATCAGTCGTACCTTCTGCGTGGCTTATTGCTGCTGATTTACAAACAGCAAAGTGTTCTCAATCCTGAATTTGTTATCCAATAACCAGACATTGTTTTTAAAACACAAAGCAATGTGGGAAGAAAGATCTTTAAAAGTCTGCATAATTGTCCTTTCAGCAGTGAAAACAACTTTCTTACATAGGCATTGCACTGCTCCTGAGCTTCCCTTGGGAATATGCTCTTGAAAATACTACCTCTGCTTAGTGAGTAAACTTTACAGGACTGATGTCTCTCTCTAATCAAATATCTCTTTGACATCACCCAGAGGTGATCAGTATTTCTGACCTCAGAATTTTCTTAACTCAAGAAATTAGCTACCATCCTCCCAGGAGGAAGCTAGCAATTGTCTTTCACAGGAGCTATACTGAAAAACTGCGTTAAGCATATTTTGAGTGCAAATGGCAAGAACACTCTGCTGGTAGCCTCGATTGATTTCTGTGTGTGACACCAGTCTGTGCGTATTGGGGTATTTTGTTTGTTTGTTTATTTGGTTTTTGTTTTTGTTTTTGGAATATTTTACTACTATCATTTGAACAGTCGGCTTGTAAGAATCTAGCAGAACTTCCTGAGCTACGGTCTCCTGTAAAATTTCAAATTCTGTTTCAGTTCAGCCTCCATTTACTTTCAGATATCTTTTTGGTCTTTTGGGTATAGGGATCAACAGAATTCCTGTATAAAGAATGTGATTTTTTTCAAACCTGTTAGTCTCTGAGATCCTTGTTTAGTGGCAGGGTCAGTGAGAGAGAACATATTGCTCAGAGTTTGAAGAACGACCACAGTTGCTCCAGGAATTTCACAGACTGAGATAAAGCCTAGAATTTAAGCGGAATTTATTAGAAGGCTTCTATTTGTCATCTGGGTAACTATAGTCCTCAATGCCTTCTACACTTTTTTTCGCTGAGGCATCAGTCACAATATCATCAATGTACTACTGCTCTAACAAACTGATTGTCAAGCCCAAGTCCCACCTTGCTAAATTATGGCAATCAGTCAGCAAATTCAAATATCCTTGTCAGAGTATGGTAAACACAGTTAGAATCCAAGCCACCAACATGCAAATTGTTCTTGCTGGACTTCAAAATTACCACTGAAAAGAAGACATTAAGGAAGACAATAATGGCACACCACTCCTCCTTGACCATTGCACTTCCTGGATAGTTTTTCACATATCAGATATGGGGAGGTCGTTGGAGGAAATATTTTGTTTCATCCTTGATGTTAACAGTTTACTCTTAACATACATGAAAAGATAGCTTTTGCAATCAACACTTCTACTTCATGTATTGTTATAATCAAAAAGATGATCTCACATTTGTCCTGCAGCAATTCAGTATTGCTTAAGTAATGCTTAAAAATTGCCTGCTTTGGAGGGTTTGGGCGATTCAAATGTTCCTATTCATCATGGTTAATTAAAACTGGAAAATAACAGAGTTAGTTGGCATTCCCTACAAAATGGATAAGGGCAAAATGCCTATTCATACACAATATCTCTCCTGGTTATGCATTCAGGTAAATGCAATGAGTCCACAGAGTATTTTCTCTAGTCACAGATTCTTATTCATAACTTAATCCTCATCTTAGTCCTTACCTTCCATCACAGCACCATCATACTCTCTATACATTTTGGGAATTTCACAATGCCATTCCACAGTACTCACTGAGTACGGGTATCTGGCAATCCTAAAAAAGTTTTGCATATGAACTCATCTACTTCACCCAGGTCATGGATATGGCCCAACATCCCTCACTAGGAATCAAGCACATAGATCTCAAGCCTTTCAATGATACTTACTAAGTAAGACTTTATGGCTTTCAATGAAGAGGTAATTCAATCACCTTGTAAAATATTTTGTGCTCTGAATCATGATAACCATGATTGGATTTGAATGTTTGCAATTTAAGCTAATTATAGCAAATGTAGTAAGGCATCTTATGTAATTGGAGGAGGGCTGATAATTTGTTCTCATCTCCAGTTATTGACAGTGGGTTCTCAACTCCTTAGTGGAAATGTTGGCAGTTTTTCTATGTCATTATTTTATTTTTTAACTGTTCTATTAAGATATAATATGCATGCCCTACAAGTTGCTCAGCTAAAGTGTACAATTCAGTGTTTTTAGTATACTCACCAAGTTGTGCAGCCATCACAATACTCTTAAGAACATTTTAACACTCTAGAAACAAATCTCACCACTATTATTCCCTCCACCATTCCACAACCCCTACGCTCACCCTACCCAGACAACCACTAATTTACTTTCTGTCTATATAGATTTGCTTATTCTAGACATTTCATATACATGGAACTTTATGGTATGTAGTGACTGTGACTGGAACTTAGCATTGTGTTTCCAAGGGTAATCCATATTTTTGCAAGTATCAGTATTCCATTCCTTTTCATAGTCAAATACTGTTCTATTGTATGGATATAGTATATTTATTTATCCATTCACCAATTGATGACATTTAGATTGCTTCTTCTTTTGGCCCCTATTAATAATGCTGTTGTGAATATTTGTGTACAGCTTTTGTGTAAGCACACCTTTTCAGAACTCTTAGGTAAATGCTTAGAATTGCTGGGTCACATGAACACTTTATGTTAACATTTTGAGGAACAGTCAGACTGCCTTCCAAAGTGACTGCACATTCTAGATCCCTACCAGTAGTGCATGCTGTATGAGAATTCCAGTTTCTCCACATCCTCATAAACGCTTGTTATTTTCATTTTCATTATCCCTATTCTAGAGTGTGTGACATGGTATCTCATTATGGTTTTGATTTTCATTGGTTAACGGTATTGAGATTCCTTTTATGTGCTTAATCATCATTTGTATATCTTATCTGAAGAAATGTCTATTTAGATCGATTTCTCACTTGACTGCAAATCACACATTTTGTGTTTGTGTTTTTATCTTTGAGTTGAGAGCATGATTTGCAAATATTTCCCATTCTGTGGATTGCCTTTTAGTGTTCTCGTGTTGTCTTTCAAAGCATAGAAGTTTTCTTTTTTAAAAAAGTTCAATTTATCTATTCTTCTGTTGCATGTGCTTTTGGTATTATATCTAAGAAGTCTTTTGTCTAGCCTAAAGTTACAAATATTTATTTCAATGTTTTATTTTGAGAATTTTATACTTTCAGCAATTACATTTAGGTCCGTACTCAATTTCTGATTGGTGTGAGGTATGGTTTCCACTTCATTCTTTCTATGTAGATATCCAGTTGTCCCAGAACCATTTGTTGAAAAGATGTTGTTCATTATTAAATGATTGAGCATCCTTGTCCAAAATCAGTTGACCAATATAGGGGTTTATTTGGGGACTCTTAATTCCATTCCATTAATCTTTATGTTTTTTCTTATGCCAATATCACACAGTCTTGATTTTTGTAACTTTGTTGTAAGTTTTGGAGTTTGGAAGTCCAGTCTTTCCATTTTAATCTTCTTTTTAAAAATTGTTTCTACCTTTCTGTGTTCCTTGCAATTCCTCATGAAATTGAGAACTCGTTTGTCAACTTCGGTATAAAAGACAGCTTGTATTTTGTTAGGCATTGCAGTGAATCAGTAGATCAGTTTGAGGAGTATTTCCATCTTAACAACATAAGTCTTTGAGAGGACTTTCCATTTACTTAAGTCTTCTTTAATTCCTTTCAACTACATTTTGTAGCTATCAAAATATAAGCTTTATACTTATTTTGCTAAATTTGTTTGCTAAGTATTTTTGATGCTATTGTGCATACAATGCTTTGAAAATTTCATTTTTAGATTGCTTAATGTTGATGGCCATACAATTGAATTTTGTATATTGATCTTGGACACTGCCACCTTGCTTAATGTGTTTACTGGTTCTAATAGCTTTTTAGGGGATTCTTTAGGATTTTGTATACAAATACACATAGTTTACTTCTTTCTCAGTTCAAATGACTTTTATCTCATTTTCTTCCTTACTGTCCTTGATTATACCTCCAGCACAATATTGAACCAACGTATGGTGACTAAACATCTTTACATTTTTCCTGATATAAAAGGATAGCTTGGAAGTTACTTACCATTAAGTATGATGTTAGCGGTGCGCTTGTCATAGATACCAGTTATTACTTCCAGCACATTGTATTATACCTAGTTTGTTGGGTGTTTTATCATGAAAGGGTGTTTTATTTTTCCAAATGCTTTTCTGTGTCTACGAAGATGTTTATTCCAATCCTACAAAGCTATACAACTTCCAATTACGGATAGTTAACTTTACTCCCTGCCTTTTCTTATCTTACTTTTGTGTTTCATTTTTTTTGTATGACACAAGTATTTCCTTAATAGGGTTGATTTTATTGCTTACAATCAAATAGCCTTACATGGTACATTCAACAATTGAAGAGATACAAGATGTATTCTAAAATAAAAGTTTATATTTGCACTGTGATCCTAACCATTTTTAACTCATATCATTTATGGTGTGTGTATGCATGTGTGTGTTTAAAATTGTTGTTGTTTAACAAATAGCTAGTTGTACATGTTTATTTTTCAGTAACAGTCAGGTCAAATAAAGCAAATTAATAATATGGTATTACTTTGTTTTTTTTGGTCTTGGTGATTTTCTTCAAAAATACTCTTCTCTGCTTATTATGATTTTATCTTCCTGTAATTTCCCATTCTTTGATTACAAATTTTTATGAATCTTAAAGCCATTTAGGATTCTATATTTTTATGTTTTTATAAAGAGCTCTTAGGACATGAAACACATGATACTAATGAGCAAAAATTCACTACTCAAATATGGCTTTAAAAATTATTTCAAAACCATTATCTTCTGCTAAACATTTTTCAATATGTGAATTGTCTAAATGGCACAAGGAGCTGCAAGTACAAAGATTATTAAAACAGGATCGTTACTCTCAAAAGATCTCACAGTCCATTTGAAACACTACGAATTTCAGCACCGTGATTACTTGACCTGGATGATAATGTTTTCCTAGCACCTATTTTAATTTGAGAACTGGCAGTGTGTTAAGTAGTTTCCCAATCCAAGTACACAGAACTAAATGCTGAGGGTCCAGCCATGACTTTGAAGGGCTTGATGAAATGTGCCATTTTAGCTATCCCTCCTAATCTCTTCAACAAAAAGAAGGCTGGGGAAGAGACAGTGGGTGCAGCAGTCTTTTGGAGAAACACAGAACTTGTAAGCAGATGTCATCAGTTTCCTCTTTTTTTTCTCCGAAGAAAAATGTGGCTGACACTGCAAAAAAAATCATTTAACTAAATTAGGTAAGTATAAATACATTTTGAAAAATGTTAGTGAGCCACTGGACTGGTAGAGTGTCTGATGCTGCTGGAACTTGAAGATGGAGCAAAGGAGGCATGAAAGAGCTGAAGGAAGAAATGGCCCCATTTGATATGGCAAGGTTAACACAGTTTTTCTTGTGTTAGGTAAATTCTGCTTAATTCAGAATTAAGTTGTCTTGGATCAAATGAAAGCTATACATTGAGAAGGAGATTACAAGATTAAAATCTTTTAATATAGGAGAGTACATGGAGCTCACTCCTGTTAGTTAACTGGGAATATCTTTCTCCTCTCTCTTCTCCCAAACACAAACATAGCACAGTAAGGCCCCAAAAGGGAGAGTGTTTGTAAAAGTGCCACTTCCTGTGCCAAAACCACTAGAGTATCAGGTCTATCCTGCACCAAGGAGGTAAAGAGGAGTTTACACTAAACGTGGAATTGAAACATTTAGCTGACTATGTCATGATAAATAAAATGATAACATTGAAAGAACTGAAAGTAACAGCAAATTTGAGGAAAGAGGCTAACCTGTCATTAATGATGCTGGCTATTCATTAAGACACTGTGGTGGTGAGTTATTCTACAGACAAGGTCAGTAGAAGTTAATGCATACATGCTACTTTTTTCTTTTTATAACACAATGACTTCTCTTTATTTCTATTAACTTATTTACATGTAATGAAGAGCATAATAATCTAACATGTTTTGGGGAAAAAAGTTTTATATACAAGCAAGAGCATTTGTCAGTTATTGTATATAAGCTCTTTTCATATATTGAAATAAGTGGATAAATGCTTACATGTACCAAGCAAATAGATCTTGTTTTTAAGTATTCAGGCTTCTATATTTTTAAATTGTTTTGGTTCTGCTTGATTTCACGTGAACTTTAAAATGTGTAATCCATTCTAGAATTAGAAAATGTCAATGAAGTTAAAAAAATACATGATTTCTTTCTCTCAGCAGACTCTTATTCACCCATTTTTGCCTGCATGTCTCTTTTATTCTGTGACGCTGTTATGAAACAGAAGGGGATGAGTTGATGCTGGGAGGAAGCAGGGTGAAACTTCTGAATAATAAAAAAGATTAAAATATAATCATAGGAATCTTGTCATTGGCGATCACATAATAAAAGATGTCTTTTTAATTTCCTGTCAAAACATATGTTTGGATGATATGCATTCTTTTCTGTATGTAAGATAACCGACCAGGCATGGTGGCTCATGCCTGTAATTCCAGCACTTTGGGAGGCCAAGGTGGGCGGATCACTTGAGGTCAGGAGTTTGAGATCAGGCTGGCAAAAATGGTGAAACCCTGTCTCTACTAAAAATACAAAAACTAGCTGGGCATGGTGGTGGGCACCTGCAATCTCAGCTACTTGAGAGGCTGAGACAGGAGGATTCCTTGAACCCAGGGAGTGGAGGCTGCAGTGAGCCAAGATCGTGCCACTGCACTCCAGCCTGGGCAACAGAGACTCTGTCTAAAAAGCAAAACAAAACAAAACAAAAAACAGTGAATTATCTTATAAATCAACTTGAATTATAAATACATTTTATTTGATATATTAGCATATTTTTATATGTACTTTTTTATGATGACAAAGATTTCTGATATTAGGTCTAATTTTTATCTGAAAATAAGGGAAAATGATTGTATTATGTTTGATACAGATCTAAGTAAAAATTTATATCTATGTAGGCATAACAATTTGGCATATCCTACTTCCAGCTACTTCCAATTTTCTATAATTTTTATGTTCCTACATTTTTTTTTTGACAGAGTCTCACTCTGTCACCCAGTATGGAGTGCAGTGGTGTGATCTTGGCTCACTGCAACCTACACCTCCCAGGTTCAAGCGATTCTTCTGCCTCAGCCCCTGAGTAGCTGGAATTACAGGTGTGCACCACCATGCCCAGCTAATTTTTTTGTATTTTTAGTAGAGATGGGGTTTCTCCATGTTGGTCAGGCTGGTCTTGGACTCCTAACCTCAAGTGATCCACCCACCTCAGCCTCCCAAAGTGCCAGGATTACAGATGTGAGCCACCGCATCCTACCCCTACATGGGTACATTTTGGCCTTTGTCAGAAACGTTCTCTAATCCTTTGGAAACCTTTATCAGAATGTTTACTGGTTTTCATACATTTTCTATTTTCTTAGCGTGAATAACTTAAACTAATAGGGAAGAAAATAACAGGAACGAACAGCGAAGAGGAGAGACAGAGACTGGACGTGTTGTTCTAAAGTGAGCATACTTATATAACTTAACTTTGAGTTACTAAGTGTGTAAGGATGTGGGATGAGTTCAGGGCATATTTCTCTAAAGGGAAATACCTACATTACATTTCGTCAGTCATATAATTAATGAAAATTATGAAAGTTCAAAACCCAGAAACATTTGAATTTATATCTCTGTATACACAGGTCCAGTGTTGGCCCAGAAATATATCATATGAAGTAATGTAAGAATGGGGTTTCACAGAATTTTATCAGACATTGGTAGTTGTTAGTAAGACAGCTGAAAATGTTGGGTTCGGAGAGGCAAATGAATCCAAAAATAGCACAAAGGAAGCAAGTTCCGAATCTCAGGGAGGAATGAGAATGAAAAGCAAATTCATTCATAGCCAGAGACAGTGTCCAAAAAGAGACAGTATCAGGGGAAAATAGGTCCTGTTTAATGAAGAAGAGGTGGATTGGAAATTTGAAATCTTAAACAAATCTTGAGTAGAATATTGGCATTTGAGGCACCTGTTTTAAACATTGGCAATAACATGTTGCCTGAATTAATTAAAATGATTAATGGTTTAGAAGTTAGTCATACAGACAAAATGCATACAGTAGGAGCAGAAATAGGATGATTATAACCACAAAACAATCTCAAGATCTTTCTATGTAAGTAATTTTAATTTATCATGTCAACTCCATATAGATTTGAAGGATTTTTATCTGATAGAGAAAGAAAAAATTAAATGAAACTTATAGTGGTTTGTCATGTCTTACTGCAAAATTGGATTGAATAATTTTAAGATGGAAATGCTGAAAGGTTACCTTATTTGAAGTGCCTCTCAGAAGTAGAAAATTGACAATTAGAAAATGTTTTTTTCAAGGTTAAATAACAAGATTATTATTGAAGTAGTAAAACTATATTTCTTCTTTACCTTGTACATTATACAATGCTTCCTCTATAAATCCACCATCTCTATTGGATTCATAGTATGTGTTCAGAAGGCACCACTTAAAAAAAATCATTTCACTTGAGTAAGAGACCATACTCTATTTTCACCTACTGATTAGTCTTAATATAAATTAGTTCTAGAAGTTAGTAAAAAGCGTAACGACCACACACACTAAAAAAAAAAAAAAAAGGAATTTGTGCATAAACATTGAGATGTCAGTTCTACCGAAGAAGAATAGAATTTTAAGGGAATTGTTACATATGACACTGAAATTCTGGATGTTGTACTGACTAATGAACTCAATTGACAATATGGGAAGAAAGGTGAGGTTAAGGGAGAAGATAAATTTAAACTATTTCTCTTTTATTCCTCATTATCATTAACTGGGGAATAGACAATCACTAAAACTGCTATATTTTTAATATAAAACAATTTTTCCGTGTTCACTCCATTTTTAGATTCATCACAACGAAGATTTTCACTTAATAGCAAAAATTTTTGTATAATTTTAGAGAAATGAGAACTCTTGTTCAAGAGTGAAAATTAAAGTTACAGTCAAAATAAAAACACCTCTTACATTCAACAGATATGATCACATAGCAGTAGGTGTGGCTTTCCATCTTACACAAGCTAGCATGACTCGATCTCCACAAAATTAAGAGTGGGAGGATTGAAAGTCTAATGCAATGATTTTAATGCTACTGCACACTAATCTTGCTGTAATATGTTTTCTTTCCCAAACTTGAAGGCACACATGTCTAATGATGAGGATGTCCTTGATGAATTCATTGTTTGATAATAGTCTGTCTTTGTCAAAAACTCAATCCCAGAATTCCATCGATGTCAGTGTCTATATGATCCATCTGTCGCCTAAATGCTGGCTGACTTTGCCTAAGGGGATATTAACATATGTCACTCTCTATTCAGAATGTAAGTTTTTACCCATGAATTTCAGTCTTAATTTCTATTGCACTTACTTTGCTTTTTGTTAGTATGCATTTAAAAATGTATCAAAATTTTAAAGGAGACACAGGTAAAGTACAAGCACGATGCATGGCACAAGGTCACACCCGTTTATTAAGGTCCTTCCACCAACCCCTTAAAAATATCGGCAAAAAGCAAACATTATTTGTATGTGTGCATTTTATCAAGAACATTGAGAACATTCATATGAAGTTTATATAATTAATTTATTTCCATGATAAAGTATGTCACTATTATTAGTTTTGGTCCACCATGATTTGTTAGCCGTAGATTGATTAAAAATCCACTGAAAACATAAAGCCTTAAGAAACGTGGGCCAGATACAGGGATAAGGAAAAATTCCAGTTGCTTCAAGGCTAAGCTGGGAACAAAATTAACTTAACATTCGCCATACTTGACACTTCTTGGAAGATTGGTGTTGACATGAGTTGGGATAAAAGAAAAATTGTCCACTGGGTACTAAGAAGGTAAAACGGAAAGGTGGGAAAAAGTATCACATGACAGGAACTTCTGTATCATTGTGTAAAAGTTGTTGCCCATGCTTTTTTTTTTTTTTTTTTTTTTTTTAAATGCAGGATTCTGTAAATAGAAACAACGATTCAGGTTTCCATAGACGTTACCCTTACCCCTCTTAGGTAATCTCAATCTCTGCTTAAAAAGTGTCTGTCATTGGAAGGCATACTTTCTGTAATGCAAAAACTAATGCTCTTTCATCTCAAAGACAGCCATATATAAATTAACAAATAAAAGTCATTGAAGAAAGTTAAAAAATTCAGTTTTTGTTAAATTTTTATGTCTACAAATGGTCTCTTAAAGTTGTTTTCTTTTTTGTAGCTTTTAAAAAAAAGAAAATGTTTCTTAAATGACATTTGCAAAATTTTGTATAATGGATTTTATCAGAGGATCCAAAGTTGAAATGTTTTCAAAGCATAAGAAAAAAGTAGTTACAAAATATTTTTGTAACTACAAAAGACAAAAACATAAGTAGTCTTGAGAATAGATTGAGTTGCAAACAAATGTTTTACTTTTTAGAGAAAAGCACCAATGAAACCTTATGAAATTTCTTTTCTGATATACACTGTTAAAATATTTTGAACTTTAAGGGCTTTTATCAATTAGTAAGTGCTTAAATATTCTGTCACAGTTTTGGTAATTTTTGCTAGAATTATTTATAACATATAATTTGGTTTACATATATGACATTTTACATTTAGATATATTTACTCCAGATGATTAGATTACAACTATAGTCAGCTGTGATTTAGATAAGCAAATCTGAATATTTGCACTGAGTTAAGGGCAATAGTATAAGGGGGAAGGAAGACATAGAACAAGGTGGATTAAGAGTAATCAGAAACTGAATCAACAAAATAGAGTGGAAAATTCATGAACTAACTAAAGGAAACCGGCAAAAATATGGCACGCAAAAAGCAGAGTATAGGGAATTAAGGGATTCATATATTTTTTAAAATGCTATA
Source organism: Homo sapiens (assembly GCF_000001405.40). Classification (NCBI taxonomy): domain Eukaryota; kingdom Metazoa; phylum Chordata; class Mammalia; order Primates; family Hominidae; genus Homo; species Homo sapiens. Next base: position 66,052,331 of record NC_000018.10, on the reverse strand, counting down.
TGCTTAAGAAAGTGCGTGTTCTCTCTAGCTATGTTGCAACATCTGCAAAGGATGGCCCACAGTTAAGTGTCCTCTTAAATTCACTTTCTGTTGGTTTCTTCACAATTTTCTTCCTTCTGGCTACTGAATGCAGTGTCTCATTTTCTGTTTCTCCTCTTTGCCATTTTGTAATTGATGAGCATGCTTCTCTATTAATGGATAAGAAAACAGACAGAAAATAGCAGACCTGTAGGAGATGAAGAGATAGAGTTGGGAGACTGGGGAGACTGCCTAGAGTATCTGAGAGCATGCACAGAGAGAAAACTGAAAAGACTGCAGCATCTCCTCTGCAAGGTGAGAAAACCACCTAGGAAGGAACCACTGGGAACAGCATTCATCCAGTACTGGAAATAGTGGCTATTCCCACCAACCAGACTGGAAGGACCTGTAGTTCATGGGGTGTTGGGTAGTGTACACAGAAGGGTCTTGCCTCAGTGGTGGGGAATAATTTTCCCTGGAATGAAACTGTTCTGGTATTTAATTAAGGGCTGGGCGCAGTGGCTCACACCTGTAATCCTAGCACTTTGGGAGGCCAAGGCAGGCAGATCACCTGAGGTCAGGAGTTCGAGAGTAGGCTGGCCAATATGGTGAAACCCTGTCTGTACTAAAAATACAAAATTAGACGGGTGTGGTGGCACGTGCTTGTAATCTCAGCTACTCGGTACGCTGAGGGAGGAGAATAGCTTGAATCTGGGAGGCAGAGGTTGCAGTGAGTCAAGATCACGCCATTGCGCTCCACCCTGGGTGACAAGAGCAAAAACTCTGTCCCAAAAAAAAAGTCACATATAATTTTAATTAAAAAATTCCTAAAGAATCAAATTGGTTCCAAGTAGCATAATTACATTTTGGAATAAAGCTGATTAGTTATTATGCAAATAAAACATAACCAGTATCCATCAAAATAAATTTTACATTTTTCATTTACTAGAACCCATAATGTGGAGAGAAATCATGGAGTGAAATCTCTCCAGAATTGACACTGATTTTAGCATCGGCAGAGAAGTACATTAAAACAGTATTCCAAATATTCGTAAATAGAAACATGAAAATAAATAAAGACCCAACTGTAGTTCCAAAGATGAAATTTACAATGTCTAAGATGAAAAATACACTGGATGGAATTAATGGAAGGTTAAGTTTTTAGCAGAACAGATGGGAGAACATGAAGCTATAGCAAGAGTAAGTATCCCAAATAAAACAGAGAAAAGAACAGAATAAAAATAAATAAATAAACAGAGCATGGCATCAGTAAGTGCAAGTACAATTTCAATTAGCCTAATGTATGTATAAATAGAGCCTGTGGAGGTGGGTCAAAATATTGAAAAGAATTATTAATATACATCTATCAAAATTAAAAATCTTCTGCCCTTTAAAATACATTTAAAAAATAAAAACACAAGTTCCACACTGGGAAAAAATCTGATTAAGAATGTTTATTCAGAATACATAAAGAATATTATTGAGAAAATCACAACAATAAGAAAAAAATCCAAACTTACCTACGAAAATAGCTCAAATTGAACATACTCTTGATGAGGATGGAAAGGAACTAGAACTCTCATACATTTCAGGTTAAAATTAAAAACTGTTTAACCACTTTGAAAAACAATTTGTTAAACAGTTAAATATACCTAAATTATGACCCAATCATGTGACTTCTTGGTATATATCAAGAGACATGCAAGCATGTGACCCTCCAAATGATCATAGCAGTTTTATTCACCTCTTTCAACAAGTGAATGGATAAACATATGGTGTAACATGAATAAGTCATGGAATACTACCTAGCAATAAAAAAGAATAGATGTTTTCTACACTAACTTCATTGATAGATCTCAAAATAATTATGTTGAATGGAAGAAATTGAACAACTAAAGAATGTTTAGTGTATGATTCATTTATATAACAAGAAAATGCAAAATAATCTATAGTGACAAAAATCAGATCAATGATTGGTGTGGGATGTGGAAGGAAGGAATTCCTAAGGGGCATAAGGAAACCTTTGAGTTGATAGATAACATCTGTAATGATAGTGTTGGTGGCTTTGTATATACTATAATCAGTGCAATCTATTCTATGTTAATTATACCTTAATAAAGCTGTTTTAAAAGATGGTATAAAAGAAACTTAAATTTATCATTAATACAATAAATATAAGATACTTTCACACATAATTACCAGATAAACTCAAGACTAAATAAAAAGCATCTCCTACTCTTTACAAGAAGCATAAAAAAAATTTTAAAATTTTAAAAATAAGGAAAAGGCATGGGAAGACATAAACAGTATTAAGATAAAAGCTAAATGAAATTAAAACTTAAATTACTTTTCAATGCATAAAAGGCTGTTCAGCAGTCAATATCAATCTGCATAGCTAATCTCTTTCTTCATACCAATAAACAACTCCATAAATTTCCTTATATCTAGACATGTCATAGCTTTCCATATCTTTGCTGCCTTGGTAAAAGCTGGAAGCTGGATCCTTTGCCAGGAATCTCTTTCCTTCTTTCCTTGTTGATAAATTCCAAGACACTTTTTTACGTTGTACTCCATGTACAAAATATCTCACAATTTCTTCATTATTGTACATCATCTTCCAAGGAATCTCATTACTGCATGTAATTTTAATTGCCTACTGATTTTCTCCTGACATATTTTTTGACCCCTTCAACTGCAACACCTTCAGGGCAAGATCACTTCGTTGTAATTTTTGTCTCTCCAAAATCATGAACACTTTTGACTTATAGTTGGTCTTAATAAATATTTGATGTCAAAAATTAATTAACATAAATATCAGTTGTTAAATGTATCTATGGGTAAAAAATTCTTCATATCAGAAATTGAATTGCAAGAATATTTTTAATAATTGTTAATTATTTCTTAGAGGAGTTTACAAACCCGTGGGACAGGAACCACGGTGTCATAGAGCCTCATCGTCATGGGTAAGAGAGTATTTCCCGAACACCAGTCCTTCCTGCATCCGCTTCACATAGTTGGTAAAACTGGAGTACATATTTTAAACGCAATTGCTTTTGTGACAATAAAGTTAAAAAATAAGCTGAATATAATATTAAATGTCAAATAATATTAAAATAAACATATAACTATTAAAATAAAATATGCTCATCTAAATATTACTTACTGTATTCTTCTATAACATCAGGAGTAAGTAAGCATTCCTTAAGAAGCTCTTATATGGTCTATACATATATGTATGTCACTGACTAGAAAACAAAAAAAGTAGTTTCAACTGACTTGAGGAGAGAGCCTTAACTGATTATGAAACATTAACTGATTAGAAAGGATTAAAGAGAAGAAAAACACAATATTATTATTTTTCAAAGTTTTATACTTTTTCTACCTTTTACCATATTACCTAGGGGATAGCAAGGACAAGAAATAGAAAATATAGAAAAGGAAACAGGTACAAATTTTCATAATACAATTTTAAAGTGTCACACAGCAATTGCATGGGACAGGTTTAATAGGGAAGAAAAATTTTATTTAAGAGCATTGCCACAGGAGACAAGACTATTGTAACAGAGAAGACTAACTAAACTCAACTCTCATGGAAATAATAGATGGGAAGATTTTTAAGCCCTGGGGTTGAACAAATGGATTTTTAAGCCCTGGAGTTGAACAAATGGAAAAGTGCTGGAGGAGTTTATGGGGATCTTGGTCAGTGTGGTTAGGCCATCTGTGTTTACTTATTGCCACTCATGACATTAGGCTCCTACCCTCCCACAGGGATGGGAAGACAGGGATTCTTTCTTGATTATTATATTTCAAGGGGATGGATTCCAAGTAAATGAGAAAGAAAATCTTGTATTGTAAAAAGGGCAACAGATTATTTTATATTTTAAAGGAGCCGAGAAAGGATTTGTAATAATAAGTTTTATAAAGTAAATGCTCTCAACAAAAGGGAGGTAGGAGCCTAGAGTCGGGGGGAAGAAAATAAAGCCTGTCTAAAATTTAGTCAGGCCCAAGGGAATGATCAGGCTATTTTGATCAAAAGGAATGGGAAAGAAATGAATATTCAAGTTTCCTTGCCATTTATTAAATGATTTAAAAGTATTATGTCTAAAAAAGTTTTTAGAGCTTCTAAATTTATCATCAAACTTAGAAAATGTTTAACAGATCACATCAATGCTGTGGAAAACTAATTTTAGTGACCAAATCTATTGAATTACATTTTATTATGAACATGACAAAAAAAACCTGAAACAAGCAATTCAGAAAATATCCTTTTAAAAACCTATTTTGACAAGTGCCATTTCATTTCCATTATTTTTAACACTTGATGATATATTGCTTAATGTGTTTAACTATACTTGATGCAGTTATGAATTCTCACTCTAAATTTTTACAGCTAGTTTTCTGCTGTCAAGTATTTTTGAGGAGGTTAGCTGACACTTTAAGAATGTGTAATAATAGCCCAGAGCTCAGGTTAATGAACTAAAGTCATTATATTGGCACAAATTCGTGTATACTGTATTGTATGTCTTTCATTAGAAAACATTGAGAAACACAGAATGGTTCTTTTTAGTCTTTCACAAACGAAATATTCTCTTTTCCTTATGGACTTAATTGATTTGGATGGTCTGGTCTGTGTGTACCAATGCTAGATATTGTTTACAAAAATACAAGATTTGAAAATCTAAAACTTAAAAAAAAGTCTAATCCATACTTGAAGAGCTATTTAAAATGCAAGCAGTGTATTTCAAATTGATCAGTAGCAACACAAAAAGAATGGCAAAAAGGAAATTTTCATAAAACTACTCTAATTACCATGTTGGATGCTTAAAATGTAAAGTCAGTGTAATATGTGCACACAATACCCAAGGTAGTGCACTACTCTCTGCCTTGAGGAAGAGTCCATTATTTTGTTGCTCTCTTACCCTAGTAGTGATGAAAAACTTTTCCTAAGCTGTCACATAAAAGATTGGTAAAGTGGCTTAATAAAATCCTGGCCAACGGGCCACTTCAGATTGGATGAATCCTAGCAAAAGAAATACACAGAAAAGAGAAATAAGGTAAGGCTCTTATAATTCAGTTTTTTAATACATTATCTTGGGTTTCTTCCAGTGATTTGGGAAACGATTGGAATCACAAGGTTAAGAAAGAATGAAATCAAGAGATCTATAGAATTTGATTTTTAGCTGAAAAGAAAATAGCATTTTATATGCTAACACATTCATTCACTTGCCCGTTTATGAATTATTTTATCAAAAATGCATAAGTTTCTCTTATTTTTCTGGCACTGTGCTGGGTGTGTGGGGCCCTTGTCTTCATCCTCTAGAAACTAACACATTTATTGAGAGAGATAGAGTGTCCATGCCTTTGAGAATGACTACTGCAGTGGACATCAGCAACTAGGCAGCGAGCCAGGGGAAGGGCACGTAAGTAAGCTGGACAAATTAAAAAAAAGACAAATAGCAAAACCTGAAAGGTTATTTAGAAAAACTGGAAATCTACCCTTTTCACTTATAACACTTTAATATGTGGAAGGATAAGGCTTCTATGGACAGATCAGATTTTAATAATAGTGGCCTAAAAATGAAGTCAATGTCCCTAATGTTAAAAGTAGCAGAAAGAAAAACGACAGTATATTTGTCAATTTTTGTTTGCTACATAATGAGTGATCTGCTTTGCATTTTAGTCCTGTGACATTCTGTTGGGACATTATCTGACTGAAAACGTTGGTGGGAAGTTGAGCTAGAGTTGACTGTAGTGTTACCAGCAGCAAATCCATGTGGATCTGCAGCAATCTCAATTCTTGTCTCCTCAGAAGAAAGAACTTAACTGAGGGGCATGAAGCAGAGTGAGAGACCAAGGCAAGTTTTACAGCAGAAGTTGACTGCAGATAACTGAAACCAAGAGAAGTGAAACCTAGAATAAGGAGAGACTACTTACATTGTTTTTAGTTTTTAAGATTTGGTTTTGTGTGCAAAGCAATTCCCACCCTAGTAGGTCTGTCAGTGTTTCCTGCAATGCTTTTTACATTATGTTCATGCTCCAGGTAAGCAGGAAGCTCAGCAAATCTGCCTATACTTCTTGGCCACTAGATAGCATGACCTTCCTGCTCTTGCTACTGCCCTGCTTTTGCTTAAAAGGGATAATGATTAACTCCGACTCAGCCAAGTTTCCAGGTGACAGATACATAGATCTATTTTAATCTTACAGCATATATATTAAACAAAAATGACACTAGAAATGCAAACATATGACACTCTATGCACCAGATATCAGCTGAGGATGATATAATTTCTTACAGTACCAAAAATTGACCTGAAAGAAACTGTCATTGTATGAGTAATAGAAACATTGTCTTGAGACCTGAGTAACATAATGCACATAAGTTTGGTTAATGGCCTTTATTTCTTACGAAAAGATACCAAGACAAGCTCCATTGCCTTGTTTTTGTTTCTGCTTAAACAGGTTGGAAGTAAATTTAAACACATGAAATAAATTGAAAAGAATATTCTTTATTGAATTTGTTGAATATTTCTTGATTGAAATCAAGTTTAGTGATAGTTGGACTTAAATTTCTATTTTAGTCATACTAATTCTAAATGTAACAAGCAATGATCAAGGTTGCTTGGAGTCTGTGACCTTTGAATCCTTATAATAAATAGTAAAATTGAAAACTCATTTACTGGTATAGGCACTAGAAGGTTTAGAAAGGTCAAGCAAGACAAATATTACCACCATGGATATATGTGTAGATACACATAAAAATAAAATCTAATATTCTTATTGGATCATTGAAAATATTATTTATTCTGGGTATTATGGTAGGGGGTTTTACAAATGTTCTCTCATTAAATCCTCACAAGCATTCTGTCACTTAGTGATATCTAAGCGAGGAGACTAAAGTCCCAAGAATTTAAACGAATTCCCTAGTTGTAACATATCCATGTAATGCTAAGCTGGGATTAAAAGCTAATTTTGTCTGTTCATAGAATCAATGTTTTTTGGGTTTTTTTGTTTGTTTGTTTTTGTTTTGTTTTTAATTACACAGGTTGCTTGTAGCACATTCTTTGACAATGCTTTTCCTGCATAAATTGTTAATGTTCTAATACCAGCTCTGTGTATCTAGCCCCACTGAGCTTTCTTACTTTGTATATTGTTGTTTGGAACTTTCCAAAATGCTTTCCATATGGAAAAAGCAAAAAAGTAAGCACTTCATTATTTTTGTTTTATTGATTTAAAGGTAGTTATGAATTCCAGTTATTTTCTCTACAGTTTTGCCTATTCACATGTAACTTTCCAGTCATTTTTAACCTTTGAAAAACTTATGAAACTTACTATAATTTTTATCTGATTTTATAGTCTTTGAAGCATGGCTGTATTCCATCTCATACATATATAACTGTTTAAATAGTTTAAACCAAATATTCTCACGTTTAAAATAAGTTGAATCCAATTAGAAACAGGCAAGTTAATTTAAACATAGTTGGAGGCATTACCCCACTCATTTATTAAGCTGATTTTACGGATTCTGAACTGACTTAATTTTGCTGTTGCCTTTTATTAGAACAGTAGCCTATTGATATGGAATATATTGAAGAAAGACATTTGGATACTGTGCTGCTGGGCAGAAACACTAAAGGTTGTTCTCTCCAAATTCAGATTATTGAGCAGCTTTTTTATTTTCTATTTTTCTATTTGCTCAAAATGAAAACTGTGTGCAGGGCCAAATGTAGAACAGGATCAGCTTCCACAGCTCACTTTCCCGCTTAGGAAAATAGTGCTATATTTGGAGACTAACTATCAGTATTGGTTTGAAGGAAGCTTGGACAGAGAGTTCAGTATATTTACCACAGTAAGTTTGCTGGCAGCCAGCAGTTTTGTTATAGAGAACTAGGATTAATGACACATCCTGAAAGATTTACCATTAAGGTATTTAATTATATACCAGAAAGAATGAGGCCTCCAAACTAAAGAGTCCTTAAGTTATGAATGCCAAGGCATTAAAAAGAAATGGCTATTATTTTCTCTTTGACTGGTGTTATTTGACTTTAAAGGGCAACCGCAACACTTATGCACAGAGCCTTTTTGACCGGTGGTTGTTGACTATGATTTAGTAGATTGGACAAATCTAATGTTTCTATTTTTTTTCCTAATTGGACTTACGCAATTTATGCATTGATGCAAACTGTCTTCAGTGCTTAAAAAGTTTCCAAGCATTTAGAAAACTGAAGAAAGAAATCCCAGTTTTATTTTTTACCTATTTTTATAACTAGTCATAAAGTGGCTTCTGTATAGAGTCATACAGAAACATTTAGAATTTTCAGTTACATAGTTTACTTCTTTTAACTTGTTGACTTTAGGAAAAAAAATCACTGTAGCACTCTGTGATTTAGATTTTTATATCTTTAAGATAGAAAAATAAAAACAAAATTTAAGGTAAATAAAGTCACATTTATAAATGAAGACTCTAGTTACTGATGGTGATCACATATCGATTTTAACATACCCATTGTAGAAGCAAGCAAAATAATAATTAAATTAATAGGTGAAATATAAACCCATAACAATGAAAAGAGTAAGAGTGGGGCTACCAAAAATTAGATTCAACAAATATTTGGTGGGGAAAAGCAGAAGTAGAGTGGTAAATGATGGAGACTTTTAAAAGAAACCAAAATCTAGAATGAGAGTGAAGATTTGTCAGTTAATGCCACAAAAATGCACACTTAATACCCATTTACTTTGTGGTGAGCACTGTTCTAAGTGTTTACCAACAATTAACTAATTTCACCATCAAAATATGCATTATACCTGTGCACTGAATCTTGTTTTTTTTTGTTTGTTTGTTTGTTTGTTTGAGGCAGGATCTCACTCTGTCACCGAGGCTAAAGTGCAGTGGATAATTGGCAAGCCACGTGTAGAAGAATGAAACTGGATCCACATCTCTCACCTTATACAAAAATCAACTCAAGAGGGATCAAAGACTTAAGTCTAAGACCTTATACCATAAAGTTGTAGAAGATAACATCAGAAAAACACTTCTAGACGTTGGTTTGGGCAGAGTTCATGACCAAGGACCCAAAATCACATGAAATAAATAAATAAATAAATAAATAAATAAATAAATAAATAAAACCTAATTAAAATAAAAAGCTTCTGCACAGCAAAAGAAATACTCAGCAGAGTACACAGACAACCCACAGAGTGGGAGAAAATATTCACAAACTATGCATCTGACCAAGAACTAATATCCAGAATCTACAAGGAACTAAAACAAATCAGGAAGAGAAAAACAAATAATGCCATCAAAAAGTGGGCACAGGATATGAATAGACAGTTCTCAAAGTACATACACAAATGGCCAACACACAAAAAAATGCTCAACATCTCTAATTATCAGGGAAATGGAGATGAAATACCACCTTACTCCTGTAAGCCACAGGTTTTAGATGGATATTGAAAGTGCAGACTTTGACATGTTGTATTTAAGTGATAACAACATATAGGTAATTTCAAAATTCAATGAAATCACACAGGATGTGAGTGTAGGTAGAGATTAAAAAAAAGGTGTTATGGTCTGAATGCTTCCCCTCCAAAATTCAGGTGTTGTCAATATGATAGCAGTAAGGGGTAGGGTCTTTAAGAGGGGATAGGGCCATGAGGACTCCTCTTCTATGGAAGGGAGTAGGTGCCTTTATAAGAAGAATTGACAGAAGGAGCTTGTCCTAGCTGCCCTTCCACCTACTGCCATGTGAAGATGACACAAGAAGGCCATCACCAGATGCTGGTGCCTTCACTTTGAACTTTGCAGCCTCTAGAGCTGTGAGAAAACAAATTTCTGTTCTGTGTAAATTACCCAGTCTCATTGTTTTGTTGTAGTAGCACAAATTAACCAGACAAAGAGATTCAAGCACTGAACTCTGAGGTATTCCAATATTCAATACCCAATTTTTGGATTAGAAAATGGAGAAAAATCTAGCTAAATATTTTGAGTGAGACTACGTAGTGAGGCAATTCAAATGCCTAGAGAGAATGACATAATTTAAAGTAAAAAGAGAAAGGAAGAGCAGATAAGTATCTGTTTCAAGACTCAGGCAGCAAACATTAGTGTGGTAGCATTGTCAGGTAAGATGAGGACAGGTAATTAATCATACAGAAGGAATAAAACAGTGTCAATACAAATAACCGTTTTGAAAAATTTGCAATTAATGATAGAAGATAAATTGGAGAATAGATAGAAATATTAGGTCAGGATACTTGAAGATGGGTGATATACATCTCATTTTGAAGAAAAGAAAGAATTAGAAGACGCTTTTCAAAGTAAGGAAGAACAGTGACTCAATTATAAGAGCAAGATTCAGGCCCAGCGCATTGGCTCATGCCTGTAATCCCAGTAATTTGGGAGGCCGAGGCAGGAGGATCATTTGAGTCCAGGAGTTTGAGACCAACCTGGACCACATAGCAAAATCCAGTACCTACTTAAAATACAAAAACTATCATGGTGTGGTCATGGGCGCCTGTAGTCCCAGCTACTCAGGAGGCTGAGGTGTGAATATTGCTTGAGGCTAGGAGGCAGAGATTAGCCCTAACCTCATCATTATAGCAGAAAACCAGTAAAATTAGTTCAAAATTATAATTTTAAAAAACAGTAAAAGCATATTATTTAGACATATGAAGGACTCTACCTAAAAGAACTGCTAAAAATAAATGTAATGGTTTCTGAGGGTCAAACCAGGAATTTAATAGGATGGTGCAAGAGACTCTTGATTTTCATTATAAACACTTCTTTGTTTAATTTTTTTGACCATAAATGTATATTAATTTGAAGAATGTTTTTATTAATGAAATCTCTAAATATATATTTTGCACACCTACTACTTGCTTAACTCTGTTTATGAGGTTGGGAATAAGATAGAAAACAAAAGAGAGAGATAGTCCTTGATTTATAATTTTATTCTTTAAAACAATCCTGTGCTTAAGGTTTGCATTATTTCTCTCTCTCTTTCTTCTTTTATTTTCTTTCTTTCCTTTATTCTTTTAAAACATGAATTAAAGGAATTAATGAAACTCAGTGAGATTCAATAACTTGCAGAAAAGCATATAGATATGTGGTTGACAAAGCTTTGGGTTCTTAGTAATCCAAGGCAGATCTATGAATACATTTTACTCAAGAAATATTTTTATCTTTAATGGTTTGATTGTCATAGGGCTATTATTTCAGCCCTATATATCAGAGGTTAGATATATTTTGAAACTAGCGTGGGCTCCAAGCTTTCTTAAAATCCATTGTTTTCTGTGTGAAAATGCTTTTTCCTAACTTGTAATATGATGTGGTATTTAGAATTTAACCTGTGGAAAAAATTGCACATTCAAGGTAAGAAAAGATTTTTTTTTTTAAAAAAAAAGACATTCATCTCACTTAGAAAGCAAAATGTAAGTGCATTATTGAACTTTTTATATATTAAACAATCTTTTAAAATATTTTTATTCCAAAATATGTTATGTAGTTATAATATTGTTATGGGCTGAGTTGTGTTGGTAAAAACTTAATATGCTGGAGTTCTAACTCCTCATGTGACTGCATTTGGAGATACAGCATTTTTTTTTAGTGATATTTTCTAGTGCAGCCTGAACAGACTAATACACACAGAAAATGCAGGAAAAAAAGCCATAAATTTTACCTGAAAAATCAAACAAGATAATCTTTATAATATTCTTCATTCATCAAAGTTACAGAGAGTTTTAAAAGCAGTTTTTATATAAATTATAATTATGAAGAATAAGGAATAAAGTGATTTATATTCTGTAGTCTTTGGCTATTCTGAGAGTATCTTACGATTCCTAAATGGGCTCTGAATTCATTTTAGAAGTGTAAGGTCCATATGTAGATAATGTCAGGGGTAACATTACTGTCTCTCAGTTACCTTTACCCTAGAAAGATCTGAAGAAGAGACAATGCTTTTACTTGGTGGAAAAAAAATAGTAACTGATGATATCTGTTCACTGTGTCCTTTTATTTAACAATTTAGCTAGAATCACTTGAGCTATCAAAGCAAAAAAAAGTCTTATGAATATATAATTTTTCGATTCAAAAATTGCATTTCCCTTCCTTTATCCGAAAAGAAATAAAACAAAACAAATTTTGTTTGGAAAGAAATACACGTTAAGAATTTTCAATGATTGATGTTTTCTTTAATTTGGCAAAAGTAAATAAGTCTAAAAGTAATGAAAAATGTTGAAATATATTTTATTTCAAAATCTCTAAACATTCTAATTTATTAATTTATTTAATTTATTTATGTGAAGTCAGTGAATAAGGAAAAGAAGGAAACAGCCTAATAGAGCATCCTTTATCTACTGTTTCATTACTGGACTAAGTCAAAATATTCTCAAAGCCAAGGCCTTCTGCCTCAGGATTGATGTGCATGGCAATAGTTCTGAGGTGAAAGGACTTTGTTAGAATGAGATTTGAATGTTGCTGGACTGCTATTTTTTGTGAGAATAATAATGGTGGTCAAGCTATAATTCATCTTCTGAATTAGAAAGAGAGATAGTAAAACCATCCCACCCTTTGACCAGGAATCAGAGGCCTCACAGAGATTATTCCACATGTACTTTTCTACAGAACAGTAGCGCTCAAGAGGCAGCCTCTAGACTGGCAGATTAGTATCACCTGGGAGATTTTTAGAATTGCAAATTTTTAGGTATTGATGCAGGACAAGCAAGCTCCAAAGTTGGGGCTTAGCCCAAGAGGGTTCTTGGCTTCACTCGGGAAAGAATTGGAGTGTGAGCCAATGGTATTAAACAGCAACTTTTCTTGAAGTGGCAGTGCATAGCAGCAGCAGAGGCACTGCTCCTTGCAGAACAGGGCTACCGCATAAGCAATGTGCCCAGAGTAGCAGCCCAGAGATAGTTCTGCACTCATATTTATAACCACTTTTAATTATATGCAAATTAAGGGGCAGTTAATGCAGAAATTTATAGCATAATAGTGACAACTTTCAGGTTATCAGGTTGTTGGTATGGAAAGGAGCAGTAACTTCCAGGTGTTACCATGACAATGGTAAACTGACATCGGACCCTAGTCTTTTGTCTTATGGGGAGGTTTTTCCACATCAGACCTGTTTTAGCTGCTCCTCAATTTGGTCAGTGTTCAAGCCCCATGTCTGGAGTCTAGTCCTAACTTCTACCTCAGTACCACCTTGATCTACAACTAAATCAGAAACTTTCGGAGGTGGAGCACAGCCATCTGTATTTTAATGAGTCCTCCAAGTGATTCTGATATACCTTAAATTTTGAGAATCACTATTATAGAGTAAATAGTATTCCCAATGGTTAGATGGTTATTAAATCAAAAAGGGAAACCTATTTCCATTGGCTTATCTTCTTTTGAGACTTAGTCAAAAAAAATAGAAGCTCATATAGTACCAACTACATTGCTTTATCTTGCAAAAAATGCTTAAGAAAATTTGGGAAAATATAAATAATCACTGCATAGGAATTAATGTGTTCTGTGATTCAGATTAAAACTATTGTACACTGTGTAGGAGAAAGTTCTGTATTTTGATTCTTTCTAAACGGAAACAGACTCAAGAACACATTTAAAGATATGCAATGTGATTTCTATTTTATTTCACAAAGAGATGATGATATTGTTCTTTTCAAAAATCCCCCAAACTAAGACCAATATTTTGTTATTGTTCTTCTCTCTTACGTTAAAGTAATTACAAATAGCATTTTGAGAAATAGCCCTTATACAAGTCACTCCACATCTCAGAAGCCTAAACAGGCAACATGTACACAAGGACTCCTTAATTTAATATTGCAATATGGCCTTGACAGTTCTATTTCTGCATCCAAAATAAGATTTTGTACTGTAAGCTAGGATTTGAAAGTCCCACTGTCTACTACGAAAATGACAAAGCCAAACGAAAAAACCTATTTGAACAAAAGTCTCTGTATAACTCTTCCTGCCATTGATCTGATTGCCCTATTTTATTTTTGAAAATTACTCATAATTGATTATGTTGGAGCCTATTGCTGCCAAGAAGTATACAGGCACAACAATTCAAGGGTGGGAAAGAAATTTACAAGAGAGTAAATTTGTCCAGGATGCAGGTAACTTCCCCAAAGACCAACTGAAGAGAAATCTCTGAAGAAAATCTTAGAATCTAAAAAGGTAGCAAGCAAGGCTTTGAAGAGATTTCCTCTCTTTTTTTTTTTTCTTCATTCATTTATTCTTTGAGAGGAGTCTCGCTCTGTTGCCCAGGCTGTTGTGCAGTGGCGTGGTCTTGGCTCACTGCAACCTCTGTCTCCCAAATTCAAGAGACTCTCATGCCTCACCCACCTGAACAGCTGGGATTACAGGCATGCACCACCACGCCTGGCTAATTTTTGCATTTTTTGGTAGATATGGGGTTTCAGCATGTTGGCCAGGCTTGTCTCAAAATCCTGGCCTCAACTAATCTGCCTGCTTCAGCTTCCCAAAGTGATAGGATTACAGGTTTGAGACACCACTCCCGGCTGAGATTTTTTTTAAAATATGGTTTAAATTCTCTTGCTCCTCATGTTATTTGCTTTGAGAAAGAAAAATTGTTACTTGTTCCTTTATTGCAAATCTTTTGGCAAGGCCAGGATCATTTGAATAGTGTCTATAGAAGAAAAATGTGGGTAGTTTAAACTCATGCTTAGGCAAAGAGTTGCAGAGGAAACAAGAGGTGATCATGCTTAGGCAAAGAGTTGCAGAGGAAACAAGAGGTGATCAGCTTTGAGTTTTCTTCTCATCCCTCCCTCCAAACTCCCATAGCTGCTAAATGAGAGTCTAGAATGCTTCCTTCCATGCAGCTTCTTCCTGAAATTCCAAAGCTGATGTGCCTAGCATAACAGTAGCTTAATGAGTTGATACAAAAGAGGAGGATAAATTCCACATAACAGTAAATCTGTGCTGTGACTTTCCACCCTGTATTTCACTCAGTCATGTTTCCTTGAATTATTTCAAGGTGATGCAGATCACCCTTTAGTCTTTGGCCCCTCCACAATATATACTGCGAGAATAGCCAGTAGACCCAAGGAATAGGAGCTTAAGCAAATAAACAAACATGAAATGACAAATAGATTATACATGCCACCCAGTAGCAAACATGTTAGCATAGAAGGACCTAGATTTTAAAACAGGTGTAATAAACCCACTAAAAGAGGTAAGGAAAGATGTTAGCAATATGAAACCAAAACAAAGAATCACCAAGACCATAAGCAAAAATAATAGGTACAAAAAATAATGGCTAAAATAGAGAGCACCGTATATAAGATGTATAATACAATGGATAAAGAGTTCAATTCTCTCAATTCCTACCTAAATGAACAGTCAACCACTGAATTAATTCAAGCTGGGGAAAAAAATTTTCCAATTGCATTTTTTGTTTATATTAATCATTTTGTCACCATCTCCCAATTACCCTCTCCAAGATCCCCTCACATCTGTTTTTACTTAATATAACCTAGAGTTTTATTTACAAGTTAACGTTTAGATCATTATTTTTGTCTTACATGCATATTCTCATATGATTGTTTTAAATTTCCGATTATTGTAGAGACATGTACAATTTTGATTTTTATTATTTTAGAGCTTTAGTTTTTTTATAACAGACATTATAGCAGTTTCAGATCCTCATCAAAATTGGCTTTTTTAATATATTAAATTATACATTCATGTTTATTTTATAATTTCACTGCTAACATATTCTACACTTTGAGGAATGATTTCAAGAGTGATTCTAGATGCTGAGAAGGCTATTAAACAACTATGAGCGAAAACAGCCCCTGAGAGTTAACCAAGAAAAGAAGTCTGAAAGGACAAACACTCTAAGGAACTTTAAGGCATCTATGACAGGAAGGAGCAAGGTTTGCTTAAGAGCTAAAGGAAAAAAAAAAAAAAAAAAGGCAGAGAGACAGACAGAGAGGGAGACCAGGATAGCTGGCATGAGAGAAAGGCAGGAACCTCCTTATACTATACAAAGGCTTATAGGATATTTGAAGTTTTATCTTATTCCTGAAACAGTGGGAGCTGTAAATAGTTTTTAACAGGGAGAAGGTTGAAAGTATTACAGATATCTTTTCTAAGCCAAGAAATATTTGGAAATGTCATTCAGACATGTATAACGTAGGTGAAGAATAAACTCAATAATACTAAATTCAATAACATTAAATATAAATATAATCTTATACCTTTGAAATATATAATGAATCTACTTCCCGGTGTCCCTGGGGCATGTAGGAATCATTGCTATACACTATTACACCATGAAGAACAAACCTTCAAAAATAAAAAACAAATATGCAAACAACAATTTGACAGCAGAAAAAAATATTCCCATATAAATAACACTTCATTTAAAAGGAAAGTCAAAATAGCAATATCAGCCTCTTCTCATGCTATTCCTTTCCATTGCTTGAAGCTGCTTCAGAAAGAAGCATGCATTCTTTGTCTGTTTTTCCTCATTTCTGACTCACTGAACTCTGGTTTATTGCTCAAATTATTTAAATTAATCTCTTTTTGTTACTAACAACCTATTACAGGACAAATTAATTGGTCTCTAAATACTTACAGTCATTGACCTTCTGGAGTATGAGATATTGATAACTATCCAAAAACCTTCAAAATCCGTTTACCTTTAAATTTCAGAGTATTGCTTTATCTGAGAATATTTTCTTTGCTTATTCTGATTACTTTGCTAATTTATTTGATGTATCCTGCTTCTTCTTCAAGCTCAAAAATTTTTCCCAGATTTCAGATCCCTCTTATTTTAACGCTATATTTATTAAAATAAACACTACCTGCTTGCCTGGATTCATTTGACTATAACTCTTTTGGCAATTAAATGACTAGGATTTGGAATATAGCTAAATTGTGATAGATTAACAAAGTAAAAATATTATGCAAATGATAGAGATAAAAAATATATTCACATTATATAGATAAAGGCTTATTTCAGAATATAAAAGTAATTCATATATCAGTAAGATAAACACAGGCAACTCAATAAAATTGGTCAAAATACTTGAACAGGCATTTTATGATAACCAGAGAACCAAAACACATATGAAGATATGTTCAATTTTATTAGCCATTGGGGGAAATGCAATTGAAACCCCACTGAAGAATGGAAAGGACAGATAAAATGAAATATTGGTGAAGAGATAGAGCAACCGAAACTCTCATATACTGCTAATGGGAGTGTAAATTTGTACATTCTTTGTGGAAAACTGGTAGGCAGTATCTTCTAAAGAAGAAGGTATGCATAACTTGTGATCAGGGGTTCATATATATTTAAATGCATTCAAAATATATTCACAGTGCAGAAATATTTACCAAAGGAAGCTATAAGAATGTTTAGCACAACAATATAGGCAATTTCTAAAACACAGTAAAATTCAGGTGTCCAGGAAGGGTAAAATGAATAAACAGATTATGTTTTATTTATGCAGTGAAATAAAAAGAAAGCCAACAAGAATGATCGATCTAGAATTACTGGCAAAAATGTAAGAATTCCACAAACACAATGTCAATATAAAGAGTCCAGACACATTCTCAACAACCTGGAGACTGGAGACTTTTATTCTAAGTGAAGTAACTCAGGAATGGAAAACCAAACATCATATGTTCTCACTCATAATGGGAAGTAAACTATGAGGAGGCAAACGCACAAGAATGGCACAGTGGACCTTGGGAACTCAGAGAGAGAGCATGGGAAGGGGGTGAGGGATAAAAGACAACAAATTGAACACAGTGTACACTGCTTAGGTGATAGGTACACCAAAATCTCACAAATCATCACTAAAGAACTTGCTCATGTAAGCAAACACCATCTGTTCCCCAATAACCTATGGAAACAAAAAATAATAATTTTGAAGAGGGCAGACACATGAATGTGTATGATATATGATGGTATTTGTATGACAGCATTCAAAACAAGCATAATTAATCTATTATATTAAAGGACTGTTTTACCCCTTTGGACAGAAGTTTAGCTGTTAATGAAACCCCAATTCTAACTGCTTTTCCAACTCTGTTACCACGTTTTGAACTTACAATTGAATAAATACATCCCGTATTATCAAAAAATCTTTTCTATCTTGACTCGCCTATTTCAGATGATGTAATTCCATTGACATTAAAGCAAAAGACAGACAATTTTCTCATTTTCCTAGCACCTCATCCATGCCATTGCCAAATAAAATGTATTTGAATAAAATAGCTATTTATTTATTTATTTATTTATTTATGTCTTCCCTCAGTCCTATTTATTTTATACACTAATACCAGATAGCACTTCCTAAAATACTACCTTGATTATATAAATCCATGCTCACAAAGAGGAAATGGATCACAACTTTATTCAGTATCTAGACTTTATTCTTCACTTTAATGTTCAGAGCTCATCACAGTAATGTTTCGATTTGCCTTACCTGCCTGATTCATGATTCTCCCACATATAGCCTGTAACACGTGGGAACTGGCCACTGGCACATAAATGTAAGCCAGCCAACTGTATCATTCTTTCTGCCTAAAGTGCATGATAGATTTCCCAGTTTTACTTCTGCAGTGTAAATAGTGCTCCTTACACAGGTATTTTCTGATTCTTTCTAATAGAAATATAATTGGTATTTTAAATCACAATTCTATTATGACTGTCTTACTTTTAGTAATATAGTTTTCTATAATTGTTATTTTTATTTATTCTGTTAGAATAGTATTTCTCAAACTTTATCCTCTATCACAGTGACCTGGAGAGCTTGTAATAAAACATATCATTAGGTTCCACCATAAAAATTTCTGATTTAATAGGTCTATGGTGATATTATGAAATTTTCATCTCTAGCAATTTCATAAGTGATGCTCTTGCTGTCTGTGCGCTACACTTTGAGAACTACTATATTAGCATCAGTCACAAAGGCATAGGTCATATCTTATTAGCATTTGTTTTTCCTAAATTTATAACATAAATTTGCCTAAATTTGAATGCAAATTTTAGATAAGCACATACATACATGCCATGCAAAAATAACTTGAATTATAAAATATTTCATCCCTTATAAGCATAATCATAATTATATTGAAATGAGATCACAAAAGCTTTGGAATTTGTGAAATAAAATTAAAATAAAACTTATTAACATAATATATGATTTCCATTAAAATCACATTCAATTCTATTTTGTTTATAAGACTTTTGATGAAATAGTACACCCATTTTAAGATTACCTAGAATGGAGTAGAGTTATAAGCAGTTACACGAAAAAAAAGAATCTTTATGAAAGTAGATGTGTGTTTACAAAAGCAGACTTTTACTCTATTTATTAGAGTCTAAGAACAAATATCCAGATACAAAATATTTCTCATACATAATAAAATACTTTGTGCAAATAACAGGAAATCAAATTAGTATTGAGGATTCAAAAATCAATATTGAGTAATATGGCAACTTAAATATATATTTTGTGAGTGTTTATTTTCAGTACTGAGTTAAATTAAAATTTGTAGTCTACTTATGTAATGAACATTCATATGTTTGCATCATCAGTTTCAAAATAAAACACAAATAATTTTAACAGGTTATAAAGAGAGTGGCAGTAACAGAAATAAAATCAAATAACAATGATATATAACAAAAACAAGTGAAGATCGTGGAAGGAGTTTTCCAAATGTAAATATGAAATGCTTAATAATTCAGCATTGAATCTAAATTACTTTTTAAAAATTGTGTGCCAAAAGTCCATGAACATCAATTCTAATGGCAATATAAAGCCAAAAGAAAAAAAAGAAAAAAAAAAAAACAGAAAAACAAAAAAAAACTTTTAGAACTGTGTGTTTGGAAGGAAAGGCAAAAAGGTGAATTTGAAGAGAAATATCACAGATCAACTTAAAAAGACAACATAGGCTCTCAGGCAGTGGCTCATGCCTGTGGTAATTTGGGAAGCTGAGTCAGGAGGATTGCCTGAGGCCAGGTGTTCAGGACCAGCCTGTGCAACCTAGCAAGACCTCATTTCTACAAAAAATTTATAAACAGCTGGGAATAGTGGTCCCAGCTACTGTAGAAGCTTGTGCCCAGGAATCCAAGGCTGCAGTAAGGTATGATCATACTACTGCACTCCAACCTGAGTGACAGATTGAGACAGTCTCTAAAATAAATAAATAAATACTTTGTTTAAAAAGCCAACATATATTGGAAACTTACTCAAAAACTATGCCCAAATGTATCTTTTACATAAAACATATTTTTATTATTCATGAACTTTTTCTGGGCTCCTACTTTATGTCAAGTATCATACCAGAAAAGGGAAAGATAACACTGAGCAAAATCCACATGCTTTTATCTCATAGTGATAGTGTCCCATTGTAATTGAAGAATTTACATTGAGATCTAAAGAATGAGTTAGAATCAATGCACTAATTTTCTAATACTTTCTTTGTCAGTAAATTTGAATTTCATTAATGAGCTAAATAAGCTGGGAACCTTGGTTTTCTTATATATGTCTCAATTACCCCATTATGCCAATATTTTATATTTAATATGTGTGCCTGTGTGTGTGTGTTATCTCTTCGCCTCCATTTTTACATTTTCACAATTCTGGAAAAATTTTCTGTCATCTTTGTCTGGCCTAATGTAATATCACTAATAAATCTTCATATATTCTGGCTTCCCTCCAATGTTATCTACAAATGTAGCAAGAGTATAATTTTTTTTTTTTTTTTTTTTTTTTTTTTTTTTTTTTTTTTTTGAGACGGAGTCTCGCTCTGTCGCCCAGGCTGGAGTGCAGTGGTGCAATCTCTGCTCACGGCAAGCTCTGCCTCCTGAGTTCACGCCATTCTCCAGCCTCAGCCTCCCAAGTTACTGGGACTACAGGCGCCCGCCACCACGCCCGGCTAATATTTTTGTATTTTTAGTAGAGATGGAGTTTCACCGTGTTAGCCAGGGTGGTCTCGATCTCCTGACCTCGTGATCCACCCACCTCGGCCTCCCAAAGTGCTGGGATTACAGGCCTGAGCCACCGTGCCCGGCTGAGAGTATTATTTTTAAAATGAAAGTGTGACCTTCTCGACAACTTCTGTTGAATAGTTCCAAGTGCAAGTCTTACCCTTCTGATAGCTTCCTATTGTTTTTAGAAAATGCTCTACAATGTCTTAAGACTTGCACGGTCTCCATTGCATCTGTCACGCCAGGCATTTCATGTGCTTCTGTTGTCTCATTCTTTTAGATATAGCCAAAGGAACCTACTCTTTAGATTTCAGAACACTTTGCTTTCCACAATATCATAATTCTTACTTCTGTTCATATTTTATATAGAAATAAGTATTTGAAAGATGATTTTCCATACCTCTGGGCTTAAAGTTATTTTAAATGGCTGCCTGCAAAAAGGAAGCCATTCGATTTTTTCTCATTTAATTTTTAAAAAGACTTTTTTATTTTGTTAATTTTTTTTATTTCTAAGTATTATGGACACATAGTAGTTGTACCTTATTATGCGGTACATGTGGTATTTTGATACAAAAATAAATATATAATGGTCAAGGTAATTGGGATATTCATCACCTGAAGCACTTACTATTTCTTTGTGATAAGAATATTTCAAGTCCACTCTTTGAGTTATTTTGAAATGTACAAAAAAAAATTGATAATGACATTCCCCATCGTGCTGCTGAACACTAGATTTTATTCCTTCTATCTAACCATATTTTTGTACCCAGTAAGCTTCCCCTTATTGTCCCCTTCTCCCCACTACCTTTCCCAGCCTCTTGTAGCTATCATTCTACACTCTATCTCCATGATTTCAACAATTTTTTTTTTTGCTCCAAATAAATGAACATGCAATATGTGTCTTTCTGTGTCTGACTTATTTCACCTAACATAATATCCTCCAGCTCCATTTATGTTGTTGCAAATAACAAGATTTCATTCTTTTTTAATGGCTGAATAATATTTCATTGTGTATAGGTACCACATTTTCTTTACCCATCTTGGCTATTGTGATTAGTGTTGCAATAAATATGGGAGTGAAGATACCTTTTCAATATACAAATGTCCTTTTTTTTTGGATATATACACAGCAACGGGATTGCTGGATTATATGATAGCTCAATTTTTACTTTTTTGAGGTGTCTTCATACTGTTCTCCATAGTGTCTGTACTAATTTACATCCCCACCGACAGTAATTGAGGATTCCCCAAATAATCCAACTAAAACACAGGCCAAAGATCTGAATAGACATTTGTCAAAAGACGACATACAAACAGCCAATGAGTATATAAGAAAATGTTCAACATCACTAATCATCAGAGAAATGCAAATCAAAACTACAGAGAGCTATCATCTCACCCCAGGTAAAATGGCTTTTGTCAAAAAGACATGAAATAATCGATGCTGGCAAGCATGTGAAGACTTTGTTTTTTAAGAACAGTTTTAAATTTACAGAAAATTGAAGAGATAGTAGAGAGTTTCCATATACCCCACACAGTTTTCCCATTATTAACATCCTACATAAATATAATACGTATATTACCATTAATGAAACAAAATTGATATATTATTATTAACTGAGATCCATGGTTGTTTCTAATTTCTTCACTTTTCACCTGCTATTTTTTTTTTCTGTTCTAGAATTCCATCTAGGATCCAAACTGCCATTAGTTACCATGCCTCCGTAGGCCCCTGTTGGCCATAGAAGTTGCTCAGACTTTTCTGGAAAGAAAAATTCTAGGCTCATTTTTTCTATTTCTTGCCCCGGTAATAGAACCAGCAATTTTTCCAAGGAGCCCTGGATCCTTTTAGTGGAGAATGGTATTTGAAACCAAGATCTCAGTCCAAGGTGTGCTTGTTGCTACTGGGATTTTTGTTTTTGTTAGTGATGCAGTTTTGAAGAGTACTGAGGAGATATTATGTAGAACACCCACTATTGAGATTTGTCTTATGTTTTTCTCATATTAACACTGTGTTTAGGAGGAAAACCAAAGAGGTAAAGTTCTATTTTCATTCCATCATATCAAGGGTACATACTGTCAACATGACTTATTACTGTTGATGTTGGCTTTGATCACCAGGCTGAGATAGTGTTTATTATGTTTCTCTACTCTAAAGTGACTCCTACCACCGCCTTTTCATTACTGTATTCTTTGGAAGGAAATCACTATGCATAGCACACATCTAAGAAGTCGGAAGTTATGCTTTTCCTACTTGAATACAGACTAGAGAAATTATTTGGAATTCTGCATGGGAGATGTTTCTTTCCTTTATTAATGAATTTATTCAGACATTTATTTATATCATATAAACTTATGGATATTTAACTTATACTTTGTGTTATAATCCAGTTATACTTGATTTATTTTATTGTTGAAGTTTGTCCAGCTTTAAACGCTGAAAAAATATTCCAGTTGGTTACTCTGAACATTTTGACATACCACCGTCAGTGTGTTTAGCATTTTCTTACTCTGACATTAGAAATCAATATCTAGGGTCCTAGGTGTGCTTGTTGCTACTGCAGTGCCATTTCTTTTAGGCTTGTTGGGTTGACAGAGCACAGAAATATATGTGTGTATACTAACCCATGTATATACACACATCTATAAATACAGATATAATAATCTGTGTCTGAATCATTCTTGACTTCATCCTTTGTCCATCTGTCAATTCCCACTCCAACTGTAAGAAAGTTGTTTTCCATGATCTTGCATCCATTCACATAATTATTTAATGTTATGTGCATGTGTGGTGGTTTCAAAATGTTTAAGCCATAACTTGTAGAAAACATCTTTATCACCTAGAGTACAGTGCTTAGGTGAGGTTCCTTTTGCATTTCATCTTCCTGACTGACTCAGTTCTAAATTTACTTAGGTCAATGTCATTGTTGCCACCTCCTTCAATAAGGTTGTTTCATAGTAAATTTTCTGTTGCCATTTGCATAATTTCCTGGAATCCTCTAACCTTCTAAGTGATTTTTTAAATTTGTACAGATTAGAATTTAATCTTTAGCTGTACAGTTCTATGGGTTCCACAAGAATGTCATGTGTAGATCTTCACAGTCTTTACTGCCTAAAACACCCCTCTGCTTCACATATTCACCCCTCTTTCTCTCTTTCTCGCTCTCTCTCTCAAATTCTCTGTATCCAATGATTATTTTATTGTTCCAATAGTTTTGCCTTTTCAAAAGTCATATAATTAGAATAAAAAATTAGCCTTTTCATATTGGCTTTTTTCAAGTAGGAATACAGATTTAAGGTTCTTCCAATTCTTTTTGTGGCTTTATAGCTTATTTCTGTTTATCCTGGAACAATAATTAATTGTATGTATGTATTATGGAAAAACTATTTTTCTATAATATAGTATTTAATTGTATGTATGTATTATAGAAAAATCAGTTTTTACAATAGAACACATATAATACATATCCTATTAAAGGATCTTTTTGATACAATAGAACACATATAATAGAACACATATAATACATATCCTATTAAAGAATCTTTTCGGTTTCTTCCCATTTTTAGCCATTATGAATAAAGCTACTATTAACATTCACCTGAAGGTTTTTCTATGGGCACAAGTTTCCAAATCTGTTGGTAAATTACTTTGGAGCACAATTGATTGATTTTTGATAAGACTATGTTTATCTTTGACTCCAAAGTGGCTGTTCCACTTTTCGTTTCCATCAATGAGAGTTCCTGTTGCTCCATATGGTTGCCAACATTTGGCATTGTCAGTGTTTTTTGAATGAGCCATTCTAATAGGCTTGTAGTGGCACCTCATTATTGCTTCAGCTTCCAGTTTCCTGATGACATATGATGTTGAATATGTTTTCATATGCTTACTTATTAAAATTGGCAATGCCTTTCAGGCCTAGGACAAGGTTCTACAGAAGATAATATATGGTCTGAATTAGCATGCAGTATATAGTGTTCTTTTATTTTCTTTGTAGCCAGGACTCATGGGTTCAGGAATCAACATGTGGAAATAGGTGTGGTGCCACTCACTATCTCCCCTAATGACCCAGTAACAAAATGTTTGTTCCCTGTTCTCAATACTTTATGATCTGCTGGCCTGGAGGTGTCATTTCCGGAGAGAAAAATGTTTCTACCAGAAGATACAACAATGATTTTATTGATCTGGAAATGAAGACTGCCATATGTTCACTTTGGGTCCCTCATGCCTTTGAATCCACAGGCAAAGAAGGGTATTACTATGCTAGCTGGGGTGATTGATCCTGATCATCAAAAGGAAATTGGACCACTGCTTTACAGTGGTAGTAAGGAAGAGTGTGTCTACACAACAAGAGATCAATTAGGGTGTCTCTTAGTATTATTAAGCAGGTCACTGAAGCAAATTCAGGTAGGACTACTAGTGGCCCAGACCCTTCAGGAATGAAGGTTTTGAGGCCATCAGATAAAGACCCATAACCAGCTGAGGTGCTTGCTGAAGATTAAGGAATACACAATGGAAGAAGAAGCCTTAAATGTAAGTTATGAGCACATGACCTATTACAGAGATGAGGACTGTTATTTGTATAAGTATTTCCTCATTTTTTATGAATATGTATGTGGGTGTATATGTGTGTATATAATATATTTTTCTTTTCTCTCTCGCTTCCTTATCACGTAACATGAACTGTATAGACTTCATATTATGGTGTATAACTTTTGTCAATTTTACATCATGCATCTTAGTCCATTAGTGTTGCTATGAAGGAATGCCTGAGGCTGGACAATTTTTGAAGAAAAAAAAAACAGTTTATTTGGCTCATGGTTCTGCAGGCTGCATAAGAAGTATGGCACCAGCATTTGCTTCTGCTAAGGGCTTCAGGCTGTTTCTACTCATGGTGGAAGGCAAAGGGGAGCCAGCATTCAGAAATCAGCTGGCAAAAGAGAAAGTGAGGGCAAAGGACATGCCAGACTCTTTTTAACACTCAGTTATTGCAGGAACTGAAAGTGACAACTCACTCATTCCCATGAGAATGGCACAAGACACTCGTGAGGAATCCATCCCCACAACCCATATATCTCCCACCAGGCCCTACCTCCAACATTGAGGATCAAATTGCGACATGATTTTTGAGGATCAAACATCAAAACTATAGCATTACAGTATTTCAGTTACAGGATAGCAAGACGAGTAAATGTCACATAAGGGCTTTACTTCTTCTGGGAAAGGGACTAGTGCGTTTTCAGTTGTATGTGGGACAATTTTATTATGTTTACTGGAACTGTAGTTATGTTATTGTATTTATTTAAAGATTAAGTATGTTTTAGGGAGATGCATATGGGTGCCAAGTTGGCAACGTGTGCACTTATGATGGTTACATTGATGTGTCTGTCAACTGTATTATGTCACTGAGTGCTTAGATACTTAATTAAATATTATTTCTGCATGTACCTGTGAGGTTGTCTCTAAAGCATATTAGTGTTTGAATCCAAAGAGTGAGTAAAGCAGCTAATTCTCCCAAATGTGGGTGGACATCGTCCAATCCATCAAGGGTCTGAATAGAACAATGTTGCAGAAAATGAGGCTTCTCTAACTTTGCCTGCTTGAACTGGGACATCAGTCTTCTGCCCTTTCAATGGCACTATTGGTTTTCAGGCTTTCAGACTTACACTGGTATTTATAGTATCAGTTTTCCTAATTCTAAGGTCTTTAGACTTGGACTGGAACTATACTATCAGTTTCTTGAATCTCTAGTTTACAGGGAGCAGATCTTGGGATTTCTCAGCCTGCATAATCACACAAAATAATTCCCTGTTTGGATGGATGGATAGATAGATAGATAGATAGATAGATAGATAGATAGATAGATAGATAGATAAAAGAGACATATAGATCTGTGTCCTATTGGTTATGTTTCTCTGAAGAACCCTGATTAATATATCTTCACTTTTCTGACAGGTACAAAAGAAATTGTTGATTTTCAAATTGCTCAGCTTCTTTCTTATTGTAAGTATGAGGTATAATGATTTCCAAGATCTTTCCATATCCGAGATGAGAGCAAAATCTTGCTCACCATATTCAGTACCAAACATACTTTCCTGGCCATTAAAGGAAATTCATAAATATTTATTGAATGAGTGAATAAATAAATTAATGTATTAGAGGAGATAGGATTAAGAAAATGCTAAAAGCTAGGTAGTGAGATATACAAAATACATTCAAGGAAATAAAAATATGTATAGTGATGAAATAACAAGGAGCTAGAAATAGGAGGATAGGAAAAATATATTTCAAAATGATGACTACATCATGGAGGCATTGTCAGAGCTATAACTTAAAGTGCTTGGCAGGTTAAGTTAAGGGGTTAATACTTCATTTTATGAGCTGTGGAGACTCTTTAAAGGCCTGGGGACTCAACATGATCTGAAATGTTATTTGTTAAACATAGTTTTACTGGTTTTATTTGGAGAAATTATGATAGGAAAACCACTTGGGAGATTATAAACACAATAGAAGATGATGATGGTATGAGGTAGGGTATCATGAGTATCAGGAGAAGTAGAATAATTCATGTGATATTGAAGAAACAGAATTAACAAAACTAAGAGATGGAAGAAAAGAGGAAAAGAAAGGTAACTTAAAATATTGATAATAACTTCTCAGTTCCTCAGTTGGACATTGGGTTGGAAACTTAGAGATCATTGAAACTAGAAATATAAGAACATGTTCAAGTTGAGTTTTGGGGTGGTAAATATAAATTCAGTTTTGTACATCTTGCTTTTTTAGTATTATTCTGGATGTAAACGTATGAAGCTCAAAAAACATATCTGGGCATAAGATTGAGGTTTGCAGTCATCATCAGATATTAATTGAAGTAAAGGAATAACATAAGAAAGAGCCCTGTCAAATGTTACAGTTAAGACAGTGAAAAAAAAAAGAAAGAAACTCCTTGAAAATAGAGCTTATGAGCTCTTCTATTTGACAAAAGGAGAGTTAAGGGGAAAACCAGGTGAGCACATAAAGAATCAAAATAACACAGAGAACAAGAAAAGGAAATAGGTTAAGAAAAAAATTACCTGTAGAAAATGCTACTTAGTAGGAGGCCTGTTAAGATTAATTTGGATTCAACAGCAGTAACTTAACAGTTTTGCAAGGCTAATTTTAGTGTAAAAGCAGGTGTGCAGTGAATTGTCAATTATTTGCACGGTGATGAATGAAGCTAGTAACTATAAGAAACAATATACTAAGGAGGGAGAATCATAAAGCAGAAAAGTAGACTTGGGTATGCTTAATGCGGATAAGCATGTCAATTAGAGATTGAAATACAATTTAAGCTTTTAAATGACTTCTGATTAACACATTCTTTAATGACTTCTGATTAGATATATACTGTAATCATACTTTAGCAGTAGTTGATTCATTCGGTCACTTTGTCATCCTTAAAATGCTATTTTCACTTGGTCTCAAGAAAGCATACATTGTTTTTTCTTCTTCTTTTGCCTTTTAGTCCTTGCTACTGATTTTCTCTAAGATTTCTGAATTTTTAATGTTAAGGTACATGAGGCACCAATCCTTCAACCTCCTTTTCCCTACTCATTCTCATTGCTGTGTGGATTTCATCCAATATCATGTCTTTAACTTCTATTTATATAAAAATATTTCTTAAAAATTTTCATTTAGACATTCTCTCTAAAATCTAAAATCACATATAAAACTAACTACTTAGCTTCTCCACTTCAATGTTTTAATAGTCACCTTAATTATATTATAGCAAATACTCTGTGAGGTTTTATGCCAAATCTCTTCTTATGGTCTCAGCAAATGACAACTACATCCATTCTGTTTTTCATGCAAGACCTTGAAGTTATGATTGTTCTTTTCTTTTTCTCCCCATATAATAATAGCAAATACATGAGAATCTTGTTGGCTCTTCCTCCAGAAAACTATATGTTCAGAATCTGACCACTTCTCATAATCACTAACATTATCACCTTCTTCTGTGTACAAGTCAACATCATACTACAACTGGATTAGTGAAGTAGACCAAAAAATATAAACAAAGCTTTTCACGGAACCATTTTTGTAATAGTAATGTCCATCACAATTGAAGAAATATATAACTTGTGGAATATTCATAAATTGAAGAGATCATGGCAATGAAAATTCTACCAGATACTATCTGGATGAAGGTCATAAAAATGGTGAGTAAAATAAAATAAAAGATGCAATATAGTTTTACCTTAAAGTTCAAAATGTGTAAAATTTAAAATAAATATTGCTCAGGAACGCATAACTATGTAGTGAAAATATCCAGTTAGGACTTCTACTTCCAGTTATAATGTAGTGACTGCTACTGGTCTCAACTTTCTAACACAAAGAACTATGTATAAACTTTGACATATGAGGAGAATGCTTTAAGGAAATTCTGAGAGACAGAAATCTCATGAAAGGAGAGGAAGCGCTATATCACTTCCATTTTTTTCCTGGGAACAATTTTATGACTGCAGTCTGGACAGCTGGAGCCAAAACAGATATATACACACACACACATATATATATTTAAGGATCTGAGAATAAAGGTACTGAAGTGGCTTGAATCATTGGGTCAAGACACCGCAGAAGAAACAGTTGAACATTGTGGGGATCCAGCAGTCTATGTCCAAGTTCCCCTATGTGTCTTTGTACCCAGACTTGACTGTATATATGCAGAGTTTATTAGAGATTATCTGTTATGGTGATAAAAGGAAAACAGTAATGTTAGGGGTATATCAGTGCTCAGAGATATTGATGTTCCAGCTCAGCCAGGCTGGAGATATGTCATTAATACCGAACTCATAAAGCTGATTGGCAAGAAAAGCTACACCTTGAGAATAAGGAGCAAACCCTAGAGGAAGGTCTGGTCAATAGTCATAGAAATTAAGTAATGTAGTTTGGGTAAGTGTCCCCACCTAAATCTCATGTTTACTTGTAATCCCCAGTGTTGGAGGTGGGGCCTTGATGAAAGATGATTGGATCATGTGAGTGGATTTCTCATGAATGGTTGAACAACATCTCATTGCTGCTGTTCTCATGATAGTTAGTCCTCATTACATCTGGCTCTTTAAAAGTGAGTGGCACCTCCCTCCAACCTTGTTCCTCCTTTCACCATGTTATATTCCTGTTTCCCCTTTGCCATCCACCATGACTGAAAGCTTCCTAAAGCCTCTTCAAATGCAGACGCTTCTATGCTTCTTATACAGCCCACAGAACCCTGAGTCAATTAAACTTCTTTTCTTTCAAATCACCCAGTCTCAGCTATTTCTTTATAGCAATGCAAGAATGACCTAATAAAATAGGTAACCAAAACCCAAATTTATAAAGATTTTAGAAGTTTAATAATACAAAGTTAAAAGAATTCTGAGCTTTCCACAGTCAAACATTGTAAACCATCAAACAAAGGCTCATCAAAGTCTAGGTTCACAGCCAGTAATCAAACTACCCACCAAAAACAAAAATTAAAACTCTTTGGAAGAAATAAGGGAACCTAGAGCCCATATATCATCCAAAACATCTTAAATAGAGTTCAAAAATCACTAGCCATTTAAAAAATAGGAAAGTACAACCAAAAGAAAAATGGTAGTCAATATTATCCAATCGCAAGTTGGCACAGATGTTAAATTTAGTATAAAAAGATGTTTAAAAAGGAATATAAATATTTTCAAGGACTTACAGGAAAATATGGTCCTTATGAGTAAAGAGATAAATAAACTAACTGGAGAAACTAAAATCAAAACTAAAATATAACCAAGTAGAAATTTTAGAACTAAAACTAGAATAACATAAGTAAAAATTTCCCTAAAAGTGTTTCAACAACAGATAAAAGATAGTAGAATACAGTGTAAGTGAATTTGAAGATAAAACAATAGAAATAATTCAACCTGAAGGACAGAAAGTAGATGTATTATATTAATCAGTTTTCTGTAAAGGGACACAAGTAATAGGATATACAGATATAGATACAAAGATATATATAGATATAGATATATGGGATATCTATATATAGATAAACATATATGTATAGATATAGTCAGGGTTCTCTAAAGGGATACAACTAATAGGATATCAATATATCTATATCGATATATCTATAGATATCCTTTTAGATATATTCTATGTATATTATATCAATAAATTATCATACAAATAAAGTAGTATTAACTCACACGATCACAAGGTTTCACAATAGGCTCTCTGCAAGTTGAGGAATATGGAAGCCAGTCCAAGTCCCAAAGCTGAAGAACTTGGAGTCTGATGTTTGAGGGCAGGAAGCACCTAGCACAGGAGGAAGATGTAGTCCGGGAGGCTAAGCCAGTTTAGCCTTTTCACGTTTTCCTGTCTGCTTTATATTCTAGCTGCTCTGGAAGCTGATTAGCTGGGTGCCCACCCAGATTAAGGGTGAGTCTGCTTTTCCCAGACTACTGACTCAAATGTTAATCTCCTTTGGCAACACCTTCACAGACATGCCCAGGATGAATACTTTGCATCCTTCAACCCAATCAAGTTGACAGTATTAACCATCACATGTATTGACAAAAAAGTAACAGATACTCAAGGTCATGTGGAACAATACAATAGTTTAAAAATTACATATAACTGGATTTTCAAAATGAAAAGTGAGAATGAGACAAAAAATATTTTAATAAATGGTTGATTTCAAGTTTTGATTGTTGATTCCCAATTTTGATTATCACCATAGTTTTTTAGAAGGTAGGAAGTTAATGCTGGCTTCAACATAAGAAGTGTAATTCTCAGGGCTCAACTTGGGATTCTAACCATTATTACACTATTAGGGTAAGACTCTTCTGTTCATTCTACACTATATGTCATGAATTATGAATACTGGTGAGAACAGACACTGTCAGCATGAAGTGAGTGCTGGGTACTGTCTCTAATTCTTTTGGGTTGTTGTTTCTCTGGCCTTGGATTGTTTGCTCATACGTACAAAAACTTATAATTACTCTGCTGCATAGTCCAGGAGGACCTTCTGGAGAAGTCTAGGAGGCCCAGTTTGTGCAGCTCCCTCCTACCTGTACTCTGTCCTGTGAACTCTCATTGCTTGGTCTTTCTAAATTTCTTTCATCTCTTTAAGTCAGCAGTCTTCTGGTCTTTGCTTTTGTTCCCTGTCTCTGCACTGCACCATGGAAACTCTATCAAGGCTGTAAAATAATAGAACTTCCATCATTTTGGGTTTTTCCTCCCATCTTAAGGGATCAATATCACATGTTTTTTGATGTTCAGCATCCTGAAAATCATTACTTCAAATATTTTACCCAGTTCCTTTGGTCGTGTTAGGCAGGCTGAGAAATTCAGTCTTTGTTACTCTATATTGACCAAGAGCAGGAATCTAGGAAACTTTTAAAATTTAAAAATGAACATTATTGGATACAGATAAACCGTTAGAAAATTAAAGCTCGTTAACCCACTGATAAAATATGGAATATTAAAAATAAATACTTATTTAATTCTAAGTAGGAAAAAAATAGAGGAGGCACAAGTAAAAAAAATTCACAGAAAATAAAACCAAAATTATCAATAATTACATTGAATGTAAATTGACTAAAAGATCCAATTAAATGTCACAAATTATTAATTTGGATTAAAAAAGAAGGTCCAGTTATATGTCACGTTTATATTTAAAGATTTAATTTGAATAGAAAATTGTGAGCATGCTAAAATTAAAAGAATGGACAAATTTTTTAACTAAACAGAAGTACTTTTTTAGAAAGTTAAAGCAATATTAAACAATTTGATCAAAATGACATTAACAAATATTACATTTAATAATTAAAGAAAACACTAATTAAAGTACACAGAAAACTTTCATGAAGATAATCTGTGAGCTGGGCTATGAAATGATGCTCAATGAATGTCAAAATACTGAAATTTGACAGAGTATGTTTAGAAAATGGAAAAGTTACTTGAAAAAATATAAAGATATGTATTTCATGATAAAAAACATTAACTCAAAGAAATCTGCAGGGCTTTACTGCTTAATTGATGGATTCTATTAAACTTTAAGATATTAAAATACTACTAGTCATGTATAAACTCAGGAAAACTAAAAGGCTCATATAGCTATATTAAGAACTCAATATTTATTTTTATTGAATAAATATATTTAATAACAGAAATAATTATATATATATATATATACACTTATGCAGTGAAACTTAGCAATATGTGCTTCTCTCTGTCTCTCTGACTCTCTCTGTATCTCTCTCACATACACACATACACACATGCTCACACAAACTGAATAAATTTTGACTTTGACCTACCAATTGGCCACTAGTTCTACAGACCTATTCCTGTGCTTCTGGGTTTGTAGAGTCATCAAATAGGCCACTGTGCTGTGAAAAAACGCTAGTTGTTCTTGATAATTTGAAATGATTATTTTGAGTGCTTGCAGGTTTTCACTTTTGTGACTCCACAATACTGAATACTCAAGCAGAAAAGAAGAATACATTAGATTATACACATGCCATGATAAAAGATACATTCTATATTCACTATGGATTTGAGATTACAATTAGTTTTCAATAGTCATTAAATAATAATGTGATGCAATACAATCCCAATTATACACGCAGCAGGATAATGAGGACTACTCTCTGGGGAGAATAATCCATTCACTGATATTGTGCATTATTTGCTGATTCAGAAAAAGAATGCTGCTGTATAAACACCTTCTGAAGAATTTGCCTTTTCTTTCATTACTAAATGCAACTGTATTTCACAAACTAAAGAATTAGTTGATAAAATAGTACATAATTAAATTAATTGGTATCTCAGAATCATATTAGACAATGTAGATACAAATTAAGGTTGATATATGAGTATTCATGTTCATGTATTTATTCATTATTTGAATTTTATTGAGCAAATATTTAATATCTACTAAATTCTCTGCACTGATCTAGGATAAAGTATGCAACATAAGGTATGGTTTATGATCTATGAATATTAAGCATAAAACATCACTTGTTTCAATAAGAAGACTTTTCCATTTAAACTTGTGTGTGCATTGGCAAAATGTAATTTATGATAATATATACATGAAACTCACAGGATGTAAGTTCTTGCTTAGTTTCATTAATTACTGTGTATTTTTCTATACAAAGAATCAGATATTAATACATTCCTTACAAAATCTACTTTTGTGACCAAGGTATTTTGCTGCCTTTTCTAAAGTGAGACCTTCCTTTTTTAACTTTCTAAGTAGAATTTCCCTTCCTTTTTTAACGTAAATGTTAAAATTTAACATTTTAAACACCAGCACAATAATCTAAGCAATTATGTGAATCTCTACAGATGGACCCCTGGTGAACCACACATCCTGGTATCCACGTTCATGCATAGCCCCTCTTGCATTTATGCCCATTCTTTCAGTATTTTGACCAATATGAGAGAAGGTGATACTAAATTTCCTCCAAGGCTAGGAAACCAGACACCTTGTAGCTTCCACCAGTATTTCTTAATACACCTGCTCTGAAGAACACCAGCTATAATGTAAGAAATCTGACTACCCTGTGACAATCATATTAGGCACAAATAGAAGCCAGAGGAAGAAAAAGAGATGTTTAGCAAACTCTAGGCTTTTGTAAGCATCCACTTGTGGTATAAGGTGTGTGAGTGAAGTAGCTATGCTGGACTTCTAGCATGATTCAACCTTCACATGACTCCAGTTCTAGCTGCCATCAGATGGCAACAACATCAAAAATACAAGGCAAGAATTGCACTGCTGAGCCCAATTAAACTTCAGAATCTTCACAATACATTATTGTTGAAGTAATAATTTTTAGATTACTTTTATGCAGCAATATATTACCAACATGTTAGTTGATATGGTTTGGCTCTGTGTCTCCACCCAAATCTCACCTTGTTTTGTAACAATCCCCACATGTCAAGGGCAGAACCAGGTAGAGATAATTAAACCATGGGGCAATTTCCACCATGCTGTTCTCGTGATAGTGCGCTCTCATGAGATCTGATGATTTTATAAGGGGCTTCTGCACTCATTCTCTCTCCTGCCCACCCTGTGAAGGGGTGCCTTCTGCCATGATTGTAGTTTCCTGAGGCCTCCCCTGCCATGTGGAACTGTGAGCCAATTAAACCTCTTTTCTTTATAAACTAACCAGTTTCAGGCAGTTCTTTATAGCAGCATGAGAATGGACTAATACAGTAAATTAGTACCAGAGAGAGTGGGGTGCTGGGTAAAAAGAGACCCAAAAATGTGGAAATGACTTTGGAACTGGGTAAGAGGCAGAGACTGGAACAGTTTGGAGGGCTCAGAAGAAGGTAGGAAAATGTGGGAAAGTTTGAAACTTCCTAGAGACTTGTTGAATGGCTTTGATCAAAATACTGATAATGATATGAATAATAATGTCCAGTTTGAGAGGGTCTCAGATGGAGATGAGGAACTTGTTGGGAAGTAGAGCAAAGGTGACTCTTGTTATGATTTAGCAAAGAAACTGGCAGCATTCTTTCCCTGACCTAGAGATGTGTGGAACTTTGAACTTGAGAGAGATAATTTAGGGTATCTGGCAGAAGAAATTTCTAAGCAGCAAAGCATTCAAGAGGTAGCAGAGCACAAAAGTTTGGAAAATTTGCAGCCTGATGATGCAATAGAAAATAAAACCCCATTTTCTGGGGAGAAATTCAAGTCTCCTGCAGAAATTTGCATAAGTAACCAGGAGCCAAATGTTAATCACCAAGACAGTGGGGAAAATGTCTCCAGTTTATGTCGGAGATCTTCACGGCAGCCCTTCCCATCACAGGCCCAGAGGCCGAGGAGGAAAAATGCTTTTGTGATTGGGGCCCAGGGCCCTCCTTCTGTGTGCAGGCTAGGAATTTGTTGCCCTGTGTCCCAGATGCTCCAACTATGGATAAAAGGGGCCAAGATACAGCTCAAGCTGTGGCTCTAGAGGGTGCAAGCCCTAAGCCTTGGCAGCTTCCATGTGGTGTTGAGCCTGCAGGTGCACAGAAGTCAAAAATTGAGGTTTAGGAACCTCCGGGTTGCAGCCCCCACACAGAGTTCCCATTGCAGTACTGCCTAGTGGAGCTGAGAGAAGAGGGTCACCGTCTTCCAGATCCCAGAATGGTAGATCCACTGACAGCTTGCACTATGTGCCTGGAAAAGCCACAGACAGTCAATGCCAGTCCATGAAAGCATCTAGCAGTGGGGCTGTACCTGCAAAGCCACAGGGGCAGAGCTGCCCAAGGCCATGGGGGCCCACCTGTTGCAACAGTGTGACTAGGATGTGAGACATGGAGTCAAAGGAGATCATTTGGATCTTTAAGATTTAATGATTGTCCCATTGCATTTTGGACTTGCATGGGGCCTGTAACCCTTTTATTTCGGCCAATTTCTACCATTTGAAATGGGCGTATTACCCAATACCTATACCCCCATCGTATCTAGGAAGTAACTAACTTGCTGTTGATTTTACAGGCTCATAGGCAGAAGAAATTTGCCTTGTCTCAGATGACAACTTGGACTTGGATTTTTGGATTATTGCTGGAATGAGTTAAGAATGTGGGGGATTGTTGGAAGTGCATGATTGTTTTGAAATGTGAGGACATGGGACTTGGGGGTGGCCAAGGGTGAAATGATATGGTTTGGCTCTGTGTCCCACCCAAATTTCACCTTGAATTTTAATAATCCCCATGTGTCAAGGGCAGGACTAGGTGAAGATAGCTGAATCATGAGGGTGGTTTCCACCATGCTGTTCTTGTGAGAGTGAGTGAGTTCTCATGGGATCTCATGGTTTTATAAGGGGATTTCCCCTTCACTGGGCACTCATTCTCTCTCCTGCCACCCTGTGAAGAGGTACCTTCCACCATGATTGTAAGTGTCTTGAGGCCTCCCCAGTCATACAGAACTGTGACTCAATTAAACCTCTTTTTTTTTCATAAACTACCCAGTCTCGGGCAGTTCTTTATATCAGCATGAGAACAGACTAATACATTAGTTAACAATGATAATGATTCAAAGTAGATTTCAAATAATATTAAATGATAAAACCACCTGTAATTAATAGAAACATAAACACTTTGGACTTTACTATAATTTTCAGTTCATCTTTGTACAATATAACATTCTTTTCTCATTGTCAGAATATTGAGATAAATATAATTTTAAAAAATTGTTTTTTAATTCTTTAATTAAAAAATTAATTTTTCAGACTTTAGAATTAACAAACAAAGGAGCAAAATATGATTTATACCATCCTAATTTTAGAAAAAGAGGCATGAAGTTTTTTTTGGTAAGTCTACACTTTTGTGCAAACTCTGATCAATTGGAATCCCTGATTTTTCTACTACAATAGTTTCAGAAGCTATCTCTAGATTCAGATTGTAAAAAATGCCATAAAAGATGATCAATTTCTATCATTGGGTAGAGGCTGTAATATCACATGTACCGTGTGTTTTTCTATCTGAAACACCCCAAATAGCTTTTTTAAAAGAAAAATTTCCATCAGTATTCACTTTTCCAAGCATGTAAGCAGATGTTACCATTGTAGGAATGAGTTAGGGCCATCTTTGGTCTTTCTACACCCAGGAAAACTTTGGTAAGAATAGTTATAATTGGCCCCATCAAATAGGATGCCTTCTCCTGCTAGCAACCATAAATATATTGTTCAGAGGAGATAAGCCAATCCCTTTATTTAAAGCATTTCAAGGACAGCATAAGAGAGTACCAAGATAAACAAATGCCCATTGGAGTGTTTTACTGGAGTACAAAGAAAGAATATGGCCCAAGTTGAAGCATCATTCCCTTTATAGTCATTACTATAACTTTCTTTCCCTATTCTTTATTTGGCTCTCTAAGTGCCTGTCTTCTTACTATGTGCTTTCTCTTTCTTATCTTTTATTTATTTTTACTATTTAACTGAAGATGCTACTCCTCATTCCATATGCCCTAAATAAGGCTATTATGTGATGTCTACTTAGAAATCAACCAAGGAGTATGCAAAAGTGCAGGAATAAAATAACTAGGGCACTTACAATTATTTCACAGATGTCACCCAGAAGTCTAGGGGACTAGGTTTATAACAGGCTTAAGATACATAAGTAAGTGACGAGACGCTGGCTAGAATATCACATTTCTATCAGGATAAATATGTCTCAAAGTAAAAATATGTGTTATGAAATATAACACCATCTAGTGAGAACAAGTAAAATGTTAGCTCACACTGTATGAGTCATTGGTAATGTATTTTGTGGTCTTCTCTTCTTTTGATTAATAATATCACAATAAACTAAAATTTTGATGGCCAACTTGTTTTGAATATAACAAAATGAGGTGGTAAATAATCTTTTTATTTATGACAACAGACAGTAAGTACATAATTAACAAGTCAAATTCAAATCTAAAATGCTGATTCAATATAATCTTTGTAATATTCTGCTCTAATTATAGAAATTATAATAGGCTGAATTATTTGCTTTTGAAAAGGCAATCTTTCATTAGATTATTTTAAATAACCCTCATTTGAATCATTTAATAATGTTACCCTTTTCTGCCAATTTACTCATGTTAGAAGGCAGCACTCAGCCAGATCATGAGCTTTTACCCTAACTCAATAGGGTCAGAATTATAATTTCAATCTTCCAACTTTAAAACAGGAGGTTAAAATATTATGTTGAATAGAATGTTAAAAAGGTTTAAATGCAAAAATTGAGGTCTTTGACCTCAATTTTTCCTTATTAAAAGAGTTTCTCTATCTTTTCCAGTTGAACCATAATGACCGTTCATTACAGAGATTAACCTATTAGCATACAAGCACATTCAATTCAGCTGATTACATTTTCCCCAGATTAAACCTGAAAAAGGGAGAGAGGCATTATATATATGTATATATAGTCACCATTTTAAGCTTTAATCTTCCTTCAAGCAAAAAGAAACACAAAACCTGTATGGTTTGCTACTAAAAATTATTTTTAATCGAGACAAACTTATTGTATATTGTGTAATTAAAGACACATATCAGCAAGCAGTGGACACTTCAACTTTGGGAATGGCAACTATACTACACCTTCTATGAACAACTCTTAGGGTATCTTCATTTCAGTTCTATTCATCATCTTTTGGCCTTGGATGCTTCTGAAGATTTCAGTTGTTCTCTTGCCATTTGAGTTAATTTTATTTTTCTCTTTAGAAAATAATTTGGCAATTTTTTGTATGTTTAAATATATACCTACTAAGTGATAACTGCAATTACGTTGCTAGCTATTCACCCAAGAAAAATAAATATTTACAAACAGCTGTATACAAATATCTACAGCACCTTTGTACACAATCACCCAAAACTGGAAAGAGACCAAATGTCCTTCACCTGTTGAATAGAAAAAGAACATGTAGTGCATCCACAAAATACCATTCAGATATAAAACAGAACTATTGGTTTATACAAAGACATCACTTTATCTCAACCAGATTTTGCTAGGCTTTTTCAAACCAGATTCAAATGCTACATACTGTATCACTCCATTTATGTAGCTTTCTGGGAAAGGCAAACGTATAGGCATAGAGAGCAGGTTTCCATTGGTTTGTGGGATCAGGTGTGAGGATGACTTATATAAAGGGGCAATATAAGTAAAGTTTTTGTGGTGAGGTAAGTGCTCCGCAACTGGATCATGATGGTAGACACAAGACTTCATGCATTGTTAAACTTCATGGAAATGTATAAAAACAAATAATAATTTTATCATACATAAATTTAAAAATTAATATTAAGCACATTTAAAAATAAAAAGTATACTTCTCGGTAAGATTTTTTGTTTCAAATACAAGTCATATGGATTTGTAAACTGTAATATGTATTGGCCAAAGTGAATAGGTAAAGAGCCTAATTTAGTAGTAATGAGTTTTATCCCATGTACATAACCTGTTTCAAGATAGACTATTTCTTTTGAAATGGGCCAAGTACTGATGTCCCAGAAATCAGACTGAGATGAGATACTGTTTCATTTTTACTGTTCATCTTTATTAATTTCCCATATATTTATTGTTTTACTACTCCTCCTGGAGTGATGCAATGAAAGCCAGGTCATATCTCAGAAAATCATAGTCTGTATTTTAGATAAGGAAATAGATTTATCTGCTTATTCACGTCAAAGAGACGGAGTTGCCTTTTCCTTCCCCTCCTTAAAGGAGGAATAGAAACCTTTGCTCCTTGAATAGAAAGGCACTTGGGTTCTCACCCTAGCCTTTGGAATGTAAATGCATGTCACCAAGGACCAGACAAGCATCTATGTCAGTGTCTTTCGCTTTTATGACCTAGACACATATCCAAAGTTGCAAGCTTCATTTTCCCTTGAAATGAAAACACATACTTCCAGAGTTAGGGAAATCTCTTAGAAATTCTTATAAAGTTTTTTCACTGACTATATAGCTGGAAATTAACTTCCCCAAGGCTTTGATGCTAGCCTAAGATTCCAAGTTTTTGGCAAAATTTATTCAGAAAGCTGCAACTTGAAGAAACACAAAAATAGTTTATTTATATCCCACAGGTAATCTACCTATGGTGACAAGTATAGAAATGAATAGGGAAGGAAATTTAGAGGAAAGTTTAAAGAATGCTCTCTAATAGGTATAGTGATATCTCATTTTGGCATCAATTTATATTCCTTTAATGGCTTACGGCATTAAGCAGATTTTTGTCGGCTTGTTTGAATACATTTTCCTTGGTAAAATATTTGTTCAAAACCTTCATCTATTTTTTATTGGATTGCTTGTTTTCTTGTTGATTAAAAAAATTTTATATACTCTGGAATGAAGTTTTTTGTTAGACATGTAAATTGCAAATATCCTCTACAAGTCATTTACTTGCCTTTTAATTTTATTAACAATATATTTAGGATGGAAGCTGTCTAAATATTTATTGATATGTGCCTGGAATCTCTATTCTGTTTCATCGACCTATATATCTATTCTTTCATTAGTATCACACTGACTTGATAACCCTAACTTTATAGTAAGTCTTGAAATTGGTGGTGTGTGTCCTCCAACTTCTTTTGCAATTTATCTTAGCTATTCTACTTCCTTTTCTTTCCATTTAAATTTGTGCACCTCATTTTTTTTAAATTATAAATCCAGAAAAGATTTGGATTGAAATTTAAAACTAAACATTATTGAGTTTTCTATCTATGCACATAAAATATCACTCCAATTCTTTAAACCTTTAATTTCTTTTATCTTTGTCTTATAGTTTTAGGTGCATAATTTGTGCACTTATGTTGTAGAAGGATGCTTCGTAGATAGTGCTTTTTGAACTTCAAATTCTAATTATTAATTTCTAGTGAATGGTAACACAATTATTTTTGTATATGGATCAGTGTTTTGAGAACTTGTCAAAGCCAAGTCATTTTTGGAGCATTTAGGTAGATTCTTTGTATTTTCTAAGTAGACAATAATGTCATCTGTGAATAAAGACAAATTTCTTTCTTTCTTTACAAACTGTATGTTTTATTTCTTTTTCTTTATTTTTATACTGGATATAATTTCCAATATAATGTTGAACAGGAATAGGGAGAGATGCATCCTTGCCTTGCTCTGAATTTAATGGAGACAGCATTCAGTCTTCAACATTAAGTAAGACACCATTTTCAGAATTTTATCTAATCCATAGAATTTATCTGAGGTGCCTTTTATCTAATCAAGGATGTCCCCTTTTTCTTCTTGAGTGTGGAGAATTTCTAATCAGTAGTAAATATTAGATTTTGTCAGTATCTTTTCTGTATGAATTCATATGATTGTATAATTTTTATTCTATTAATATATTGAATTACAGTGACTGATTCTGAAACATCAAAATAGACTTGCATTCCTAGGATAATCATCACTGAATATGATTTATTACAATTGATGAATCTACACTGACATATTATTATCACTGAAAGACCATAGTGTACATTAGGATTCACCCTTAGTGTTATAGACTCCATGTTTGTGTACTGGTATCCCCAAAGAATTTCCATCTTTAAACTCTAACACCAATAAGAATGATATTTGGAGATGGAACTTTTGAGAGATAATTACATCACAAGGGTGGAGCCCTTATTATGGGATTAGTGCCCTTACTAAAAGAGACAAAAGGGAGTCAGCTTCTACTATCTCTCTCACCACCACATGAGGACATAGCAAGGAAACCATTTACAAACTAAGAAGAGAGCCCTCACTAAGCACCCAACCATGCTGGCACCACGATCTCAGTCTTCCAGACTGCAGAACTGTAAGGAATAAATTTCTGTTGTTTAAGCCACCCAGTCTATGGTAGTTTTGTCCCAGCAGTTTGAACTGGCTGAGACAGTATTGTAGATTCTATGGGTTGGACACATATATAATGACATGTATCAGTTATTATAGTGTCATGCCAAGTAGGTTCATTACCCTGAAGATCCTTTGGGCTCTGGATATTCATGTCTCCCTCCTCACAAACCTCTGATTTTTCTTAATGTCTCCATAATTTTACATTTTCCTGAATGTAATATGTGGGAATTATACAGGATGTAGTCTTTTCAGATTGGCTTCTTTCTTAATAATATGCACTTAAGTTTCCTCCATGACTCTTCCCACTTGATAGCTTATTTCTTTTTAGGCCTGAAAAAATATTCC
Source organism: Homo sapiens (assembly GCF_000001405.40). NCBI lineage: Eukaryota > Metazoa > Chordata > Mammalia > Primates > Hominidae > Homo > Homo sapiens. The sequence goes on along the minus strand of NC_000018.10, from coordinate 66,009,694 downwards.
ATTGTCTGATTAAACCACAGTTTATTTATCCATTCACCCACTGAACAACATTTTGCTTCCTAGTTTTGGCAATTGTGAATAAAGCTGCTATAAACATCCAAGTACAGGTTTTTGTGTAAATATAAATTTTCAACTCCTGGGTAAATACCAAGGAGCATGATTGCAGAATTGTACAGTAAGAGTACATTTAGTTTTGTAAGAAACTGTCCAAATGGCTGTACTACTTTGCATTTCAACCAGCAATGCATGAGAATTTCTGTTTCTCCATATTCTCACCAACGTCTGGTACTGTCAGTGTTCTAGATTTTGGCCATGCTAATAGGTATGAAGCAGTATCTGCTGTTTTAATTTTTATTTTTTTAATTTTATTATTATTATTATTATTATTATTATTATTATTATTATTATTATTATTATTTTTGCCGAGTCTCACTCTGTTGCCCAGGCTGGAGGGCAGTGGCACGATCTCAGCTCACTGCAGCCTCCACCTCCTGGGTTCTAAGCGATTCTCCTGCCTAAGCCTCCAGAGTAGCTGGGATTACAGGTGTACGCCAATACGCCCAGCTAATTTTGTATTTTTAGTAGAGATGATGTTTCAGCATGTTGGCCAGGCTGGTCTCAAACTCCTGACCTCAGGCGATCCACCCGCCTCGGCCTCCCAAAGGGCTGGGTTCACAGGCATGAGCCACCATGCCCAGCCAATATCTACTGTTTTAATTTGCATTTTCCCTGATAACAAATGATGTGAAACACCTTTCATATGTCTACTTGCCATCTGTAGAACTTCTTGGTGAGTTATCTCTTTGGGTCTGTGGTCCAATTTTTAACTAGGCTGTTTATTTTCTTATGTGAAATTTTGAGTTCTTTATATATTTTAGCTAAATCTTTTATTAGATATATCTGTTGCAAATATTTTCTCCATCTCTAACTTGTCTTTGCATTCTCCTGACAGTATCTTTTGAACAGCATATATGTATATATTTAATTTTCATGAAGTCTAGTTTATCAGTTCTTTCTTTTATGGATCATGCCTTTGTTGCCACATGTAAAAAGGTATTGCCAAACCAAAGACTATCTACGTGTTCTCTTATGCTGTCTTTTAACTATTTTATCGTTTTGTGTTTTACATTTAGGTCTGTGATCTATTTTGGATTAATTTTCATGAAGGGTGTAAGACTCTGTTTAGGTTTCTTTGTTTGTTTGTTTTTTGCATGAGGATGTCTAATTGTTCCAGAATCATTTGATGAAAAGACTGTCTTCTAAAAATTATATTGCTTTTGCTCTTTTATCAAAGAGCAGTTGGTTATATTTATGTTGGCCTATTTCTAGGCTCTTTTCCATTTATCTATTTATCTTTTCTTTTTGCTAATAACACACAGTCTTGATTCTGTAACTTTGTAAGAGAAAAACTACAAAACTTTAATGAAAGAATCAACACCAAACTAGTTAAAGAGTTATTCCATGTTCATGAATAGGACGATTTAATATTGTCAAGATCTCAGTTCTTTCTGCTGGATTTATAAATTCAATGCAATCCCAGTAAAAATCCCAGTAAGTTATTTTGTAGATATTAACAAACTAACTCAAAAGTGTATATGGTGAGGCCAAAAGTCTAGAATAGCCAAGACAATATTCAAGGAGAAGAACAAAGTTGAGGGATTGACATTACCCAATTTTAAGAATTATGATAAAGCGATTACATGGGAGTTTTGTATCTCAGATAATTTTTTACTGCTCATTAACATCCTTTTCTTTCAGATTGAAGAACTTCCTTTAGCGGTTCTTGTAGGGCAGGTCTGGTGTTGATGAAATTCTTCAGCTTTTGTTTGTTTGGAATAATCTTTATTTCTCCTTCATTCTTTAAAGATATTTTAACAGGATATAATATTCTAGGGTAAAAGGTTTTTTTTTATTTTCTTCAGCATTTTAAATATGACATGCAACTCTCTTCTGGTCTGTAATGTTTCCATTGAATGTATTCTGCTAGATGTACTGGAGCTTCGTTGTATGTTATTTGTTTCTTTTTCTCTTCCTGCTTTTAGAATTATTTCTATATCTTTGACCTTTGATAGTGTGATTATTAGACACCTTAATGTAGCCTTCTTTGGGTTAAATGTGCTTCATGCTGTATAACCTTCTTATACTTAAATGTTATACTTAAATGTTGACGTGTTTCTTTAGGTTTGAGAGTTCTCCAATATTATCCCTTTTAATAAACTTTCTACTCCTATCTCTTTCTCTACCTCCACTTTACGGTCAATAACTCTTAGCTTTGCCCTTTTGAGACTTTTCTACGTCTTGGATGCATGCTTCATTCTTTTTTATTTTTTCTCCACTGTGTATTTTCATATACCCTGTCTTCAAGCTCACTAATTATTTCTTCTGCTTAATTAATTCTGCTATTAATTAAGAAACTGTGATGCATTCTTCAGTATATCAATTTCATTTTTCAACCCTAGAATTTGTGCTTAATTCTTTTTAGTTATTTCAATTTCTTTTGTACATTTATGTGATAGAATTCTGAATTCATTCTCTGTGCTATCTTAAATTTCTTTGATTTTTCTCAAAACAGCTACTTTGAATTCTCTATCTGAAAGGTCCTATATTTCTGTTTCTCCAGGATTGGTTTCTGGTGCCTTATTTTGTTCATTTGGTGAGGTTATGTTTTGTGGATGGTCTTGATGCTTATAGATGTTCATCAGTGTTTGGGCACTGAAGAGTTAGGTATTTACTGTAGTCTTTGCAATCTGGGCTTCTTGTGCCCATCCTACAGGGGAAGGCTTTGCAGGTATCAAATAAACTTGAGTCCCAAGCCCAATAACACTCTGGTTTTGTAGATTTTTAGAGGTACCACCTTGGTGGTCTTGGATGAGATCTAGAAGAATTCCCTGGATTACCAAGCAGAGACTCTTGTTCTTTTCCCTTACTTTCTCCCAAACAAAAAAGAGAGAGAGAGACTCTAAAATAGAGTTTTGCATTATCAAACCTTCAGTTTCAGAAAGCTAAGCGCACACACACACACAGAGACTCCATCTTGGAGGCCTTAGCTTTCTGGAACTGAAGGTTTGATGATGCAAGTACCCCTATAGCCAACACCACCACCGGGATCTATGCTGGGTCAGACTTGAAGCCAGTACAGCATTGGTTCTCATCCAAGACCCGCTATAACTACTACTGAGAGGTGACAGCATGGTGGCAGCCCTCACAGCCCTCGCTCACTCTCAGCACCTCCTTGGCCTCGGTGCCCACTCTGGCCGTGCTTCAAAGGCCCTTCAGCCCGCCGCTGCACTGTGGGAGCCCCTCTCTGGGCTGGCTGAGGCCGGAGCTGGCTCCCTCAGCTTGCCGGGAGGTGTGGAGGGAGAGGCGGGGGCGGGAACCAGGGCTGCTCCTGGGGCTTGCAGGCCAGTGCGAGTTCCGGGTGGGCGTGGGCTCGGCAGGCCCCAAACCCAGGGTGGTGGGCCAGCACCACCAGCCGTGGGCAGTGAGGGGCTTAACACCCAGGCCAGCAGCTGTGGAGGGTGCGCCAACTCCCCCAGCAGTGCCGGCTCACCGACACTGCACTCGAATTCTTGCCAGGTCTTAGCTGCCTCCCTGAGTGGCAGGGCTGGGGACCTGCAGCCCGCCATGCCTACCCCTGCCGTGGGCTCCTGCAGGGCCCGAGCCTCCCCTAAGAGCACCGCCCCCTGCTTCACAGCACCCAGTCCCATCCACCGCCCAAGGGCTGAGTGGGTGCACAGCACGGGACTGGTGGGCAGCTCCACCTGCAGCCCCGGTGCGGTGCGGGATCCACTAGGTAAAGCCAGCTGGGCTCCTGAGTCTAGTGGGGACTTGGAGAACTTTTATGTCTAGCTAGAGGATTGTAAATACACCAATCAGCACTCTGTGTCTAGCTCGGCATTTGTGAATGCACCAACCAGCACTCTGTATCTAGCTAATCTGGTGGGGACTTGGAGAACCTTTATGTCTAGCTAAGGGATTATAAATGCACCATTCAGCACTCTGTGTCTAGCTCAAGGTTTGTAAATGCACCAATCAGCACTCTGTATCTAGCTAATCTGGTGGGTACTTGAAGAACCTTTATGTCTAGCTAAGGGATTGTAAATACACTAGTCAGCACTCTGTGTCTAGCTCAGGGTTTGTAAACACACCAATCAGCACCTTGTGTGTAGCTCAAGGTTTGTAAATGCACCAATCAGCACTCTTTATCTAGCTAAACTGGTGGGGACTTGGAGAACCTTTATGTCTAGCTAAGGGATTGTAAATGCACCAATCAGCACCCTGTCAAAATGGGCCAATCAGCTTTCTGTAAAGCAGACCAATCAGCTCTTTGTAAAATGGACCAATCAGCAGGATGTGGATGGGGCCAGATAAGGGAATAAAAGCAGGTGCCTGAGCCAGCAGTGGCAACCTGCTGGGGTCCCCGTCCACGCTGTGGAATATTTGTTCTTTCCCTCTTTGCAGTAAATCTTGCTGCTGCTCACTCTTTGGATCCATACTGCCTTTATGAGCTGTAACACTCACAGCGAAGGTCTGCAGCTTCACTCCTGAAGCTAGCGAGACCACAAACCCACCAGGAGGGACGAACAACTCTAGACGCACCGCCTTTAAGAGCTGTGACACTCACTGCAAAGGTCTGCAGCTTCACTCCTGAAGCCAGTGAGACCACGAACCAACCAGAAGGAAGAAACTCTGGACACAACATCTTTAAGAACTGTAACACTCACCGCGAGGGTCCACAGCTTCATTCTTGAAGTCAGTGAGACCAAGAACCCCCCAATTCCGGACACACTACTACCTGGCTACCACGTATGTTCACTCAAGGTCCTAGTGCTTTACAATCGGCGGGTCACAAAGACAGCCAGGTTTGTGTTCTTCTCTTCAGGGCGGTAAGTTCTTCCAGGCCCCAGGCAAGTCCAGAGATGGTGTCTGAGAGCCAGCAATTGATGTGCAAAACCTTAGAAATTTACCTGATATTCTGTTCTATTGTGGCTAAGCTGGCACTTAATTCACAATACAAATGTCTCTCTGCGCTTTTCTCCCCTTTTCACAAGCAGAGGAGTCTCTCCCTGTGACCACCACCACTTCCAGCCCATGGGGGTTCTGCAAGGCCACCACCAATGTTTACTTAAAAGTCCAAGGGATGTACAGTTAGCTTGTGGTGAATGCTGCCAGGCTTGCAACTTACTGTTCAAGGCAGTGGGCTTCCCCAGGGCAGGTCAAGAAATGCTATTTAAGAGCCTAGACCTCAACTTGGGGACCATAAGAGCCTGGTTGTTGCTCTACCCCACTGTGGCTGAGCTGGTACCTAAGGTGCAAGACAATAATCCCCTTTACTTTTCCCTCTGGTTTTATCAAACAGGAGTCTTTCACCATAGCTACCGCAGCTGGGAATGTGCTGCATCACACCTGAAGCCAGCAAATCTCAGAGCCCAAGGTCCATGGTGTGTACTACGTTGGTATCACTCCTGGTTATTCAGGACCCAATGGTTCTTTAGTCAGCAGTGGATGAATCCTGCCAGAACTGAGTTCTTCTCTTTAAGGCATCAGGTTTCCTTTTGGCCCAGAGTGTGTCTAGAAATGTCATCCAGGAGGTAGGTCCTAGAATGAGGGCCTCATGACTCTACCTGGTTCTCTATTCTACTGTGGCTGAGCTAGTATCTAAGATGCAAGACAAAGTCCTCTTTACTCTTCACTCTCCTCTTCTCAAGCAGAAAAATTAGGCTATTTTTGTTTCTGTGAGCTGCACTGCCTGGGGTGGTTAGAGAGATGGTGCAAGCACTCTCTTAGCCACCCCAGCTAGTGTTCCCCTACCTCATGTGCCACCCTATGTATTCTGGATCTGAGCCAAGCCTAGCACTAGAATTTCCCTAGCTATTGTAGCCATTGTGTCCAAGACTTCCTTTCAAGTTTACCTAGGATCCCAGAGCACTTTGGCCTACGGTGGCGAGGCTTGCTGAGAAACTGAAGTTCCAGTGGCTGTGATACACAGTTCCCTTCTGGCTAGGTCTGTCCAAATGCTCCCTCCATGACTGGGTGCTGGCTGAGCCCCGCATGGCCTTGCCCTCTGTCATGACAGGGCAGCACTGAGTAAAGTCTTTCCATTGCTGAGCCCTCCCTCCACAAAGTGCATAGATTCTCTTTTGCTGGGGGACAGGTAACATTGGCCATTCAATATCATATATCCTATCCTCTTCAGTGATATAAAGCTAAAACTAGGTACTATGATTGCTCACCTGATTTGGGGTTCTTGTGATGATGCTTTTCTGTGTACAGATAGTTGTTAAAATTTGGTGTTTCAGCAGGAGGGATGAATAGTGTAGGCTTCTATTGAATCATCTTGTTCTGCCTTCTGGAAAAATTTTTTGCAATTTTCAAGTATTTTTCCCATTCTCTCACACATAGGATTTAATTTTGTTAGACTACTTGATATTTTCCTAAATATATTAAATGCTTTTTCCTTGTTTTTTTTCCAATTCTTTTTATTCTTTCTATTTTACCTTGAGTAAACTGAAAACATTTTTTATTGCTCTATTGTCAAATTTAGTTATGTTTCACCAGTCCATTGAATATGTTGTTAAACACAAATCTTTCTATTTTATTTCAAGAATTTCCATCTCATTCTTTTTTGTAATTTTTATTTCTCTTCTAGAATTATTCATCAGTCCTTGCATACCATCCGTCTTTTCTACCAGATCCTCTACCATATTAACCATAGTTATATTAAATTTCTTGTCTGATTTTTTTCTAAGAAGTAGCTCATATCTGAATCTGGTTCTTTTGATTGTCTTCTCTCTTAACCATATGCTACTGGGTTTTTCTCTCAATTATGTATCATAATTTTTTTATGAAAACTGAACATCTTGGTAGAACGGTATAGATTGAAGTTAATAGATTCTATGCCAGGAAACTGGCATGCCTTTTCATCTACCAGAACTTTAGAGTGAGTTATTAAGTTGCAATAGATACAGTTTTCTCTGTGTTTGAGAATTGATTTCACTATGGTTACTCTTAGTGCTACACAGGTGTGTTAGTCCTTTCTCACGCTAGCTGATAAAGACATACCTGAGACTGGGTAATTCATAAAGAAAAAGAGTTTTAATGAACTCATAGTTCCACATAGCTGGGGAGGCCTCACAATCATGGCAGAAGGCAAAAGGTACATCTTACATGGTGGCAAACAAGACAATAGGAGAACCAAGCAAAAGCAGTAACCCCTTAAAAGACCATCAGATGTCCTGAGACTTGTTCACTACCACGAGAACAGTATGCAGGAAACTGCCCCCACGATTCAATAAACTCCCACCAGTTCCCTCCAACAACACGTGGGAATGATGGGAGCTACAAATCAAGATGAGATATGGGTGGGAACACAGTCAAATTATATCAAGAGGCTTCATATTGCATTTAATGTTACATTGTGTTTAATTTAAGGACTGTTTTGCTAGGGAGTTTTTCTCAATGTCTACTCTACCCTCAGCTTTACATCTTCACTTTGTCCCAGGCCTCAGAGCAGTCTGTCTTCATGCTCCTCACCCTTCCTATCTATAACTTGCTACTTGACACATTCCAGACTGGAGATGAGGTACAGGTTCTAGGTTGTTGTAATTAAGCCCATTCATAGGTAGGCACTGTGATCCTGGATCTTTGGGGTGAGGTCTTCTCTGTGCTTGCACTGAGTCCTGGCTGTTTGTTGTTGCCCAGCTTGTATTCTTGCCCTCCCCCATATGCAGATGGTTTGTTCCTCTTCCACAATTTAAAGGTATTTTTTACTGGTTTCTGAAGGGTGACAGTGTTTGCTGCCTGTTCTCCAATAGTGTTAGATTTTTTGCTCCATAGGAGAGCCGCAGTGCAGTGGAAGAATCTGTTGGAGGGGATGAGGCATGGAGCAGAGTTTCCGTTTCTTACCGTGGCTTCTGTTCTTCTAGCATAGCTGTGTACCATTAAAAAACAAAAAACAAAAACAAACAAACAAAAAAATCTTCTCAGGATTCTTCTCAATGACTTTTGTGAGCATCTGGTGATAACATGTGGAGGAAAGCCGGAAGGAGTACTCATTTCCCTAATGTCTTCTATCCCTAGAGTTTCTCTATTCTCTAACTAGTAAACACGTATCCTTTTAAAAATCTATTTTAAAATGTCAGATAATTTTTTGGTATGTATTTGGCAGCATCTGACCCTGCCAGGTAAGCAAGGCTTCATGCCTAGTCTCTTTTGGGGGGCAGTTGTCTTTCCTTAAATTTTAAAGGCAAGAGTTCAAGATATTCACTAAATGAGAATACAATGTTATTTTAAAGCTACCATTCATTGTACAGTTACATAGCTAAGCAAAGCAAATAAGATGAGGAATATGTCACTTACCCCAGCTTCAAAGAGTTGCAGTATCTACACGGAGACAATCACAGAAACAGAGACATTGAATACAAGGTATTACATATCATAATCACATGCAAATAGCCAGGAATATGTGGAAAAAGGGAATATCCTATTATTAGATGTTTAATTCCATTGCACTGTTGGACTCTAGCCTGATATTGGAGTCTAGTCTAATATTAGTTATCAATTTAATGTATGACAAGGGTTATGCTCAAAAAGATTATAAAAAATTCATGTTAATTTTTATGCTGAGGTGACTGGAGATAACTCCTTTTCCCCTCTTTTTCCTATTCAATCATAGGCTCTTTTCCAAAGAGGAGTGAACAAGAAACTACCAGAGAGATAGGGGAAAAACAAAGAAAAAATAGTATTTCAGAAGCTCAGAAAGAACATTTTGAGAAAAAAAATTGTCCAGTGTTTGGTCTGTACATTAGGACAAATTGATTCTATGGCCATATTTTATGTCTTATCGTTTAATAATAGAGAGTTTTCCCTATTTTCCAACCTTCAATAAATTCAGAATTCCAACCTATCATTCTGTAGTTTTCCAGAGAAAGCTATTTCCTGACATGAAATGCAGAATGCTCACAAGTTGAATAGTTTAATTATCGACATATAATGCTGCTCAGTGATTTCTACATGCTGATTATCTTTATTTGCTAACCAACATATTTTCTATCATTCACAAAAGTTCTTAATGACAGGAGATTTTTATAATGGTAGTTGTCTGCAAAACCTTTGGAGATCAAGATATTTATATTTCACAAATACAGCATTAATGTAAAAATTCAGTCTTCATGTATCTTCTTGTCAGGATAAAAAACTCAAAAAAAATTATAACTCTTAAAAGATAGTGAAGCACAGCAGCCTTTGAAGACCTCATAAGTGAGAATCATGTGTGGATTGCTTATCACTTTTTCCTCTTAGAGAATTACAATACAGATAATGTTATTCCTTTTAAAATCTATTTCTGAATACATTGTGAAAGAAGAGAAAAAATGAAATAAAAGGATAATTATTTAAATTTTTCAGTGTAGTATATAACTGTGAAATGGAAAAAACACAGATATCTATGTGTTGAAAGTACATAATCAAAGAGTAGCTAAAAAAAAAGAAAACTGAAAAAAAAAGCAAAACCTGGAACTAAAAATAAAATAATCATACACCAATTAATTGTGGAATTTGGAAATTATCAGTAAGACAACTTTAAAAATAATATCTCATAGCTTTATAAAAGTAATATTTAATTTATATAATTTTTTTTTAGAAAATACAGACTATTATGGAGTAGAAACATTACCTAAACATCCATGCAGAGAAAATGACAACTAATATTTGACTATGTCTTCTGTCTTCTTTCCAGGTATGTTTCTATATGTGTAAGTGTGGTATATACACTTATGTATAACATACATTTATTTCTAATCATTTTACTATTGCATGTAGTATTTTATATTTGTATTAGTATTGTGCTATGTTTTTGTATGTGTATATGTGTATAAAATGCCTGTATCTAATTGACACATTACATATTATTGCATCTACCATTTTGCATCAGCTTTTACTTAGCTTTATGCCGATAGCATTTTCAAAATCTTCATTTTCCAAATTTTAAATGTTATTTTTTGAACGAATGTTTAGCATTACCTTGTATGGATATACTAATTTTATATAATCATTTTCAAACTGAGGCACATTTACTTCATTTCCAAGTTGCATAATATTTAAGGTGTTGCCATAAGAACATAAGTACTCACTTTTCTGTGGGTGTATCTAGTTAGTCATAGAATGATTATTATAAATTACTGTATAAAAATGAATATGTGTCTGGGCGTGCTGGCTCATGCCTCTAATCCCAGCACTTTGGGAGGGTTAGGTGGGAGGATCACCTGAGGTCGGAAGTTTGAGACCAGCCTGACCAACATGGAGAAACCCCGTATCTACTAAAATACTACTAAAACCCCGTATCTACTAAATCTACTAAAAATACAAAATTAGCCAGGCGTGGTGGCGCAGGCCTGTAATCCCAGCTACTCGGGAGGCTTAGGCAAGAGAATCGCTTGAACCCGGGCGGCAGAGGTTGTGGTGAGCCAAGATTGCACCATTGCACTCCAGCCTGGGCAACAAGAGTGAAACTCCATCTCAAAAAATAAATAAATAAATAAATAAATAAATAAATAAATAAATAAATAAAAATATGTGTCAGGTTCTTGATACATATTTTTTGAGGAACATAATAGCAGTTTTCACTCTCACTTAAAAATATGAAAATTAGCATCTATATTTCATTTTAATGAAGATTTGCCAGTTCACTTGGAAATCAGATAATCCTCAGGACAAAAATTGTATGGTATGTACTTCAATTATCTCAACCAAATTGTCTGTCTCCACCCCTCCCATCAGTCAGTGACCACAAAGTTCATGCAGACATGCGGCAAGCAGATGAATTATTAATGGTATTGACATGCATTTAAAAAAATCAATACCAAGTACCACAACCTAAGTTATCCTATAGATATACGTTAAGATAAAAAAATTTTAAGATTCAATTTACATTTACTTTATATGAGTTAATTATAGGAAAATATTATAACAAGCTCTGGTGACATATATTATGCAGTAAATCCTTAAAGATAATTCTATTTTGAATTGGTTAAATGTGGTAACTAAAAATATTCTATTAAAAATATAATACTTAAGCAGCCTATGGAAAGAAAAAAATTAAAAATAAACATTGACAAAGATAGTTTGGCTGCTCAAATACAAGACAAAAAAATTAGGCTGATACATTCAAGCTTTCTGTACACCAATATTTGCTGAGTATCAGATCCTATAAGAGAACTACTGGGTACATACTAGGTACCAGGTTCTGTGTAAGACTTGGGATAATTGTAAATGTACAGATAGCCTTCATAGTCTCATGCCACAATCTAATGGGGGACGGAGATAATAAATCAAAAATGCGTAACAATTATATAATAACAGTGGTGGTATCTATTATAAAGAACAAGTCAAAATAAGTACAGTGTGTTATATGAAGGTGTAACAGAAAAAATTTGATCTTGACATGAGAGGTTAGGAAAGTAAAATTTACACTGAATGCTGAAAGCTGCTTAAGAGTTAGGCACAGAGGAAGGCAGGAACTTCTCAAGAACCAGAGACAATCTATGTAAGAATTTGAATCAGAAAGGACCTTGATGTATTTGGAAAACTAAAATAAAGTGCACTACTCAATGTAGTGAGTGAGAAATATAAGAGATAAAATTGTATCTCGAGAGCAAGAATTTCAATCACAGAAGTCATTAAAGGCCATGTTGAGAAATTAAGTGTTGATCTTTAACAAAAAAAGGAGCCTGTTCAAAAGTGTACTTTAAAAAATTAAAGAAAGAAAACCTATGGAATCTGATGGAAATTTCACAGAAAGCATGCAGAACTAAACGAATATCTTTTAAAATTCTGAACTCCATACAGCATATATAACAGTTTTTACTTCACTCAGTAACAATGGTAAATATATTCCTCCAAATAAACAATGTTTGTATCATTTAAGAGAAATACTGTATATTAAAAAATGGCTAGGAGAAGGCAGACCCTCCTTCAGATACAGGAACCAATAATCTTCATCACTCAGACACATTTTTTAAATTAAATTTTTGTTTCTGTGAAATTCCAAAATTTTTCACATTATTTTCAAGACTCTAATTATTAACCTAAACATTAAACCATAGCATAGCAAATATCTACATGACTCTATTAAAATTTTCTGTGACATATTTCATATATACAAAAAGGTATAACTATTGCATGACAAATAAGACTTCTGCCTCCAATTAGATTGTAGAAGTTGATGACAAAACACTCTAACAATTAACAAAATCGGATAAACTAAAATGTTTTTTTTTTAAGTGTCAGAGAGTTGTGGTTACAATGGAACTTAAAAGATCTGAAGTATAAAGGACAAGCCTAGGTGAGAAGATGGGGTACAGGGCCTACTTTCCTCCCTGAAGATCCCTAAAGGAGCCTTAGCAGGGACAGAATTAGAGCACCTGTCATGGGCAGAGGACCCAGATGAGTAATTAAAACCAAGAAGACATGGAGTACAGTTATCATTTGTCTATTTATTCACTCTGTTCCCCAAATCTTAGACTTTACTTTTTTTTTATTTCAGAGAAAATCTCAACTATTATCTATGCACATGTTGGCTTTCCTCCTAATTTTTTGTGTTATCTTCTGATTCTCCAATTAGATAATCAGATATTTCTCTTTTTAACACATTGTCACTAAAACTCTTCCATAATTTATTTTCCTAGTGGCCAACTAAATATCTGTTGACTGACTGGTTGGTCCACATCCCTATGATCCAAAACTCTAGGTCAGACAAAAAACAGTGTCCTCGTTGAATATGAATTAGTGGAATTATATGGAATTTAAAGAAGCTTTAATGAAACTGTTAGAAAAAGAGACTGTTTTTGACGAACCAGAAGCAAGTAACCTGTTTCACAATTACTGGGCACTATTCGATTGGAAAACTATTAATAAGTTTTGGAAATTTTTACAGTTACCCTTATAAATGCCATCATAAATGGTTTAAAGACTATATTCTTAAAGAAAACAAAGACATTCTTCAAAAATTGCTAAGAAATAGGTTGACCTGCAATTTAGATGCTTATGTCAATATCAACTTTTTATCTGGTGTGCTGTATCGAACTCTTAGTTATTTGACAAAGAACTTTATATGACAAATGATTATCAAGTGGTATTACATGGTTCTTTTGGTTAATATTACCCAAGCATTTTACTAATTCAGAAACTTTTCACACAATTCAATTATATAAAATGTTGGATTAAAAACGTGTGTACAATTTTAGGTTAATAAGCAACAAAACAAACCAGTGCTGCATATTGTGTTTTCATTTTCAAAACGGTAATTAGAGCATGACTATTTGTGTAAATTACAGATTAAATTTCACAAGGGTTAATTTTATGCTCATAATACTTTATTTAAGTGCTTTGCCACACGCAGTAGCTCATACCTATAATCCCAGCACTTTAGGAGGCAGAGGTGGGAGGATTGCTTGAGTGCAAGAGGTTGAGGCTGCAGTGAGCCATGATCACAGCACTGCACGCCAGCCTGGAAAACAGAGCAAGACCCTATCTGGAATAAATAAATTAATGTTTGATACAATAGTAATAATAATTCACAATATAGAACAGAACAAATTTAAATTAAAATATAAAAATTTATCAATTGAATATCAATCCCAGTAAAATCAAAGACTTTAAATTTTGCCTGCAAATTAATCTGAAGTTATTATTTTGCTTATAAATACTAAGGAATCTAAAACATACTAATATTATATATATATACATATATTTCAATGATAAACAAGAACCAAAATAACTATTCAAAATATTAAAAGACCCAAGGTAAAAGAAATTAATTTTTATAAGATGTTGCTGAGAATTTTTCAATCATTTATTCAAGAATTCTTTAAGCATTTTGGTTAATTCAGAGCCAACAGCAATATAATAAGTTTTTGTTTTAGAGTCAGAGAATCATGGATTAAAATCTCAGCTTTTAAAATCTACCATATCTTTTACCCCATAAGTGCAATTTAATTTATCTGCGTCTCAGTTTCTCATTTATTCATGAGAATGAATAAATAAAATCAAAGGGACAAATATTAATCTCCTATGCATGTGTAAAAATCAATTACATTCATTTTTATGAAGTATCCAACAATAGGTTCAACCTGTAGTGAACACTGAGAAATATTTTCATTTGAATCGATAAACATTTTATCATGGTTCGCAAAGTTATTCACATATTTTTTAAAAATCTCAGAAGTTCTAAACGTAGCAAGAATTAAACCTAAGTGAGTTGGCAGAACCTTTCACTGAAAACACAGGTGGCAGAGGAGTAATTAACATCAACAACTTGTGTTTCTCCAGATTGTAAAGTTGAAGGATTACTTACATGTACATTGGTATGAAAATAACTTGGTTTACAATAGTGAAATAAAGGAAAGCAAAATATGGCTCAGAAGATAAGGATAGTCTCTTTATTAAATGGTGTTGAGAAAGCTGGATATCCACATACAAAATAATTAAATGAGACTCTTATCTTACACTATACACAAAATTCAACATTATGTGGATTAAAGACCTAAATATAGACCTGAAACCATAAAACTCTCAGAAGAAAACATGGGTGGAAAGCTCCCTGACATTGGCGTTGGCAATGATTTTTTTTGGATGACGCACCACACCAAAAGCTCAGGCAACAAGAGCAAAAATAAGCAAGTAGGATAAAGTTAAACTAAATATCTCTGCACAACAAAGAAAACAATCCAAAAAAGGGAGCATAAGGACTGATAGAAAACATTTCTGAACCAAATATCTCATTAATCAAGGGACTAAATACAAAAATATATAAGGAACTCACACAACTCAATAGCAAAAAGGAAAAACAAGCAAAGAAACATTCAAAAATGGGCAAAGATCTGAATAGACATATTTCCAAAGATGTCATAAAAATGACCAACAGGTATGTTTAAAAAATGCTCAACTTTATCAATCATCAGAAAAATACAAATCATAACCACCATGAAATATCACATCACATCTATTAGAATGGCTGTTATCAAAAAGACAAGAGATAATATGTAGTCAGCGAGAGTGTTGAGAAAGGGACTCCTTATATGCTGTGGATAGAAATGTAAATTATGTCATTATGAAAAACTGTATGGCAGTTCCTCAAACAATCAAAAATAGAACTACCATATGACCCAGCAACCCCTCTGCTGGATATATACCCGAAGGAAATGAAACCAGCACTCTGTAGAGATCTCTACAGTCCCATGCTCATTCTAACATCATTCACAATAGCCAAGGTACAGAACTAACCTACATGTTCATTGATGAATGAGGAAACAAAGAAATTGTGGTACATATATATACTGAAACATTATTCAGCTTTACAAAAGAAAAAAAATACTACCATTTATGACAGCATAGATGAAACTGATAGACATTATGCTAAGTGAAATAGGCCAGACACAGAAAGAAAAATACTGCATGATCTCTCTCATATTTGGAGTCTAAAAATAAGCTGAATACACAGAAACAGAGAATAAAATAGAGCAGTGGTATAACCAGAAGCAGGGAGGAGAAGGAAATGAGAAGTAGGTCAAAATGTGTAAGTTTGCAGTTATATAGATGAGTAAATTGAGAGACCTAATGTACTGCATGAGGCCTGCAACTTAACAATATTGTGCAGCATAATGAAAATTTGCTGAGTGTAGACCTTGAGTCCCATTTCCTCAAAAGAGAAAGTAATGTTAACTATGGAAGGTGAGGAATTTGCTGACTAATTTGCTTGGCTAATTATTTCACTATGTATATGTATACCAAAACATTCTTCTATATACCTTACATACATGCAATAAAATAAATAATAAAAATGTAGTAAATCCAAATTTGAATGTACCATGCATATAAAATACACAATGGACCTTGAAGACTCAGTATGAAAAAGAATGCAAAGCAACTCATTACATTTATAATACAAATTTTATGTTAATAGATTAATATTTCAAATACATTCAGTTAAATATAACATGTCTCTGTCTCTCTTTAACTTTGCCATTTCAAGAAAGTTACATAAATGGAATCATCCAGTATATGATCTTTTGGGACTGATTTTTTTTCACTCAGCACAATACCATTGAGATACATCCATGTTGTGCTTATCATTAGTTTATTCCTTTTTATTGCTGAGTCTGTTCAACATTGACCTATTGTAAGATATTTTGGCTTTTTTGTTTGTTTGTTTGTTTTCTTGAGATGGAGTCTAGCTCTGTTTGCCAGGATGGAGTGCAGTGTCGTGATCTTGGCTCACTGCAACCTCCGCCTACCGGGTTCAAGCTTTTCTCTTGCCTCAGCCTCCTGAGTAGCTGAGATTACAGGTGCATGCCACTACGCCCAGCTAATTTTTGTATTTTTAGTAGAGATGGGGTTTCACATGTTGGTTAGGCTGGTCTCGAACTCCTGACCTCGTGATCCGCCCACCTCAGCCTCCTAAAGTGCTGGGATTACAGGCGTGAGCCACCACACCCAGCCAAATTTTGCCTCTTATAAATAAAGCTACATATGAACTATCAAAGAAAGAAGAAAATGCACAAACTATCCACTTTGAAATTTAAATGACAAAACATCTAAGCCAACAACAGAGCTCAGTACTTAGACAGATACATGTGGTAATCTAGGCCTACAGTGCTTTCTAATTCTGGCTCAGTCCTACTCTCAGTAAGTTCCATGGCTGGCTTTGAGAGAAAGGGGGCCAGTCTATGGTACACTGTATTTTCCTTTCTTTTTTTTAACCTCTTTTGTTATTCAACCAGCACAACCCTATTCTTTCTCCTTAATTTTATTTCATGAATGCTCAACTTCTCATGCTTTGACCCAAAATTTAAATCTCTCTAGTGGCTTTTAAAAAACTCTTATTTTCCATTTCCTTTTACTTCATATTGGAATAGAATGGTTCCTAGAGGAACGGGTGAATTAATCAGCAAATGGTCAGCAGGTGAATGTTAAACAGACTCAGAAATAATAAAAAGGTATAAATTAGTGATAAGCACAACATGGTCCCTAGGGGACAATCTGAGCCGATGTCTTATCTTCAGTTTACTCTTTGAAGAATAAGGTTTTTAGCATTTAACTTTCTATTCTAAGCTATATCCTATATTTTTAAAAAGCTACTAAATTTTATAAAATTCCATCAGTATTACATAACATAATTTTCTTTTTCAAATCTTAAGAACTAGACAAAATCCTTTATTTGAAAAAAATGTATGTACTATGAAGATTGTTAGAGAAAGTCACAAATATTTCTTGAAAATCCTGTATGAAACACATAATGATGCAAAAGGATAGATTATTGATTGACATATTTCTATTGGAACTGTATTTAGACTCAACATGCTTAATACAAACACTAAATTTATGTATACAGAATTTCAGGAGCATATGACAGTAAATGTCATAAAGAGTATTACTAAAAGCATTTTTTAATAGCTAGATTATTCGGGTATGTATATTTGAAAAACATAATATTAATTAGAAACTGTTCCTATCAAAAGATTAGGAGCATAAGAGGCCAATTCACTCTTGTCAATGGCTTTCCCTGGATTATCTAGAAGGAAAGCATGAGATAGGGATACAGATGAATGTGATTTACTGAAGTGTGGAAAGTTGTGCTTTTCAAAAATATCCACAATGGTATGTCCAGTCTCATATGTTCTTTTTGAACCTTCCCACATCTCCTCTCAAGAGTTGAAGTCAGCTTTTCTTTCCCTTGAGCCTGGGTGGGCCGGTTACTGCTCCAAACAAGAGAATGTAGCAGTGGAGATGCTATGTGATTTCTGAGGCTACACAGTGAGAAGGATAGAGCTTCTGCTTAAACACTGTTTTGTGAATAATGTCTCAGGGTGTATAGTTAACAAGTAAGAAGTCTGTTTACCCTGAAGTTACCATTCTGGAGGAATTGTGTGGAGGGATTATGGAAAGTGATAGACTCCAAGGAATATGTCAGTTCCAGTTTGTAGTGTCAGTATGAATTGGTCTTCAAATGATTTCAGCCAAACAAATCTCTAATGAGTAGAACAGATAAAAGCTGTGCCCACCAACCTCTGCCCAAATTTCAATGTGCGAGAAAAGTAAGTGTCACTGTTTTAAAGCCACTCAGTCTGAGGGTGGTTTTAACACAATATTGAAACAAGAAGCTGAAAGGAAGTGAGAGAACTGGAAATGGTTGAGCAAGAATGTAATCTCAGGACATTGCCTGCCCCTAAGCTGATCCAAATGGTGTGATAACTAAAGTATAAATTGCACTGCAAAGTTTTCACAGATTGAGGTAAAGAAGCTAGCTAGCCTTTGTACCCCTATAAGGGTTAGTCATTGGCTTTAGGGTACCAAATATAAGAGATCTCTCTGATGAGGTAGCTTTGGTTGGTAAAGGGAAATGGTTTGTAGAGGGTTTTTGTGAGCTATTAGTAACCCATACTCACAGCAGCTAGGGGACCTGGGTGAGTCACCAAAAGCATGTGTTACCCCCAAGAGCACAAAATTGAGATAAATAAAAATGAGTCTAAGTGATAGCCGTTTGAGAGCTATCTCTGAAATAAAATATCAACATGTGGCATCATGCCATAGTAAAGAGAGTATAGGGTTACGAGACCAACAGTTGAAATTTGACTCTACAATTAAACTTGAGTAATTCACACAAGCTTTTCTTTCTTCATTCATTAAACATATATTAAGCATCAAAATCTGCCCAAGAATTTCCATCTGAGATCCAGCTTATACATTCACATACTTATTTGGCATAACTACTTGAGAAGATTTATTTTCAAACTGAAAATGCTCAAAAACATAGAATTTAAGATTCTCCATGAAAACCCAGTCATCTCCAGTTGTTCTTTATTTCCAGTTGTACAAGTCAGAAATGTAAGAGATATTCTTGATTTCCTTTATCCCCTCATCCTCTGTTTTGCCAAGTCTTGCCTTAACTATCTTTCAAAATCACTCTCCTCTTTATTTCTCTACCACTACAATCTAAATCCCAACTTTTGATCTCTCATCTGAAATATTCTAACAGCTTCTTAAATTGCTTCCTAGTTTTCCACCTAGGTGCTTTCACATCTGATCGTATTTCCTTTTTATTTTCTTTTTTATTTTTGGGAAAAGGTTTCACTCTGTCAGGCTGTAGTGCAGTGGTTCAATCACAGCTCACTGGAGCCTCAGTTCCTGGGCTCATGTGATATTCCTGCTTTAGCCTCTGGAGTAGTTGGAACTGCAGATGAATGCCAACAGGTCCAGCTCATTTTTAAAAACATTTTGGTAGAGATAAGATCTCTCTACATTTCCCAGTCTGGTGATCCATCCTTCCTTCCTTCCTTCCTTCCTTCCTTCCTTCCTTCCTTCCTTCCTTTTCTTCCTTCCTCCCTCCCTCCCTCTCTCTCTCTCTCTTTCCCTCCCTCCCTCCCTTCCTTCCTTTCTTTTTTTTGATGGAGTTTTGCTCTGTTGCCCAGGCTGAAGTACAGCAGCACAATCTTGGCTCACTGCGATTTCCACCTCCTAGGTTCAAGCAATTCTCCTGCCTCAGCTTCCTGAGTAGCTGGTACTACAGGTGCATGACATCACGCCCAGCTAATTTTTGTATTTTTAGTAGAGATGGGGTTTCACTCTGTTGGCCAGGCTGGTCTTGAACTCCTGACCTCAAGTGATCCACTCACCTCAGACTCCCAGAGTGTTGAGATTACAGGCATGAGCCATTGCACCTCCAACTGGTGATCATATTTCTAGCATGCTTAAAACCATAAAAATATGCCCCCCAAATCTTCTTTGCACCAGTGTAATATTTGATATGGTCCACAATGGGAACGTGTCTCTCACATCTTGTGTCAGACACTGCCTTCCTTTCTGTGAGCCTGCCATATATATTTCTTGCATTTTCTCCAAAATTGAAGTCTTTGCCTGGAATTTACTTGCAAATTTATATCTTCTTCATCCTTCAAGTATTGAATAAGTAGTTAATATTCTGCCTTTTCCCTCAACATAGACTAGGTTAAATTTCAATGTAATATTTTGGCACTATGTATCACTCATTTGTATTTCTTAACAAAGTTGCAACTTTAATAATCTATTTGTGTGAGTATTTGACCAATCTTTATGCCAACGGGCTGACAAAAAAATAAAAAAGAACAGAAACCAAGTTTTCTTTTGTTCCCCAATGTATCATCAGAATTTAGCACTATTTCTGGGAAATGATAAACATCCAATAAATATTTTTCAAATTAATCAATCAATGAAAATGAGATAACATTCTGTGATTTCAAAAAGTTGTATCTACAGTTAATATTGCTCTTTGGAAAAATCAAGGCCACTTACTTTTTGTGAACAATCATTTTATGTTCAATAAATCCTATTAGCTACACATGCACTTATTCCCTTTTCACGTGCAAATTAAGAAAATAGAATACAAATGCTTTCCAATGTGGGTTTATTCTCTTTCAGATACCTATTTAAATGGTTTGTCATCCTGAATTCTAGCAACATTGCACATTTATATTTGAAAGTACTTAGTGATGTCAGAAATAATTATCAAGTAATCTGTAAAAGTATGTAATTACTTTGTGCTGACATAGCACTTGTGAAGTAATTGCTTGAGGGGGATGAATACTTGAGCACACATAAAAAATGAAATTACCTAATTCTGGGCCAAAAAGAAAAAAGACACAAAGGCTATTTGTTCCACGACAAAACTAATAACGTTATAATAAGAGGAAAAAAGAGGAGTGACATAGATAAGATAATGAAAAGAAGAGAAAGAACAGCATGTGTGTGTGTGTGATTTTGGAACTTGTCAATATTGGGCTGCTACACTAGATTAGTTTTCTCTCTTCCCTACCTCTCTAATAAAATAGGGGGTATTTAAAGTGAAAGTGGAAACGTTATCTTCCTAGTTACTGTTTAAATATGTATAAATATGACATACAACATTATTTTCACACAATATATTTTGAAAAATCAAAATGTTGTAAAATGAAAACAAACAAACATATAACTGCATAATTTGGTAACTTTCTAAATAGTCTAGAAGAATTTGACCTGTTTTGAGTCTTAGTTCAAGTAAGCAACTATAAATGGCTCATTAACATTAGAATCCAGGAATGACACTGCCCATTCATCAGAGAATGTGTGACTAGGCAGCAGGGTCTTTGTCTAGAGCCTCATCTTTTCTAATTTTGAAAGGCAGTGGGTGTATCTCATTTCTTCATATTAAATGTCTATGATGCTTGTTTAGATTAGGAAGCATTAATATTTCCTCAACAAATGAAAATAGATGGCAAGCCAGCATCTTTTAAAAAATAAACGTATTTGAATTTTAAGGGGGAATACTGTTCACTTTGCTTAAATACATTTCTATATCTGTCTAATTTGTCAATGCTTAAATCAGTCATTAATCCAATATGATTTTGAACCTAAAGGTAATAAGCACAATTGAATTTCATTTTGCTAAACTAGATGATAGAAGGTAGATAACTTTCTATTCTTTGATGTTAATCTGCATTTCAGTAATGGTTATGATTGTTCCCATATATCACACACTCTCTGTAAATTGGTACTTTGTAGCTTGGGAAAGATACATTTTAGAGGCTCCATCCTGGCTATAGAGCTACATTAAAAATAATGTGTCAGAAGAAATCCTGTGACAGCAAGTTATGCCCATATCCCAGTGCATTCAGTATTATAAAATATAAAAGTTAAATATTAAGTGAAACCATCTATTAGTCGAAGTTCTTCAGAGAAACAGAATGAATGTGTGTGTGTGTGTGTGTGTGTGTGTGTGTGTGTGTGTGTGTGTGTGTAGGCTGGGAAGTAAAAATCTTCAAGATGAGCCAGCAGGTCATTTATCAATTAAATGAATCCATTGCTAGTCAATATCTTTATTACAGATCCTTGACAAGTAGATATATGGAATACAAAATTATATAAATATAAAAGCCAACTGCTTAGTCTGATAACTTTCTTGCTAGAGATGTCCACCGCTGACTATAAAATTTAAGAAGTTTTTTTAATGAGTCCTGGGTAGGGAGTAAACTACAAAAGAGGGAGCGAAATGACTTCCAAGGAATAACATTAAAAATACGTATCAATGCAAACATATTTAGCATCTGTTATTTATACTTTGTGTTTTAAGGTTTTAAAATTTAAAATATATGTAGAATGGCTGAAGTCTTTTTTGAACTCACTCCTCTCTAGAAGTTCCATGCTAGAATGACCACCATCATGTTTACCTGGATTATTTGAATTTCTTCTATTTTATAATAAGTTATATTTATTCTTAAATAACATCTTGTTTTGATTTATGCAGGTTACATTCTCTCATTAGAACACTATCCATAGTTATATAACTGAAGAGACTGGGCACCATATAAAAAGATATATAGGAAAGATATCTATTAGTCTCACAATTTAAAAACATAGGCTAGTTTTCACAATTACTGTTAAATAACTTTTTTGCTACCTGTTGAGTTCGTAGACTACATTGCTACCACCTGTGCAGAAATACTACACGGAGCCATTGATAAGTATTGTAAATAGAAAATAAATGTGAATATTTCATGGTTCCTGAATAAAAATGGGAATACTCATTGATCCCCATGATAAAACTACAAAACAAATAAATTATAGACAAAAAGTAGACTCAGACTCTAATAAAATTAATATAATAATTCCCTTAATTATTTTTGAATTTTATTTTCAATCATGGGCATTCAAGCTAGAAACTAGAAGAAAATAAAAGGACTGGCCTGGCATGGTGGCTCATGCCTGTAATCCCAGCACTTTTGGAGGTGGAGGCGGGTGGATCACTTGAGGTCAGGAGTTCAAGACCAGCCTGGCCAACATGGAGAAACCCTGTCTCTACTAAAGATACAAAAATTAGCTGGGCATGGTGGTGTGCATCTGTAATCCCACCTACTCAGGAGACTGAAGCAGGAGAGTTGCTTGAACTTAGGAAGTGGAGGTTGTAGGGGGCCAAGATCATGCCACTGCACACCAGCCTGGGTAACAGAGCAAGTTTCCATCTCAATAATAATAATAATAATAATAATAATAATAATAATAATGATAAATAAGGGGAAATAAGAATGAGTAGTAGAAAATGGAGAAAATACGTAAATCAAAATAAGACAAGTAAAAACATAGTAAAAGAATTGTAATTGTGTTCATTCACATATTGAAAAATATTTAAACCTCTAACATTTTTATTTCAGTATAATTACTGAACAAAAGCTAGAACTAAAAAACTAGGAATTTTCTTTTTCTTCTTGTGGTATTATTACAATAAATCTGTCTTACCAGATCAATTGATTTTGTTTTAATTTAAAAATTATAATCCTTAAACTCATATAAAACCTAGATTTTTTCAACTATCATAATTTCTTGTACTTACCATACAATCTCCAATTATAAAACATCTTCTGAAAATGATGTGGGATCATCTCCTAGAGAAGAGTAATGGTGTCATAGCATAGTTTATGGTGTGTAATGCTATGATATTGTACAAAGAGAGAAAACATACACTACACCAGAAAACCTTGGTTTAAATTTCCATGTTGCTGTTTTCTTATTGTTATGTATTTGGGCAAATTACTTCGTCTCTCTGTGCCTTAGATTCCTCATCTGTAATATGGGAGTAAAAATAATACCTGGTAAATGTGAGAATAAAATTAGTTAATACATAGGGAGACCTTAGAGTAGTGCCTGACACAAAGTAAGCTCTAGAAAGTATAAGCTATGAATATTTCAAGAAGTAGTATCACAAATAGTTTTGGTATGCTTTTCACAAGTAAGCACACATTTTTCAGGATAGCACTGAAGTTCTCCCCCAGTGTAGCCCAGTCTAATCTTTTAGAAATGTTTATTTTATATGTATGACTATAAGCCATTGTTTTGTGGTTTTTTATATTAATACACTTTTATATTGTCACCAAATTTTTAAATTGGAGTTTAGAATTTGAAATCTCTACAGGAATTTGCTACCTAGGCTTAAAATATTTCTAAATTGTCACCTTGTTATCAATACCACCTTGTTATTTTGAAAACATGGTTAATAACACTGACTAATTTCATAAAGTCACTAGCTTATTTTGGGAAAAATCTTTAATAACAGGGATACATATGTTTTATTGCTGAACTGAACTCACACAATGGACATGCTTAGCTCCCATGCCTCATACCTCATGAAACATGAATGACAGACACATGCATGTAGAACCTAACCCTTCCATTTACCCTGACACTTCCATTTACAGACAGAAGTTTTGCTCATACAGGTTGGACCTCATTCTGCATGGTAGAGCAGGACTGTAAAAACAACTGTGCAAGCTGAAACTGTGCAAAATGATCTTAAAAACCAAAGGAGAATATACAATTGATTGTTCAGACACCTTTAGCCATTTTGACAAAACATTAAAAATTCTCATGTTGTCGGTTATGAATGCATGGGAAAATTTAAAAAAATTAAAGTTTATTTCACAAACTGAAATTTAAAATATTAGAAACATAGACAACTAGAATATTGTATTCTTCATAAAATTTTATCAAGACTAGGTGAAAAGTTCTTGCTTCCTTCTTAGCATATCACTTATATTAAGGAGAGAAATAACTCTGAATAATTTAAATATTTGTAATGTTCGATTTTGTGTCTCTATTTTAGCTTGTTAGTTTTAAATCTTTTGTTATTCTTTTAGTGGTTGCACTACAGAGTGCAACATACCTCCTTGATTTATTATGTAATATATATGTAATATATATTATATATGTATATGCATATATAATATACATAGGTATATATGTATATATGTATATAAAAATATATTACACATATTATGTATATTACATATATTATATTACATATATTACATATATAGTATATATTACGTATATATTATATTACATATATGATATATGTGTAATATATATGTTATATATGTAATATAATGTAGTTCTATTAGCATTTTTCAGAAAATGCAAGAATTTTAGAGCACTTTAACTCTATTTACTTCCCTCTTAGGAATAAAACGACGTCAGACAGTTTTTCATATTTAATGTCCAGCATTCAAGTATTACACATCTTACCAGGAAATAAGACTGCAGGACTAAAAACAGAGCAAAAAACAGACCATATAACATATCCATAGTAGGTTCAGATATCAGAATTATCAGGCACAGATCTTAAAATGTATATGGCTGACATATGCCAGAAATCAGATGATATGATAAAGAAATACACTAGATTCTATGCTATGAAAAATATCAAAAGGAAATTCTAAACCTGAGTAACAATAAATTAAACTTGGAGCTGAAAAGATGGATCTAAGCTTTTTTAAATAGAAAAAATAAATTTATAAATTGGAACATCAGCATCATTCTAGGTTTATTCCAGCAATAGCAGTTTACATTACCATTTTAAAATAAATTACTATAATTTGCCATATTAACAGAATAAAGGAAAAATGTGCATTTCAATAGATCAAAAATTCGATATCCAGATATTTATTTTTTAATTAAAATTATAGCAAATTAAGAATGAAATAAAGCATATTCAATCTGATGAAAAATGTATGTGGGAAATAAAATTACAACATGATAATCCAGTTGTGCTTTGCTTCCAACTCTATCTGGCAAAACTATGTGGGTTAGCACCCAAGTCTGCTCTTTTTTTCTCCTTGTAATTATAATAGAAGCTTAATTAATATAAGTAGCTTTTGCTGCAATCCCAAACACTCCATCTGGTGGCTATTTGATAGAAAATTGTGAGAACAAAAGCACACTGTT
The DNA here is from genome assembly GCF_000001405.40 of Homo sapiens. Taxonomy (NCBI): domain Eukaryota; kingdom Metazoa; phylum Chordata; class Mammalia; order Primates; family Hominidae; genus Homo; species Homo sapiens. The sequence goes on along the minus strand of NC_000018.10, from coordinate 65,983,915 downwards.
TATCTTATATACGAAGTCCTATGTTGACCCTCAGTTTGCCACACATCTTGTCTTTCTTATCAAACATCCTGTCTTTCTTTTACACCTAAGAGGTAGGTGTAAAATATGTGAATTTTCATCAACCTAAGTGAAAACAAAGAATCTATCTATGAAATCAAGAAAGATCTTTTTTGGAGTTTTTCCAATAGATTGCCTGTACAGTAGTCCACCTTATCTGTGGGGAATAGGTTTAAAGTCCCCCAGGCAATGCCTGAAATTGCAGATAGTCCTGAACCTTATATGTGCTGTGATTTTTTCCCATACATATACACCTAATATAAATTTTAATTTGTAAATTAGACACAGGAAGAGATTAACAACTAATAATAAAATAGAACAATATAACTATATACTGTAATAAAAGTTACGTAAATTTTATCTCTTTTACTCTCTTAAAATATCTTACTCTACTGTTGTGTTTTGCCATCCATATTGTCACAAATGAGATAATTTTTCTCTTTTTAAGGCTGTATAGTATTCCATTGGGCGTTTATGCCATATTTTCTTTATCTGTTCATCCATTGATGGACACTTAGGTTGCTTCCATATCTTGGATATTGTGAATAAAGCTAAAATAAACATTGGAGTGCAGCTCTCTCTTTAAAAACTAAAAATACAATTACCATATGACCCAGCAATGCCACCTCTGGGTATATATCCAAAGGAATTAAAATTGGTAAGTTAAAGAGATATCTGCACTTCCATGTTTATTTCGTCCTTATTCACTATAGCCAACATATGAAAAGATGACTTTCTTAAGAAAGACATAAATATAAAATTTAAAAAGTAAAACGATGCTTCATTTGGGTACATCCAAATGTAAAAACCTTCTGTGTAAACAAAGAAATAAAAACAAAATTATAAGTACAATCTATTTATTGCACAAAGCATTAACGGCTATGAATATTTAAAGAATGCCTAGAAATCAATGAGGAAAATGCAAACAACTAAATAAGAAACTTGGCAAAGAACAGTGTAAACAATTCACATACACACAAAGTGAATGGGGAAAAAATTCCCCATTAACCCGAGTAAATCAAATGGAAACAATAAAATCTCATTTATTTCCCATCACTCTGGTTAAAATTCCAAAGTCTAACAATAATATATAATGAAGATTTGGAGAAATGGGCATTCTCAAACACTGATAGTGAAAATACAATGGAACAGCCACCTTGGAAAGCAATTGATGCTATACAGCGTAGTTGAAGATACATATACACTGGTAACTGAAAATATTGTGTTTCTCTTTGGAAAAATTCTGTAACCTTTTATCTTAGTTTCCTAATTTCAAAACAAATAATACTAGCATGTATTATACAAATGTTATAGGAATAAAATGACTAACCAAATGCAAAGCACTCAAAATCTGGTACTATTATTTTTATTATTATAATTAGTATAAACTAGGAGACACTAACACACAGGCATATGGAGACAATTGCAAGTGAGCATTGCAGCACTGTCAGCAAAACAAGTGAGTATAATCTAATTACTCATCAATAGCATGGTGAGTAATACAAATGAGTTATAGTCTCATGCTTAAATATTCTTAGAAATAATTTTTAATAATTTTTTTAAAAATTAATACATACCTGATAACTTCATTGAGGCTTAAATGGTATGAATTTGTTTATGATACTAATTGTCTTTACTGATAATAGACAGAGAAATCCATGTTCAATATGATACTGTGAACCACAAAACCCAGACAAGTAAGGAGATTGATTTTATTCAGGCTACTGCAATGGAGAGAGCACTCTTTGTCCTAAGATCAGAGTGTCTCAGCTGAGCAGTCCCATATTAGATAATTATAGAAACAGAGGATAAGTTACAGACTGGATGATTTACACTTGGAATTGTTTTGTAAGTAGGAGAAGTCTCCATCAGTAGGCTGGACAGGAAACATTTTCCCTGTGTTTTGCTAGTTTAAGGGGACAAACATTTCTAAACTTAGCTAACAATTATTGGACAAAAGAATAAAAGTGGGCTGGAGGCAGAATGAGTTCAGGCAAAGGGGAAAGGTCTGCGTCAGGCCTTGTTATTCATACGTTGAAAATCTTTTAAAGTAGGCAAATAATACCACAAAGTGTATACACGCACACACCTGAATAAGTTCACTTATTTATGTGAACTTGAAATGTAAGGCTGAATATTTGACGTAAAATTTATGATAGACAATGTCTCTAGGGAATGAGAAAATGGAAAGTGTCTTCCTTTAGATACCAAAGTAAACTTCAGCTTTAATTCTAATATTTATTTAAAAATAAAACAGGAAGTATTTATGACAAAATCTTAACTTTTTTTCCTGATCAGTGAGACTATGTATGTCCCAAGAGAATTATTTTCATTTAATGTATTTTATGATTTTATGAAATTATGAAAATGAAAAAGCAAAATAATAAGTGAAAATAAAAGAAAGAAAAATGGAAGTGAAAAAAATAGAACAGAAGAGATGAGCAAGGGAACGGAAAAGGGTTAGCCCAAGAGTGTGAAAACGGGGGAAGTGTTACATAGAAGAACTGGAGTATTTCTGCTGTGGCGTCGTGGAGGACATTTAAGACTTTTGTGAAAGTAAAAGTGACAGAAGTCAGGTTGGAGTTCATCAAGGGATGAGTAGAAAGTGAGAAAATGGAGACACAGCAAGAAATATTTGAGGAAAGGAAAGGCAGAAAGAGAAAGGCAATTAAAAATGTGTAAGGATGCCGGGCGCGGTGGCTCACGCCTGTAATCCCAGCACTTTGGGAGGCCGAGGCGGGCGGATCACGAGGTCAGGAGATCGAGACCATCCTGGCTAACACGGAGAAACCCCATCTCTACTAAAAATACAAAAAATTAGCCGGGCGTGGTGGCGGGTGCCTGTAGTCCCAGCTACTCGGGAGGCTGAGGCGGGAGAATAGAGTGAACCCGGGAGGCGGAGCTTGCAGTGAGCCGAGATCGCGCCACTGCACTCCAGCCTGGGGATAGAGCGAGACTCCGCCTGAAAAAAAAAGGAAAAAAAAAGTATAAGGATGCAAGGAGCAAGGAATAACTTCTTGTTTTGTTTGACTTTTGTATTATTTTCACGATGAGAAAAAATAAAGCAGCCTTTCTCCATCCTGGCTACATATTAGAACCACCTGGTGATTTTTAAAATAGCTAGTGCCCTGTCTTATTCTGTTCAGGCTACCATAAGAAAATACCACAGACTGGGAAGTTTAAACAACAGACTTTTATTTCTCACAGCTTTGGAGCTGGGAAGTTCCAGATCCAGGTGTCGGCCAATTCACGTTCCTGGTGAGAGCTTGGTTCCCAGCTGGAGATGGATGGCTGTTAAAGATGTCATTCATGACACTGGTTAAGATTATAAGAACGTGTGGGGTGGAGACTTACAGGCAAGGGGTAGGGTGGGGTCAGTGGATGGAAAATTATGAAGCGAAAAAATCAGGGATTTTGTTATTAATTTTTACCAAAACAATTATTAATTAAAAATAAAAGAAAGGCAAGGTACAGTGGCTCACACCAGTAATCACAGTGCTTTGGGAGGTTAAGGGAAAAGAATTAGTAGAAGCTAGGAGTTTGAGACCAAACTAGGCAACATAGCAAGACCCCGTCTTAACAAAAAAAAAATAAAAAAAAATTAGCTGATTGTGGTGGTGTGCACCTGTAGTCCAAGCTACTAGGGAGGTGTGATGGTTAATACTGAGTGTCAACCTGATTGGATTGAAGGATACAAAGTATTAATCTTGGGAGTGTCTGTGAGGGTGTTGCCAGCAGAGATTAACATTTGAGTCCTTGGGCTGGGAAAGACAGATCCACCCTTCCACCACTAATCTGTTGGGCACTATCTAATCAGCTGCCAGCAAATATAAATTAGGAAGAAAAATGTGAAAGAGAGAAACATATATATATATATATATATATATATATATATATTATTTAGTTCTGTCCCTCTAATAGAATCCTGACTAATACAGGAGGCTAATGTGGGAGGATCACTTGAGCCCAGGAGTTTGAGGAAAAATAAAAAAACAAACAGAAAAAAAACAAAAAGAAATACATTGTTAAACTTTATTTTCTGTTAACATTACTTTTACTTTCTTCATGGAGATCCAAGTTTCTAATCTATATAGCATTTTTCTTCTGTCTCAAATTTATTTTTCAGCTTTATTGACTTATAATTGACAAATAAATATCTTCTTTTAACACTTCTTGTAGATCAGGTCTGCTGGTGATAAATTCACTCAGTTTTTGTTTTTTGAGAGTTTCATTTCTCTTTAACTTTCCAGAGATGATTTTTGCTCAATATAGGATTCCAGGTTGATTTTCTTTTCTTTCAATACTTTCAATACTTTGCTGTCCTCTTGCTTGAATAATTCCTAACCAGAAATCTCTTGTAATTCTGATCATTGTTTCAGTATAGATAAGGTGTCCCACTTCACCTCTCCCACCTCCCAGATTCTTTCAGTATTTCTTTTAGGTTTTACACAGTTTGAATCTGGTATTTCTAGGTAGAGACTTTTTTGTATTTATTCTGCCTCATGCTCTCTAAACTTCCTGGATCTATGCTTTGGTGCCTGTCATTAATTTTGGAATACTTTCAACCATAATGACTTTCATCTGCTCCATCCTCTCTTTCTTCTCATTTCAGTATTACAACTGTATGTATGTTAGACTTTTGAAATTATCTCACAGTTCTTAGATATTCTGTTCCTTTTTATTATTTTCATTCTTTTTTTTTTCTCTTTGCATTTCTGTTTTGGAAGTTTCTATAAACATTTCTTAAAGCTCACTGATTCTTTAGTTGGTTCTGGAGCATTTTCTGATAAACCAATCAAAGGCATTTTTTATTTTTTGTTACAGTGTGTTTGATTTCTAGCATTTCCTTTAGATTATATCTTAGAGTTTGCTTTTCTGTGCTTATATTACTTATCTGTTCTTACATGTTTTCTACTTTTTCTATTAGAGTTCTTAATATATTAATTATAGTTATTTTAAATTCCATGTATGATAATTCCAAAATCTGTGCTGTTTCTGAGTTTGGATTTGATGCTTGCTTTTTCTCTTAAAACTGTTAGCTTTTGTATTATAGCATACCTTTTATGTTAAAAGGCAGACAAGATGCATCAGATGATAGTAACTGAGATAAATTTGGCTTCAGGGTGAAGTTTTATGTTAATCTTGTTGAGTGTGGCTATGTTTAACATTTGTTGTAGCTGTGGGTGTCAGACGTCTCAATTTCTTCGTTTGTTGTTTTTGCCTCCCTTATTGCCTTTGGCTTTTACTAAACTTCTTATGTACAATTTACAACTTTTTCAGCTATCATCCACTGTTATACTGGAGTCCTGTTTGTGTAAGACCTGTTTGTGGAGTCCTCTTTGTAAGGTGCAGGATTGGTGAAGCATCCTATAAAATTATGACTGAACCTCAGTCGTTAAATTGGTCGGAGTTTTGGGGATGTGACAATCACAAATGTGAAGGTGTTACTCAGAGGAAATGCCCTCTCCTACATGTAATAAGTATTTCATGCAAAATATTTTATCTTGGAGAGCATGCCTTTGTCATGGAGAAGGTGGAGGGACTATTTCACAATGGTTACTCTTTTTGGCTCTTCACCATGAGAAGCTAGTGGGTGTCCTTGAAATAAAACCTTAAAAAATGTGGGGGTCCCCTTGAGACTTAAGACAGTGAATCCTAGAAATTTCTCATTCTCATACTATTCTATACTCAGCCTCCAGCAATTTGTCAAAATTACCATTTAAGTGTTCCCAGCACTTTATGGCTCATTGGATTCTGCTCCAGGTAAGTTCAACTTGGCTGTGGTTCTCTGGATTTGCCTGTCTCTCCAGATTTGGGTAGGGGGTGGTTATTGTCCTATGACCTCAGTTTTTAGATATATCAAAGAAAAATCATTGAATGTTAGTTTTTTTCTGCCTTTTTCTTATTTTAAGGACATGAGTGAAGACTTCAGCTCTTACAGTTTGGATCTTTAGATGAATTCTTAATATCTCAATGACATAAACAAATTTGAGCCCCAGTTTTATTGGAAGTGGAAAGCACACCCTATTTGTGAGATTTGAGGGAAATAATGAAAATGATTTTTTTTTTAAATTTGGCAAGGCATCTGAAACTCCAACTGTTACATGAAATGCTCTTGACAAAAAATTCCCTCCAAGGCAGTCAGTGTTAAAACAGTCGCAGTGATTACAGAACTCTTACACTGGTTTGCCATAAAAACTAGAAAGCCATTCCTGGATCTGGATAAATTCTCTGTTCCTCCTTTCTTTAACATTTGTAAAAGTCCAGTCTTTTATGCCTGTTTTACGGGCTATATTCGCTTGCCTACAGTAGGCAAGTTTATTAGTTGTATGCTATGCACTAGGCACTGTTTAAGCACTTAGGGTGAAAGAGTATACAACAGAAAGAAAAATCCCTGCCCTCATGCAACCTACATTCTCATGTAAAGATAGAGAAAAATGAGAAAAATACATAAAACGTAGTATGCTGGATACTAGTAAGATCTAAGAGGGAAAAAAGTAGAGATTGGAAACCTGAGGAAAGTAATTTTAGATAACATGACCAGAAAAGAGCTCTTTAAAAAGATAGTGTTAGAGTAAATGCCTGAAGAAGGTAAGGGCCTCAACCATGCATAATAGTTGAGGAAGAATATTCCAGGAAAAAGGAAGAGCAAATGTGAAAGCTCTGAGTTAGAGGTGTCCCAGAGTTTTAAGGACCAATAACTGGGAAGCCAGTGTTGCTGGATTTGAGCCTAAAGGATGTACAGTCAGAGAATAAAAGTAATATAGACAGAAGACAGGGAAATGCTGGGTAGAAGAGTGTGGTCCCCAGTGAGGGCCCCACCCTCAAGCCTAGACCCACAGCCCAAAGTGAAAACTTTGCATCCCTGTTTTCCTGCTCCAATGTTGCCTTTTCCAAAACCAGCCTGGCACACCCTGCCCACCATCCTGTATCAATAAAATCCCCAGGCCCCACTGGCAGAGCAATGACAAAGAAAGACAGAAAAGAAGCAGCAGCTTGACGTTGGAGAGAAGCAGCTTGACTTCAGACGGACAGCTTGATGGTGGGACCTCGGAGAGAGTCTGGTTGGGGCAGCCAAACTCCTGCCACCTTCCCATTCCATTTCCTTTTCAGCTCTCCGTCGTGCTGAAAACCACTTTCATTGGCAATAAAATCCCCCACATTTACCATCTTCAATTCATTCGTGTGACCTGATTCTTCCTGGATTCTGAGCAAGGGCTCAGGATACAGAGGGCTGTCACACTGAGCTGTTAAACACATAAGCCATCCATGGACAGCGAAGCTAAAATAGTGCACTGTTAGCACATGTCCTCTCGGGCTCTGGAGGGTCACGGGCACCCCCCTAGACGCTGCCGCAGGATTGCATGGAGTTATGCTTCTGCCAGTGCCCAGAGCATTCATCTCAGCCCCTGAACCCGCTCACCTGCATGCTCCCCACCCTGCGAGGGGTTGAGAGCTGCAAGTTGAGTAAATGAACCACCCCCTTTACAAGTCCCACAAAGGAGTCAGGGAAACTTTCCCATTTCAAAAGCAAAGTAGAAAGATAAAATTCATCTTACAAGTGCTTATGTAGGGTCTTGTGTAAATATACATTATATATAATATATAATGTATATATATACACATTATATATATAATGTATATATATACACATATATATAATGTATATATATACACATTATATATATAATGTATATATATATAATATATATATAGAGAGAGATATACACATTATATATATAATGTATATATATATTATATATATATATATATATAGAGAGAGAGAGAGAGAGAGAGAGAGATGGAGAGATGAGGGGTCTTGCTATGTTGCCCAAGCTGGATTTAATCTCCTGGGCTCAAGTGATCCTCCAGCCTCGGCCCCCTGAGTAGCCGGGACCACAGGCATGCACCACTATGCCCAGCTGATTATTTTAATATTGCCAGAACTATAGGATCAAATCTGGGTAAGATAGAAATCCACTGGAGGGTTTTGAGCAGAGAAATGACATAATTTGACTTACGTTTAATAAAATTATTTTACCAGCTGTTCCTGAGTAGGGAGAAAATTATTGAAAGAATTTTTTAAATGCATGTTTTTCCAGGCATGGTGCCAGGTATGTATCATAAAATAAATAGAGTTTCATTTTATATCAAAAACCATCATTGCTATGACAGATGGTAGAATTAGTGAACTACAGGACTAATAATATTTGACTGAAGGAAGATGAAGGAAAGGGAAAAAATACAGAGGCAGATACGGGTGTTGTGCCGTGTTCTCAGTGACCTGGGGCTGGGGTCAGAGGCTGGCATAAAAGAGGTGTCACTGAAAGTAGAGGAGGAGTATTCCAAAGAGAAAACATAATAAACTTGGAGTTTTGCTAAGATTTGACTCTGACACAGCTATCTTATTCTGATTATAGTGCAATACCTTAGAATCATCTTGGCACTTTTATACGTTAAATTTTTCTTGCTTGCTGCCTGAGACATAGTTGTCTTCCTATTTAGTCTGAAAGTTCTTTAGCTTGTTTACTTGACTAATATGTAATTTTTATTATTCCCTTGCCCACCTCCCCAACATCTTCATATAAATACTTCTTTCGGATACACAAAAATGTGACCTCATTTTCTGATAACTGTTTCTCATGGGTATCAAAGCCCAAAGTGTTTAGCAATTCAAGAATGATATATTTTATTCTTGCTGAATATAACTTTAATTTTCTACGGTGATCAATAAAAACAATATAAATTCCTTCAGGAAATGTGTCCCTGAGAGAGGATAGATACATAAGTGAAACATGAACCTGACAAGAAATGAGAATCCAATAAACATTTACACATTAACTTGAGAGCACTTTGCAGCTTGCCACATTTCTCTAAATTAGGATTTGATATAGTGAGGCTTTATGAGAGATTTTCTCCTGTAAGAGCATTATTAAAGTTATTCACACTACATCTGAAGTCTTAGATTATTGAGAATCATCATCCTCTGTCAAAGCGAGTATTAACTAATTGGTAATGGGGGACTAGAAGATGTGAAAAAATACACATGGTCTTAGAGGTAATTTATTTTTTGAAAGCAGTTGTTGACAGTTCGACATTACATTTAGTTAGCACTTCTAGGGGCTTTTAAAATTATTCTCTCTGTCAGGCAGAACACAGTTTCTATGCTTTCACAAGACTTATGAACAGACATTCCTTTTTTGATTTTCTTTCCATGCATTTGAATTAAAATGCAAACCTCTGTTGCTGTCTTTGCCAGATGCTATACCAACATTTTTAACAGCTGCAATGTCCTCTACATTCAGATTTAACATTTTCACCTTTCAAAATGACAATTATTTTCAATATTTCAGATTTCTCTTTGGCAAGTAAGAAAGATCCCAGAGTAGAGCTAAAAATCTGTTCTAAATAAATTCTGGAAAGGAGAGGCTTAAGCAGTTGGCAGTAAACACCATCAATAGACTGTATTTCTTACTATAGAAAATAGTTTGCCTTCTCCAAACATCTCACATTTTATTGTAATTTCAATTGTTTCTCTGCTAGATGACGGTGACCTTTTCAGATAATAAAAAATTTGTAACCGAATTACGACTTTTAGACTTAAAATCAGCTGGAATCAGGCTTTGCTGGGATATTTTAAATGTTGTTAAAAATTGTGTAATACTTTTACCTAGGCCGGGCGTGGTGGCCCAGCCTGTAATCCCAGTACTTTGGGTGGCTAAAGCGGGTGGATTGCTTGAGCTCAGTAGCTCAAGACCAGCCTGGGCAACATAGTGAATGAAACTCTATCTTTACCGAAAATACAAAAAATTAGCCGGGCGTGGTGGCGCACACCTGTGGTCCCAGCTATTCAGGGACTGAGGTGGGAGAATCGCTTGAGCCTGAGAGGTAGAGGTTGCAGTGAGCCGAGATCATGCCACTGCACTCCAGTCTGGTACAGAGTGAGACCCCATGTCAAAAAAACAAAACAACAACAAAAGTTTAACTACCTGCTCCCATGACTGCAACCACCCTGACAACTTGGTTTCTAACACTGGAAATGACTTAAAAATGGCAATTGTTTGGGTTTTTTTCATAATTAGATATAACACTGGAGCTGAGTGTGGTGGCTCACGCCTATAATCGCAGGACTTTGGCAGGCCAAGATGGGTGGATCACTTGAGGGCAGGAGTTCGAGTCCAACCTAGCCAACATGGTGAAACCCCGTCTATACTAAAAGTACATAAATTAGCCAGGCATGGTGGTGCATGCCTGTAATCCCAGCTACTCGGGATGCTGAGGCACAAGAATCATTTGAACCCGAGAGGTGGAGATTGCAGTAAGCCGAGATCGCTCCACTGCATTCCGGACTGGGCAACACAGCAAGACTCCAGTTTAAAAAAAAAAAAAAAAAAAGATACAATATTGGAACTCAAAATATTTGTTGTTTTGGTTTTAGATTAAAATTGATTCTTTTTTTATGCAAGTAATTTGTAAGACAGAGGAAACTGAAAGACTAAAAGAAAATCAGTGTTGTGAAAATGTACAAATAGACATCAGACAAAAGAAATGGAGCTGAATTTAAGAATATAATATGGATCATCAAAAGAGAGTTAGACATATTTTGTCACCACATTGTAAAGTATGATCCTACATCATCTGTTCTATCAATACACTGTATTTCATTGCACATATGAGTTCAGCGCAATCTAGCACATGAACAAGTATATGAATAAAAGAGATACAGTTATATAAATTGTTCTTTAAATTTGACAGAAAAGCATACTTGAAAATGACATGTTCATGTTAAAAATGGTAGTTTTTCATACACAAAAATACAAAATTTAATTAAGATGCAGATTTATTTATGATATGGCTATGGTAGTAGTAGATTCCAATTTTTCCCAATTAACTAATTATAAGAAATAAGAGAGAGGAAAAATGTATTTATCTTTCCTAATCCTAGCCACATCCTTTGCTTAGTTTTATGACCTCGAATTTTTCCAAGTGATCAAGTCACAACACTTTTTGTATCAGAACATAAAAATCAAGTAACCATCAATAACCCTTAAGATTAGGGAACTAAGTAGTTCTTCTAGGCCATGTGTGGAGCCAAACTCCTAAACAATCCTTGCCCTGGTAGTCAGGAGAGGCCAGAACATCTGCCTCAAGAGCTATAGCCTGCCTTTATGACATTTTATGGCCAAGAAATTCTCTAACCTTGAAATTCAGCAAGGACCCCAGACCATCAGCACCTGTAGGAAAAGTAAACAAAATTTCTTTCTGGAGGAAGAGAATATTATCCTAAGACTCATGTTATTTGTATGTGTTTTTCTTAAATAACATTTCTGATATACAAAGATAAAGGGAAACAGTGAGATGCATCACAAATGACCACAAACTAAAAAATAAAAAATAAAAAAAGTCATGAGATAAAACCAGGCTTAAAAACTTCATCGGTTAACCAGAAACTCTAAAATGAGTTTAGCTGATTTGTAGAAAAATTAAAATTCTAGAATAAAAAAATACAGTAACAAAATTAAGAGGTCCCAATAGATGAGTTTAGTAGCAGTTTAAAAACAGCTAAAGAGATGGTTAATAAATTTGAAGACAAGTCAGAAGAAACTATAGAAAATGATAGGCAGAGAGACAAAAGATGGGGAGAGAAGAGATGGTATAAAAAAACTGACATGTTTAATTGATTCTCATGAAAAGAATAGCGAAAGTGAAGCAGAAACAATATTCAAGTCTTAAATTTTTGCAAATTAAAGACACCAATCCTCACATGCAAGAACCCAAAATATTTTCAAGAAAGGATAATAAAAATAAACTTACAACTTGTAAAACTCCAGAAAGCCAAATGCAAAGAACAAAGTTTTACATAGAGACCCCCAAAGCAGATGATATTCAAAAAATTGAGAGTATGAAACTAATCTCTAGAGCAACAGTGGAAGTCTAAATAAAGGTTAGCTTGTGATTGATGGCAAAATCACACAGTCTTAGTGTAAAGCAGTAAAAGTTTACTTCTTGCTCAAATCTCTATTCAGTGAGATTGGATGAATCTCCTCCATCTCGTATGCATGGCACCAGGATTGTGGAGAGAAGAAAGGGCAGAAGGATTCCGCAAGATGATTTAGAGAACTATGACCCAAAGTACCTTACTTCACTTTCTCTTACCTCACATTGGCTGGAACCCCAGTATATGGTCCATACATAATTACAAGAGAGTCTGAAAAATGTGGAGAAGACCATTATTTGGTGAAGCCTAGCCTTCTCTCTACCAGACAAAATCACACTTTTGCTGGCATCGCACAAAGCAAATACAATTAACTTATTGAGGGGAGACAGTACAATGTGATTCCCAGTCACTGAATTCAGCTCAAAATCCAAGATGTATAAATAATGTTCAGTTCAGGCTTCAGAAAAATAAAAATAAAATAAAAAAAATAAACTGAACACAACAGTGGTCATTTTCGCACGACACCATTGTAATCCTGCAGATAATACACTGAAAAAGTATAGGGTTCCTCTGGTAGTAATTTTGCCCTATTATTACCTGTGTCTTTTTCTTTTCTACAGCATCTACTCCTGTCTTCTGCAAATTACTTCTCATCTCTCATGATTTTGTACATATAAGGCGAACACTTCGAAGTATGTCGTTTTGGGCAAGCTATATACATCTTTCTTGGCCCAACAGAAGGATGATTCCTAAAAGATGTGTAAAATAAAAGTTTCAGAGGCTTTTTAAAAAAGTCTAGGCTTGTGGTTTCTTTGGCAATATAACTTTCTCAAAATCTACATTGCATTTTAATTTTGATTATTCAAATTTATTATTTATTATTTAAATTATTTATTATTTAAATTTATTTGATTATTACATGTGCTGGTAACAATATCCAATAATACCCTAAATTGTTTTCTTCAATCATATTTATAAAATATGCTCTTTTTTTTTTTTTTACTTTATTGACTTTACTTCCTTTCTGTCTCTAGCCCACCCCTTTCCCTTAATTCAGGCTACTCCAAACTATTATTCTGAACTTTGTTTGAGTTATTTTATCCAACTGGGTAATTTAATTGTTAACAACATTCTACTTATGTTATAATATTTTCCCTGAGTTACTACATTCAACTGAATAGTTTTGTTCAGCCTCTGTCTTACAAAGCCATTCTAATATTTTCAATTTTGTCCTGATGTTTTCAACACTTCAAAGTCTTGATTTGTAGTGTTCTTTATATTACCATTCACTTTTTGGCTTGTAATCTTATCAAGAATTTCTTATACTGCCATCCATGTCACTGCAACTTTAATTGAATATTTTGTCATAGCATAGCATGGATCACCAGATACTCTGGTAACCAGATCGTCTAGTCTCCTGTATAAACAGAGAATACATGATACATCTCCTCCCTTAGCAACGTATGGTTAGCATCTTATCTCTTGTTTGTATAAGGTCATGGAGTAAATCTGAATTTCCAGCATGTACATACTTCTACAACACCCAATAACTTCATCTGCAGAAGAATATTTACCTAAGTTTGCAGGAAAAATAGGTTTCCAGTGTGATGCTGTGTTCATGTGCAATTTCAATATTAAAACACTCAAAATGAAGGTTCAAAGAGATGTTAAGCATCACTTAATCTACAATCTAGTAGCTAGATCAACAAACTCCAAACCTTTCCATTTCTCAAACTGTTCATTTATTTTGATTCTGTTCCAAAAAAAAAGTGAAAGTCTTTTGAGTCCTTTTACATTTTAACCAAAGTTTACCTGATCAGAAGTGGGAATTCAGTTATAGAATATAAGATGAACCTACCCGACTTCTTCCTCAAGCATAAAAGTTGTTATTTCCACGGTTATCAATGTGAAAATTGAGTCTCACCCCTAGGCACATAATGAGCAATCAATGAATTCTAGTTGCTTCTTTTTAAAGACAAGAAAGACGCATTGCTTATTTAAAGCCAATGTATAAAGCTAAGCCATCTGTACAGTTTTATTGTTCTCTGCGGTAACAGAACTATCATCAGGGATTGCTAAAGAGATGGTTGTTTAAATATAAACACCGAAGGCCAATCCATCTGAATATTTGAGTGTGTTTGCATGTAAACTGATTAATACTTATTTAATTTATGCTTAATCGTAAATTAGGACTACTATCAAGATAGACTTCACTGAACTTGAAAATCAAGACAAAATCTGTAATATTTATTTACAGGGACCAACTTCTATTCTAAACATATTTAAATGGATACTTACGAATTTAAAATGTGAAGGTTTTTTGTGTAAGTGAAACTCAAAGTTCACTGAGAACCACTTCAACACTTATTTAGAAAACTATTCAAGTTACTAATGCATTTCCCAGCATCTCAATATATCAGCAACCGAAAGAATAATGTTATTTATAAATATTAATAAACATACTCTCTCTTAACACCAAAAGGTAGATGCATTTTTATATATAACGTCTCATATTTACTTATTAATTCTCTATTAAGCAATCATATAGAATTTTGCTTCCAAGAACACCTCTGAAAGTTCTAGGCTTGGTATTTACCTTCTTGATGAAACTGGTTATTTATCTGAAAAGAAAACTATTATTTACCAAAAAAATAACTCTTTGCACTCTATTAAAGAAGAATGAACACAATCAATGCAATTCAATAGCTGCATTTTTAACAGGTGACAGCCTTTACACATACATGGAACTATGTGACAATTCCCAGTCTTTATGTAATGAGAGCAGTCTGGCTGTTTGACTTGAATATATTACGTTACAAATTTTCTGGAATATGGCTGAGAGTTTTTTTTCTAACAGTTTTAATATACAATAAAATCCCAAATTTATATAGATATTCCACCACTGAATTAACTTGTCACATAGAATCTTGGTTATACCCGTTGTGCCAGAGGCTTTCCGTATATTCAGTGAATAGACATCGAAACATCATAGAATGTCAAAAAAAAAAAAAAACAGAAAATATATTAGAAATAATTTAGTCCAAACCCTTTCTTTTCAAAGAGAAAAACGGAATCTCATTATATAAATGCCACTCCGAAGCCTCCTAGTGGCAGAAGCGAGACTGTTCTGACTCTTGACAGAACTACATGGTAAGGGGCTTGAACCAAACACCTTTCTTCTGGCTTTACTCCCAAAACTACCTGGTTAAAACACAGGAATAGGTGTTATTGTGTAATGATAATTCTGTATGAGGATGAGCTGAAAATAATTATCACCATTAGTTGACCAATAAAAAGCCAAGATACATGAATGTAAGAGATATTAAATTCCTAGAAGCATGACTCAGTTACCCACTATTTCTAATTAAAAAGTCCCATGTTGATATTATTGACCTTTCAAGCAATAATTTTCTGAGATATTACGTGAGTAAATAGAAAATCCATTTACATGATTCAATGAGTGAAACCTCTGTCAGCTAAAGGGTTATATTATGAAGCACAGCACATTTGGATGACTCATTTAGACCTCTAATTCTGTTTGAGATTTACTCCATTAAGCTGAAAACTAAATATAATTGGCTATAGCTCTAAAATAAAATGTAAAGATAAGCATTCTATTAGCAATCTGCTCTATATAAATAATTTTATAGTCTATGTTTTTTAAAAAACATTTTAGCTATTGATATGTATATGAATTAGAGTAATTCAAATGGAAATGGAAAAATTCAACTTTTTCATAAACTGCAAAAGAATGCTTTATCTTAACAAAGAGACTCACTCTCAACAACATTCAACATATGAGAATTTAGGACAAGGTATTACCTATAAGTGACCACATTTTTCTCTGCTAGAAAGGAATTACCTACACATAAGTAAATTAGAGTATAACTTAAACACTAAGGGTGTAACATACAGAAAATAAAATAGAAACTGTAGTGCAACACAAGACTGTAGCAGGCTGATGGGATTGTTTTAATATATAGTTAGTACATATGGGTTTGTTATTACAATACAATCTCAAATTGCACCTAAAATAGATTGTTTTAAAAGTTTAACTAAAAGTTTTACCAAAGAATAGACTAACTGAGTTTACTCAATTTAAGATCTCTTAAGGAATCAGTAAAAATAATAAATAACGCTTATAGAGCCCTTACTATATATCAGGCTTTATGCTCATTACTTTAAGAAGGGCTCTACATTTAGTTCTCATCTCAGCAGCTTGAGGTGGTGGGCACTCTTATGCCAAATCTAGAGTTGAGAAAAGTGAGATATATCAAATTTGCCCATGGGGGCAGGCAATAAGATGAAAGCTAGAGACTCAGTCTAGGACTACAAAACTCCAAGGTCCAAACATCTGGTCCTTATGTGCAGAGAGGTAGTGGCATGAAGGAGGAAGAAACCAGCTCCTAGGATGTGGCAGGCACTGCCCCAGATTCTGGTTATAGGAGTGAGAAAAACAGGCCAAGTCCTTATCCACGTAGAACTTAACATTCTAGCCAGAGAGACAGGTACTAGACAAAAACATAAATACATATTAAAATATAGACTACAATACAATGAATAAGTCATGAATAAAAAAATTCTATGTGAGATTTTAGACTGAGTGCTCTCTTAAAGACCTTGATCAGAAGAGGTATCTCTGAGGAGATAATATTGAAGCAAAGGAATGAATGAAGCAAATGAGGGAGGGAACGTCGAGAACATCAAGAGAAAAGGTGTTTTAGGCAGGGGAACAAGTAATAAAGCCCTGAGGTAAAAGTATGCTTGGAAGAATAGAGGCCACTGTGATAGGAATGGAATAAACCAGAAAAAGAGTAGTAAGAAATGAGATCAGAGAGGTAACAGGGAGTCAGATCATGTGTGACACTGAGTCCATGAAAAGGACTTCAGATTTTGTTTTACATGGTGTAATTAACCATTGGAGGATAGAGACATAGAAGCTACATAATTTGATGTATATTTTAAGAGACTCACTCTGAAAGCTGTGTGATCATGACTTGCAGTGAAGGTACTTGTTAGGGGATATTATGGTACGTCAGTCAAAATGGGTGTATTAGTATTGCACCATTCCTATACGTAGTACTAGACTAGACACTGGAGATTAAGGGAGAAAGAAGCAGTCAGATTCAACGTTGCTTTTGATCTCAGATTTAATTTTATTTGCTGCTGGATTGTATATGTGATGTGACCAAGAAAGGATGAAGAAAAGTTTCATCATATGGCTTAAAAATGTATCTTCTAAAATTACTGAAGGATAAACAGACTTGGTCTGAGAAATAGTCAAGTAATCAGTGTGTGCATATTAAGTTTGAGATGCCAATTGGTTTTCCATGTGAAGATGTTGAGTAGAAAGTCGAATATAAGATTCTAGAGTTTAGGAAGAATTCAGGGATGGAGATGTATCTTTGCACTATTCAGTGAGTTGATCAAGGGGACTAGAAGATCTCAAGTAAACCCTTGGTGTACATAGAGAGGTGCTTTGAGGACTAAGTCTAGAGGCCCCTCAGACCTTAACTTTGGAGAAGAGATGGAGGATTGAATTAAGGAGTGTGAGAAAGGGTGGAAAATGAAGTAAGAAAGTAGAATGTGATGTTCTGAACATGAAGTGAAGAAAGTGTTTCAAGAAGGGAGAGATCAACTCTCAAATATTGCAGAAGGAACAAGTAAAATGTGGACTAATAATCTGCCATTGACTTTGATAAAATAGAATAACTGGTGGTTACCAGAGGGACTGAATTATTAGGCTTCATAGTCCCAACTGATACTAAAAAGTAGAAAAATATAGAAAATCCCTAACCCAACTTGCTCCAGGGATAGGTGAAAAGTTTAAAGTAGCTGTACCCAACCAGTATAATGTCTGGATATTTTCTATACCAGAATAACAATATCCTAGTTAGGCTACTATGAGAAGCCTCTTGCTTCAGGGTCAGAAGATCAGAATTAGTTGCAAAGTGTAATGGTGGTAAAGAGAATATTGCATTTGTGAGCAAAAGCTGGGACTCTGAAAAGAACTGGGTTCAACGTTCAGTTGCTTCACTTAGGAATTGTGTTATACTTCCCCTGTTGCTTAACTTTTCCGTTTCATTTTCTTCAGTAATAAAGTATTTTAAAAGTTCCCAGCATATAAGCTTGCTTTAAGAATTTAGTAAATAGTTGGTTCATTATTACTATTATTATTATTGTGACAATGGCAAAAGAAGAGACCCCTACATTAAGCTCCCCACACACAGAGCATTAACCTTCCATGTGCCAATCCATTTTCTGCACTGAAACCAGAATAATTTTTCTAAATTTAAATGTAATTAAGAGGAATTGTTAAAACAGGGAAACTACTCTGTATGATACTATAATATTGGGTACTAGTCATTATGTATTTGTTCAAACCCATAGAACATCAAGAGTGAAAGCTAACATAAACTACTATTTCGGTGATACTTGTGTGTCAATATAGGTTCATAGATTGTACCAAATGTACCATCCTGGTGGGGAATATTGACGGTGGTGGAGGTTGTGCATATGTGAGGCAGGAAGCATATAAGAGCTCTCTCTACTTTCTGCTCAATATTTCTGTGAACCTAAATCTGCTTTAAAAATAAAGTCTATTAAAATTTAAAAATAAAAGCATACTGGCACATCTACATATTTTATGAGGATCAGAGGCCATATATTTTACAAGGATCATTGGCCACGGTGCAGTGGGAAGAGGATATAATTGGAAAACCGAAGTTATTTGTACCTTGACTTCTACTTAGAATGGCCTTATTTTTGCTCATATTTCCACAATGCATAGGAAATTAAAAAGACAAATCACTTATAAAATGATGAGTTGCATTTTCCATATATATATATATTTGAAATAAAAAATTATTAATAAACCCTTAAGTTATTATTTTGGCTAAAAACTTGTCTTCTCTGAAGTAGAAGTAGCCCTGGGAAACACAACATACAAGTGTTTTAGCTGTGGGGTCATAAAATCTGTATGCAGAGTGCTTGGACTCAAGACCTATGCTCACTAATTGTGTGACCTTGGACAAGTTATGCAACATTTTAAGATTGACAGATAAAATTGTATATATGTCATGTGCATCATGATATTTTGAAGTGTATATATACATTGTGGAATAACTAAATCTACCTTTTCTCCAAGTTGCCCCTCGATGCTGAAGAATGCTCCGGGGTATTATTAAGTAACTTCCTGCTTTAATTATCCTAGTGGTACCTTAATATCCTGAAATAGCTAATTCAGCTGGCTAAACTCACTGGGGTCAGATAATGTTTTAAAGACTATGAGACTCTAGTATAGCATTACATTGACTGAAAATTGTGGAAATAAGCTTTAATGGTCCACTTCAACAAGAACTATTACAGTTCCATTTTTAAATAAGAATAATCATTAACATAATAAATGGTATCCTGGCAATATAAACTTTTAAAAATTCAAACTGTTCTTTTTAACTAGGGCTTGGCTATTTTAAATATGCTTCTCAAATAATTGAGGCGCCTGGCCTTGCAATTCAATAACGTCCAGATAATACAGCTAATGTATTTAAATGTATAAAGATGTATCTCATGGCTTTCTGCAGACCATTTTTTTTATTTCATGAGTGTAAATGGTCTCATTAGCCAAGATTGCCATGGGCATGAAGCATCAACCAGGTCTAAAAGTCCGTTTTAAATGCTTTCATAATTCTTGGGCACCTTTTGAGAATTTTAATGTTTTCTTTTTAACTGTCATTCATGAAATTAACAAAAGAAAAGAAAATCACAACATAGAAGGGATGAGGTAAAACTCAGAAATTAATGCCAGAATGAATACGTGGTTCCTCTGTTTCCTAACTAGAGACACTGTTTAAAATTATCTGAAAATATTGTAGAGGGGATTGAAGAGACTGGAGTTTTGAAGTAACATCTCTAAGGGAACTCTTGAATAAAAGAGAAAATTCAAAAAAGCCTAAGGGAAATATGAATGTTAAAATGACAGAATTTTACTACCCACTCCCCATCTGCCATAATCTTTTGTCATAACTTGTAATAAATAGCTACGTTTCTAATTGAGATTCTAATGAACGCTAAGAGAGTCTGAGTGCGTTTTTGGAATTTAAAGGGCGGGGAGGGAAATAAACTCATACAACAAGGTTTCTGAAAAGTCTAAACGTTTTAATTACTCAGTGGTTAATTTATAAACCAGATTATTAGTCCCTCGGTTTTCACAGTTGACGTTTAAAATGTATAAAGCCATGGAATTCAAACATTGGGATGCGATCTCCCATTCAATCTAGTGTTAAATATATACGTAAAACTTAGCTCCTCTCTCTACCTACTGAATCCATTTTAATGAGTGTGGGGACCAGGCAACTGTCACTTTTAACAGGGTAGGACCACTGGCCTGCCTTTTGCCTTATCACCAGTTATGTGCCTATGGCTAAAATTTCATGATCAAATTAAAGGCTCAAGAAAATTATCCTCTTTTAATCACAAACCATATAATCCTCAGGCCAATTATATTCTTTATATTAGTAATACAACTCTCTCTAGGTTGCAGGGAGTCATGACCTCCTTGGGGGTCTAAATTCCTGAAATAACTAGAAAGTTATTGATGAGAATTTTGAGTCACCCTGGGCAATCTACCTAACTCTGCTGCTTAAAGAGACAATGTTTTACAGGATTTTTCTCTTCCAGAACACAGGGTTTTAAAGCCTGGTTTCCTGATATTTACTAAATCTATGAGACAGTCAGAGAATGGGGCTGGAAAAAACCAAGGCAGTTTTTCCTGACTCCAAATCCTGCACTTCTTTCCTTCCCAGCGCAACGCAGCAAAACATGGCAGACATTCTACTTGGGCGCTCATTCCCACAGTCACACACTCACCAGAGGCTGGTTTGTTTGGGTTGCTGTTTATTTGTTTGTTTTCTTGACTCTTTCACGAAATTGAAAATAATTTATGTCTTTTCTGACTTCTAAGTTGCATCATTTTAAAATTCAATATTAATGATACATAGAAGAGTTTTTTGTGTATAAAATTAACTCAAACTAAAACATATTATTTATGAAGATATTAAATGTTGGATTTGTTAAGTTACTTGTAAGCATAAATAAGACAAAAACAAAGTGGACTAATGTGCTAATTCCCTAACATTGTTACAGGAGGTAAAAGCAGGTTAGTTGTTCAAAGGCAGTTTTGATTGATCTTTCACCTTTAAATGTCTGAGTGCGCAATTGATCCATCTCCATTGAGCTTTCCAGCAAGCATGCTTTGTTGATGAATTTATATTTTGGAGGCTGGATGCTTCCTCAAGTATCGTGATTTTGGAAGGGGCCATCATTCCCTCTCCTTCAGTTCATGTAACCAAGCCTGGTAGAAATTACATAAGAGTTCAGTGAAAGTCTCTCTAGACAGGTCACATTGGGATTAGGCAAGAAGAACCTGAAGAAGTTGAATGATCCTTGTAAGCCTCAGCTTTCTCATCTAGCAAAACAGATAAATACAGAAACTGCCTCATGCTGTTGCTAATTATCTTCTTACCAATATGTATACATTCTGCAAAAGTTGAATTTGAAAATATTTTGTGAGACTTTGCAACGAAGTCTTCTAGATTGCGGGATCATAAAAGTGAAGAAAATATACAGCTCTCCTTAAAAAATTTGCAGCTTAGTTGGGAATTAGAACTTCCAATGTGGGGAGAGTTAAGTGCAACAGAAAGGCCAAATCATTGGGAGCTTGTAAGTGGAGCACATAGCCCAGTCTTTATGCTTATTGTGCATTTTGGGGAGCGGTGGTGGAGGTGAAGAAGGAAAGAGAGAAGAGGCAATGAGGAGAGCCTCCTGGGGGTTTTTTGAGAATATATTCTTTGTTTATGAAAGTGATTATTTCTAGTCATTGTTTTTTGATTAGTGCAGGAGTATCTGTCTTAAAATAGAACAGAGTTTACTTAAAGAACAATAACTTTCTACCAAAACAAGTGACTTTAAAAACTGGTCAGGATATAGGTAGAAAATTAAATTTCCATTACCATACATTTTGTATTGATTTGAAAAATGCCAAGTTATTTTCCATGCCAAAAAGCAATTGTCATGTGCATAATAATGGGTCTTATTAAGATAAAACTCTAATAGTTACTATAAACCTTTGGGAACTAAATTGTTTAAAGTATGGCATATATTTTAAGAGCACTTTTCCTTCTTTAGCAAATTAACTTTTACATGCTCTTTGGCAAAAATGCATGGATCACCATGGGAAAAATCTCTCCTGAATGCTCTCACACCTCCATCCGCGTCTGATTTATATGTCCACATATTGTCATTGCACTATCATTGCAGGTTTGCTAATCTATGCTTTCTGCTAGACTCCTAGACTTTACTTTATTAGAGTAATATACAGTTGACCCTTAAGTAACATGGGCTTGAATTGTGTGGGTCCATTTACATGTAGATTTTCTTCCACCTCTACCACCCCTGAGGCAGCAAGACCAACGCCTTCTCTTCCTTCTCCTCCTCAGCCTACTCAACATGAAGACGATGAGAATGAGAATGATCCACTTCCACTTAATACATAGTAAATATGTTTTCTTTTTCTTATAATTTTCTAAATAACATCTTTTTTGTCTAGCTTACTTTATTATAAAAATAGAGTATATACTACATATAACATAAAATATGTGTTAATCAACTTTTTATTTTTGGTAAGGCTTATGATCAACAGTGGGCTATTAGCAATCAAGTTCTTGGAGAGTCAAAAGTTATACACACATTTTTGGCTGTGCAGGGATTTGTCCTCCTTTACCCCAGCATTGTTCAAGAACCAACTATAATCTATTCTTTTATTTTGTTATTTACATGTCTATTTTTTAGCATCGAACTTGACTATAATAACTCTCACCAACTATATGGTGATTCAATTAGTGAGAGGATTAAACTGATGAAAGCCATATCTTAATGAAAGCCATGACAGAAAGATTCTGGAGATTTGATTTAATAGGCGGAATAATGACCTCTCTCCAAAAGATGCCATATCTTAATCACCCAAATCTGTGACTGTGTTACATGACAGGGCAAAAGGGACTTTGCAGTTGTGATTAGTACAGACCTTGAGTTGGGGAGATTATCCTGAATTATCCAGGTGAGGCTCAAATGTGGGGAAGAGTATTTAAAAGCAATAAAGGGCAGCAGAAGAGGGGTGTCAGAGCAATGATCAGTCAGAGAAAATGTTGCTGGTTTGAAGATCGAGGAAGAGGGCCTCAAGAGGAAAAAGCAAGGAGATAGATTCACCTCTAGGGCCTTTAGAAAGATACACTGCATGACCTGGCTGGTACCCACCTTCCATCTCTCTTCATTTGATGTCATGCTACCCTTGACTCACAGTGTTCTGGCTGAACTGGTTCATTTATCATCCCTGCCACAGGACCCTGCCTCTGCTGTTACCCTCAGTCTGACATGCTCTTTCCCTACATTTCCCCTATCCTAATTGATCCTACACATCCTTCCTGTTTCAATTCAAGTATCATTTCCCCAGATAAACCTCATTCATTGGTCAACCTCTCCACTCACCCTCAGTAGAGGTCAGATCACTTTATTATTTGCTGTCACTGAAATATTGTTCGTTCTATTAGAGCACTTATTTCATCCTGTATTTGAGCATTCATCAGAATGATGGCTACATTCCACCAGACCAGAAGCAATGTGAGAACTTAGATTGGATTTGTTTTACTTAACATTGTGTAACCAGCCACTGTCATATCACAGTAACTGGTATAACTCTAATAGGAACCAGATAAGAAATTTTTGAATAAAAAAATTTGTTCAAAAATTATTGCTCTCCCAAATATGTTTCCTTACTTCTTGATCACAGTTTGAGGTGATAGATACAATTATATTCAGTCTAAGGATAAACAAAAGCAGAGTTGTTAAATGTCATAGCCAAGGAAAATGTTAATTTTATAGCCAGCACTAGAACTCAAATTTTCTGATCATAAAATAAACGATGTAAGTCTCTTTCAACTAGGTGTGTATTTCTAAAATAGCCTGACTCAAATATTGACATGGAGATTCCTTTGGTATTTAGGGCTAGTGGCCACTTTATTTCTCTTTTGAGACATAATCAAGGTCCTGTCATCTTAAGATCTCAGAGCTCAATGAGCATGTAAAAATTGAGCAGTTTGTTAAGGTGACATATTCCAAGGCCATGGAAAGACTTATAACTCAGAGGACATATTAGCAAGCAGTACAAACCCTGGAGTAGTGTCAGTTCAAAGCAGAGACACAAAGGAAATGAGATGAGTTCCTTTAAATAATGCCAAGACCATAAATTCAATAGTTGTATGAAAGAAAAGCATCAACAATGGGTAATAGAAGATCAACAAGAAAAATATTTTAATAACACGATATGAAAGTTGTGTTACATAGCATAGTCTATTAAAATCATAATTTGATATTTTCATGACATTAAAAAGAATAAAGTGTATATAGCCCTAAAATGTTACTTATTTTAATTTTTAAATTAGTTTCATTGAGGTATAATTTACATAAAATTGAATTCCCACATTTTAGGTGCACAATTTGATTAATTTGAACAAATATATGTAGTGTAACCACCACAATCAAGAACATTCCCATTACCCAAAAGAATTTGACTACACCTTTTTGCAGGCAGCATCCTCCCTTTTCCATGGTCTTCATAACACTGATCAACTTTCTATCACTATAATTTTTCCTGTTGCAGGATTTCATATAAGTAAGATGATACAGTAAGTGGTCTTTTGTGTCTGTTTTCTATCACTTCACATCATGCTTCTCAGATACATCTTGCTAATTGCATATATCAATGTTGTTTTCATTTTGGATGGTTCTTATTTTCTATCTTCTACCAAAGTCCTTGTCATATTTTTTCTTCTACCAAAGTCCTGTCAAAATTTTTATATAAAAATGCTTTAAAATGAATAGTATGATTAATTTAAAATCGATTGCTTTGATTTTAGCCCCAAAGAAATGGTTTCTAATTTTCAGATCCCACATCTCTTTCCCACCCACAGCTAAGGCCACAGGACTTTGACAATCCAGTTCTAACCAATAACCTAAAGAAGAAAAGGACTTCACTTCCATTCTTGACTCACTGTCCATTAAAATGCATGCTCTTCTTGGTTGAAATTCTCTAATCCTACGATTTTATTCACCTATATAATGACAATTAACAAAATTGTGTCTTTAGATCGACTGGTCCCCTGAGCACCAGACCTTCAGTACCTTCCTCTTGATCATATCTAATTGGGCGTGTCTGCCCCCACACACAGGTCTGATGGAACTGTGAAGAGTTTAAATTTTTACATTACTTAGAAGCTAACAAGCCTTCCTGTCAGAGTTTCGTGGATGCTGGCAGAACACATGAGACTCCCGAGCCAGAGACGAAGGACTTCATCACACAGGCACAGTAGGCAGCATGAGCTTCATGTTGCTTCAGTTCCTCCGCTCCTCCCAGATCTCATCAGGTAATGTGAAGTGACCTAGGTAGAAGCTGTACACACAGTGGATATTTGTCACAGCTTAAAAACCATGACCTTAGGAAACTCCAGTCTTTTAAGGAGACTGCAGGTGAACCTGCCCAATCTTTGTCCCAGAAGGAATCAGTGCCTTTATTTCCTTAGACAACAAACAAATCTGCCCTCTGCCCCAGAGGGAGTCGTTGTATCTATTTATGTTTGGTATGCCTATATCCTTAGAAAGGCAACCCAGAACAAAAGATGCTACAAGGAGAGCAGAAACATAAGAGACTCAAGGAAAACTATCTCTCAAGAATCTCAAATCCCCAAATCCTCAAAGTGCAAAGCATAACATCTTTCTTACTCTCTCAGAAATTTCTGCCAAGTATGGTGGCTCACATCTGTAATCTCAGCACTTTGGGAGGCCAAGGAGGGAGGATCATTTGAGGTTAGGAGTTCGACACCAGCTGGACAACATAGTGAAACCCTGTTTCTACAAAACATAATTTAAAAAGTAGCTGGGCACGGTGGCATGCATCAGTAGTCCTGGCTACTTGAGAGGCTGAGGTAGGAGGATGGCTTGAATTTGCAGTGAGCCATGATCGCACCACTGCACTCCAGCCTGGGTGACAAAATGAGACCATGACTTAAAAAAAGAAAAGAAGAAAGAGAAGAAGAAGGAGGAGGAGGAGGAGGAGGCTGTTATTCTGGCAACACAATATGTATTGCTGGTCTATCCTTAACTAACTGTACACTTCTCTTATCTGAGTGATAACAGCAGCCCTGACAAATGGTTTTAAATAAATGTTTTTAAACTAAACCCACTTAATGTATTGTCAATAAAATATATGAAATCAAAGGAAATATAAAATCTGTATAAATAGAAACTCATTCAGGTGAATAGTAATTTATATATTTAAGCCACCATAGGTAACAAAAAAATTATTTCAACTTATATTGATTTGGCACTTGTTGTGTGTTACCCTTGAAAATACAAAGATGGATAAAACATAATTCATATCCTCACAAAGCTCAAGGCCTCATGGGGGAAGACATTCTAGTAAAGAGATACATTGCAATGATATATTTCATAAGGATATGTGCTATTGAAGTTGCCCTCCAAAGATTTGATAGGATCACAGCCTGGGTGGGAAGGAATTGGGGAAATGTTGTATCCAAACTCATAAAGTAGGGTACTACATATTGAGGATATCAAAAATACAAGCTGGCAGAAAAATGTATGATTTCGTCTCTTTAAAGCCTCTTCTTTACTCTCCAATAAAGTTGGTGATAACAGCTTCCCGTTGAATGGAGAAGAAATAATTCACTTAGGAAATATTTTTCATCCAATTGGGACTGAGGATTGGTAAGATCTTGACAAATGCTGTGTTTGGAGGTTTGCCAGGAGATATTTCTAACTGAGCAGCACCTTCAAGAAACAGGATATACATACACACCAGAATCAGGGCAAAAACACTCTCCGTCCTTCCCAAAGCAGAAGTCACAAAAAGAGGTGATGTCGTGCTTCCAAAACTGAACCAATCTTAATGTTCCACTAATTATGTCAGGTGTGACTGAGGCTAGCAGACATCCTGCAGAAAAAATGACTAGAAACATGAAGCAAATTTAATCATCTACAGAATGAAATTAACATTCCCAATAAAGATCTTAAAATTATTTTTATAATTTCAAAAATCAATTCTCCCATAAAAATAAAAAAATGGATTTTATGGAAGCTTAAAGACTTGTTCAATATCTCAGTTTTTGTCAGACACCCTTGAAGAACTAAGAATTCCATCAACCCTTTTCCCTGCAAATTATACCACATTGTTGCTCTCATTGTCAACCAGGTTAAAATGGTGAATCCTTTCCCTAACATGTGAATTTTACAAATATTCAATTTTCGTATGTAGGCTGTTTTTGCCTTGCATTAATTTGCAGAGTGAAACTTTCTCCACTTATTAACTAGGTTTTCGAATAAACCTATTTAACACAAAAAAGTGGTTGCCTAGAGTGAGTAATTTTTTAGAAAACTACATATCCTTCTAGAAAATAGGATAGGACAATATCCAGAATGTCTCTAATAGAAAACAGTGTCTGCCATTTAATGCCATTTTTGATAACTGCAAATTTTCTTATACAAACAAAATTTGAACTGAATTTGTAGAGGTTCTATAAAAAACTTACTCACAGTATTTGGGCAAAAAACTGCAGTCAGGTGTCCAGTTACCTGTAGAGTGAATGAAAAGCCTTCACCCACAAACATCTCCACATATTAGGGACACGGATCTGCTAATGTGAGGTTTTCAGGTTTCCTTGAATCCTCTTGCACAACTAAATATGCTCCTGCATAACACTCCTGAATGCTTCTGGCCATATATTATTCTGCTGCCTCCCTCTGACGATATGTTACTATAATAAATCATCACAGTGCACTGCTGCTCTGATGAGCTGTTGCTTCAGTACACCATTGAAGCTGTCACAGGGATGATGTATGAGAAAGGCATACTGATGATGTTTTATGCAAAAGATGGTGCTGCCCAGGGAACAAAAGGTTTAGGAGAAGATTCAACATAATTACCCAATAAAAGTCAACCCGCACACAGTATGCTAGGAAATGCATTCATGGGTATGGTAAATCACTTCCCCTTAGTGCGTGGTACTTCTGGTGCTACTGCCATAAGCCGCCTTCCCTGAGCTACAGATTGATCTAATATAAACATTTTTTTAGTGGAAACAAAAGCTTAAAGGGTGAAATTAAAATTCACCTAAAACTCAAATGTATAGATTAATTCAGAGAATCTGTATTATAAAGTAGTAAACTGGTGCTAAAAGTTTTGTTTATGTTGTTGGAGAAGGAAATATTCCCGATTTGGAATGACCATGTGGAATTATTTCCTGGGAAAATATTAACGCCCAGGCTAAAATAAAGAATTAATTAAGTTTTACACTAAATTACTTATCATGTAACATCTAAATGTCTGGGGAGCCACCTTTAATCATGACTGCTGGGACAAGGTGCCAAATTATTTAATTTAAAAATAGCCTCCTGATTTTCATTTTTCTTGCCTCAGTAAAAAGAGCATAAAAACGTAGGAATATGCAGTTTCCTCAAGTTCTCAGAGAACTAAAAGATTGACACTTTCCTTTTTCTTTTCTTTTCTTTCTTTTTTTTTTTTTTTTTTTTTTTTTTGAGACAGAATCTTGCTCTGTCGCCCAGGCTGGAGTACAGTGGTGCCGTCTTGGCTCACTGCAACCCCTCGCCAAGCAATTCTCCTGCCTCAGCCTCCCGAGTAACTGGGATTACAGGCACCCACCACCACGCCTGGCTAATTTTTGTATTTTTTAGTACAGACAGGGTTTCACCATGTTGGCCATCCTGGTCTCGAACTCCTGACCTCAGGTGATCCACCCTCCTCAGCCTCACAAGGTGCCGAGATTACAGGTGTGAGCCACCACACCCGGCCAATTGATGCTTTCTATATCTAGTTCTCCATATGTAGTTAATGCTAAATAAATATTTGTTGATTTCATGTAAACTTCATAATTATTTGTTCCTTTATGATATCAGCTTTATTCCATGATGAGAAATATCAATCAACCAAACCAAGCAGATGAAATGAGCAGAAAGTATCCTAGAAGAAGAAAGAAATTTTTCTGTGCCAAGTGTTTGAGGATTTTTGTTTGTTTGTTTTAAGTTAAGCTCTTGTAAAGAAAAAAATATGGAGAAATGCTCTACATCAGGGGTCCCCAGCCCCAGGCTGAGGACCAGTACTGATCTGTGGCCTGTTAGGAACTGGGCCACACGGCGGGAGGTGAGCATCTAGTAAGTGAAGTTTTATCTGTATTTACAGTCGCTCCCCATCACTTGCATTACCGCCTGAGCTCCACCTCCTGTCAGATCAGCGGTGGCAATAGATTGTTATAGGCGTGTGAACCCTATTGTGAACTGCTCATGTGAGGGATCTAGTTGTTTGCTCCTTGTGATAATCTAATACCTGATAATTGATTTGAGATGGAACTGTTTGATCTCAAAACTATCCCCCAGCACCAGCCCGTCCATGGAAAAACTGTCTTCTACGAAACCGGTTCCTGGTGCAAAAAAGTTTGGGGACCGCTGCTCTACACCATCATGCAATCAATTAATTGCTATTTTGCTCATCGTTCCAATACAATTGACAATAAATTTAATATTTGATCACATTCTGTTTTCATTTTCTATAGAAATTCATCCAGGTTGTTATAGGTAGGTTTTCAGGAGATTGTCTAAAGAGCGTCTTTAAAGATTGCATTTGCTAGAGTTGTTAGAAAATGTAGGTTAGTCTCCAAAGAAGACATAAAAACTGTCTTTAATTTTTTACTTTATTCCTTTTTCTACCTTCTGGAAAATACTTAAATTAGCTTTTCTCTGGAACGTTGACAACTTATTGCTTCTTAATCTAAATCGAGTTTTGGTAACCTCAAAATCTCTTGTTTAAAAATCTTTTCCTCTTCTTTTATGCTGTATAAAGCTTACCTCAACCATCATAACATCCTGGGTGGTACAGCCAAGGAGGTGGGCACTTGTTAGGATAAATCTTGCAACCATCTGCTTTCTGGTAGATGCCAACAAAGGCTCAGATAAATCTATCCACAACCAACGAACCTAGAAGTAAAATACGGTCCAGGCGCGGTGGCTCAGGCCTGTAATCCCAGCACTTTGGAAGGCCAAGGCGGGCAGATCATGAGGTCAGGAGATTAAGACAATCCTGGCCAACGTGGCAAAACCCCGTCACTACCAAAAATACAAAAATTAGGAGGACGTGGTGGCGGGCACCTGTTGTCCCAGCTACTCGGGGGGCTGAGGCAGGAGTATCGCTTGAACCCAGGAGGCAGAGGCTGCCCTGAGCCGAGATCGCGCCACTGCACTCCAGCTTATTGACAGAGAGAGACTCCGTCTCAAAAAAAAAAAAAAAAAAAAAAGTCAAATACCAACTCTCAACTCAGGAACTAGAGACATACATGGGTGACAGACACAAACGACCATGTGACATCATTCAATGTTGCTGCTTTGTTTGATCGATATTTCATATCCATAATAAACTTAGAAAGTTTAAGAGCCAATTTATATAAAAGCAGCTGGAGAAAAAGCAGTTGTTTTTCCTTTTCCTTGAGTCAGATATTTGTGTGTCAAGATGCTTTGGTAAAAATTCGAGAAACACAGAATGAGAGGCTCAAGAAGAATGGAATTCAGTCAGCTCTGGCTCTTTATCCAATCAATAGCTTGGAGAGTTTTCTGCATGTCAGGCTCCCTACGTGAAGCATGGCGTTGGCAAAAGGGGCCATACCCAAATTGATAGATTTTTCTTTTATTAAAAAACCAACCAAACGATACTAGAATTTGTTTTCAGAGTACCTCCTAAGTTAAAAATAAATAAACAAACAAATAAATAAATAAATAAAATAAAAAATAAAAATAAAAAATAAAAAATCTGGACAACATTGCAAGGATTCAATTGACAGCAGACTTTTTTGAGAAAAGCAATACATCAAATAATATACATGATTAAAAAGGTCATTTTCTCCATGACTCTTATGTAGATAGACTGCTCAGGTTGTATGAGAGTTGAAAATAATTTATTCTCTTAAAATTTCATCAATTTTTCTTAATTATGAAGAGCATATGAGAAGAAAAAAATTTAAATCATAAGAAAGAGAAAAGGGACCATTTTGTAGTGATTATTTGTTTATAAATATATTTCCCTACCAAACTATAGCTGCTTAGGATCAAGCATATTTTCTTACTTTTTTTTTTTTTTTTTTTTTACTTTAAGTTCCGGGATACATGTGCAGAACATACAGGTTTGTTACGTTGGTACACGTGTGCCATGGTGGTTTGCTGCACCTATTGACCCAACCTCTAAGTTCCCTTCCCTCACCTCTCATCCCCCAACAGGCCCTGGTGTGTGATGTTCCCTTCCCTGCGTCCAGGTGTTCTCATTGTTCAACTCCCACTTATGAGTAAGAACATGCAGTGTTTGATTTTCTGGTCCTGCTTTAGTTTGCTGAAGATGATGGCTTCCAGCTTCATCCATGTCCCTGCAAAGGCCATTATCTCATTCCTTTTTATGTCTGCATAATATTCCATGGTGTATATGTAACACATTTTCTTTGTGTGGTCTATCCTTGATGGGCATTTGTGTTGGTTCCATGACTTTACTATTGTAAATAGTGCTGCAATAAACATACATGTGCATGCATCTTTATAGTAGAATAATTTATATTCCTTTGGGTATATACTCAGTAATGGGATTTGAGGGTCAAATGGTATTTCTGGTTCTAGATGGAAGACATTTACGTGGCCAAAAAACGTATGGAAAAAAAAGCTCAAAATCACTGATCAGTAGAGAAATGTAAATCAAAACCACACCATCTCACGTCAGTCAGAATGGCGATTATTAAAAAGTCAAGAAACAATAGATGCTGGCAAGGCTATGAAGAAATAGGAACACTTTTACACTGTTGGCAAGAATGTAAATTAGTTCAACCATTGTGGAAGACAGTATGGTGATTCCTTAAGGATATTTTCTTACTCTTTTTAACCCTCTTCACTAGGTCCAGGTCAAGAATTAAATAAATAAGTGTTAAGTGAAGACATGCAAATAAAATCATTACTGCCAATTATATGAAGCATGAGTATTCATAAATTCAACATTTACTTTTAGTATAACACCTCTTTCTATGCATATTATAGGTATATCATAGATAATTTAGACATTATAGGTAGTTTAGACATCATAGGTAATTACCTATCAAACATGTTGGTGTTCAGTAAATATGAGCTTTTTTCTCTCTCTCTTACAAAAAGCAAGAGTATCTATCTACAGCATGTGAACAGTTTAAAGAATGTAAAGTGCTGTAGCCTAGAATTATCTTCCTGTGAAGATTTGGATCATTGTTCAAATATTGATCAGCATAGTGTTATGGGAAGAACATGTGCTTTGGATTCAAAGTGTTAGTAAGTGTTTCAACCACTTTTTTGAAAGTGTGAATTTGGTAAATTTCTTAACATTCTTCAGTTTCTATCTTTAAAGTAGAAGTAATAACACTTACCTGTTACAGAAAGAGTTGCTGTAATTATCAACGCAATGACCTTAGTATTGTGCTGGTTGGAAATAGTGACTCAGGAATGTTAGCTGCATCTCTAACTCAGACCAGATTTACAGATAATTAATTATCTTATGCTTAAGTTAATATCAATGTATTCTATTATGAGACTTTAGGTGAAGTTATTAATGTGCTTGGTATTCTGTAAAAAATATATAATCCCTTTATATTTACATAGCCCCGCTACTAGATTATCCAGACCTCAGTGGCAATTAGAAGCATAATACCAAGTAGAAGGGAAAACAGCAATCATTGGAGTCTATGGTAAAGGAAAGTGTTAAAATGGTTGTGGAAACTGTTAAAGTGGTTATGGAAATTGTTAAAATGGTTATTAAGACTTTGTCTGAATCCAGAGAACATACTTTTTGCATTATACTAGGGGTTGTGTGTGTGTGTGTGTGTGCGTGCAAGCATTTGTGTAGTTATGACTCACTCTACTTTGCATGACGGATTCAGCCTACCAGAATCTAGCGTAAGCATAACATTTATGTAACAATAAAGTCCATCAGATATTATTAATTTATTTATTGATAATAAAAACCACCATATGATATAAGAAGTAATCTGGTGAAAAATATTGAAAAAAGTATATTTTACATAACTTTTATGATATTATGAAGTTAAAAATCCTGTTCTCATAATAGGAAAATCTATGATATATATCATTTGAGCACAATATGTTGTGTTTTTTAGAGAGATAGTTTGGATATTATTACTCTTAGCCTTATACATATGTGGTTCAGCAATTAAGCATAAGCAAACATTAACAAAAATAATCCAAAACAGATTGCAATGGAAAATAGAAATCATGAAGATTTAACAGGGCTACAAGAATGTTATTTACCTAAAGTGATAGATGATTAATGTATTTGTAGAATTATGAAAAAAAAACCAAAGAATATCAACAGAAAAAAATATTTATCATTGTAATCCCAGCTTTTACATTATGGCACTCCATCTGTTTCTTATGAAGGTAATGTAATAAAATATATCCTATTGTAACACCAAAGAAAGAGATGACTTGATATTTGTAAGTGTCTTTAATGCATTTTGTACAATCTCTATCTACCTATCTATACATAAAATTTGAAAAAAATGTTTCTCATTCCCATATTTATTCATCAGTATTTCAGAAGTCATTAACTTTAGAGTGAGTGGTTTACTGTGGAAAAGCATAGAACCACAGCAGAGTTCAAGATTCACTAAAATGACACTTTTTTCAGCTTGATTTTTTTTAAGCCCACCCTAACTTCATTCTAATAGCCCACCCTAACTTCATTCATCTGGCTGATGATTCAGGTTTTGTCATTTTGTTTTTCTGATTTCAGTTTTCTTTCTTCATGAGTCTTATTGTAAATAACGTGACACAATAAAATGCAGCACAAGGTAGTAAGATATCATTTATATAACAAAAGTAGTTTGCCTTAATCCATAAGACAGTTTTGTCATGCAGATTTGGAGTATGATATTGTGGCAATTTGTAAGCTCACAAAAAGGAATTTTGTCAAATGCAGTGTTATATTACTTTCATGGAAATCTTATACTTAGCTTTATTTTATTTTCTCATGAAATAGTGGCACCTTTAATACATTGTAACTGATGAGAATCTCAACAGATATATTGTAAATGTGTGTGCCTATGATTCAAGGCTTGGAGAAGGAATAGACTAAGGAGGATCTATTTAAGTACCACCTATGCATAACTGGCTGCTACCTCTTAGAGCAGGGATTATAAACAGATCTACAGTTTCAGTTTTTTGGTACCGCATTTTTCCCTCCACATTTACCCATAAAGCCTATGAAAAGATAAAATTTTCTTCTTGAAATAGTATTTTATAGCAATTCCCATCACCTATCTTAATCATTAAGTTCTCAGCTTTTTAAGCCACTTTTAAACAACATTTTTTTTAAAAAAGAGTGAGTGAACAGGAAGCAACATGAAGGAGGCAGACTGAATACTGAATACTATTAAACTATCAGGGTTACTATTTAAACCAAAAGGGAAAAAATAGGCACATGTAGATTAACAATAGTGAGGATGCATATAGCAATACTATTTGGAGGGAATCTTGATTAAATAAAGCGAAGATATTGGACCAGGAATCAGAAAACTTGGTTGTAGCACTGATTACCACTAAATGGCATATGATATTTGGTAAATTCATATTATCTGCCTGAGTTTCATCGCAAAAGGGTATACAGCTCATGACCTGCATTATATCTTTCAACTCCACATTTCTACAATGTTGATATAATTTCATAAAAACAAAATAGAGGCAACCCATTTTTGTTTCAGCACACAGCTTTTTAGATATAAGAATTTGTCCAGCATTGTATAAATTAAAAGACTCAAAACTAGCGAGTCAGCAACAACTACAATGCAATCATGACTACAGGATAACAACCTCTCAAAGGGACTATAAAATGCAGCATTTGATACTCTGCAATTTACTTACCTTCAGAGCTGTGTCTTTGAGCAAAACTGTCTAATGCCCTGACCCCACACTTTTAAATGTTCCTGGGCCAACATTCTCATACGATCATTGGAATAAGCAGATGTAATTTTTCTTTTTGTTTTATAAAGGGCTTCATGTTTTACTTCAATTTTGGAGCTCTGGCAAACAACAAGCTGCACCTGCTCCATCCCACACTGAACGACGCACCGAGATCAAAATGAAATGTATTAGAAATTACTATGCCAGTATCCAGCCCTAGTGTAACACACACACACACACACACACACACACACACACTGATCAATATTTGGCAAAGCAGGACTCATAACTACGTATGGTGCACTGAATGGTGGCAGACCAACACTCTAACAAGAACATTAAGAAAAAAAAAAAGACTATTAAAATTGAAGCTTGTGAAAGAGAGAAAATCAAGATAGTGGTTTTCTGAAGAGGAAAGCAACCCAGAGATGTGAGATGAAGTGACTTTTTCCCTAGGGAAAATGATGTATCTTGGCACAGGGCAAGAGATTCGCCACTTGAGTTTTGCAAAAACAGACTGCTGTGACCAAGGGGCAGTGGAACCAGTGCTGCTTTGTGTGATCTTGAAAGTTTGGAGAGACAAAGAATTGAAATTTGACTTGTCTCAGAGGTAGAATCATTTTTCGTTGCAAAGTATTTGCTGAATTCTGAAACCAAGCATGGCAGAAGACGGAAATACTAAGCAACATATCTATGAAAAGTACAATTCAAAGCAGTCTCCTGAGATGATGAGACAAATATTAGAACAAAAATTCTAAGATCAGGTTCCTGATGAACTCACAAGCTCTGAGTTGAATGTCTTGCAAGAGGATGTCTGTGGCCAGGAGGAAATAGAACCAAGCCTTACCAAAATCACTGACCTCCATCTGATTGCATTAAAGTGATCAGACAACACTGTATCTCTCTGGCAAAAGAAGTCAAACAATTGAGAAAAATAGGAAGGATTTTAAAAATATATATTAATTGATTTATTAATTTAAAAAGTTTTTAAGAAAGAAGTCAAACAAAAAAAGGAAAACTCTCTAAAGGAAGATAACATCATGTGCAAATTCTACAGTATTTCACCTGTTGGTCTGGCACTTAATTCTCTTAGTAGTCACAACAATAAAGAAGACTAAGAAAAGGGGACTATTTCCTGTTTCAATAATAACTGAGAAACAAGAGAGAAACCACACACCAGAAAAATCATAGGTAATTCAAATATTGCAGTGAACTTCAAAATAACATCCAGTAAAGGACATTTAAATATTATAAGATTGTTATGCTTAATCAAATAGATTTTATATTAAATCAGTAGATGAAAACAATAAGATTGTTATCAGAAAAGTGATTCTAGTAACTGATTTAAAACGTCAATTATGTTCTACATTTTATAACAACATAAATTTAAGAAATAGGAAAATTTAATAAATAAAATTAAGAAACCAGTGGGTAGTGTTAACATCAGAATAAACATAATAGAAGACAGGTCCATAAAAAAATACCTGAACTGAGGCAAGAAAATAAATAAAAATAGTGAAAAACCTCAAAGGCATGTAGGAGTCAGTAAAAAGATCTGACATGTATTTAGAATCAAAGAGAAAAGTTATGAACAGAAAGAATACTGCAGCATTTAATGGCCAAATATTTTTAAACTTACGAAAGATATCAATACACATATCCAGGAGGTTCTACAGACAGGGAAAGCAAAGTGACAGCATTTTTTCCTTGACTAGAGAGCTACAATGTTGCAAATCCGCTCACATTTTCTCAGAAAACTTTGCATAGCAAGCATGCTTCTGAATTCTGAACTCTGAATATGTCAGGTTTTTAGGTCACCTTGGCTGGTGGTGATATGATTACATCACAGTCCGGGCTACTGAGACAGAGACTTCTCTCTTGCCAACCAGTAAGACCTTTCTGAGAGAGTAGTACAAACTTGTATTGGAGGCTTTGCCAAATAATTGTCAATTTTTCTTGGTTCTTAGGTGGCAGTGTGAGAGCAAAGAAGGCAGTGTCAATGCCAAAGACAGGATACCAAATGCCACTATTTTATGCAGTGAACTCAGTTGCAGTCACAATGTCCAGAAGAGGTGGGACAATAAGAATAACAACTAAATTCAGTTGCTAATCATGGCCTGTAAGCACCCAGTTACATTAGCATTTTTCACTTTTACTGAGCTATTTATTTGAAATGTTGCATCTCTTACAAATTCGGTAAACTTTAACTACTTAAGGCAGTGATTTCCTTCTTTCTTCCTGGAATGCTCTATTGTTGCTTTTGGACCACCCTAAGGGGATGGGGAACCTGACTGAGGAATAATTCAGGTGTCAGACTATCATTTCTCTACACGTTTGTTTTCCTGATCAGAATCCACCGTGGACTTTATGAGTATTCACAATATAAGCATGTTAAACACCAGCAGTACTTATATATTCACCAATGGAAGCCAGAGCAATACATTACGTTGACCCAAAGTGTCCCTCCCTCAAAGATAAAAGTATAAACTAGTATTTTTTTCAAATCTAAAATGATATGTGTGAATTAAAACAATGTCAGTATGAAGTGATCTTACCATAAAAAAAACTGTTAGCTGATGGATGTGTTAATTCACTTGATTACAGTAATCATTTCAATGTGTATGCAAATGTCACATTGTACACTGTAGATATATATAACTTTTTTCATTTATTTTTCATTTTCTTTTTTTATAGAGATGGGGTCTCTCCCTATGTTGTCAGGGCTGGTCTCGAACTCCTGGGCTCAAGCGATCCTTCCACCGTGGCTCAAGCGATCCTTCCACCGTGGCCTCCCAAAGTACTGGGATTACAGGCATGAGCCACTGTGCTCAGCCCAATATATATAAATTTTAATTGTGAACTACACCTCAATAAATCTGGTGTAAAAAAAAAGACAATGTAAAAAATTAGAATTAATAAGGGAGTCTCTCAAGAAGTTGGATACAATAGAAAATAAAGATAAAAAAAATAATAAAAATAGGCCAGGCGTGGCAGTGCATGCCTGTAATCCCTTCACTTTTGGAAGCCAAGATAGGAAGATAGCTTGAGTCTAAGAATTGGAGGCCAGACCAGACAACATAGGGAGATCCCATAGCTACAAAAAATTTAAAAATTATCTGGGCATGGTGTCTCGCATCTGTGGTCCCAGCTACTCTGAAGGCTGGAGTTGGAAGATTGCTTGAGCTCAGAAGGTTGAGGGCGCAGTGAGCTGTAATCACGCCACTGCACTTCAGCCTGGGTGACAGAGTGAGACCCTATCTCAAACAACAACAAAAGACACATGTTTACCAGAAACAAAGGAGCAGGAAATCAAATTTTAAAAGTGATGTCATTTGGAATGGCATCAAAAGGCCTTATATACCAAAGACTAAATCTGAAAATACTGCAATTGTATTTAAATAAATTCTTAAAATCTAAATACAAGAAAAAACTCATTCATTTGTGGATTGGAAAATTCAATATTATAAAGAGGTTAGTTCTTCCTAAGTTAATCTAAGGATTCAATCCATCCTAATCAAAATTCCATCAATTTTTTTGTGGAATCTGAAAAGCTGAATTTTAAAAAATGAAAATACAAAGATTCAAAAACATTTGAGAGATCTTGAAGAAAAACAAAACTAGATGATGGTGTAGTCTGCAATATATCAAGGCTTATTGTAAAGCTGTGGTAACTACAACACTGTGGCTATGGGACAAGACTATGTAAAGAGACCATTAAAATAGAACACAAAGTCTGGAAACAAACCCACTCCTATACAGGCACATAATGTATAACATCAGTGACAAATGAATACTGACTCAATTTTATGCAAGATAAATAATTCTACATAGAGTGTTGATTTATATATTAAAGACAAATAATAATAAAGGCTTTAGAAGGAAATATAGGAGAAAATCTTTATGTTCTTCATATCTCATGGCAAAATTTTCTTAAGTAGAACACAAAAAATACCAACCATAGTAGGAAAAACAAAATTGGATTACATTAAAGTTAAAAACTCTACTCATCGACAGTTACCACTGATACAAATGTAAGCCACAAAGTGGGAAAAGATATTTTAGACACATTCAACAATGACTTAAGTGGAGAATATATGTCTCTTAAAAATTAATCAGAAAAGGACAGTCACATAATTTTAAAATAATAAATAAAAATTCTGCATAGATTTTTCAGGAAATAAGATATCTAAAATCCAATTAGTGTATTAAAATATGTTCAGCTTCATGGCTGTTGGTACAATGCACATTAAAATTATAATGCAATAGTACCACACATCCACTGGAAAGGCTTAAAAAAAACAAAAGTAAAACATTTCAACTGTTTGCAAGCAAGTAAAAACCACCAGGTCTCTCAAATACTACTAGTAAAAACATAAATTGGCTTAACCGCTTTGGAAAACTGGTGCCATCCACAGAGCTGAAAATATGCATGTCTTATGATCTAGCAATTCTCTTAGGATACAAGGATATTCAAAAGAAATGCATACATATGTTCACCAAAAGACATTTACAATTATATTATTTGCAGCACTATCCATAGTAGCCAAAATTGAGGGGAAAAAATGTCCAGAAGCTGATGAATAATGTATGACATATTCACGTAATTGAATATTGTATTGCCTTGAAAGAACTAAACTATGTATAACAACATAGATGGATCTCATGAGCCTAATGCAGAGTGAAAGAAGCCACATAATAAATAGCGCACAAATTGTAAGATTCTACTTATATCAAGTTCAAAAACAGAATGATTTATTATGTAGAAGTCATAATAGCCACTTCTTTAGAGAGGAGGAGGCCCCAGAAAGCGTTCCTGGGGATCCATTAATGTTCCGTTTC
Organism: Homo sapiens; assembly: GCF_000001405.40. Classification (NCBI taxonomy): domain Eukaryota; kingdom Metazoa; phylum Chordata; class Mammalia; order Primates; family Hominidae; genus Homo; species Homo sapiens. The sequence continues at coordinate 65,943,972 of NC_000018.10, read as the reverse complement.
CTCTTCCGAGTATTGTTATAATTGAGTGTGAGCTTCATGAGAAGTCATTGAGCTGCATCATTACAATTTGTTCACTTGTATAAGTATTTCTTTATTAAAAAGTTTACTTAAAAAGTCAAAAGCCAATAGCTCTAAAGGGTTATGTCTGTGCTGCAGCACGTGGGCTGAGTAGAGTAGGCTGAGTTTCTTGTTCAGCTGATTCTGAGTGGAGATTTTGAGCATTCAAGATGTTTATGTGGGGGTGGGCTTGGAGTTCAAACCTTCATGTGCAGGGGAGAGGATGAAAGCAGGATTGGACTGAGGGGGAAGGCAAACTGTAATGCAGTCACAAAGAAAGATTCAGCTCACCTACGGAGGGCTCCAAGCTGGACAGCTCTTAAGAGTTCTTCAGAATGGTGGTGAGCGGGTCTCACCTTCTGGGTGACCAGTTATTGGATATGGCCTGACCCTGGAAAACCTTTATTCTGAGTTAGGCAATTTTCTTTTAGGCAATTTTCTTTAGCTGAAGCAACCCAAAGTCAATGTGAGCAAAGGTCATCTTCCTGCAGCATGCCCAGCAGATGGGGAAATCAATTCTCCATTCCTGCAGGGGTCTTTTGGTGGCCCACCACAAAATTCACCACACAGAGGATCCCATCTGAAGGCTTGAAGAAAATAGTGTGTGACAACGAAGGGAAATGGAACATTCAACAATGTTAAAATAAGGAAGAGGATATCTCCTGTTCAATCATCCTAAATTCTCAAGAATATTCTTCCCTATAACTAATCTTAATCTCTCGTGGGGCAGTTTTAAATTCATTTAAATCTGGTGTCAAAAAGTAAAATAGCTGCTGAATAAAAGAAAACTTTATTTCTACCCTTTCAAAGCCAGCACTGTAACCTACACCTACAAGCCCAGACAAAAGATTTTAAATTGCTGAGCTAAACATTTCAATTCACAAAGGCTTTTGCATTTCCTCTTGTAAAAACCTTTGAAAGAATTCAGTAAAGTTAGCAACCTTCTTTCATTTTTCATATGCCTCAAAATAAGAAATAAGACAGATTTGAAAAGAGGAAAAACACTCTCTTAAATATTTAGCAATTTAGACTCAATATTTTTCCAAATTCTAAATTTAATACTTAAATATTTTTGTTGCAATGTATCATTTGGCACTAATCAGAGGTATAGATGAGACTGGTTAAATGACTATGAGGTTTTGTTTCCTTAAGCTTGATTGAGATAGTAAGACCTCAAATATTTACTTTATGCTATGTATGCATATTAATTACTCTGCTTATTATCATCATAAATCATTCTTTCCCCTAATGACATACTTTTTACACTAATAACTGAAAATTACAAAAGCAAACAAACTAATCTATCACAGAAAGATGCTTGATTTTGTGAATTCAATGAAGCTTAACCCTATATGTCTCACAACAACTATCTGGTTATATTTTTCTCTACCCTTGTCCTATAAATGCCATCTATTAGGAGCAAAATCTCACACCACAAGGAAACTCTATTATTCTTTGATATCTTTAAGAAACCACAGGAAATTAGGAAATGTGTTATCACTTGTAAAAGGGCAGACTACAGTGTCAGGAAATTTATCAAATCTAAGTAAGAAAGAACCTTGGTAAACTAAAGCATTACGACATCCCTAGAACCTGATACGGCCCAGGTCCTATCAGGAAATACATTCCTTTCCTTTGAATTGATACATATTCCCAGAATTCAGGAACAGCTTTCTATGTTTATGTCCACTATGCATAGTACAAATGCTATAGTCATTAATGAAAAGCTTACACTTTCTCAGGCACAATTTGTTAACCTATTTAAGACATGCAAAATCCCTATTAGATAGGTTTCTATTTTTACCTCTGCTTCAATGATGAAGGAATTAAGTCACTAATGCCTTGCTCTGGGGCAGGAGTAACTAGAGAGTGGTGGTGAGATTTCAACCCAGGCATCCACCCAGGTGGCAGAGACTCCTACTGGGCTACCCAACTACACTGCCCCTCATGTATCTTGGGAAACAGTTCAAGTAAGTACATGCTTGGATTAGTTGGGATTTCCACTCTCAAGTTATCTTCATATTAGCACTGTGTAGTAAAGAATATGTTTCATAGCACTGGTGATGGTGGAGGAGGCAAGTGTTGCAAATGGAGTTCTGTTAATAAGGAAACTATGGAACACACACCAACAATCTAAGAAGTTGTTACGCTAGGCTTTTCCAAGGCTCAGAACCAATGCCGTAAATGCTGCATTGCGTCATCAGCCATGATCATCATCAAACAGCACTCTTTTCCTTTTTCAAGAACAATCTATTGGTGGGTGAAAGCATCATGACATTTAATCACCTGGGTGATTAATATGCTACTCAGTATTTCTGTCCTGAGTGACTGAAAGAGCTAGGTACAACTTGTACTTTTGATGTAGCAACTAGTGCCAGCTACTTTCCCGAGAGAAGAAGAGAGGACCAGACAGGAGCTGGTATTTCAGCAGAAAAATTTAATCCTAATTTTTTTTCTCCCAAAGAAATCTTCAGCATTATCTACAGTAGTCTAGAAACCTCAGTGTTAAAGAAGAAATCTATGAGAATTGTACTCTAAATTGAGACATAATATTATATTTTTTTTAGTGAGGAAAGAGGGAAGCATTGTAAATTACACCTCTCTTCACTGTATTTTCTTCTTCATCATCGTCATCACCCCTTTTCCTGACTTGAGCGCATTTAATGAAGAAGGAATAAGATCAGTCACAAAATCAATATACACCTCCCAAGCAAATACTTAGAGTAAATTACATTGGTCTAAACAAAGTGAAAATTGTGCTTTTTGAAAGGGCTGTATTTTCACATTAAAGAAAACCATGAAAACTTAAAAGTCCATTTCATTTTCTTCCTTTCCCAAATTTAATAATGAGGAAAAATATTTCTTAATATAAATATTTTATAAAATGTTAACTGACTCAAAACTTTCTCAAAATCAGTTACTTTCCTTTTTAGAAGTTTCACATTGCATGTTCAGTGTTTCTATGTATGCTATGAAACTGCTGAAGATCATGTATATTACATCCCTCAACATTCTTTATTTTCATACCTATTAATTATGATATGCTTTCCTTTATCCTAGAGCAGGGAGCATATACATTGTCATGTTTTTCTTACTGGTTAGTACCATGGAAATTCAGAAACAGATTTTTAACTTGGCTTATGAAAATAAATAAGTATTACTTTTAGGTAGCTTGTTTTTCTTGTCCCGTTTTAAAAAAACTAGCATTTTGTAATAAGTGAGCTCAAATATGTTTTAGAAAGAGACATAGGATAAATAAATTAAATTAAAATATTTAGGTGTAATAAATCAATAAGCAGAAAAAAGAAATATTAAGTAACATATTAGACATGAAATTTGAAGTTTAATGGTATATAGAGAGATCATTATCACTGTACAATTTTTATATTCACATTCTGGAAATAAAGTTTTGTGCTATGTAAGTTGTAGGTGCAGGTATTAACTATAGAAACTATGCTGCTCTGAATACGTCCCATTATCCTTCCAACTATACTGTTATTTTTTAGCTATATGTGCCAATTTTATTCTGTAATATGGTCACTGTAACTACAAAACAAATTCAGCAGATGCAGGCCACTTAAAAATGTCCAGTTAAACTATATGCTTTTTAGAATAGATTTGTCATGATTTCTAATCAATCAAAGGAAAAATATTGTTTGCCAAGTATTCAGAGAAATAATTTTCTAGTATCTTCTTTAAAAAACAAAACAAAACAAAATGGCAAAAGGGTAACAAAAGAAAACCGATCAAATCAGTGGTAAAATGGTGCAACATTGTGGCCCTGTGGATAGAAAAGCTTCAGAGAACAGAGGAGTCTCCCTGAGCCTGGTGGTTCAAGGTTTGTGAAGATGAGATTGAGGTTAAACCCTAGAAAATGACAAGAAGATGAAACAAGTCATACTGTAAACAGAGCTACAGATATTGGAATATTTCAGGCTTGAGTAGAAGGTTCATATGAGAAACAATGAGAACATTGGGGTTAAAAATTAAAATAGCGTCTTTCTCAAAGAAATGGCAATTTTGTAAATGAACGTAAGATTTTTCTCCTGATTTTTAACTGCCTCAGGGCCCCCATCTTCTCCACTCAGTTTCCACAGAGAAAGTGCCTCTTCTAGCCTCAAGGGCTAGGCAAGTGACAATCACTTTATGCCTCAGTTTCCTCAGCAGTAAAATAATGATAGCAGTATCTAAGTCATAGGATTGTAGTGAGATTCAAATGTGTCAGTGCACGGAAAAATACTTAGTACAGTGTCTGGAGCTTAGAAAATTGACAGTAAACATCAGCCATTATTATTATGTTAATACTAAATAAAAACTCCTTCCACCTCGTATATACTTTTAACTACTTCAACGATTCTCTTACCTCTACAAAGTCTAACTGATGGAGGGCAGGTGAACCCCTAAACTGAGGCTTAATCTGGGAGGGTTTTTGTCTTCACCTAGGAAATAATCCAAGGGCAGGCTGGCGGTGGCAGCAATTTCACTGTAGCAGCAATGTACAGTAGCAGCAGAGGTATTGCCCCTCATGGAGTAGGTCTACCCCATGGCGGCTGTGCCCAGAGCAGCAGTATATGGGTTGTGGTTCACTGTATTTATACCCACATTTAATTATATTAATTAGCATATAATTAAGAGGAAAGAGAAAAGAAGAAAGAGAATCGTTGAAGTAGTTCTGCATGGCCCACTGAATATAGTTGGCAGTTGTATTTATACCCACATTTAATTATATTATTTAAATTATTTAAATATATTTAAATATATTAATTATATCAATTATAATTTATACCCACATTATATTACATTAATTAGCATATAATTAATATATAGTTATATAATATATAATATATAAGTATAATATATCATATATTATATATTATATATTATAAATAAGTATATATTATATATAAATATAAAATATATAATTAATATAATTAAAGGTGGGTATAAATACAGCTGCCAACTATATTCAGTGGGCCATGCAGAACTTTCTGGAAAAATGTTTCCAGAACTTTAGAGGTATTTCCAGGACCATATAAGGTAACTTTCTGGTCATTGCCAAGGCCCATTGCCATGGCATTTATAAACTGTCATGGCACCAGTGGGAGTGTCTTTATGCTAATGAGTGAGGGCAACTAGAACTTGCTTTCATCGCCATCTGCTGGTTTCAGCTGGCTTTTTCACTGCTACCTGTTTCAACAAGAACTTGCTTTAATTAGCAGGGTTGCAGCCAGGGTCAACCTATGCTCAGAAAATAAGTCCTGATGAATTCCTACCTTGTAACGATATCTCTTGATACTCAAGCTTACTCAGTTATAGAAATCAGAGAGTGTTCTAGTCAAGATTCTTTAGGAAAACAGAACGAATAGCTTAGAGATAGATGATAGATGATAGATAGGCAGATAATAAGGAATTGGCTCACATGACTATGGAGGCTGAGAAATCTCAGGATTTGCAACGGGCAGACTGAACACCCAGCAAGGCAGCAGATGGCATAGTTCCAGTCCAACCCCGAAGGCTTCAGAAACAGGACAACCAATGGTGTAGATTCCAGTCCAAGTTGAGTCGGAAGGCAAGAGAAGGCAGATGTCCCAGATGGAAGACAGCCTGGCACAGAGTGACAATTCTTTGTTATCTCGCCTCTTGTTCTTTCTTGTCCTATTCAGGCCTTCAAGGATTGGATGAGGCCCACCCACTCTGGAAAGGGTAATTTGCTTTAATCAGTCTCCAGACTCAATGTTAATGTTATCCAGAAACACACTCTCAGACACACCCAGAATGATGTTTAAGCAAATGTCTGGGCACCCTGTGGCACAGTCAAATTGACTCTCAGAGGGAGTGAGAGTCACAATGTTCGCTCCAATTTGTTCTTTCATCCCACCTAGTATTTGTCAACGTCCTAGCATTCCACTGAAGTTGGCCTTAGTAAAGTTACCTCTACTCTGCATGTGGCCAAATCCATGTATTCTTCTCTTCCCCTCTTCCAGCTTGTCCTCTCGGCTTCATTGGAGACATCTATCAGTTCCTTTCTGACTTCAATGAAACCATAAGTTTTCATGCTTAGAGTTTACTTTTCTAGGCCTACTTTTTTACCTGACCTTGAAATGTTTAGTATTTTGAGCACTTTCCCTTTTAAATAACTACGTAAGTAGGTTACTCACCTATTGTGTCTCAGCTCCTACTCTTCTATATTTTGCTCTGTCATACAGGCCTGGAACTCTGCAAACAGTAGGTCTTAGGCTCCTTTGTCAGACAGCTCCTTGATCTGCCTATTTGTTGGTCTGCCTAAAAGGAAAATTAGAAGATAAGAGGTAGTTTTGTTGTCCTGGTCACATCAAACTAGCAGTTCAGTTTGCCCTCTTCTTCAGAAAACTGTGGTCATTCCCAGAATCAACCTCATTTACATCAGTACCACCAGGAGGAAACCATTTATTCAAGCTCCCCTGTTACCTATGAAACCTATTAGTTTTCCTGTGTTTGAAAGTTCAAATAATGTTTCCACTTTCCTGACTGGATTCTGACTGATAGATCATTACATGCTGACATTTTCACTTTGAGATATTCAGCCCAGAGCTGGATTTCTACTCATGTAATTGTTTTTCTTTTTACAGATTGACTGTGGCATCATTTGAATACCATGGAATTCACTACATTTAAATGTACATTTCAATGACTTTTAGTATGTTTCCAGAGTTGTGAAGCTATTACCACCATTTGATTTTAGAACCTTTACATCACCCCCATAAAAAAATATGACCATTTGCAGTCTCTCCCCATTCCTTTGTGCAGCCAAGGCAGCAATTTTACTTTATTTCTCAATTGATTTACTTTTTGGGGGCATTTTATATAAGTGGAATCAGACAATATATGGTATTTTGTAAGTGGCTTCTTTTACACACCATAATGTTTTCTAGGTTAATCCAAATTATAACACTTAAGAGTACTTCTTTCTTTTTACTGTCAATAATATTATATTGTATGCATACACTACATTTTGTTTATCCATTTACCAACTATTGGATATTTTCTCCCTCTTTTGGCCATGATGGGTAGTGTTGCTATGAGTATTTGCCAAGAAGCATGTACATATGTTCTCATTTCTCGCAGGTATATGCCTGGGGGTGGAGATGTTGGATCATGTGGTAACTCTATGTTTAACATTTAAAGAAGCTGCCCAACTATTTTACAAAGTGACTTCACCATTCTACATTCTCACCAGCAATGTTTGAGGATTTTAATTTCTCCACATACTTTTCAACCCATGTTCTTGCCTTTCTTTTTTTCTTTTTAGTCATTCTTGTGGGTGTGAAGGAATACCTCATTATGGCTTTAATTTCCATTTTTTAGAAACTAATGATTTTGAGTATGCTTATGGGCCATTTGTGTAAATTCTTTGATGAATGTCTATTAAACTCTTTTGCTCATTTTTAATGTTATTTTTTCTTTTCTTTTTTTTTTTTTTTTTCCAGATGGGGTTTCAATCTGTCTGTTGCCTAGGCTGATTTTAAGGCCCTGGTCTCAAGTGATCCTCCCACCTTAGCCTCTCAAAGTACTAGGGTTAACTTTTGTTCATTATTAAAATATTATTTTCTTATTACTGTGTTGTAAGAGTTTTAAAAATCTCTCTTTTCAGGTCTATAAGTTGCAAATACTTTTTTTTCCCAGTGTACGGCTTATCATTTCACTTTATTAATGGTGCCTTTGAAAAACAAAAGTTTTTAAATTTGTTGGTCTTATTTTTTTCTTCTTTGCTTGTCATTTTGGAGCTATAGCTAAGAAATCTGTGCAGTACTCATTTGTTTTCTCCAAAATTACTTATATACGTTTAACTCTTACATTTAGTTGTATTATCAATTTTGCCTCCTCTTATAATTAATTTCTCCTTGATATCTTCACTTAGATGACTGATAAAATCTCAAACAGCATCTCAGAGTGAAGGTGCTCTTGGAATTTTTCACAAGTCTTGGAATTTTCTCTCCTTGAACTTCCCTTTCAAAGCAAGCATTGTGAGTATTCATTTATTTAATAAATGTTAAACCTTGAGTCAACTTAAGTCCTATCTTTTTCTCACTTCTCCCCAACCAATTCCAGCATCTCAATTCTGTCCAACTCTTTGTATTTTCACTAACCTTATCCTAAAACCAGCCGGTTTGTTAGTTTCCCAACTGATATCACCATTTCCTTCCAAATAGATGCAATCTATACTCCACATAGAAACAAAATTGGTTTATAAGCCTTAAATCTGATTTAAGTGTCACTCCCTTGCTTAAAACAATGCTCTTAAAACAAGAGGCTCTTAATAGGTTTTGATTGATTGTTTCATGCTGTAGGCCTGCTTTACAGTCTGGGGAAGCCTATGAGCCCCTTCTCAGACTAATGGTTTTAACTACATAAAATGACATACATAGTATTACAAATAAAATTGCTGAAGTACATTTATCAAACTATTTTTTAAACTAATTTGTGAGATAATAATATAAGAAATTCCTTTAATGCATTAAACAATAAAATTTGATGGAATGTTAAAACTATTCTACTTACATAGTGCTGATAACATAAATGTTGAGATGTCTGCAACAACTATAAAGTGCCATGAAAATATCTCTGATTTCTTTTGATGACAAAGTCACAGGCTATTCAAATATGATAGTTATTTGGTAAATTTTATTATGAGTGGGAAAAAAAAAGATGCAATGTAGACTCATTCAAGTTAAGAACGCTTAGTCCTTTTTTTTTGTTTTGTTTTGTAGCTATAACAGATTACCTGAGACTGGGTAATTTATGAGAAACAATGTTTATCTTGGCTCACATTCCTGGAGGCTGGAAAGTCCAAGATCAATGGGCCATACCTGGTTGGCTTCTGGTGAGGGCCTTGTCCTGTGGCATAACATGCTAGAGAAGTAGGAGGAGAACCAGACAGGTGCAAAAATAGTACACAGGAGAGGCAGCCTCACTTGGTAACAACTTGCCCTCACAGTAACTAGCCCAGTCCCATGAGAACTCATCAAGTCTCACGAGAAAGACATTAATCTTTCTTAATGATCTATTGACCTCTTCAAAACCTCCCCTGTTATTGCTGTCACATGAGGGATTAAGTCACAACCCGAGGTTCAGAGGGAACAAACATTTGAATCATAAAAGACCCTTAAATTCGATCCACACATCTCTAAGGAGTGACCCCTCTTAGGAATTCCTAGGAATGGTTTCAATTGTGTTTAGAGCAAACCCCTTACCATGGCTTAAAAGACCCACGTGATTTGGTACCCACCTGCCTTTCACCTCAGTACCTGCCCTTTAATCTCACTCACTAAGATCTAGTCTCACTCTGCCTTACTATCATCTCTCCAGGAGTTCTAGAATGTGCCAAGCTCATTTGGCACAGGGTCTCTGCACATGCTGCTTCTTCTGCCTGGAATGTTCTCCTGACTCCGTAGCTGCTTCTTGACCAGTCTTCATCAGTACACTTTATTATTCCCTTAATAAAATATTTCCCTGACTCCATAGTTGCTTCTTGACCAGTCTTCCTCAGTACACTTTATTATTGCCATAATAAAATGAATCACACATTTTAACTATTTTATGCAATGGTTTTACTTGCTTAAAATATTTTCTTTCCTACTAAAATATGTTTGTGGGGTTAGAGAATAAATATAATGCCCTCAATTATATCCCATCCCTTGATATAGAGGGATCATGCAGTTATAGGTATATACTGAAAAATTAGTGTTAAATAAATAAATGTTCCTATAAACCTCCACAACCTTTCCCCTGAATGTCATTATTTCCAAGTGTACTATTGCAATAGCTGCAGCCCTTGCTTTCTTACCTGTGTATTATTGTTGTTGTTGTTGTTTGTTTTTTGTTTTTGAAACAGAATATCGCTCTGTTGCCCAGGCTGGAGTGCAGTGGCATGATCTCAGACCATTGCAACCTACACCTCCCAGGTTCAAGCGATTCTCCTTCCTCAGACTCCTGAGTAGCTAGGATTACAGGCGCGTGCCACCACGCCCTGCTAATTTTTTGTATTTTTAGTAGAGATGGGGTTTCACCGTGTTGGCCGGGCCAGTCTCGAGCTCCTCACCTCAAGTGATCCATCTGCCTCGGCTCCCACACCTGTGTTATTTTAAATGAAACAGCCAGAGTTGTCTTTATTTATTTTTACTTACTTTTTTATTATACTTTAAGTTCTGGGATACATGTGCAGAACAGGCAGGTTTCTTATATAGGTATACATGTGCCATCGTGGTTTGCTGCACCCATCAACCTATCATCTACATTAGGTATTTCTCCTAATGCTATCCCTCCTCTTGCCCTCCACTCCCAATAGGCCCCAGTGTGATGTTCCCCTCTCTGTGTCCATATGTTATTGTTCAACTCTGATTTATGAGTGAGAACATGCAGTGTTTGGTTTTCTGTTCCTGTGTTAGTTTGCTGAGAATGATAGTTTCCAGTTTCATCCATGTCCCTGCAAAGGACATGAACTCATCCTTTTTATGGCTGCATAGTATTCCATGGTGTATATGTGCCACACTTTCTTTATCCAGTCTAGCACTGATGGGCATTTGGGTTGGTTGCAAGTTTTTGCTATTGTGAATAGTGCCGCAATAAACATACTTGTGCATGTGTCTTTATAGTAGAATGATTTAAAATCCTTTGTGTATATACCCAGTAATGGGATTGCTGGGTCAAATGGTATTTATGGTTCTAGATCCTTAAGGAATCACCACACTGTCTTTCCCAATGGTTGAACTAATTTACACTCCCATCAACAGTGTGAAAGTGTTCCTATTTCTCCACATCTTCTCCAGCATCTGTTGTTTCCTGACTTGTTAATGATCACCATTCTAACTGGCATGAGTTGTTATCTCATTGTGGTTTTGATTTGCATTTCTCTAATGATCAGGGATTATGAGCTTTTTTTCATATGTTTGTTGGCCACATAAATGTCTTCTTTTAAGAAGTGTCTGTTCATGTTCTTTGCACACTTTTTGATGGGGGTGTTTGTTTTTTTCTTGTAAATTTGTTTAAGTTCCTTGTAGATTCTGGATATTAGCCCTTTGTCAGATGGAGAGATCGAAAATTCTGGATTGAAAACTCTTTTCTTTAAGAATGCTGAATATTTGTCCCCAATCTCTTCTGGCTTGTAGGGTTTCTGCAGAGAGATCCGCTGTTAGTCTGATGAGCTTCCGTTTGCCAGTAACCCGACCTTTCTGTTTGGCTACCCTTAACATTTTTTCCTTCATTTCAACCTTGGTGAATTTGACGATTATGTGGCTTGGAGATGCTCTTTTTGAGGAGTATCTTTGTGGTGTTCTCTGTATTTCCTGAATTTGAATATTCTGGATAATATCAAATTATATCTGGTCTGTCTTGCTAGGTTGGGAAAGTTCTCCTGGATAATATCCTGAAGTGTGTTTTCCAACTTGGTTCTTCTCCCCGTCACTTTCAGGTACACCAATCAAATGTAGGTTTGGTCTTTTCAGATAGTCCCATATTTCTTGGAGGCTTTGTTCTTTCCTTTTCATTTTTTTTCTCTAATCTTATCTTCACACTTTATTTCATCAAGTTGGTCTTCAATCTCTGATATACTTTCTTCCACTTGATCAATTCAGCTATTGATACTTGTGTGTGCTTCACGAAGTTCCCTTGCTGCATTTTTCAGCTTCATCAGATCATTTATGTTCTTCTCTAAACCGATTATTCTAGTTAGCAGTTCCTGTAACCTTTTATCAAGGTTCTTAGCTTTTTTGCATTGGGTTAGAACATGCTCCTTTAGCTCAGAGGAGTTTGTTATTACCTACCTTCTGAAGCCTACTTCTATCAATTCATCAAACTCATTCTCTGTCCAGTTTTGTTCCCTTGCTGGCAAGGAGTTGTGATCCTTTGGAGAAGAAGAGGCATTCTGGTTTTTGGAATTTTCGGCCTTTTTGAGTTGGTTTTATCTCATCTTTCTGGATTTATCTACCTTTGGTGTTTGATGTTGGTGACCTTTGGATGGAGTTTTTGCATGGGCATCCTTTTTGTTGATGTTGATGTTACTGCTTTCTGTTTGTTAGTTTTCCTTCTAGTAGACCCCTTTTCTGCAAGTCTGCTGGAGTTTGCTGGAGGTCCACTCCAGACCCTGTTTGCCTGCGTATCACTAGCAGAGGCTGCAGAACAGTAAAGATTGCTGCCTGCCCCTTCCTCTGGAAGGTTCGTCCCAGAGGGGCACCTGCCAGATGCCAGCCAGAGCTCTCCAGTATGAAGTGTCTGTCGAACCCTGCTGGGAGGTGTCTCCCAGTCAGGAGGCAGGGAAGTAGGGACCCACTTCAGGAGGCAGTCTGACCCTTAGCAGAGCTCGAGCACTGTGCTGAGAGATCCACTGCTGTCTTCAGAGCTTACAGCCAGGAATGTTTAAGTCTGCTGAAGCTGCACCCACAGCTGCCCCTTCCCCGATGAACTCTGTCCCAGGGAGATGGGAGTTTTATCTATAAGCCCCTGACTGGGGCTGCTGCCTTTCTTTCAGAGGTGCCCTGCCCAGAAAGGAGGAGTCTAGAGAGGCAGTCTGGCTACAGCGGCTTTGCTGCACTGCAGTGGGTTCTGCACCCAGTTCCAACTTCCCAGTGTCTTTGTTTACACCCTGAGGGGAAAACCGCCTACTCAAGCCTCAGTAATGGTGGATGCTCCTCCCCTAACCAAGCTCAACCATCCCAGGTCGACTTCAGACTGCTGTGCTGGCAGTGAGAATTTCAAGCCAGTAGATCTTATCTTGTTGGACTCAGTGGGGGTGGGATCCACTAAGCAAGACCACTCTGCTCCCTGGCTTCAGTTGCCTTTCCAGGGAGTGAATGGTTCTGTCTCACTGGCATTTCAGGTCTGCCACTGGGGTATGAAAAAAAACAAAACAAAACTCCTGCAGCTAGCTCGGTGTCTGCCCAAATGGCCACCCCGTTTTGTGCTTGAAACCCAGGGCCCTGGTGGTGTAGGCACCCAAGGGAATCTCCTGGTTTGCAGGTTGCAAACCAGTTCGCAGGTTGCAAACCAGTTCGCAGGTTGCGAAGACTGTGGGAAAAATGTATTGTCTGGGAAAAGCATAGTATCTGGGCCAGATAGCACTGTCCTTCATGGCACAGTCCCTCATGGCTTCCCTTGGTTAGGGGAGGGAATTCTCTGACCCCTTGTGCTTCCCAGTTGAGGCTATGCCTCACCCTGCTTTGGCTCACCTTCCATGGGCTGCACCCTCTGTCTAAGTAGTCCCAGTGAGATGAACCGGGTACCTCAGTTGGAAGTGCAGAAATCACCTGCCTTCTGCATTGGTCTTGCTGGGAACTGCAGACTGGAGCTGCTCCTATTCGGCCATCTTGCCTGGTCCCCGAGTTGTCTTTATAAAATGCATATCATATTGTCACTGCCTTACATAACACTACTCGATGGCTTACTTGGACAAAATTCATGGTCTTTACTTGTCCTATAACAACATGCATGGCTTCACTATTGCTTTACCTCATCCATTTTAAATGTTTTTTCACTCTTACCATAAGTTACGAATTTCATTTCTGAGTGGTGCCTTTTGCTAGCGTTATTTCTACTTATGGGAATAAGCTTCCTTTGTCTTTTTCCTTCATTCTTCGGTTCTCAACCTAAATGTCACCTCTTTAGAGGAAATGTCTCTGAATATGCTAACCAATTAGGTTTTCCTGTGGTTTTCACGATTCTCAAACGTGCCAGGGACTTTGCTTTGCAATAGTGAGTTGCTTTGCACTCACTGTATGATAGTGAGTGCAGAGTGGATTTATCATGAAACAAATAAAGCTTAAAATCCAGAGCCTTCTTGTTTGCATGGACCCTGTCCAAGACTATTGAAAAGTCTTAAATATATTTAATTGGTGTTACGCTCTTGCAAAAATTTAAATGCAAAGGATTCAGTCTACTCTTTCTCTATATTCTGGCTATTCTTTATCAAATAGTAACTAACATTTATCTGTAGGTTATTGTAAGAACCATGAGCATTTGTAAACTATTTATTTATTTATCTTAAAGAAAACCTATGAACAGAGTTAACCTGGATGAGCAAAAACTGCCATGGTCCATGCTTTAAACTGTATATCAGTATAGTTTCATGACAAACAGAGACAATAAGCAGAGGATGACACATCTAGTGCAAAAATTACAGTGCTGGAGAAGCCAAGGGGGTCATGAAGACCTATTACAGTGAAGATCAATTTAATCATTTTAATATATCTGTCAGATAAATGTAAGCAATATTATCATCAACTGTTTTAAAGATAATGAATCATAAATTGAAACGTGGTCTTACTAGAAATCAAAGCAACACATTAAAATAATGGAATACTATGTATCACCTATCAAATTGGCAGAAGTGAATAATATTAAACTATGGAGAGGAGACCAGGTGCAGTGGCTCATGCCTGTAATCCTAGCACTTTGGGAGGGTGAAGCAGGAGGATCTCTTGATCTCAAGAATTTGAGACCAGCTTGCATAACATAGAGAGACTTCATCTCTACAATTTTTTTTTTTAATTAGCTAGATGTGGTGGTGTACCCTTGGAATCCCAGCTATTCCGGTGGCTGAGATGGGAGAATCACTTGAGCCCAGGAGGTCAAAGTTGCAGTAAGCAGTGATCATGCCACTGCACTCCAGCCTGGTGGGACAGAGCAAGACCCTGTCTCAAAAAAAATTAAAAATAATAAATTATTTTTTTAATAAATAAAATTAATTATGGAGAAGTAATCATGTGACACTATCTCCTAGAGTTTGAGAAGCAATTGGTTGTATGCAACAAGAACTTTCATAAGGATCACAAACTTTGGCCTAATAATTTTACATCTAGGATTCTATCAAGGACTGTAGGAAAATTTACATGTAAAAACTTTGTGTTTTAATTTTAGTTATAGTAGCATATCTTTGATAATGATGAATTGAATAATAGAAAAAATGGTTAAATGAATTGTGCTACATCTATATGGTAGTGTTTACAATTTTATTTATTATTATTTATTTATTTTAAGATTGGTTATAGGTCTATGGGCCAGGCTGTAGCACGGTGGTGCAATCCTAGCTCACTGCAATTTTGAACTCCCTAGGCTGCAGCAATCCTGCTGACTCCACCTCTAGAGTAGTTAAGAATATAGGCACATGTCACCATGCCTAGCTCTTTTTAAAATTTTTGTAGTGATGGAGTCTCACTATGTTGCTCAGGCTGGTCTTGAACTCCCGGCTTCAAGCGATTTTCCCACCTTAGCCTCCCAAAGTGCTAGGATTATAGGCATGAGCCACCATGCCCAGCCAAAAATTCTACTTTGAGAGACTTATTAAGGAAAAGAGAAAATATGCATAATATATTGTTAAGCAAAAGAAAAGAGATTAAGAGCCAAGCATGGTGGCTTACACCTGTAGTCCCAGCTACTTGGGAAGATTACTTGAGGAGTTTGAGGCCAGCCTGGGCAACATAATGAGGCGCTGTCTCTAAATATAAAGAAATAAATATTAAAAAGAAAAGAGACTGAAAACCTGTCTACACAGTAAAATCTTAGTTATGTATAACTACCAGAGACAAATATATCAAAATGATAACAGAAGTTGTCTCTGGTACAGAGATAATAATGCACAGATTTTATTTTCAATTTTTAATTTTCTATATTTCAAATTTTTTGTAATGAACATGTATTATTTTAAAAACGTGATGAAAATACTTACTATGTCAAATAAGCAAATTAAGTCATTTTAATAAGAAAAGTGGTTAGAGTATAGGATTTTTGAACATAAATGGAGATTGCATCCACTCATGAAACTGTATTGAAAACAGACAAGATTCATTCTGATGAATCAACTCTGCCTCTTGTAAAAGTTTTCTTCTTTGACACTTGGGAGGTGTTGGGTAATTAGCATGATGCTGAAAGATGCTTAAAAGAAGTGTTTGAAATAAAGTTTTCTGACTTATTAACGATACTACAAGGACAAAATCAAATGATTCAATAGAACTCGTGATCTTAGAAAAGACCAATAATGAATACTAAATTTTAATGAAGTCCACAGTAACATTGAAATGCACCATTTCATTTGCCGTTAACCTTTCTGGTGTGCTACTCAGAGGTCTTTAAATTCTTAGGACAGGATACCATTTAACGACAAGGACAGGTGACTGTTTCATTTAAAAGAGTACACTTTACTAAAACATGGCTGGGGAAGAAAATCAGTGAATGATATATGTGAAGAGATATGGAAAATCTAGAGGAAATTAAGGCAAAAAAAAGGGAGTGAAGGAGTGTTTTTCACAGAATTTAGCAAACTATCGATACTTCCATATGTGTTTCGGATATAACACATTTTTTCAAAGTACTAAAATGTTCAAATGAATAACAGTCTTTTACAGATATCTGACAAGAAACATTTAAATCTAATTCCATAAAGCTTTCTTCAAGTATTTATTCAAATAAAAAACAATCTCTCCAGAGAAGTTCCGCTAAGGGAGCAATTCAGTAGTGAGATCTGAGTTGGAACACATATTGTTGGAAACTGGTAGTATTAAAAAAAAAATAATTTTGCAACATTTCTACTATCACATTTCATAGCAGCAGAAAATTGTGAATATCAAAGTTACACTTCACAGCCAAGGTTCGGGATGAGACAGGTGGCATAGTATTATGATAGATGAATCAAAAACATAGGGCACTCTTTCACATAATACTGCAAGTTTTGAGTTGATTTTATTTTTAGCTTTGTAGTTGTAATGTCACCAAAAAATTCAGAGGCAATGCATCCAGTTGAGTGATGAAAATAAGTGCACTATAATCTTCTGTTTTCTGCTGCAACTCCTAACCACCTTCCTAGTCGCAGCATCTGATCCATGCTACTAGCCAAGTGCTTTCCTAAACCCTGGTAAATGGCAATGCCTGCTTCCTAAAGCAAGGTTATTCATTTCCTTTCACTGTTATAAGAACTTCTCACATGGGTTTAAGTTTAAGGTTTAAGCCAGCACATATTTACTACCTCACAGCTTCTGTAGGTTAGAAGAACTCTGCTAGCTTGAGTGCATCCTCAGCTTACAGTCTCACCAACCTGACTGAAATCAAGGTGTCAAGGCCTGAGTTCCTTAGTGGAAGCTCAGAGGAAGAATCTGCTTCCAAGTGCATTCAGGTTGGTGGTTGGGTTTAGCTCAGTGGGATTGTAGAACCGAAGTTCACCACTCCTAGTAGCTCTCAGCCAGAGGCCTGCCTTTGCTCCTGGAGACTTGTTCCCCATACCTTCTCAGGCTTTCCATGAGGCCCCCTCCATCAGTGAGAGGTGAGACCCTTTTATGTTTCCAATCTTTCTGATTTTGCCTTCTGTTGCATTTCTCTAACTCCAGCCAGAGAAGGTTCTCTGCTTTTAAGGATTTCTGTGAAGACACAGATAATCTAGTTGAATCCCTCCATTTAAGGTCAGTAACCTTAGCTACCTATATGAAGTTCCTTTTGTAATGGAAGGTGACATATTCAGAGATTCCAGGGATTAGGAAACTGATGTCTTTGGGGGACCATGCTGTCTACTACACAGATACTAGATGTGTGTCAGATAATTTATTATTGACTTTTTTTGCATTGAATTTTAAAAATAATTAGAATAGATTGGTAAGATGCAACCAGTTTTGTAGTTTTTAAGATCTTTTCAGAATAGCTCTAATTACCTGGTCATTTAGAATGTATTACAATTTTCAAGTAAAAATTCACCAAATCCATTGGAGCCATTGCCTTTCAGAGAAAACTTTGGGCATTTGCTCTGCTTTATTTATCAGTATTTTGACAAAACCAACGAGCAAACCCCTCCAAGAATTATTCAATCCTTAGTAGTTGCTTTCTGTCATTAAATTCAAGAAGCTAAACATATATTGGTAATCAATATTGTATTAATTTATCTCAATAAAGGATTCATTTTGCAAAAGTGAAACTTTGTATTCTTTGATAAATATCATCCCATTTGATCATTTCACAATGTATATATATAATATATATATATATCAAGACATCAAGTTTTACACTTTAAATATGTATAACTTTTGTCAATTGTGCCCCAGTAAGTGAAAAAAAATAAAGTATAATAGTTATATATAAAATAAAATTGTATCTAAAAGTATAAGTCTAAAGCACTGTTGATGTATATATGAGTTGTTACACATTAAATAATAAGCCAAAGACCACAAAGAAACAAACATTTTAATGATTACATTTAATCAATAATGACATAATTTAAGAAGCAAAAATAGAAATATTTTAATGAGGATTTCAAGATCACGCTTACCATGGACTGATAGCAAATATTTAAAATTTCAGGAATTCCAAACACACACATACACATACACAGAGAGAGAAAGTGCTTTACAGACTTGCTAATTACTGTATGGCAACTAGAATTCACAGAATACTGACTTAGAATTATTAGTAAACTGATCTGATAGGGCATCACTTTAAAATTATGAACACCTAGTGAAATAACATTTTTAAAATAATTTGTTTTAGATCTAGGAAAAAACCTATGTTGTCGGTAAAAATACAATTTTGTGGAGATATTCAAAATAATTTTTTAAAATTTACCTTTTTGGACACTTCGTAGCCTACTAGCAGGATATTCTCTGCCAGTGAGTGGTATGCAGACTAAGTGGCTCCCCTGATACATGAAAACCCTGATTTGCTGCATTTCCTATTACCATGATATGAATACTCTCACCAGGGCCCATTTCAAGGTCTCCACATAATGTCACTGAACAGGTTGCTAGAAACATATGCACATAATCAGATCTCCTGAGCAGGTTGGAGCCAGCTCCAGTACACTACAATCTGTAGCCTGGTTCATACTTGGAGAAATATTGTTCTGTGGTTAAAGTGCATCCGTCATCATCAAATTTCATTGTCAGACAGACTTGGGTCAATAGTCCAACTCTTTTCAACGACATCAACTTAATAGCCTCTGCAAACAATTAACTCATCCGTTAAGAGGGGATAATACTACTTTCTTAACAGTTTTGTCATGAAGATTAAATTATATAACATATGTAAAGTGTTATACCCAGTGAATACATTAACACATATTATTATTATCATTATTACAAATCTGTTCTAGAGAAACGGACTTTGCTACCCCAGATATAGAATAAACTCTGTAAATAAGCTCCGTAAAGCATCATGATGACAGTTTCCTAACAATATAGCATAATGTACAAAATATTTATGAGGCTTCAAGAATAGCCTACACACACGTGCATGTGTATACACACACACACAGAGCCCAGCACCTTTAGAAAACCTGCTGTATTAGTCCGTTCTCACACTGCTAATAAAAACAT
This sequence comes from Homo sapiens, assembly GCF_000001405.40. Taxonomy (NCBI): domain Eukaryota; kingdom Metazoa; phylum Chordata; class Mammalia; order Primates; family Hominidae; genus Homo; species Homo sapiens. Next base: position 65,924,599 of record NC_000018.10, on the reverse strand, counting down.
ACCTGAGACTGAGTAATTTATAAAGAAAAAGAGTTTTAATGGACTCACAGTTCCACATGGCTGGGGAGGCCTCACAATCACGGCAGAAGGTAAAGGAGGAACAAAGACAGGTAAGAGAGCATGTGCAGGGGAATTGCCCTTTATAAAATCAGATCTCTTGAGACTTATTCACTACCATGAGAACTGCATGGGAAAAAACCCACCCCCATTATTCAATTTCCTCCTACCGGCTCCCTCCCACAACATGTGGGGATTATGGGAGCTACAACTCAACATGAGATTTGGATGGGGACAGAATCAAAACATATCACCTACTATGCAAGTGTCTCTACTTATCAACTAATTTTAACACTCAAATATGGAAAGATGACAAATTTTAGGGCATGCTTATTTATAGGCTCCATTTCGTATACCATATTCTTTGAATTATTGTTCCAAAATATATGGAAATTTTACTTAGCAAAAGATGTTTGAATTAAATCATTCATAAATGGTTTCCTAAAAACTGCTAAGAGAAAAAACAAAAACGAACTATTCTGAAAACCATTGTTCATATGTGTATCCTGAAAAATACACAGTATTCTTGCAAAATATATTTGGAATGTAGCCTATATTTCATGAAGTTTAGTAACTTTTTAATATGACAGCAAATAGCACTTTAACATATAAAAGTAATAATTTGACATTTTTGAAAGTATTGTTTAGATCTCAAATGATTTCTATTTGTTAAATAATCTGGATACCATTCTATGAATAAAATATCATACCAAAATGAAAATAAATGTAAGAGAAACCATATAAGCAGATATTTGTGTGCTGGCGAAAAGTGGTACAATATGTTCCTTTCTCTTAAAATCTCATTATGCTGGTCTAGATTAATTTCTTTTCCCAAAACATATATTAAGTTTATTTCATTCCAGAAAGATGAGGCCTGTTACTGATTAGTTGAATAAAGCCTAATATCAAGCCACTACTGATTTTCCCAATATTCTTAAGTACAGCAACCATGTGTATTTGTACGTACATTTTACCATCATTGTCTGTATCTATTCCATTTCAAATTTCAAATAATGAGTTCAGATAGCTTTGATGGATTGTAAAGAATATCGCTTTATTGTCTTTATTGAGTTCCTGAATTTCAGGTAGCAAGTAGTGAGAGTTTAAGATATCTAGCAATTTTAATCTAAAAAAAAATTATTGGTTTCCCAAGTCCAGGAGCAGTGGCTCATGCCTGTAATCCCAGTACTTTGGGATGGCAAAGGCGAGAGGATCACTTGAGCCCAGAAGTTCAAGACCAGCTTGAGTAACAAAGTGAGACCCTGTCTCTATGAAAAATCAAAAAATTAGCTGAGCATGGTGGTGCGTGCCTGTTGTCTCAGCTACTCGGGAGGCTGAAGTGGGAGGATTGCTTAGGCTCAGAAGGTGGAGGCTGTGGTGAGCCATGATTGTGCCACTGCACCCACCCTGGGTGGTAGAGTGAGACAGTGTCCCAAAAAAAGAAAAAATAATAATTTGTTTCCTGAATTTGAATAGCAAGTGACTTGTAGAACTACAACTCATGAAAATCTTACAGTTTAACTGATCATTACCAAAGCTGTGTTACAGATGTAAAAACTAAGTTGTGGCAATATGAAGTGATCATTCTTTCCAAATACAGACAGCAAGCAGCAGAGCTGTGTTTCAATCCTTACGTGTGTAACTACAATGCCTGTGATATAAAACACTAAGCGAAACTGGCTTAGATCCTTTACTTTGACATGTACACATCACCTTCCAAAAGGCCAGTGATCTTTTAACCTTGTTTTTACTATCCTTTTAAACAGAAGACTTTAATTTTTGATATAATCAAATTTATTGATTTTTAACCTTAAGATTTGTGCATTTGTTTTTTTTTAATCTTATTTAGCAAGTCTTTCACAATATAGAGCACAGTGAATATCTTCCACAGTGCTATTACCAATAGAGTAAAACTTGTTACAATCAGGTTTTTAGTCCCTGTAGAGTTAGAAGTAAGAATTAAGTTTTATTTTTCTCCTTTTGACAAATCGGTTTTCTCCAAATGTTCGGTTATTTATTCTTTTCTTTTGATTTGGAGGCCACTTTGTTGTAAATTAGGTTCTTATAAAGTTATATTCCCAAATAACATCTTCCACTCTTCTGATTAAAACCTCCAAAGCTTTTATGTAGTTTAAATGACAAACTCCTTAACATGGAATTTCTTTCTTTCTTTATTCCCAAAATATCTACTGAGCTTCTACTATGTGTCAAAGCTATCTGTCAGAATTAAATACTGTCTCTGCCATCATGAATCTTGCTGTCAGGTATCACCGCCACTGAACAGGTAATTACAAGTGGATGCTGATTGGAAAGAGGAAGAATAAGTTACTATCAGAGTGTTCTGGGTGTCTGCTAAAGTCTAGGGGTTAGTGCATGTTCTCATTTATAAGTGAGAGCTAAACATTGAGCACACATAGACATAAACATGGGAAGAGCAGACAGTGTGAACTACCAGAAGGAGGAGGGAGGGAAGGGATCACAGGTTTAAAAAGTACTTATCAGGTACTATGCTCACCACCTGGATGATGGGATCCGTACCCCAAACTCCAGCATCACACAATATTCTCATTAACAAACCAGTACATGTACTCCCTGCATCCAAATTAAAAGTTGAAATTTAAATAATAACAGTAAGTAAATAAAAATAAAAATGTAGGAATAAGCCATTAATAAAAATAGAGTCTGGGGATTAGGACGAACTGCACTATGTGAATGACATTTTCCCCTAAGAAGGCAACATGGAAGCAGAATGCGGCCAAATGAGGGGCAGAAGACACATGAAGCAGGTTTCAAGTAAAGGAAATGCTATGTTGAAGGATGTAGAATGCATGGAGATTGTGGCTTCCCCTGGACACTGGGTCACTACTCTAGTACAGTTGAAGCAAAGAAAATGTCAGAGGTCAGATTTCGGATTGCAAAGAAGTGTCAGAGGTTGGATTCAGAAGGTCTTTGAACGCCTACAAAGACCTTTCCCATCTGCCCAATAGCTGAGCTTCGTTTCTTTTACTTTCCTTAACCTTCTTGCTATTTTCAAAACATACCATCTATTTTTAAATGTTCTTGTGTCTTTCAACCTGTTCTCTCTGCTTGTGTTACCCTCTTACTTCTCCCCGTCTCCAGTAAAATCCCACATGTCCATCTTTATTTAATTCAGCCTTTACTTCAGTCCTTAAAGTTGTCATACTTTTGTCAGTCTAAATGATGTCTTGGCTAGCAGAACACATACCTGTCACCTCCATTAATATGCACTTAGATCCATTTCTTATTCACATCTTACCAAAATGCTATGTTGTATGTAACTGTATTTTCTCATCTTTCTGAGATAAATGCATAAATCATGGAATGGCCATAAGGATTAAATGAGATTATTGACGTAAAGCATTTGGCATGGTGTCTGGTACATAATATACCTTCAATAAAATTCACTATTTTAATGATAATTATCATGTTTGTCACTACTACCATCATCATCATCCTGCATTTTCTAGAGCCTTCTCTGAAATCTTTCACTTCTTAGAAGACATATGTCTCAGAAACTATTTTTATCCATATGTACTTGTCTTTTATATTTGTTATGTTTTGTTTCCTTCATCTTCTCTGGGTTGGAGAAGAAGAACCTAGTGCTGAATCCAGGGTTTGTGACAAGGCTGGAAGAACATTTGGTCTGGCTAGTTAAAGTGTGGAAAGAGGTAAAACCATATTCAAGCCATTCTGAATCCTTTGCTTTCTCCAACTTTCTTATACACCTCAAAACTCCCCAAGAATAGAAAATTTGTAGCATTTGTCTGCCTTATTTACCTCTAAAAGATATCCGTTTAGATATCTGTGTATTCAAAAAGTAATATAGACCTGAAGGATGCCTTCTTCCCCAAGAGCTCTGGTCTTAGTACTTCAGGTGTGCTTCTGATCTATGGCGACCATGGCTCAGGAGGCATGAAGCTTTCCAGCCCAAGCAAAAGTTCACCGTAATTGAGGTCAAATACTTGAAATATGCTGCATGATAATCTAATATTTTCTCAGTACATGTCTGTCTAGCTATATTCTCCTTGCTTATGAAAATCCATATTCATTTTGTCATTTGATTTTTTCAGAGTAGCTGAAAGCATTCATTTTAAGTACTAAATTATAAGAATGTATGAAATTACAGAAATTAAATTATAAAAAACAAATTTTAATGTTGAATCTCTTTAAAAATAAGCTTAAATGTGATTAATTTGTAGCTCTTGATAAATTGGTATGGTAATAATGAATACATTAAGTATAGCAATGATAATTCTGAGATCATAGAACATAAATAATGTTAACAGATATTTTTATCCCATGCCATTAATGATCTCTGATAACCAGACATTAATTACTACTAGTTATAAATCACTGTTAAGTTCAACCCACTACCCACTATGTATTTATAGTTTAGTTTCTAAAGAAATCTACATAGACAACAGTCAACCATATATATGCATCCATCTTTTTTTAATTTTACTTTAAGTTCTGGGATACATGTGCAGGACATGCAGGTTTGTTACATAAGTATACATGTGCCATGGTGGTTTGCTGCATCCATCAACCTGTCATCTAGGTTTTGAGCCCCGCATGCATTAGGTATTTTAACACACTCTTCATTCTCCTCCATTTCTATTTCCTCTGCTCAGTGATAAATTGATTGCAGCTCAGTTCAGACACAGAATTGAGCGCCAAGGGACTCTGACTACAAAGTGATGTTAGAAGGTCAGCATGAATCGTAGCAGCTAATTTAGATCTCCATACATGAAAAAAGATGAAAGAGACAACCTGCCCATAATTTTCATGTTATAGCAAAGGGGAAAAATAACAAATATAGACAAGGATTTGATGTTATGCCAAGCATTTATTTTTCCAATTCATGAAAGTTCATATAAGCATAAGTTATCATTTTATGTTGCTATGGCAGTCTTTAGGAGAGCTGCACACAAAATGTGCTGCCAAGCCGTACACAAGAGAATTGAACTTGTATCTTCAGAGAGGGGGGAGGTAGGAAATGTGGCAGTTGGTTAAAATAAGGAGTTTATAAGATGAAATATAAAAACATAAGTTTGCAATATTAGAGACTTAAGCATTCAACAGAATTTATACACTCCTAATGTTGAAAGCAAGACACTAAAGATAGAATCCATTCCACTGACATTATTTACATATCACACTTGAAGGAATATATATGCTTTAGTAGTTAAAAGAATACTTTAGCTAAAGTCAAATATGAAAACCAGAGGGCATGGACTAGCGATAGGATGAGTGCTCAGAGAATATGAGTATTTGTCTTTTAGAATGGGAGCAGTCGCCCTGTAAAGTAAATGACTAAGAGAAGCAGTTAGCACAAAGGGTTTTTAAATGTTGTTAAATGATCATATAATTTGAAAGAGTCATAAAGGTTCCATCATTATAAGGACTATATACAGCACTTACATATTTTCAATGCACTTTATGATCATTAACTAGTAATTAGCCGAAAAACTTTCTCATTCCAGAGAAATAAATGAAAATACATTTTTTGCTTTCCTTACCATATAAAATCTCCTGTACAACTTCACCTAGCTTGTAGTGGATTTAATTCCTTGTTTTTCTCAGTATCTAGCAGAGGTCTAAACCTTTATTATTTGTGCCAGTGTATTTACAGAATGATTTAAAACATCCTTAAGAAGTTAGTATTCAAACATCATTAAATATTTAATACTGGAGGGATGCTAAAAGTTAGCTCCTGTTCCATGAGGATAGTGTTAAAGAACACAACAAAAACTTATTAAAACTGCAGAACTGGAGCAGCAGAAAAGTAAGAGAATCAGAAATTAAAATCATTGTCTCAAGGCAAGCTATGACTAATGAAAATGTACTACTGATCATTGCCTTGCATGCAAACTGCTTTTATTGACGACCACATAAAATCACCAGAGGAGGTATGGAGAGTTATAGGAAGGAAAGAAAGCAACAAAAACATTAAATCTCACAGTAACCATTTCAAGTATTATTATGTTAATTTACACGTGAAGAAACTGAAACCGAGAATGGTTAATTTAATAGTCCAAAGAATAGATTAAGTGAATGTCAGAACAAGGATTCCCAGTTTATCTGATTCAAAATGGCTTCATCTCCTTGTCCTTCTATTTTCACTGCATCATCTCTGCCACTTCATTACATGCAAAAACAGAGTCTAAATCTGAGTCCTATACTAAGAATTCTGTCCCCTAAAGAATAGATAATGTACCGAAGTTCCTGAGATGTGAGATTTGATACTAATGTTTTCCAAAGTGGGTGGAGTAATGGGGTAAACAAGGAAAATGAAAGTTATATGCTGTTAAAAATGCTGCTTTGTGGCAAAGCAGAGTGATTTTGCTAGTGTGCCTTGTATATCTACACAAACGGGTTTCAGGGACGTAAGGAAATAAACAAACTGGGATATTATGTGTTGCTTTGGAAATGACTAGGCAGCTGCCATGAGTAATTCATATGTATTAATTCTTGACGTTCCTCAAACATAACTTAACTATTATTGTTGTCTTTGTAGATTCACGCTCGTGCCAAGTATCAAGAGGGATACTCTGATGGACTGTTCAGAGCCCCAATTTCTGTAACTATCACTTCTCAGTGTATTGAAAGATGCTAAACATTAGAATCAACTGAACTGACTTTATCATTTTATTACACTATATCAAATCGGGTTCTTTGAGATTCTTATTCTCCAAACAATGAAAGGAATAAATATAAACTGTGCCTGACAAATGAAGAAAAGATGGAGATCAATAGCTTGTTAAAATAATTTTGATGTATGCTATTATTATAAAATACAACTTTTGTAGAATAATGTAGGTATGTCACTGTCACTAAAGAGTATTTTATGTATTCTCATCATTTAAGGCAAATATAACAATATGTATTAATTTAAATTCAATAAATTTTACTATTAAAGTTATATCTAGATAGAAATTTATGATATTCAAAACTGGCTAATAAACAGGTTAAGAAAATGATCTAATTTAAGAAAAAATTATAGTTACTAGCTTGTTCTTTTGAATGGCTAGTTCAAATTATTAACAACTTCAGGAAAAAATTTAAATTAATGATACAAAGCATAATATTTTGCAATGTCCTTAGGTATTTGTCCTAAATTTGATATCATACGGTTTCATGTTTATGAAGAACTGTTTCAACTATGTCCTAAGTTGGTTTGCTACAGTTTTGCATATGACATCAGTTGAACAGACTCGTAAGACTAGCATTTGAATAAAATGTTAATAAATGATAGACATTTCCCTGAGTACTTCATTTTATAGCAGTCTCAGAGTTTTTAGGTAAAAAGGTAAGATTATTGAAACAGTGAATTCACACTTTGGTGTGCTCAGAATCACCCGGAGGGCTTATTAAAGTTTGCTGGGCCCTACTTACAGAGTTTCTGCTATAGTAAATCTGAAAGAAATATTTGGGGTAAAGGAGACTGGAGCAAGATTTGCATCTCTAACAAGTTCTCAGGTAGTGTTGATACTTCTGCTCAGTGATCATCCTTTGAGAGACACTACTATAAAGAAGGGTATTGAAGGTCTTTAGCCACCTCAGTATGAGCATTCAGAGTATTCTATATAATACTTCACGACAAAATTGATTAGATTGATCACAATAAGGCAATTTTAAACTCATTCCAGAAAAAAGGTTTGATTTTAATAAATCATTCACAATGTAGTTATTTTATAGCCTTCATAATTAGGTGAAAATATTTCATAAGATTAATTTATTATCTAAATACTTCTTTGGGTTACTGGTCAGATTTAAGTTCACCATGCATATATGTCACTTTAGGTCATGTGAGGACTATCCAATCTAAGCTAGACCTACTTTGTTTAAATTAAACAATGAGACTAAAACATCAGAATGCATGAAACTGAAAACCCAAGGTGACATCCTCCTAAACATTTAGCCATTATGGGAAAAAATAACAAAACAAGATAAAAACATGAAACAAAAAAGAGTTATTCATGTGTTTCAGCCCTTTCTGATATTTGTTAACCTTATAACCTAGTACATTTTGATCATCTGTAACCTATTGTATGAGTTACCCACATCATTAAACTCCTTTTGGGAAATAAAAATGATAGAATATATAAAACGTATTAGATGCAGCCAATAAATAAGCCATTGCATTATATATATTTGACCATGCCTACCCTGAAGGAACCTAATAAAATAACACTTTCTTAGCGTATCTTTGTTAAAACATAGCTGGTAGTAGATTTGAACAAAATCTACATGGTTAATTATGGGAAAATATTAATTTGCAAAGTTTTTTTTTTAACATGAACTAGAGTTTTGTTTACAAACTCTAGGGTTACAACTTAATGAACAAAACTGATTAAACTATGATTCAAGAAAAAGATTAATTGAAGAAAGAAAATTACCTTTGACTAAATAAAGATAAATTATGGGTTAATTAACCGAGGGCCAGACCCAAAACAGAGAAATAATGTTTAAGGTCCAGGATATACTTAATATATAGGTAATGAGTATCATGAGAAATAAATTTTAAAACCCTAAACTATAATTAGGAAACATTTAATAGGTTTCATTTTATCTCTATTTTACTCTCTTCCTTTATTTTGATGATAGTTTCAATGGTTTGAAGTTGTAGTTATGAATTAATTTCACAAGAACCAGCCAGTACCCTTTATATATGTTCTGGCAGTATAAAACAATGATTTACAGTGACTTATGGTGATAAAGAAAACACTTTAAAGCCCATCTGGCAACCTCAATGCAGATGGATTCACTGGACAAATATTGTCTCCCTAAGTTGGGGTGGGCCATAAGCAGATTAGCCATGGGTAATTATTAATTCCCAATTGTTTGCTTGGGCCATATGGGAATACATTCAACTATGAAAAGCATCAAACTGTTCCACTTCATATAATAAGAAGAGCAGATAATCAATGACTTGAAACAAATGCTAATGATAGTTCTGTGTACAGATCTGAAGCTGGCACTTGAAGAATGTATGCAAATACAGTAAAAAATATGTACATTATAACAAGCCCAGCAATATTAGAGGGTAAATTTTATGTCTCTAGTAACAGACTATCAAACTAATTCTTCAGAATAAATGTAGAAACCTCCAAGAAATTTATTTATTTACCTCAAGTATGGGAAAATGAATCAGCATGGTACAAATACAATACCACATTTAGAAGGGTATGGCCCTTGGAACACTTTGAATGACAAGACTAAAATATGTAAGGAAGAAAGATAAAGTACTGAAATGCTTAGGTATAAATGACTGTTATGTAGGTAAAATCCACATGGATTCATTGGAAGAGGGCTAAACATTTAATTGTATATATGGGAATTTCTACTTCTGGTCAAAATGGAATAACAGAGACTAGATTTATTCTCTGCAGTTGCAAAGCCAGAAAAAAAATAAAATCACTCTTACAACATTAGACACAAGACAGTGAAAGACACTGATTTCTGAGGGACAGAAACAAATTACATGAGCCCTACAAATGCCCTCAGATATATTACCAAAAAAAAATTATGTGGACCGAAAAAAGGCACATGAAAATGACTCAAGATCATTAGTTATTAGATAAGCAGAAGTTAACATCACAACTAGATAGCTCTACATATCTACTTAAATGCCTAAAACTAAAAAGACTGTGCTTGTAGAGTGTTGGTGGGGATATGGAGCACTTGAAATGCTTACGTACTAGTGTGGTAGATAAACATATACCCACGATAGGGCACAGCCATTCCAAACTTAGAGGAGATGAATGCATATTTTCATTAAAAGATTTCTACACAAATGTTTAGAGTGGCTTTGTCTGAAATAGCTAAAAACTGCAAACAATTGAAATGTCCACCCACAGAGATACAGAATATCTATACAATGGACTCTGAGACAGTGCCCTCAGAGTAAAGAGGCCAAATAAATAAATAAATAAATAGAAATAGAGAAAAAAGAAAAGAAAACAAAAAACAAAGAGTTAATGCTCACTAATAAGAGGAAGAAGCTATGGACACACAGCAATGAAATGTGGATGGGTATTAAGTATGCTGAACAAAAGAAGCTGGATAAAACATGCATTCCTTTCATATAAAATTTTAGAAAAATAAACTATTCTATAGTGAACCAGATCATTGGTTGCCTGTGGGTGGTGGAGACACAAAAGGGCAAGAGAATGAGATTATAAAGGGGCACAGAGAAAGTTTGGGTGGTGATGAATAGGTTCATTTTCTTGATTATGGTGAGGAGTTATCACCATATGTGAAAATATATGATACACTTTAATCATGTACTATATATTATAGTTCAATTATATCTTAATAAAACTGTAATAAAAATAAGCAAATAATTCCATACGTAAGAGTTTGTAGACGTGACCTCTATATTGGAAAATGTCAACCAGAGCATGGTGAAGAGGAGAAGTTGTAGGAATTCAAAGTGTTGCAACCACAGCTCAAAATGTGAGATCCTGGTAATATCTTTGGTATTGTAGAGCACTATATATATATATAAAATATATCATTATATATAATATATTATTATATATAATATATTATTATATATTATATATTTTATATATAATATATTATTATATATAATATATTATTATATATTATATATTTTATATATATTAAGTATTATATATAATATACATTATATTATATATATATATATTATATTATATAATATATATATATATTATATATAATAATTATATATATTATATATAATATATTATATATTATATATTATATATAATATATTATATATTATATATATTATATATAATATATTATATATTATATATTATATATATTATATATTATATATTATATATTATATATATTATATATAATATATATTATATATTATATATTTTATATATAATTATTATATATAATATATTATATATATTATATATTATATATAATATATATAATATATATATTATATATAATATATTATTATATATTATATATATTTTATATATAATAATTATATATTATATATATTTTATATATTATATATATAATCAAAGAACTACTCTTTTGAATTCATAAAAAATTCCTTTATGATGAGAATGTAAAAATAAGTTTTCAAAAATAAATCATATTATATAATTTGAAGAATTTTATGGGACAAAGAATTAGCAATAACAGGAAAGTTAATAAGAGAATATTAGGTCAAAGTTGTACTTTAATTTTATGGTATGATGAATCATATAATCCAAGCAGCATTAAGAAGAGAGATGTCTAAGAAATTGCAATGTCCAACTGTAACACTCACAAATATCTAGTCGCTTTGGTTGCTTCAACATATTGAATTTAATGTGTAACTGCTGAAATTGTGCCATTTGTTAAATGGTGTTAGTCACAATGAGTTGGGTTTCTCTGATCAGCTTGGGTGCCCTAGAGCCCTAGACTTTGAAAGGTTTGTAAAAAAAATTTTTATTCCTTTTAGGAACAATTTATGATATATTGGACAGTGAGGGAAAATAGCAAAAAACTCTAAAATCGGATGGTTTGATTATGGACTAAAATTACTGTAAATGTGCTGCAAGGATCGTAACTCATAAGGCTAATTAATATCATTATTAGCATTATTAATTGAAAGGCATTGATGCTCTTTACGAGTTTATAACAGCTGGGCTAGAACATTTAGGGGATAACAATTATCTTGAACCCACGAAGCTTAATTAAATTGGGATAAATAAAATGTGTAAGTCAATCTACTTAGGATCAAATGCAGTGGCACAATTATATGTTATTATAAGACAGAGCCCACGGAGTTGAAAAATAATCAACTTCCATGAAAAATACATTAAATGAACAGCAACTTTAAAGAAGAAGCTGAGAAGAAAGTAACCCATTATACTTGGTCATCTTAGGCTCAGGTAAGAGAATATGTCATTATTTTAGTAGTATCATACAATGGACTCAGAGCCCTCTTTATTTTACTTTATATGAAAGTCAAACAAGGTTACATAGTTCGTTAAAGAGTATAGCAAACACAATTAAAAGAAACTTAAAGCAGTATAACATGCAACTTTTCTAAATGATATGTAGAATTAAGTAGGAAATATTTCAAAAATTACCAAAAATAAGGGCTAAAGTGTACATTGTTTTCAAAATGTTACATCATCCTTCTAAGACACTATGATGTTTGTGACTTTAAAATAATTATGTTACAGGATAGAGAAGTAAGACTCTCAATGTCCAAAACTGCAACAATAAAAAGTTAATATCTTCATTACAGAAGAGAGAGTCCAGCCCTTTGAGATGAGCAGGGACCAAGTAGAATCTATGGGCAGTGACCACAGACCAGCCTCTCTCTGCTTGCATTTCCTAACACACAGATCTCTGAAGCAAAAACACTTCCAGTTTTGTTCATTGTTCATCACTTAATATTATTCTGGATATAAAAACTGTTTTAATTGCACTGCAAATAATGTCAAGATAACTCCAAGTTTTCTCTGCAATTTAAGAAACATACCTTGAAATTGTAAATATTTTCTGCATATTTTATGAAATAATGAATTAAATAACCAAAAAGTGGCAAAGAAAGAGGGCCCATTCTAATCGCTGCCCAACTAATTTTTTCAACATATATTTTTGAGTCAGTGGACTTTACAGTAGAAAAGTAGAATATTTTCTAATGCCAGATCTCCTTGTATAGCACTCTGAGCTATACATTTTCAGTAATTCCTTTAACTTTGAATGCATATCTATAGGCTTATTGTTAACTTCTAACATCTCTTTCTCAAAAAACAGATCAATAATTGGACTCATCTTCTTTTTAATATGACAATGCTCTTAATTTCTGGTGATGGTATTCATCCTAAACACTCTTTCTTTCCAGTTTATGTGACAGTCCACAAAGGCTATAGTAAACACAGAATCAATATTTCTTCTCTTTGTATACACTACAGTTAAGTCAAGTGTGAATTCATGTTCTGGATATGAGCAGTTTCATCCAAGTGTTAAAAATATATATCCTGGTTTACAAATGTGATTGCTTTTGTTCTTCCTTGTTGTATAGCATCAATATGAGGTGTCATTTAATAGTGCCTGTTGACAAATAATCTTGCCAATGGCCCATTTCTGCTGGTTTACATGTTTCTCAGCAATAGTGTTTCTTGTTTCCATTCTGGCTAAGAGACATGTCACTTTGAATAGTGCCTTTGTAATTTAGTCTACTTTTCTACCTTTTAATGTTGAATAATTAATTATATGTAAGAAGTGTTTGTTATTATGCTTGTGGAGAAAAAAGATATTGATTCATCCAAGAGATTAATGCATTCTATAAATCATGTTAAAGCATTGATGGCTCATGTGACTTTTGATAAAGTTTCATATTGTGTACCTCTGTGGAAGCTAGGGCTCTATGAATTGCAAAGCTAATATAATGCAATTTTTACTATTCATGGAGCTTCCTTATTCTTTTTTCAAAGCTTATTTTTTAAAAAAAACAACTTTTCATGAATTAATACAGCTACAGAATCACCTGTTCAAGAACATATACGTTCACATTCTGTACTGGCACTAGGCCCTAATTATTTGCATTAATAATGTTATTTTTAGTTGTAATCATTATGTTAATAACATTACTACCTTTATACTTCAATAACCCGTTTTTTGGCTAATAGTTCCGTCAGCATTTTGGAGATTTAACAGAACACAATAGTAATGATTAAGATGCAAATTTAATAAAGATAATGACAAAAAAGGGATGTAAAATTACATTTACAAACTGCCCTCTGCTAATTTAGTATCAGCCAAGACAAACTCAACAAGGTAGGCTATATAGCACAAAGTAATACTGTTTTAAATGTAATGAAATTTGCATAAAAAAGTTATAATAAACCCTTTATTTCAATTTTTAAAATGAACATGCATTTTTGTTTCAAACTGTGTTTCCCCCTAAGTCACAAAACTGCCCAAAGACCAACAGGTTTTTGGAAAACTTGCCCCAGTGACTTGCTGACTCAGTATTAAAACTTATTATCTAAAAGATAAAACTTCTAGTTGTTTTAAAAATTATTTTAAAGAAAAGATGATCATATTCCACCGACATTTCCAAGCTATAGTAAACCTATATTCCAAAAAGATTTTTCACTTTTCACATTAATACAATTTTTCACACTTATTCTCCTTTTCAATAAAGAATTTTGCTCAATTGTCATGGCAAATAGTCTTTTGCCTCATTTAACTGAAGATTGTGACACCGAAATAAGAATAAAATAGAAACGAAATAATGAAATGTAGACCTAGAAGGAAAAAAACTGTGGCAAAATCAATATAAGTAGAGAGTTTATTTGGGCCAAGCTTGAGGATTGCAGGCGGATAGCATAGACTTAAGTCTCTCTGAATACACACTCCAATTAGCAACAGTTACAAGTAGGTTTTTAAAGAAAAAGAAGAGGCAGTTCTAAAGTTGTTCACCAAGAATTTACATTAAAATAACCTAAACTGGCCAGGCATGGTGGCTTATGCCCGTAAACCCAGCACTTTGGGAGGCTGAGGTGGGAGGATCATTTGAGATCAGTTCAAGACCAGCCTGGGCAACATGGTGAAACCCCATCTCCACAAAAAAATACAAAAATTAGCTGGGCATGGTGGCATGCACCTGTAGTCTCAGCTGCTTGGGAGGCTGAGGCATGAGAATCAAGAATCGCTTGAACCCGAGAGGCAGAGTTTGCAGTGAGCCGTGATTGTGTCAATGCACTCCAGCCTGGGCAACAGAGCAAGACTCTGTCACAAAAAGAAAACAAAACCGTAAACTATTAATTATGTATACATTGTTCTTTATTATCACAAATTCCAGGAATGTGAAGATAACGGATAAAGCAGCCAGTCAGGAAAAAAGTGGCTTTAAACAATTGCCCCCAGTCATCCGTGCCATGGCAGCCTCCAACTGAAGTTCCATACTCTTACCACTCTAGGCCTGATAAATTTTGCATGCCTCACATAACTCAAACTGCTCTGGGCTATCTTCTTTTTCTCAGAAACCTGCTGGAAATTTAAACACCTAGGAACACCTATGAAACCTACAACTGAAGGTGCAGTTGTATAAGATGATTAGTTTATCCCCCTCTATTTTTCCTGGGGCACACTTTGCTTATTGTTTGTTTTTGTTTTTGTTTTAAAGGCCAGTGTCCCTTAGAGTTTTGACTTTTTTTGATACAAAAAGCTAGTAACATAACCCATCAGATTATGTTTTGGAGACACTGGATTACAATAATATCTAATGGAAATAGAACTGTATAAACTTCAAAGAAGCTCAAGGGAAAAAATCTGAAAACTAATGAATTAAAACAAAAAAGTTGATAGATGAGGCAAACGTAGCCTATAGAAGTAAGTCTCATTTCTGTGCCAGTGAGAAAGGAAGATTTCTGCTTTTTTTTTTTTTTTTTTTTTTTTTTGGTCACACAGGCTTATGATCTGCGGTGCTATAGAGGAAAGCGTATTTGTAAAAACCAATCTGGAGTGAGTTAATCTGACACCAGCTTTAATAAATTCCTGGCTTAGAGCCAAGGGAGCTAAGTACAATGATAAATTAAAGTTAATGACAATGGTTTTTCCATTATACTAGGACAAATCACCACTTTGCAACTGATTGGGGGAAATAACAACAAACTTTGTTTCACAATCAAATAAATACTAATGGGAGAGAGGGAAAGAAGAATGTAGTTTAAAGTTTAGTGTTTTGTTGATGAAAAAATCCAAACTGTAAAATATTTAACTAGATTCTGAGCCAGATGTGAGGGCCATGACCCATGACACAGCTTCAGGAGGTCCTGAGAACATGCCCCCAAGGTGGTTGGATTACAGCTTGATTTTATACAATTTAGGGAGACAGAAGGCCAGGTGCGGTGGCTCATGCCTGTAATCCCAGCACTTTGGGAGGCCAAGGAGGAGGGCGGATCACCTGAGGTCAGGAGTTCAAGACCAGCCTGGCCAACATGGTGAAATCTCATCTCTACTAAAAATACAAAAATTAACTGGGCGTGGGGGTGCACACCTGTAATCCCAGCTACTTGTGAGGCTGAGGCAGAAGAATCTCTTGAACCCGGTAGGCAGAGGTTGCAGTGAGCCAAGTTTGTGTCACTGCACTCCAGCCTGGAGCACAGAGCGAGACTCTGTCTCAAAACAAAACAAAACAAAACAAAAAAACATAAATCCATACTGGATTTTATTAAGAAACTCTTTTTTTTTTTCCTTAGCATACTTAGGTAAATCACTTTAAATGAAAGCGGCAACAAAAAGAAGCTCCTCTAATTGACAGCTGACCATAGCAATAAAATGCCATCTAGCTATTTTAGAAGTTACAACCAATTTAAAAATAATTTCAATCTGATTTGCCAGACTTCCAGAGTCAAATCACAACTCAAATCTTAAAGCAATATTTTCTTTCTGCCCATAGTCTACAAGTTGTCCATTTTGGCAATATTCTTTCAAATGATGCAATTAGCGATCCCCAAACATGAAACATACTCAAAATTTCAACCTATATTTTATAATTTTCTAAAACTTGTTTGAAGTTAAACTACTCTTTTAAAAATATATAACAAATTAGTGGCTCCATATCACTGCTTCAAAAGTCCACCATTAGGTCCATTGTTTGTTTGATATGGCAAATGTTAATATTACTGAGAGGTTGTTTTCGCCAATAACACATATCAGTTTTTGAACTACTAAAATTTTTCCAGTGCTAGGAGATTTTTTTAACCTAGTACAATTATGTATAAACCATGATCATAAAAATAAGAATCATAAAAATACCAAAGCTGGGAACACTCGTTCTATTTCATAGAATGAGGTAATGGCAGTTTCAAAAATCAAGAAAGAAAAAAAGAAAATCCTATCAAGGCCCAAATTATAGCATAGAATCTAAAAAATAAGGACTCTTCTGTTACTCTGTGCCATTTTTATCTTTCTTGCGTCAAGATACAGTATTCTTCAAGCAAGTACAAAGATTTTGAATGCTGGTCCACATGCTAGTTTAGAAAATCCTTTCCATTTGCAATCCATTATTTTTGAAAGCTAAGAGCACATACCCCGAGGCATGGCTTGCACAAACATAAGGAGGAGAAAGAAAGAGTAATTCAGAATAAGTAAATAATCACTTTTTTGATGGCTGCTAATGTGCCAATCATGTATTATAAACATTTTAAACATATTAACACATTGATTCTAATAATAGTACAGGATTATTAAATAGAAGTATTTGTTCCTTGAAAGCACACGACAGCAAAGAAGTCTCAGAAACAGCAGATTTTGATAAACTTCTTATCTCTGCTTGACTAGTTTTCTTTGTTGCTAAATTGATGCTGATTTTTAATCCTTTTTTTTCTTAGATGTAACCTTTATTACTCCTTTAAGTGGCCTTGATTTTTATCCTTTAGCTATTCATTTTTTTTCCTTATGAAATTATGTTTTAAGGCCTTATTTGATTATAGCTAGAGACCCAAAAGGCCTTAAAGTTCTCCTCAGTTTGCCTGCAGTTTAGACAGGCTTCTTCCTGAGAGTAGTCTAGACCTCTGATTTACCTTTTCTTATAACATTTACTGTGGAAAACTTGTCATTGTTAATCCTTTCTCTGCCTCTTTGAGATGTAAATCATTTTAAAACCTCTTTATAGTTTTACAACCCAGGGATGTCTTTCTCAAGGACCTGGGAGCCATTCCTTTGAAATGTAATCATCAAGGAGGATAGTGCCCTACCTCCCAGCCTCTGTGGGAAGGTAGGGTCTTAATTTCACTGGGCACTTTGCCCCAAGTTGTAAAAACTACTTCCTGTCATGAAGATAGGAGGAGAAAGTTTACTTTTCCTTCAGGTAAAGCCAATTAGCAAACATAGAAGGCCTAAGATCTTCGCACTCCAGCTCATAAAAATTCTGAAGCTTTCCACCCCGTTGTTTCAAGGGAGTTGAATGCAAACTGAGTTCTGGCCTCTCTCTTCCATTGCAAATAGCCTTGAACAAATTTTTGCTTGCCTGTTTAACTGTCTGGTGTAATTTTTTGCTTTGACAACAGCATTTCATAATAAGTTTACACGTGGTCACTATTTTTAATTTTAAAATCACTACTGCATGTAAAATCTAAAATGCATCTTCTCCGTAACTTGTAATCGGGTAAGAAAGTCCTTTAAAGTACTGACTTTTAAATGTTATTTTACTTGCCCAAGAACACAAATAAAACCATGGCTACTGTTTATGGATCTCTTCCTGCTTCCATAGGTAAGTCTATTGCATACATTAAATTAATTCCCATAATTACCCCATAATGTAGGGAATTGAGCTGCTTCAGCAGGAAAATTGAGGCCTTTAAATGAGGCCAAATCTCAGCCATGTTGCAGCAGCAGAGAGATTCTGAGAAGTGTTTTGAGAAAATGATATGCAGACTTTTGCTTTTTATATATCAGTAATCTCAAAGGAGATAGATCAGAATAGTGTTGTCAGTGCTCTTCCATGGAAGGACAATTATAAAACAACAACTGTTATAAAATTGACTTTATAAAGGAAAAATTACTTTGAAGCCTAAAATTAGAAAGGATGTTATTTGAGAGTTAGGATAGCTTTTTAAATTAATTAAATTTAAATTTCTGTAGGAAATCATCTGTCTCATGGTTCTTATTGTCTAATTTGGAAATCATTAGTTTAGAATGCATAATAATATTAAATCTTGGAATGAGAACTAAAGTATTAGAGAGAAAGAAAGTGATGGAATATGGATCATTGTAGGCATCAGTATGAGCATTCAAGACAGGTGGCTTGGTTTACTTACCTATGGAACAATGAACAATAATTACACAGATCTGAATTGGGTAGGTTTGAAGTTGTTTCAGTACTTGGAAAGACCTGAGATCACCTGTCTAGATCAATATGAATTAATATGAATTTTGCACTAATTGAAAAAGGTGATGTCCTCTCAGAAGTCCTAAGCACAGTGGAGCTTGATAAGCCTCTAAGTGAAGTAAAAGGTGGCCCATCCTCCAAGCTGAGGCAGCCCTGGGACAGGGCACATGGCTTGGCTAGGAAAGAACAGGCTGGATCTCAATCTGTACTCCTTGTTTTTGCTGGATGCTGTTACAAATTTCACAAACTGTGTGTTTTTCTGCAGAGGCTCTGAGGTCACAGATAGTGTTTACGTTTTGTTCTCTCTAGCTGATTAACACTTGTGCTCAGCATTCTAGATAGCATAATAGTGTAAATCTGCCCTACATAATTTGTCCATCATGAAGAAATTAGTTTTTAGGAATAAAAAAGGCAAAAGATCCAAAAATTTAGGAGAATAAGGCCTGCTTTTTTCTTTTCTTTTTTTTCTTTTCCTTCAGGTCTTTGGCCTACCAGCTTGCTCTATATATTTTGGACTGGCTAGCCTCCACAAACATGAGAGCAAATTCCTTACAATTTATCTCTCACTGTCTTGCTCTCTCTCTCTACACATACGCACACATGTAAATTATTATATATATGTATATGTGTTATGTATGTGTTTATGTTTATATATGTATGAGTGTACATACAGATATATACACACATGACTCATATGTATATATATATATAGATATATATGTTATATACGTGTGTGTGTGTGTATAAGATTCAGATTTAATTAAGTGCCCTGTGTTTTATCTGGCTCTCCTAGTTTGAAGGAAAGTTACAGGAAGTATAGAACAGACCTACCGTGACAGACTGATTTGAATAATGTACCTAATGATGACTAATTTATCAACGTATTTGTATTTTCTTTATGACAAGCAAACACATGAAAATCTTATTTTAGTGCAAACTGTGCATGTCCAATGTCATAGATGCCCAACGTCATTGGTCCTAAGGAAAAAGCAAATTAAAATTAAAATCACAATGAGATACAACAACACATCTACTAGCAAGGTTAAAATTAAATGGACTGATCATACCAAGTGTTGACAGAGAAACCTGAACTCTCATATATTGCTGGTGGGAACAGAAAATGGTACAAGTTTGGAAAAGTTTTCCAGTTTCTTAATATAGTTAGTAAATGCCTACTATATTATCCAGGCATTTATACAAAAATACGAAATCCTATGTATACACAAACCATTATGCACAAATGGCCATAAAAGCTTTATTGGTAATAACCAAAACAGAAAACAATCCAAATGTCCCTCAGGAGGTAAATGGATGAACAAATATTAGTATATTTATTAATAAAATGCTAATGGGAAGAAAAAAGAGTGAACTACTGTTTCAACATCAATAAATCTCAAACGATTATCCTGACTGAAAGAAAACAGATTTTAAAAGATTATGCACAGTATAATTTAATTTACACAAAATCCTAGTATCTAATCTATAGTAACCGAAAGATCAGTGGTTTCCTGTAAAGGACATGGGTAAGGGGCGAGAAAAAAGAATTATATTTAACAGGAACACTTAGGCAATCAATTTCTCTCTAGGCACTGCTTTCACTGCACCCCAAACCTTTTGAAATGTTAGGTTTTTGTCGCTTATCTTAAAAGATTTTATAAATTCTCTTGTGATTTTTTAAAATCTTATGATTTATTTAATAGTATTTCCAATGTTGTGGGGCTTTTTAAAGTACCTTCTCGTTTTTATTTCTAACTTAATATTATTGTGGTCAGATAGCATAGTCTATAAGATTTCACTCTTTAAAACACATTGGTCCTTATTTGATGCCAAGCCTATCCTCTGTGTTGGTGGATATTAAATGTGAACTTGGAAAATATAATTTATATTTTTCACTCGTTCAGTGTAATTTTCTATAGGTATCATTTAAGATGTTTTGGTTTATATTGTTCTTTATATTTATTGCTGATTTTTAAAATTGTTTTTATTTCAGTACGTTTTGGTATACAGGTGGTTCTGCTTACATTAAGAAGTTCTTTACTGGGGATTTCTGAGATTTTAGTGAACCTGCCGTCAAAGCAGTGTACACTGTACCCAATACGTAGTGTTTTATCCCTCACTCCTCTCTCAACCTTGCCTTCCGACTCCCCAAAAATGATTGTATCATTGTTATGCCCTTGCATCCTCACAGCGTAGCTCCCACTTACAGATGAGAACATACAATATTTAGTTTTCCATTCCTACCTTACTTCACTTGGAATAATGGCCTCCAGCTCCAACCAAGTCGCTGCAAAAGACATTATTTTGTTCCTTTTAATGGTTGAGCAGTATTCAACGTTGTATGTATCCCACATATTCTTTCTGCACTCGTTGGTTGCTGGGCACTTAGGGTGGTTACATATCTTCACACCTGAAAATTGTTTTCATATAAACATAAATGTGCATGTGTCTTTTTCATATGACTTCTTTTCCTTTTGGTAGATACCCAGTAGTTGGATTGCTGGAACAATCTACTTTTACTTGTTTAAGTCATCTCCATACTGTTTTCCATAGTGGTTATACTAGTTTATATTCCCACCGGCAGTGCAAAAGTGTTCCCTTTTCACCACATCCATGCCAACATCTACTGTTTTGTTTTTTTAATTTTTAAATTACAGCCATCCTTGAAGAAGTAAGGTGGTATCTCATTGTGATTTTAATTTCATTGCTGAAATTAAAATTAACATTTTTAAAGTCTCCATCTATTAATGCAGATTTAGCTTTTTTTAACTGCAGGCCTTCCAGTTTTATTTCATAAATTCTGAAATTCTAATCAATACACGTTTTTACTTGTTACGTTTTCTTGATGAATTGATGTGTTCATCATTATGAAATATTTTATCTGGGGTGAGATTTATTACTTTGAAGTCTGCACTCATTGATATTAATATAACTGCACAAGTTTTTAAGCAGAAAGTTTGTATGGTGTATTTTTTTCCATATTTATTCATTTCAACCTATGCTTGTTTTGATATGCACACCTACACTTCGTGCATCTTTTATATACAACATACAGTTATTTCTTGATTGACATTCAGTCTGAAAACCTCTTGTTTTCATTGAATTATTTTTTCTAATTATATTTCGTGTAATTTTGATATCTTTTGGCTTAAGTCAACCATCTTGGTATGTGTCTTTCATTTATCATTTCTCCTTTTTGTTTCTCTGTTACTCCTTTCTCATATTACTTTGGCTTAATTGGCTGGGATTTTTTTTTTTTTTTTGTATTTTCCTTCTCTCCTCTTTGAGCTTTTTAGTCACTTTTTTTCTATCATTAATATTTAGTATTTGTGCTAGTTTAATGATATTCAACTTTAATCTATCAGACTGCTAAATTTCAAAGTTAATCACTTCACACTTCACTTATGTGCTCCTTTTCATTCAACAGCTGAACAGCCTCTGGTTTCGCCTACCTCTGTCTTCAAATGGTTATTTTTCATCTATTTTAACGATAGAGTGTATCGTTAACTACAGGGAGATTTTTCTGATATAAGCTACTCCACCATCACTGGAAATGGAAGTCTTCATTTAATTTTCTACACATGATAGCATATATTAGAAATTTCAGAATAAATAACACATTATAAAATATCTCTAGCAGGTTATTAAGACTACTCCAGAGATATTTGTTGTTTGTTTGTTTGCTTTGACATCATGATGTATATTTTAGATCTGAGAAACACTTCTTTAATATGTAAGGTCGAATGCATCTTTAATGGATCACTGAGATTCCTTATTCAAATTATGTTGATAGCCTCACCTCTTTTTCTTCTAGGTTTCTTGTTCCAAACAATATATTTCAAGTATATGCTATGTGTTGCTCAGAAACAAGTCATCATATTTATTGAATGAAATAAGATATGAGAAGAGATTTTATCTTGTCTCAAGAGGTTTATTATATAGCTGAATACAACAAACATGTTAAACTAACTTCAGATTTTTAAACCTGGCAATAAAATGTGTAATGAGTGTACAGATTTATGGGTCATAAGGTTTAGGGAAGTCTATAATGTCTAATTCGAACACATTATTGCATCTTCTCTTACTCTAAATTAAAGTTTTTAGGCTAGATCTCCTGAATACCACTCACTAGTTGGATTCAGATAAAGCAAATTACAATTCACACAAAAGGCATATCCTTTTTAAATGGAAATAATGGTGTCAGCTCCTTCACAGGAGTTAATAGAGTCCTCCAAAACCACTGAATCAGAAGCTCACATTTTTAAATACTTTGCTTTTCCTTTGTTCCTTGGTTATGTGTTCATTGGTTTATATTTGTGTTTGTATTTGGAAAGAGTATAGTGTAGTCTGTAATCTCTCTGTATTTTTATGATACAGGAAGGTAATTATTTCTCGTCTGTTAGAATTATCTTGGAAAAAAATAAAATACTCAGTATATTTGATATGATGTGTTTGCCTTTTTTAACATATCTAGATAATTAATGTTATTACATGGTTATTATCAGAGAGTTAAAGCCATTACATGGTCAAATTTAAAATACTTCAACCAGAATTTTAAAATACTTTGTCAATACAAGTATTGACCAAATACACAAACCCAGTTTTCCACTCTCAAAGAATGTACTGTCTGGGTACTTCTGAACTGTTTTTTTTATAACACTTGTTATTATTTTTTGGGTTGATGTGGATTTTTTTCTACATAATTATCTGATTTGTTTATAATAATGCAAGCATTCTTTCAGAATACAACTGGCATCGTGCATCAAACTCAATTCATCTTTAGCAAGTTTTATGGCATGAATTCCAAACTTATTTCAAATTAGCATAGCTCTTCACTGGGTCTGGAGTGAGAGAATCCCATAGAAAAGGTGAAAAAGCACCACACAGAGTAAAAGAATCATGGGGCATGTGAACAGTCATATATTTCAAGTTGCTAAGGGCAGTCTTGTAAGATGCTGAGGGACTATTGCTCTCTAAATTGTGTCTTTTCATCCCTCTGTGTATTTTATGCTTATTTTAGAGGCTCAAAGGCACTGGATTTATTTCTTGAGGAATGCAGCTTATATTTTAGTCTCTTGTGTTCAATTTCACATTTTCCAAAGTGCACTACATTTAATAAATCTAGGTTAACAGTTCTCACATGAATATAGGCAATTGTCAACACAACACAACATATTTCTGAGCTGTTTAGAGGTCGTGGCACACACTCAGGAATCATGACACTGCGGTGATATGCATACATGATTAAAAATGCTTTTTCGCTGCTTGCAAATGATGTACAATTTAAAAATCAAATCATTTGACTTTATTTTAGCTTTAAGTATAAAGTTTGAAAGTGATACAGAACATCCTGAAATTGAATGTCCAAGACTAACGATACCTGCAGAAATACTCAAAGAAATAAATTATTAACATTCAGGTAGTTCAATTATATCAGCACTTGAATTATATCCTGTTGTTCACTCAATACCAAAGGAATAAATATACTATTTGAAACATTATGTCTTTTACACAGAAAAGAAATTCTAAAAAGTGAGTCAATCACAGGTTCAAAACAAACTTGAGAAAATAAACAGGAATCTCTTTTGTATTAAACTGGGGAGCACCTAGAAAAGGAAGTATTCATGTAAGTTCTTTTCAGTGTGATGCAAAGGTTTGTCTCTAAATTTTTAAAAAATACTTAATAAAGTAAAATGAATTTAATGATTGTCATTAGATTAAATCTTTTTTTTTCTAGAAGTAAGAAAGGTAAGATATCATTAGTTACCTTTTAAGAGATATTGTTCACATGAAGGCCATTACAGTAATATGCCTAGTTCAGTAGGAAGATGTATGAGTTTGCTTTATTTGTTTCCTGAATTATAAATAACTTAAATACCCTAGCAAGCTGCAAAGAAAAAATAGTCTTTCATTTTACAAAAGACTTCCTGCAGCTATCCTAGTTTTGTAACATTATAGGCGAAAAAGTTCTGCAAGTATCAATACCCACATTTTATCACTGAGATGTAGTAATGGGAAGTACATTTTCCAAGGATAGCGATACAGTTATTTGTGCTTTTTGTCCTCACCCCAATCTCATCTTGAATTGTAATCCCCATAATCCCCAGGTGTTAAGGGAGGTACCATGTGGGGAGGCAATTGAATTATAGAGTTGGTTTCCTCCATGCTGTTTTTGTGATAGTGAGTGAGTTTTCAGATCTGATGGCTTCATCAGCATCTGGCATTTCCCCTACTAGCACTCTCTCTCCTGCCACCTTGTGAAGAAGACGCCTGCTTCTGCTTCAGCTTGCACCAAGATTGTAAGTTTCCTGCGGCCTATCCAGCCATGCAGAACTGTGAGTTAATTAGACCTCTTTTTTGTACAAATTACCCAGTCTCAGGTATTTCTTTACAGAGGTGTGAAAACGGACTAATATAGGTGTTCTTTATGTCTTTGGCAACTTATAAATAGAAAACAAACTACCAGAGTCAGAACTGAGTCTTGGAATCCAACTTGAGTTGAATGGCAAAATATATACATACATACATAAGAGAATAAATATTTGACATCTGGCCTCCTTTCTTTCATTACTAATTCTGGTGGTGTTTAAAACAAGCTTTCTAAATCCCAGTAGTTTTCATATTCATAATAAGTATAATAATACATTGACTTAATATCTGCAGGCTGGAAAAATAAAACTAGTTCTCAATATTAGACACATGAAATAATTTCTTTCTTAAGTTGCCTTTTCTTTCTTTGTTCAGGTTATAGTTCCAATTTTTAATCTAATTGTGTTTCAAAAAGGCAATTTTCTATAGTTTAAAGATCTTTTCCTTGTAGACAATATCCTCAACTCACATGCTCTCAAATGGTTTGTAGTTATTAAATACTTTTTATTCTCATATTTCAAACCAGTTATCTAATTAAGCTGTATTTACTCTATAATACAACAAAATGAAGAAGTACTTAAAAGTTTAATGTTCTCTGAATACCTTTGCCATCATTTCTAGCCTTCATAGGAAAATAGCTATGAAAGAGCAGAAACAGACAAATAGTGTTCAAGCCTTTATTTGTTCTTGGAAGAAAATGAATGTTTTAATTTTTATACAATGCACACACCTTTACTGTGTCCTTGAATGTAAAATGCAATGTAATATCACACAGGGTAACTTTTATTTTTCTGGGTACTGCCTGCAAAGCAAGGCAAAATTGTTTGGGAAGAAAAAGAAAATCTTTGAAGAACATTTTTATAAAGTAAAAAGAACTTCATTCTTAATAATTCCGATCGAATGCATCTCCAAAGAGAAAACGATCAGTGCAGTTGAATGTCCTGTCATATTCCGACAGAAACTTATTTCTCCTGGGTGGATTTCAGCTCTTCCTGTGGAGCTCTTGGGCAGTGGCAGTTTTTAGGCACCATTCCTTGTCTTAATACTTTGCTGCTAAAATAGGTAAACGCGATGACTTCAGATTATTGCGCTCCCTCAAAATTTAATCACATTTTACTTCTTTCAAGAAGATTTAGATACTTAGAAGGCTAGAGTCAACTAAACAGAATTTATTTCTCTTTAAAGTTTTATTCTTTGAATTTCTATAGACCTGAGAAAGAATTTTCATTCAGTAGACTTCATCTTTTTAGATTTCCTTAGAATTTGTGGACATGTCTTACAAATCTCCAGTCATACAAAAAAGTAAAGCATAAAGAGAATTAAACAAATATTTCAAAAGTTTAAAATATAATATGAAAACTGGAGCAATAGAATAGTGATGAGTTGCAACAGGTTTTCACATTGGGGATGTCCTTTGATAGTATACAATACTCCTTAAAAGTCATGTTAGTTAATTGGATGCATTCAAAATATGATATTCCATTTCTTAAAGGGGCTTTTAGAGGTAGTAGTGAGCATAGAGAGTTATTCAACAATATTGTCTTTGGATCTCTCTCTTTTTCTCTCTGATAGAAATAACAAAATTAAGTAGGTAAGAATGTATTTTTTTACTCATATAAATGGCCAAATTAGTGATGTATTAATAATTGATTATCATTAAGCGGAACTGAAGATTTCTTCAACTTTTTTTATTGATTTCTTTTTTGTTTTGTTTATTTTTTATTTTTTATTTTTTTGAGACAGGGTCTCACTCTGTCACCCGGTGTGGTGTGCAGTGGTGCAGACATGGCTCACCGCAGCCTCCTGTCTTAGCCCCCTGAGCAGCTGGGACTACAGGCACATGCCACCATACCCAGGTAATTTTTTATGTTTTGTACAGATGGGTCTCCCCTGTTGCCCAGGCTGGTCTCAGATTCCTTGCCTCAAGCAATCCTCCCCCCTCAGCCACCCAAAATGCTGGGATAGATGCCTAAGCCATGATGCCTGCCCATTCTCTAACTTTTCAAACAAGTTTCTACCACTACTCTTCCAGAAATAACAATAAAATGATGCAAGAATGCTTGGGCAGGTGGGAGGAGCACTTTCATTCGTGAGTGGCTTCATACTTACACAATGGAAGTCACTCAGTAATGCCAACCATAATCGAGACCACAAAGACTCCCAAATGACTACCAGAATTAGACATGTTGGCAAATAGGCCACAGTGATAGGTTGTTTCTATTAGTTCATCCATTTGATTTTATTTTTTCAAAGTAATCCAGGGAAAAAATGATATAAGATTCTAGTTTGGTAAGATTTCTGTTTATTTGGCAAATGCAGTGCCTAATACTGTTCTAAGTACTACTTCATAAGTGTTAATACATTTAACTGTTTTAGAATGCATAGGAAGTAGATTCTATTGTTATGCCCACTACATAGATGGTACATTTGAATATAGAGAGGCAAATCTTAGAGAATAGAGTCACTCAGAGAATAAGTAAGCTAGGAACCAGTAGGTCTACATCTAGTGGCTAGACATGGTGGTGCCAGGTGGTCTTTCCTAATGACTTCTGAAAAATTCACCTTAAGATGTGTGTGTATGTGTGTGTGTATGGGTGTGTGTATGGGTGTGTGTATGTGTGTGTGTCTATGTGTGTGTGTGTATGTGTCTGTGCATGTAAGCAGGTTGATAATTTAGTAAATCAGAAATTAGAAGGTCAATACACGCCTTTGCTTAAATAGTACATGTACTGTGTAGGGATATGGAAGTGTAGGGACAATTTTAGTTGATTTCTGGACATGGTCAATAAGTTCAATAAGTGTTGAGCTCTTCCTGCTGCCAGAGGTTCTAGGATGTTTCTGTGATCCTTTCTCTTCCCTTAGTTATCTACTTCACACTTTTGTCTCATCCGTCATTAAGATTTCTTCCACTTCCTCACGTTCCACTGATGATTTTGCTCTTCCGTTCAGCAAGAACAATAAAAGTAACCCAAGAAGAGACTCCACGTGTTCCCACTTGAACATGTTCCTATTGATACTAGTATCATTATGCCTTATTATCTCTCATTTTTCTGTTTCTGGACTCTTCTTTTTTCTACCTAGGACCAATCTTTATGCGCTCACTATACCCATTAACTCTCATCTTCTAAAAGATACCACTTCAGAAATTTTCTCCCCTGCATTAGCTAGAAAAATATTGAACTATTGTCTTATCTTTAAAAAAACTCTCATTTGACCCTGCATTATCTTGCAGCTACGTCGTCCTCTGCAATCCAACCACGTCAACGTCCAGCAGCCAAGGACTACTAGTAATAGACATATATAGTTCAACAATACTGAGTTTAATTGTGATTCCCAACAAAGGAGAACACATAGTCCATAATTGTTGGGCATCTTAGTATGAGGATGTTAGAAAAGGCATATTATCAGAGCTTGTGTTTAAGTGACATAGGAAAGTTTCAAGAAAGCAAGGTCTCTGAATTTGATGCTGCTGGGAATTAGGATGATATCCTGATTGAATATCTTAAGAAACCTTATCCAAAAAGCAGAAGGAATAAAGGGAAAGGTAAACTGGCTGAGTTCATTATAGACAATGATATTTTATTTTATTATTTATTTATTTATTTTTGAGTTGGAGTTTCGCCCTTGTTGGGCTGGAGTGCAATGGCGTGATCTCTACTCACTGCAACCTCTGCCTCCCAGGTTCAAGCGATTCTCCTGCCTCAACCTCCAGAGTAGCTGGGATTACAGATGCCTGCCACCACTCCTGGCTAATTCTGTATTTTTAGTGGAGATGGGCTTTCACCATGTTGGTCAGGCTGGTCACGAACTACTGACCTCAGGTGATCTACCCACCTCAACCTCCCAAAGTGTTGGGATTACAGGCATGAGCCACTGCACAGGGCCCACAGTGATAATTTAAATAGGATTAAGAGACAAGGTTATTCAGCAGATGTTTAAAGGCAATACTATCAATTACACATAAAGTTCTAATTATATTTTATCTTTTGCCAGCCTTTAAAACAGATAAAATAAGTCCCCCTCCATTTTATTTTATTGTGTTAGAGTGTATTTTGTCATTTTTACCCTTTGCTTACATATAATAATTTAAATTTCTTAAAAATACTTTAATATGCAAAATGCTTCTCTACTATACTCTGAGTCTGTCAGTTGGAAGAGTTTTGACAGTAAATAATACTCAGCAATGGCTCAAACCATTAGGCATTTATCATTTTCTTAATAAGTACAATGAATAAGAATGTATCACTTAAAATACTTCATGATATTTGCAATAGCTGCCATAATTTCAGTTAATATTTTCTAAAGAAAATTTCTAATTTTAAATTAATACATAGATTTCCATTAAGCGAATCTATATCAAACCAATCAAATACTCTGTCACTCACATAGTATTAAAAAGTGATGTCGGTTACAATCTTTATAGGCCTTTATTTTTTTAAAAAAACTAATTGGTTTATTTAAAAATTAGTTATTATCATCTAATATTCCAATAATAAAATATGACCATGACTAATAATTACAATAACTAATTTTTAAATAAACCAATTAGTTTTATTACATATATATATATACTTTATAGATCATCTCTTAGAATTTTGCAAAAAAAAAATACTGTCATATGGAAAAAAGAATTACTGATTAGCAGCTCTTTGGCAATCACCATAGAAACTATTGCACTTCCAAGTCTGCATTGTATGTATCAGTATCGCCATGTGCAAATCTATCTTATTTTATCTTATCTATTTTGATTTATCTGGGGAACTAAGATAATGCTGTATTTGCTATTCTATTTCTACTGTAATTAAATATTTCATTTGTTATTTATTAAATACAAAAAGATTTCTTTATGTGATCTCGCAGGAGCTAGATTGTCAGGTTGTAGTTTCAGAAAAGCATTTAGGGAAAAAAATGCCTTCTAACTGTGAAAATACTTGCATTGCATTTATACATTTTTTTGAGAATCTGGAACCTTCCCTAGCTTTTCTTTATATTTGTTGATCTTGACATTTTTGAAAACTATAAGCTTCTTATTTTGTATAATGTTCTTTTATGGTTTGTAGTGTGTCCTTCTAAATAGAAATAGGTTATACATATCTGTCAGGAATAACACAAAAGCAATGTTGTGTCCTCAGTGCATCATATCAGGAGATATTTCACAATACTTTTTCTAATCTTATTGATCAGCTAATTCATTGGTTCAGGCAGTGTTTCCCATATTTCTGCACCAGAAATTATTTTTATTATTATTATTATTCCTCTGTAATTAATAAATATCTTGTGAAACAAATGTTGAGTGTTATGTAAACATGTTTATTATCTCATGTTATACACTAGTTTTAATAACCTTTGATGAATTTCTACTTTCATCATCCCTTCAATATTTATTGGTTGGCATCCTACTACAAGAAAGGACTTTTATTAATCTTTAATTATTTATTTGTGCCAGCATAGACTCAGGTTAGGACTCAGATTATAATCCATGCTATTAAAGCGATATCATTGTCTGGAGTAATACCCGAGGTTCGTTGTCCCACAGCCATGGCAAACTAGGATGTGGACACACCAGAGTGAGGTTAAGATTGGAAATTTAATAGGCAAAAGAAAGAGAAAAGCTCTCTCTGCTGCAGAGAGAGGGGTCCTGGAGAAAATGGGTTGGCACTTCAGTGGTGAAGTGCAGGAGGTTTTATAGATGAGCTTGAGGAGGCAGTGTTTGATTTACATGGGGCATGAAAGATTGGTTAGACCAGGTGTGTGCCATTTGCATACCGTGCAAAAATCTGGCCACCCCTACTCTAATCTTTGATTATGCAGTTGGGTTCTTTACCTGGCTGGTGCCATGTTGCCTGCTTCTTTTACTGTATGCATGGTGACAAAGAAAAGGGAAGATGGAGCCTCCATGTTGAACATACCTGTCCCACAGGTAGCCTTTTCCTAGTGGAACAGCTGCCGGCCTTCACCCATGGACGCTTCCAGCTTGCTTATCTATGTCCGCAGCTTGATTTTTCAGGCTGCTCCTTGTTAGAAAGGAAATGATTTGAGTGCTGATTTTTATTAAAAAGAAAGCCTTGCCGAGGACCCCTTTACCCTCACTATCTGCCTAAATGATTTCTTTCTAGCTCCTCTATCACTCACTATTAGTACTTATTTTGATGGTCAAATTGCAAAAGACTATTTGAAGTGCTTCAAATCAATTATGATTATAAAACTTTCCTTACTCAATATAGAGACAAGTTGGTTCCCTGTATAACATTAGAATTAGCATATAAGGAATTTTATTTGCTGATTCCCATGGTGGAGAACCTGACAGAGGCACCTGTCGGGACATTTATTTTCTTTCTTTTTTCTTTCTTTCTTTCTTTCTTTCTTTCTTTCTTTCTTTCTTTCTTTCTTTCTTTCTTTCTTTCTTTCTTTCCTTCCTTCCTTCCTTCCTTCCTTCCTTCCTTCCTTCCTTCCTTCCTTCCTTCTTTCCTTGCTTCCTTCCTTCCTCTCTCTCTTTCTTTCTTTTTGAGACAGAGTCTCGCTCTGTCACTCAGGCTGGAGTGCAGTGGCGTGATCTTGGCTCTCTGCAACCTCCACCTCCTGGGTTTAAGCAATTCTCCTGCCTCAGCCTCCTGAGTAGCTGGTACCACAGGTGCGTGCCACCATGACCAGCTAATTTTTTTTTTTTTAGTAGAGACTGAGTTTCACCTTGTTGGCCAGGATGGTCTTGATCTCTTGACCTCGTGATCCACCCCCCTTGGCCTCCCAAAGTGCTGGGATTACAGGTGTGAGCCACTGAGCCTAGCCAGGACATTTCTATGGTGGTTGTTAGTGATTAGGAAGAGAGGATGCCTGAAATGCTAAGCTTTTCACTCCTAAAAAATCCTAATTCAATGTGCAATATGAAGTCTGCAGAAACACACTTAACAAGAATTCTGTTATGTAACAAGAATTACTATGACTTAGGTAATCCAGGAACCACATTCAGAGAAAACTGTCTAGTAGCTCTAGAGTAATAATATCTCTTTAACTCACTGTTGTATGGCCGGTTCCCATCCCACACAGATGCTTACTTCTAAATTAATGAATGAAGGGTAAGATTTGTAGAAGCTGAATTGAAGATGGGGACGGAGTTTGACATGAATGACAATTAATTTGAATAATAATTTTCTATAAATATCTTACTTTCTTGTTTTATAATTTTTTGGTCTTATTTTTATCAACCCCTATTCTGCTCTAAATTACTGTACTTTCAAGCAACATTGTTTGAACCTTTCACTAACAGTTTGAATGGGTTTAAGAATGCAGACACCTTTTTCTAATTGTTTATATATTAATAGCCTTGAAGATGATTTCAACTGCAAACATAACATATTATAGTAATTATCATAACAAAACTGTCTCTTGCCTGATTCTGGGAGGTGCATTTGTTTCTCAGTGTGGTTAATACTGAGGATTTTCATTTCCATCATGCCTTCTACTTCTAGCCCTCATCCATTACGTTTCACTCCTTCACTTCTAATCTTTACAGTTGCCCAAATTGTTTATCAGGAATTCTTTTGCATTCCTGTTTGATTTGTATATACACCAATGTGGTGCTATGAAGGTGTACTGATATTTAAAACTTAAAGACTTGCCTACGTAAATTTGACCATAAGCCCAATTCACACATTTTCTCACCGAAACATAGAGCTTAAAGGGTCATCTTCTTAGGGACCTTTCCCCTCTTACCACCTGGAGGAAAAACAATAAACTTTAATTACTTATGCTTACCTACCTATGTGATGTTAATACATACATTTAACAGGTGAAATTACAGTATCATTATATGAAACTTCAAATTATGAATGTTCATAACAGTGTTATGGCAGAATGGAATTAACCTGGTTCAGGTCCTGCCCTATCACTCAATGCTTGTGGAATGTTGGCCAATTCATCTAAACGCTTGGAGTTTTACTTTCCTCGTGGGTTAAATGCTGGTAATAATACATGTCCTCAGAAAATATATGTGAAATAACAGTGAAATATACCTCATATAAATAAGTTTCTTAAATTTCAGTTCAGGAGCATTTATGTGATTTAAACCTCTCCTATTATGATTATACATAATAAAAATAATAATGCATAATGCATATTTAAAATTTAAAAATGTCCTTTCTAAATAATTGGTACATATTATTCAACCATTTTCATTTTGGAAGCTAGATATTACATTTTTAGATTAAGGAAAGTGGAATATGAACCTTTTTAAGTTTTTTATGTAAGTGAGACTTTTCTTTGGTCTCTTCCACATGCTTATAGTCATATACACATTCTACTTAACTCACCATGAACTAGGAGACTAAATTTTATTCATTTATTATTCCTTTTGAGGAGGGAACTGGATGGTTTTAAGTACAAAGGATCTATGCCTGTCATACAACCCTGGCCTTGTTAACATCTTAGGAAAACAAGTAGTGACACCATCATGCTCACCCCTGACCCACCATTGATGCTAAAACAAAACAAAAAAAAACAAAAGATAACAATCTTTGCCTTGAACTAGAACTAAGAGAATCCCCTTTACTACCTAACTGTGAAATGGCAAAAGCACAGCTTAGTTATCTTTATGAAACTTTAAATGAAGATATCGAAGACCACCTAGAAGTGGTATAGATCAGAATTACTCACTGATATATCAGTTGAGAGCTGAAGAATTGACCCAGTCCTCGACTCACTCGATTTTCTGGCTATTGAATATATTGTTAAAAGGATTTTGATGGACTAAAGAAGTAGGAAGAGAGTATTTAAAAGAGAAGAAAAAACACAAAACCTTGATTTATGCTACTTAAACCCTGATTATATTGTATCTTTTCTGTACAACCTAAATAAATCCCCCTTTTATTAGAGGGAAAAAAATAGGGCTTTATTTTGATCTTCAATAACCCCAGAGAAAGTAATCCAAAACACCATAGAGAGAAAAGATAAATGAAAACACAGAGCCATATTTAATTATCTGATTTTAATTAAAATTGCTTGGGCATCCTGATCACTTTTCATAGGTGTGCCACACATTTTGATGAGTGCACATAGTTTATTTTTGCTAGAATTGAAGCTTCATAAATTTATAACAATATTGGTTAAATGGACCATTAAGCTGAATAAATTAAACCAAGTCGTACAAAGTCGGTAAAGCTTCCTATAAAGATAGTGGCATAGGAGGCTTCAGGTGAAGTTAAGCTACCATTAAAAAATGGGAGACACCTGGCATGGTGACTCACACCTGTAATTCCAGTATTTAAGGAGGCAGAGGCAGGAGGATAACTTGAGGCCAGGAGTTAAAAGCCAGCCTGGGAAACATAATGAGACCTTGTCAAAAAAAAAGAAAAAGTGGGGGCAGTGGAGGTGTCACATAAGGCAATGGAACATTCTAGAATTCTGATTAACAAGGATCACACTGGTTATAAGCACGTTAAACTCCGTATTTTATCCTTGTCCCTTATGTTCTTGCAGATTATCTTTTTTTCTCTATGTGGCAGACTAGCTAATTTATTGCATTCTATTTTTTAGCTTCACAAGTTCCTTCTTGCACAGTGTCTAATATAGTATATACAATCTCCATAGTACTTCTAGCTTCAAAGATATATTTAAATCTTAAATACACTCTTTAGTTATTTTGCAAGTATACACCATCATAGATCATCTTTTCATTATTCCTTGTGTTGTATTCTGTATTTTACACAAAGCTTTTTCTTGTCATGTTTCTGATAATTACCTGAATTATCTGAAGTTCTTGGAGATTTCTATGAACCATCTCCTTCATGGTGGGTTATCGTCTGTGTTTGGTCATTTTTGACTACTAATTCATATTTGGTTTAAAATGATTTATGGGAGGTAGGGGTGAAACTGGCCTCAAATGACATTAGCACTTTCATGGATCTTGGCTTGATGCAGGTACCTTGCTGCCTTCCACGAGCCCAGCACTGGGTTGGAGCTGTCCCTATGGCAACTTCAGTGGAACTGTTTGTTGACAGTTTAGCTTCATAAGATTTAGCTTTTTCTTTCTTTTTTTTCTTTTTGGAAAAGGTGGAAGGGTTGTTGGGATTTTTCTCCTACCCTTGTGTGCCAACTATTCAATAACAAGTTTATGAATCTGCATAGCGGGTAACCCTCAGAAAATCTGGTCTGCCGTGTTTTTGTGCTCTCGTCCATTCTCACAACAATGTCCCACCTCAGAGACGTAATAGAGAATAGATTAGGACATACTGGTGAAGTGCCATCGTAATGACAATATAAATATTTCTATTTTCTCATTACATTGAAACAGAATTTAATGTCACTTCCTGATTAAATTATTTTTAAAAAAGAATCACAAAGAAGTTTCCTAATCCTGGTAAGGGAACTAAAGCATAATTAAGATTGGAAAGTCCAATTATTAGAGTTTCAGCTATCTTCTTATCCTCTTAAACCAAACCATCATTTATTGACAGTCTTAATAAAAAGATAAAGGGCAAAATGTCCCAATGTTTTTTTCTTCTTCTTCTTCTTTCATTTCTACCATTTACTTCGTGTGTGTGTGAGTGTGTGTGTGTGTGTGTGTGTTTGCATAAGTTACAGTTATTCTGGGCATCAAAGTTTTTCCTTAAAAAACCTAACAATGCCTAACTTGAGTGATTCACAGACTTATAAGAAAATTGAAACCATGTATATGTTAGAATGTTATCTAACTTAAAATTACATATCTGTGGAAAAACTTTATTGTGATACTTTTATATTAAAAATCAGTCACTTAGAAGAAAATATCAAACTTTAATTACAATGATACTCATTTTCTGTACCGAGTTGTCAGGAGGTATAAGCTGGAAACCAGGATGGCGCCACCATCACAGCTGAGAATGATGACAACAGAAGTCTTCATTGTAGTGTGTCAGGTCTTTTGAGGTACCAAGAATTGCGGAAATTATTTTCTTCTATGTATCTTACTCTGTGATAATTTTTTCTTATTTTTTAAAAATACAGCAAAACACACAATAAAACACAGCAATATACTGAGGTCTCACATTCTCACGGCTTGTCTTCCTACACTTATTCCAATTCAGAGTACACTTTGTATACATCTCTTCGCTGGTTAGTTCTGAAACAGTACTCTTTCTTATATTTGTTTTAAACATCTCCAATACTGAATATTGTAGGAGTCTATTTGCCTGAAAGATAGCACTTGAGCTGAACGAAAATAATCTATTCAGTTTGGACATACATCCTGACCCCAGGTTTTATGCTTCATGTCTCATTTCCAAGGTTAAATGAACTGGATTTTCAGGATCAATTCTGCAGTCAATTGAATTAACATTTTTAAGGCTCTTTTACTATAGAAGTGACTCTTACATAAGCAAAAATATTATAAAAGTGGTTTTCTTTTTAATGTAATTATAATGGAATCTCATAAACATAAAAATTATAGTTTCATTGAAAGTAATGCTGTGTGTT
Organism: Homo sapiens; assembly: GCF_000001405.40. NCBI lineage: Eukaryota > Metazoa > Chordata > Mammalia > Primates > Hominidae > Homo > Homo sapiens. The sequence continues at coordinate 65,887,857 of NC_000018.10, read as the reverse complement.
TTACTAATGTGAATTGTTCGTTCCTCTAAATTTGAGAAAAAAAATTCTGAAATCTCTACTAAAGAGAAACTTTACAAATGTGCAATTCTCCCTCAGTATGCTCATATAATTTAATTGTAGAGGTTGGATCTAATAGACATCTTAAAAGCTAAAAAGAAAATATTTAAAAGTCATTTACTTTACTTCAACATTTCGCCTCAAATTGTGTGTGTTCCTGCACACGTGTATGTATGTGTGCGCATGCTGTCTATATATACACACACACATACGCACACAAAATTCAAAGACAAATACATAATATATATAAGTTGTGTAGTGACTTATTTTTCCTTTTCCTTTTATTTTTGGGCATTTAAAATTACTGCATGTAAAATGAAATTGCTATATAGTTACACAGGAAGGGGAACACCACACTCTAGGGACTGTTGTGGGGTAGGGGGAGGGGGGAGGGATAGAATTAGGAGATATACCTAATGCTAAATGACGAGTTAATGGGTGCCGCACACCAGCATGGCACATGTATACATATGTAACTAACCTGCACATTGTGCACATGTACCCTAAAACTTAAAGTATAATAATAATAATAAAAAAACTTGATTGTTCTTAAAGTATTGGTCATATACAGTATACAACATATTCCAGATCTTGATATACAAAAACATAGGGTTTATACTCACAAAATTAGAACATGAAGCTGTAGGGTAGTGAATCATATAAGTTTTTCCTGCTTATATAAACCATTAACATCATTATATTCATTAATAAAATGAAAATGCAAGTTTGTTTTTGAATGAAAGTATGCTGTACTTTCAACATTCTCATTAGTTACATAGTTATTAATATATTTGTTTCTAGTGTCTGTTCACATGAGCATAAAATAACCAGATAACTAAGAGCTAAAGTTGAGAAGAGAGCTTATTAACATTCATCTTGGCATCACTGACAAAAAGTAATATCCATTATATATTATTTTTTAGTTTCCTAGAGTTTCTTCATTCGTAAGAGATTAAGATGAGCTGTTGTAAGATATAAGTGAGTTTGAGTCATCAAGAGTGCATTGCATTCAGGATGGTTTTCATGTTAAGTCAATATCATTGCATCTAATTTTTTCAAGTGTATAAATTATTAATTACACATATGTCACTGTGACTTTAAAAAGTATTGTATTCTCTAGAACTTCATTTTCTTTATCTACTCTGGATGCCTGGAAGACCACTTAACTTATACTCATTATTGTCTTTTTCTCTATTCTGGTGTTTTGTGTTCATCAATGAGGCTGGGATCATCTAAAGGCAGTCCTTTATCTTCCACTCAGTTATCATTATAAGTAAGAAAGATTTGTTCTTTATTTATAATCCCATTCACATATGGATATCATTAATTCATATGAATGGTTGAATTATGTTGAGTTAAACTGCAATCTTCTGAGATCTTATAAATAACTGTATTTGAGTGGCTTCAATTAATTATGACAATTATCTATTTGAATATTATTTTCCAATTTAGGATACCAAGTTGCATATATTTTTCCTTAATGTATGTATCTCCAAACAGAAATTCTCTGTTTACCATATAACAATTATCAACCTTTTTATATAATTCCCATTATTTCCCATAATAAAGCTTTATCTTTTTATAGTGTTTTACTGTTTACACAGTCTTTCACTTAATCATTCACAAGCCTCTGAAACACAATAGTAATTAACTCAATTTTAATCATGAAGCTATAAAAGTTCAGAGAATGAAAATGGCATCTAGGGCACAGCAAAAATGTGGCGAAACTGAGCTTCTGACCTAGATTTTATAACCACAGACCAGAGGTAATTTCTGGTATACCACACTGACACCAAAGCCCAGTAACATTTAATAACAAATAATTCACACTCTATATTCTGTTAACAATGAGATTAAATCTGCACAATAATATGTGACAATTACACAAATAACAGCTAAATGTTCTTTCCTTAGCCACCAAAATCCTTACCTTAATATAAATTAGATTGTTACAGCAAATAAGATATTTCTCCTTTCATTCGGTACCATATTTTCTAGTCTTATTGCCTAACAGTCACTTGGCAGGTGACAACAATACGCCAGCATTAACCAGGAATTATGAGACTCTTATTTTTACATTACTTCAGATACATCTCTCAAGGTTCCCAATCACACACATGAAAACGCACACACAGGGCCGGGCGCGGTGGCTCACGCCTGTAATCCCAGCACTTTGGGAGGCCGAGGCGGGCGAATCACGAGGTCAGGAGATCGAGACCACGGTGAAACCCCGTCTGTACTAAAAATACAAAAAAATTAGCGGGGCGCGGTGGCGGGCGCCTGTAGTCCCAGCTACTCCGGAGGTTGAGGCAGGAGAACGGTGTGAACCCTGGAGGCGGAGCTTGCAGTGAGCCGAGATCGCACCACTGCACTCCAGCCTGGGCGACAGAGCGAGACTCCACGTCAAAAAAAAAAAAAAAAAAAAAAACACAGGCACACATCCTTTTCAGTTACATTCTAAGCCAGTAGAAGTTAGCATAACAATGAAAAAGTGTCAGAATGCAACGCACACTGCCTGTCTTGATTTGCTTGAAAAATTTCCCACAGAATTATACGTTACAATGTCGGCCAAATCACAGCCTTAAACATCTCCCATTTTTCTTAAGGGCTTATCCCACTCTTCTGAAATAGTTTCAATTACATTTAAAATGCAAATGCTATTATTCCTTTCTTGTTCTTTATTATATCCAGCCGACTAACATGATTGTATTAGCTTTCATTGCCAACTTTCATACACCGTCATATATACACACAATATACATTATTAATAATTAAAAAATAAACATACACTAACAGAAAATAAATTGGTTTATCTATTATTTGTCATATATATTTCACTTGCCTCCAGGCATCGTGGACCAGAAAGAGTTAAAAAATAAGTTGAAGCTTTCATCAACTTCAATTGGATTAGGTCAACTGTAAATAAAACTTTAAATGGTGACTTGGAAAATAATTAGTGTTATTATTAGAACAGTTTGTAAGTGAATACATGTTAAATTGAAAATCTGAAGATTAATATTTACAGCTAGTGCTTTAAAACTTTAACATGTTTAAATCATTTAGCTTCTTGCAGTTTGTTTAGCTTAGCTTATTTTAAGCTGCTTTAGATTTTATATTTCAATATAAATGCTAACAACACTATTTGCATTTGCATTTCTTGGGCATGTGGATCACTTCACAAATATCATTCCTACATTGTGTAACTATGCCGTTGACATGAAAATAATTGCCTATGTCTACCATCCAATGTAGTAAATGTAATTGTGCATGAAGATAAAATAATTTAAAACTTCCTCAGAGGGCAGAGTGAAAAGGCAGCTACCATTACTTAACCACTACTACCTCCTGCATGTATCTTGTAGACAACTAACCTCAATTGTAGTCATCAGCAGAGCTTCCTGGCAAATAAAGACATTTACCAGATCCCAGATCTGGTGATTGCTTGTAGAAAAATCAAAAATCTACTTATTGCCTGCAAATTACTACCTAATTTTTTATTGATGTCTCTTTCCTGATTTTGTTCCTTAGCTGGCTGATCTTGGAATATTTCTTTCAGAGACTAATTTGTGAATTGAGATTGATAATTTAGGCTTGATCTCCAGAAATCCATTTCCTTAAGATTTGATTTTTATATTTTTATGTTGATTTTTAATAATGCAATGGTGACAATTCAGATTAAGGGCTTGGGTGTATTTCCTTGACATAGACAGTAAGAAGTAAAATGCATCTGATTTTTCAATAAATTAAACTGTTCAAAATGGGCATAATTTGGCAAACCCTGAGTTTCTATTGATGCTCCTGTATGGACAAGTGGAAAATAATTAAATATATTGACTTCCTGAACTATTATCTCTACTTGAAATTTAGCCATTGTTTTCCATAAAGAAGTGACTCCTCTCCCTGTCTACAAGTAGCTCCAAGGATTTCACTTCAGGAAATCACTACCACATACATTGTTATTTAGTAGTAAAATATAGCATAAATTCCTTTCATGTCATTATTTTAAATCATATAAATTCATACTATATTTACAATTATGACATTTCATTTTATAAAATAATTTAAGCAGTAGAGTGCTGGTAAATGTTTAACAACTTGTTCTCCAGAGAAAAGGGTAGTGTTTGCTGATTACTGTTGTGGTCTAAATAATCCCACCAAGGCTGACATCAACCTACCAAAATGATATCACTGTACCTGGAGTTGGGAAGAGATATGAAGAATTAGTTCCTGTGAGCTCATTCTAGTTGGTTTCAGTATAATACTGAATTTAAGCAACTTGATAATATATATTTATTTAAATCATATTTGGAGAATTTTCCAACTAGACTTAATATTAATTTTATCAATCAGCTCTTCAATCACTGTTTTTAAAACAAAGCCTATATCTCAAGTATTGACAGTCATCATATATAGCATTAGATTTCAGAAGAAAAAAGAAAACTAAAATAAGCAACGGCAAAAAATTTACTACTATTACAATTAAGCTTAGAATACTTCATATAAATACTACCTATATTAGGAACATTCTTCCAGCCATCTCAAAAATTAATTTTTTAAATTAATTTTTTTAATTAAAAAATACCACTGAATGAAATGTAATACTGTATTCATATAATCATCCACACATAAATAGCAATTGGGTATATGCAATAATTTTAAATTATTATTTAAACATGAACCTTTCTTTTTCCAATCTATCATTGGTAACCATTTGAAAAAATTAATGAGAAAAAACACACATTTTAAAAGCAGAAAAAGCAGGGTGAATGATGTGTGTTCCTTTTCTAAAATACATCCACACCTCCGTTTAGTGGTATGTGCAACAATCAGCAGTTTTGACATCATCCAAATGTACTAAACTATTTCATCTTCTTGCAGACAACAAGGGGATTATTACAAACTGTTTTCTCAGCACCTTGCTGACTTAACAACTCTGTAATTCCTGCACCACACTCTGATTTTATTGAACTGGGTAAATACGCGTGTTTTTTTGTTTGTTTGTTATTTTTTAGTTTGAAAAACTTGCATGTGTGATTAAAAGTTATGAACAGTATCTTTCACTGTTATAATTTTTTAAAATATATATGCATATTAATACAGCAAGAAGCATATCTATATAGTCATAAAACAATGTCTACAAAACTCTATTCAAATTAAAGAACTGTTTGCAGGTAATGAAATTTATTGGATTATTTATACTTATGAAGTTGAAGGCCACTTTTACATACTTCATTTCTAAAGTTGGGCTGCAAGTTTACAGAATCCTACATAGTTCTTCTTTGTGTAATCAACATATTAATATTCTAATTCCACTGTCTACCTTTCAAAAAGCACTTTTAGAACATGATTCTCTACACAGTGTTTACTATCTGTAAATGTATTAGGAACCCAACAATGAATTATTTTTAAAAGGAGAAAGGAAGGAAAAAATAAATCCATTCTTACTTGAATGTATATGCACATTAAACTAGTATTAATCTAGGAAAAATAATAGGTAGAAACATCATTTTGGTCATGAAAGTCATACTCTAACAAGCTCAACTCAAACTTAAACACATGATGACTTGCAATTGCCTTCCTTCCTTTGGCACATCTAAACCACACAGAAATCATACATTGCTTGGTTAATTCTTGAGGGACATATTTGCATCAGAATTTAAAGATGGATTTTAATTTTTATAACATTATATTAAGACTTTTAAAAACTCAATATTTTACTCAATAGGTTTGCAGCAAGAAAGGTTGTGTTCTTGAAATCGTCTTTGGAGCATGTAGAACTCATGATCTTGAAAAATAATTCTTGCATCAAAGAAAATCTCAATTCTCTCTGAAGTCTTTCTAAAATACAAATATTTTATTCCAATGTTTTGACATTCTAATGGCTCAGAAGAACAATTTATATGTCCTTGTAGCTGTGCTCCTCTTTGAGATGTGACCTGCAACAGGGCTCAATTGCTTTACTATTAGTTCTCCATTTCCATGCTTCATTTCCTTCATGTAGCTCGGGCTGGAGAAAAATCAGCATGTTCTGATGAGTTTAATACTATGAGGCAGTATGATGGACCTGAATTTAGTGGAGATTGGAGCTCCAAAATAAATACAACACCATGTGTCAAATAAAAAAGAAAAGATATTCTCCTGTACAAATCAGAAGAGATAATAAAAATCAATGAACAGACAGCAACTTTTTTTTTTATCATACCTACACAAGCATCTCAAAACTATCAAATTATTTACCTTTTTCTTATTTGGAACACTTCATAATTTATTGGATAAACAATGGTTTATATTGCCTTAAACTAAATTTTACTGGCTTTTGTGGTAGGGTTTTCAGTTAGGAAGGAATTTCTGGGAATTTATATATTCCTAAATAAAATATTTCTGTTAATCAAGAGCAACATAATTCTGTTGGATTCTATAATATAGTAAGCTATAAGCATCTCTGTAAATTAAATTTGTCCCAAGTTTTGATATGCAACAAGTTCCAGGGTTTTTCAATAGCTCATCATGTTCTATTCCTCTCAATGACAGTACCATGAAGGTATGTACAGGGCATCTTTGACTCACTGACAACACAGGGCACTACTTTCTCATAGAGGTTTGGTGCCTTTGCAGGTATATGAGAGTTGCTATCTATTCACAAACCACTGAGCATTTATTTTTATCAAAAAACCTTCAAATGCTCAGAGTCTGTGGTCAGTGCAGTCCTTTAGATAAGTCTAATGAAGATATGCCTCACCAAGGCAGAAATCTAAACAATTAAAAATGGAGAAATATTTACAACCATCTGTCTCCAGCAAGGGGAGTTCTTGTTTTCTGTATGTAGTGGTTTATTATTTTATTTCATTTTATTTTATTTTTTGCTGTTACTTTTTCTTCAGTACATTTCGAATTAAGGTTCCAAGGCTATGAGTACAAACTCTCTTGGCCAGTCCCATACATGTCCGCGAGTCGTTTAAAGCGAGGTCCCCAGTCACTTAGGTAGTCATAGTTCTGATCAGAGTTTGAGCTGATGGAATCTAAAGAGCTGAGTGATTCAGCAACTGAGCCATTTCCTTCAAAAGCATATGTCTGCAGGGAGTCATAAGGAGGAGCACCAGGATCAACATCGGCTTCTTTTAATCTTTCCCAAATAAATTCCCTAAAGATGACATTATCTGGGATGCTTTTAAAAGCTGGTCGACTCAGGAATTGAATTTCTGGAGTCACATCCCTCCGGGTCTTGGTGTCTCGGATGACGTTGAGGTTTCTCAGTGCAGCCATGTCAAACGCTTCCGTGTCCTCCTCTCCCCCGCCCTCGTCATCGTATCTCACAATATTTTCTCTGATGTCTCTTTCTTCGTCAAAAATAAGGGGCTCTTTTTTCCGTCTTCTCATAGTGACGATAAGGAGGATCAACACTGAAACAATAAGACAGGAAGAGAAAGTTTCAGTAAACTCACCCATTGCCCCACGTCATGGTAAAATTAGGCCTAGGACGCTGAGTTACAGGTTTTCTTCCCTTTAAAGAGAAATGAATTGGCCACCTACTTCCACAAGGATTCACAGCGGTAGATGTGCTAAAATTGCTAAAGTGGCTTTAAATTAGAACACTTTTATACATCAAGGAACCCTTTTCCACACCTGTTCAGAACTGATGTCTTCCTCTTTAACGTAACCTCCAATGTATTTGATAGAAGAAATTGAAGGGCCAGTTCATGATAAATATAATCATTTCAAAGCCAGGAAACACAAAGGGATTTTTTTGAACTCCTTAATTGCTGGAAAGGCAAATTGAAATTCATAAATGTTTTGTGTCTAATTTAACAACTGCAATTTCACAAAGAAATGGTTTATAGCACTCGGTCAGGTTCTTTGAAGAAATGCCTACTCCTTCTCTATGAAAGTCAACTGTTAAATAAAATCCAGCATGTCAGGCCATTTACAAAGATTAAAAGCTTCTCTATAATAAATTGAGTCCCACTTTCATGTATAAAATACTGAACTTGGTCTTTATCCATTATACCTACAGACAGAATACAAGCTGTGAGATTTTCAGCAACTCTCAAAGATAAATTTAAGAAATGAATCACCCCTTTAATGTTAGGAATTTATCTTCCTATATCAAAACTAAAAATCACATCTTAAAGCAGGAGGTTGCACTGTAAAGCAAATAAGAACAACTACACTGGTTATTTGGGGGACTTAAACAATGTATTCTGTGCATTTTTCACTAGTATACACAAATAAGGAAAGTGCTCTGGCCTCTGAGTGACTGCATGCTCCTTGAATTGGGAATACATTTGATTTCATTGCAACTTCAACTAAACTACAATGAAATAAAAAGAGTATTGTTGAATTTTGGAATTTAAAAATATGTAAAGTAATGAATTACCTTTATTCATCTACAAATACCTTTTAACAATTTATATTGCATCAGCTTACGATTTTTTTCTGGAAAGTCTGAATAGCCCATAACGTACATTATATGGATTATCGTTTAGGGTACATTATTGTCATCATATTTTTAAAAGCAGGCGTGAAATATTTTTAAAGTATCTTGTAAACTTTTTACTTTGGCATTAGGAACACTTTTGAAAATAAAAATATAAAACCATGAAGGACATCAACGTCCTTAACTGCAGTGTACTTAAATGCAGTAACCAGGGGTGAGGCATACTCCATCCCCCACCTCAGTGTACTTTCAAAAACCAAAAAGCTGAGCACTTATTTAGTTTTAAATAAAATGAATTCATCTTCAATAAAAATACATGCTTTCTTAAATGTCTGTTGGCTATCTGTGTTATCATCAACAGGAATGTGACTGATGAAAAACTGTATTGGTGATCTGTGGAAATAGTTGTGAAAACAATTGTTTTTTTGTGGCACTTTTTCCTTTTCTTTCCCACTGGACCCTACTGCACTGCTCTTCTCATAAGCTTTACACTTTATGGATGGCCTACAGTTCAGAAACTGATACATTTCTGAGCTTTTCTGGCCACCTTCTCATGCTGCATTGGCACAGATATCCCTGCTCTCTTTCTTTTTGCTCCTGTTTACTTCATTTGAATGTTTTCAACCAGCTTCACCAAAAGGGCATATATGTACTAGGTTGATGCAAAAGTAACTGTGGTTTTTGCAATTAAGGTAATAGCAAAAATCACAATTACTTTTGCACCAACCTAAGTTCAAAAGTTACTGCTTGTATATCTTTCTGTTCCCATAAGTAGTCTGGTATTCACCTTCCTTCCCTGTTAAGTGGATTGTCCTTTCTTGTCTACTGAGAATTAGCACTTTCACCATTCTAATGCCTTGTAGTTCTCAAGGTACATGACAGAATGCTACAACAGCAGCTGCAGCTTTGGTGTCAGAAAGGCCTTGTCCAACCTTCCTACATATTAGCTGTGTGATGTTGGAACAAGTAACTTTCAAACTAATTGAAATTAGCAATATATGATAATAATAGTCAACATCAATCTTCACAGTGTGGACTGAAGAGATAAAGAACATTGGAAATAACGTAAGTAGAGTTAGCAGAATCCCAGTTACTTATCAGTATGCAACAGAGCAGTTTGTTTTTAAGGTAACAAGCAAAGTAGAAAGTGTACCATATATGGCTAGGCATATGTACCAAAGATTAAATGGGAAATAGGAAAGGTGGTATAGTGAGAAATGAAGGTCTGCACACAGGACATATTATTTAACACTCACAACAATTCTCTGGGGTAGGTGTTTTCCCATTTGATGGTTGTCTTAGACACATAAAATAACCTGTCTAAATATAATTAAATGCAATAGTGAGGGGTGAGGCATACTCCATCTCAGTCTGTCTTCAAAGCCCCCGCACTGTTTATAACACTGTATGCTTAGTACTTTCAAACAAGGTGATTAAAAAACAAAGGCTAAAGTTGACAAGTATGAAAGCTCAAAAGGCAATTTGCTTGCTCAAGAAAGACAACAATTTTTAAAATACATGGATGAATAAACAATTATTTTATATTCATATACAACTTTAGTTTCTGAAATTTTTCACATAGTTTCCCCAAAATGAAAGCAATTGTAGTAGAAAGAAAGTAGAACCCAGTAGGACTTCTTAGTGAGAAATCAAATTAAGTAAAGCATGGAATGAAGAGGGACGTTGAGAGAAAATAGTGATGGGATGCACAGATGGAGGCAGGTAGAAATAAGACACCTGTTACACATGTTGAACAGCATAATTAAGGAGGAGAAATGTCCAGTTGAGAACAAAAGGGTGTAAGAAATGAATGAGTATGAGAGTCAGTAAGGGTATAAAGAGGGTAAGAGTTATATAATAATTAGGCGGTCTCTTAATTTAAATCAATGTCTAAGTAGACAAAACATTTCAAAATTATAAATTCTTTAATTATAATAAATTTTGTCATAAATATATTGCTATATATAGTATATATCAATTATTTCTTATATTCTATTGTAAATGTATTTCATGCTACTGATAAACTTGACTTCTGATTCTCAGGTCTTCAATCAAAGTAAAACTCTACAGTGCCTGTGGGTATACCAGCCCTAAGGTACAATACACATCAAGGATATTAATGTGTTATGCAGTTTGCTTTATTTCCCAATCTTGTCCAAGGCAAAGAAAAACATGGTATTTTGGAAGGTTAGATAATTTTAACATTTGAATGATCTCAGAAAATATTAATTTCTAACCATGTAAGCGCATATAAAAAATAGAATTTAATGTTTACATAGAACAAGAATTAACTGTTCTTCATAGACTCTGGTGCTAATCACTGTATTAAGAAGAATACTCTGCCTAAGTAAGCAGAAGATTATATATTTTAAGAGGTTTTATCATTTCTCTTTTGTGTCATATGACCTCTACTTCTGAGTGGAAATAGAAGAAAAGATTTAGGTCTAGCTGAAATTTAGCCATGTGTGACACTTAGATTGTTCTGGTTGTTCAGGAATTTACATATCTGTTTAACAAAAATATGTTAACAATTTATTATATGCATTAGGTATTGTAGTGTAATGTTGCACATAGAAGCAGACATATAACATTTACTCATGGACCTTACGATTCCGTGGGACCAACAGATATTGATCCAAACATTAAAATAAATAAATGTAAAAGTAGAATTGTAATAATTACTCCAAAAGAGGGACACATGATCTTATAAAGAAGTGTACTAGGGGAAATAGATACAGATGAGAAAGACTTAACTGATGATAACTGGAGGCTGAGGGTAGGGACAGGAAGATGTGATATGGAAGAACATACTTGGTACAGTGACGACAGTGAGCAAATATTTGAGGCCAACGTGGCTGGAGGGCAAAGAAAGAGGTGAGGTAAGGTTGGAGCTGTAGGCACGAGTCAGGCCCTACAGGTCCAAGAACAAACATATTTTAAGGCCTGCATGATATAATCAGATTGTTTCAAAAAAATAAATAAAAATCATTCTTACTGGACCAAGGAGAGGAAGATAGGGGAGAAGATGTCACAAAAGAAGTTAGAGTGCTATTACAGCAGTAAAAGTATGATGCAGGCCTAAATTTCTGATTTTGGAATTCAGTCTTACAACATTCAATTCAACATTTTCTGAGCATTCTAGCAGGTAGGAAATAGTGCTGGATATTGGCAAAAGCATATCAAGAGAGGGTTCCTACAAATAAGCAGTTCCAACACTGTTGACTGTATATTCACAGATAAATACAGTATGAATCTTAGTGCAATTCACTGTAAGAATATACAGACATGCACAGGCGCAGAGAAATATGCAGAAAAGAGAATTACAAGAATAAAATTATATAAAACTACAACACCCTACTGCGAACTATTTTACAAATTTCATGTAATTCTTTACACTCTTTTGAACTGATGTGTTGTCAGTTTTATTTTTATTTTTTGGAGACAGAGTCTCACTTTGTCACCCAGGCTGAAGTGCAGCGGTAGGATCTCAGCTCACTGTATCCTCGACCTCTTGAGCTCAAGCAATATTCCTGCCTCAGCACTCCCAAGTAGCTGAGACTACAGCCATGCACCACCACACATGGCTATTTTTTGTACAGACAGGGTTTCACCATATTGCCCAGGCTGGTCTCGAACTCCTTGAGCTCAATGGAGTTTTGCCAGTTTGCCCAGGCTGGTCTTGAGCTCCTTAAGCTCAAGTGATCCTCCTGCCTTGGTCTTCCAAAGCGTTAGCATTACAGGTGTGAGCCACCACGCCCGGCCTTTTTGTCAGTTTTAAATTAGTTTAAGTTGTCCAGCAATTGGATAGAATCATTCTCCCAAAACCAAGATAAATAAAAGGAAGGGAATATGGAGAAAAATATTGATGTGTAAAACACACACCATACTACAAATTAGTGGGCACCTTTATTCTCAGCTTTACTGTGATCTTTGGCAGATGTCCATCTGCACAGTAAACTGGAAAATGATTTCTACTGGACTATCATCAAGTAACTGGAACATGATTTCTATTGGAGTATCATCAAGTCCTGTGGTCCTAACCAATCTCCCCACTTGATGATAACCATGAAATTACTGGTCTCTACAATAAGTATCCCTTCTTTCCAATGAATGTATTCTATTATGAACTGTCATATCCTCTTAAAGATGGCAGACACTTCAGAAGTCACCTATATTTGCTCTACAGCAGGGGTGTCCAATCTTTTGGCTTCCCCTGCCCACACTGGAAGAATTGTCTTGGGCCACACATAAAATACACTAACACTAATGATAGCTGATGACCTAAAAAAATTGCAAAAATATTTCATAATATATTAAGAAAGTGTACAAATTTGTGTTAGTCCAAATTCAAAGCCATCCTGGGCCACATGTGGCCCGCGGGCCTCAGGTTGAACAAGCTTGCTCCACATGCATGTGTAGTGTTCAGCTGGTCTGGAGTTCAAAACCTCGTTGTCATCCTGAGTCCCCTACTCTGGATGTTCTGTGCTTGCAAATGTCAGAATGCTCAATATTCAGTTTTGGCACCCAGAAATAGCAGAATTCTGCCGATGTCATCTGATCATCACAAAATGGTACCATTGCTAAATAAGGCCACATATCTATATATACATGTATGAAATTATAAATATATATACATTTATATATGCATATATAAGTATATACATATAAAATATGCATATTTGAATTTTTTAAATTTTTATGTATTTAGGGAGTAGAAGTGCAGATTTTTTTACATGCGTTTATCTTGCAGTGGTGAAGTCTGGACTTTTGGTGTACATTACCCAAACAGTGAACACTGTACTCAACAGGTAGTTTTTCAACCCTTACTCCCCGTCAACTCTCCCACCTTTTGTAGTTTCCAACGTCTATTATTCCACCATGCTATATCCATGTGTACGCATTGTTTAGCTCCCACCTATAAATGAGAACATGAGGTATTTGGCTTTCTAAGGCTACTTATATTAAAGAGAAAGTAACTCCACTAATTTTTTTTAACATATTTAAAATGTTGAATCTGGTATCCTTTTAAAATCACTCAGTAATGTAAATTACATCCCACTAGGTTTTTTCCTAGCCTAAAACTCTGTAAAGAAAGTTTTTTAAAACCAAATTGGATAAATTTATGTTTGTATCTGTTAAATATCACTTTCTTAAGTTTAATCCATTGTTTAGTGGCTACTACCACAGGTTTAAAGCCTAAATTCCATTTAATTCAATAATATTTTTAATGAGTACTGATTGCTAAAACTGTAAGCCATATGAAGGGCAGTGACTTTGCTTTCTACAGATTTACCCTAAGCACAAAGAATAATACATGATAGTAAGTATGTGCTCAATAAATATTTGATAAATGGATTAATAAGTTATAGGCAAGGAAATGTGACTAGAAATATGTAGACTTGCTGGACTTGCCATCAACAAGCCCAACAATTTGAATAAAAAATAAAGAGTTAAATATTATAGAATGAATTAAATATAAAGCAATATAAAATATGCTAGGAAAATATGTATGGGAAAGGGATTATTTCTGCCCAGGATTCTCAGAGAAAGTCCAACATAAGAGATGACATTTGAAATGTGACTTGAGGGATAAGTAAGTCTTTACCAAAAACACCATCATCTATATGGTCTCTTATGAACAATCATCATTTCTAATTAGCCATAAAATAGTCGTTTAAATTTTCGTTGTCTACCATAGTTGCCACTAGCTGCATGTGGCTATTGAGCACTTGGAATATGGCTATTCTTCATTGAGATATGCTCTAAGTGTAAAATAAACATATGATGTTCAAGACTTAAGTTTCTCTTTTTAAAAAAGTAAAATATTGTCTCAATAATCTTCATGGATCACATATTAAAATGATAATAGTTTTGTATAGTGTGTTTGAAATATATTATTAGCATTTATTTCAACAGTTTCTTTTTACTTTTTCTAATAAAGCTACGTGAAAATTTCAAATTACATATGCATTTCACACTGATGGTTCACAATAACTTTATTTTGGACAACTGATCTAAACAAAAGACTCAAACACCAGAATACTCTAATTGCATATGGTCTTAGAGGTATTCTCAGATTTATTGTCAAATGACATGTTGAACAATAGGACAGCTATAATCAGTTTAATGATTAGTGTACCTACAAGGTATAGTTGAAAAATAATCTAATCAAAATAAAAAATCTGCCAGCACAATCTGGATGCAATTTCAATAATTTATTTTAAACAATCATCCACATTGATATGCAAGTATAACTTAGCCTTCCAAAAACTTCCTATTTTTTAATTCTTCACCATTTATTGATCCTGTTGATTTACATGAAGTTTATTAAAAAATCTGTCTTCTTTTTCTACTGGGCACTAATTAAGTTTTAGTAATTTTTTTCTTTTTTAATTTCAAAAATTGTTTAATTCTGTTTTTTAAATTTTTTTAAATTTTTATAGACATTTTAATTTTTTAAAATTAATTTTAATCTTTTTTTATTTTATTTTTCTCACTCTGTCACCCAGGCCGGAGTGATCATGGCTCACTGCAGCCTCAAACTCCTAGGCTCAAGCAATCCTCCTGCCTCAGCTTCCCGAGTAGCTGGGACTTTGGGTGCATGCCACCATGCCTAGCTAATTGTTTTATTTTTTGTAGAGAAAGAGGTCTCATTTGTTGATCAGGCTGGTCTCAAACTCTGGCTTCAAGTGATCCTCTGGCCTCATCCTCCCAAACTGCTGGGATTACAGTCATGAGTCATTGCTCCCAGCTTAATTTCCTTTTAATATTGAACTGAGCTTGAATTTTGTTGGCTTCAGATGGATCAGAAATAACCATGATGAAGAAACATGCTATCCCCACTCTTTTCAGGGTCATCTTGAAACTCTCTCCACTATCTCCAGGCACACTATTCCATCAGAGCTCAAAAAGGGAGGACATTAAGTGGAAACACTTTCCTGAAATTTTCCAGCCAACAATTTATCTTCATATACCCTCAATATTATTAACTTTTATTTTATGTAAGAATAGCCTACTCCACATTTCCACTTTCTTATATCCTGACTGCTCTCAAACCAGAGCAATCTGAGTTTTCCCTGCTATTTCCCAGGGACCAAGGCTACCAATGACTCACATTTTGCCAAATCCAATGAGCACTTTGTGGCCCTTTTTTTTACATGGCATGTGTGTCCTATCTGACACAGAACTTCATGGGAAATTGTGTGGGTCCGCTATCTTGAACTTACTCAATAGTAAACAATGCAGCTGCTTGCAGCGAGTTTAAAAGAAAATAAACAATTTTATTTTCTTCTTTCAAACCATGTTTTTTTGTAGCCACTCTTTTCTAAGAAGTACTTACAGTAAATCTTCCTCAAGTTCCATACTCGGTTTCTTGGCTTTTCACCCCACATTCTTCCTAGGCGAGCCCAGTGAAACCCCAGGTTCAACTGCCTCTTGTATGGCAAGAGCTGATGTCTCTGACATCTAAATCTCTCATCTATCTCTTTGGATAACCAGACCATATTTTAAAATGACTACTCCTATTTTTGATAATGCAAATATATATACTCATCAGAATATAATAAATGTTCAAAATGGTAATTATCATTGTTATGATTTGTTATGACCACTTCCTTTACTGATAACAACTTTCTGTCCAATGGCTCTCACTCATACACCATTCAAAATTTCTAAGTTTAATCTCATTAACGTTCCTCTGATTTGTTTCCTATTGTGTGCTCTTTTCTCAAGTAGGAAAATACCCAAACCAGAAACTCCAAGTCATCTGTGACTCCACCTTCTTCATTTCCTCTTTGCTTCAACTCTCCATCACCGCATGCTCCACTCAAACAATTCTTCCTACTCACTGTAACCAAGAATATGCCTCAAGTCCCGTCCCTCAGCCCATGGCTCCTGCCTATTTAAGGACCTCATCTGCGTTGCATACCTGTTATTCCATTTCCTGGATGTATGGAGGTAGGTGAGATCCTTTACTTCTCCTTGCCTCAGTTACCTGCTCTCCAATATGAAAATAATAGTCTTTACCTCTTATAAACCACTTCATAGTAACTTTATGAAGATTAAGTGAGTGTCTATTTGTAAAGGGCTTAAGTAGTGCTACCCACAGTAGGCGATAACTGTCTTTATTCAATAATAGGTCATACATTGTGGAATTTCTACAATAAATTCATATGATTCAGTTCCGAACTTTTTGGGTGTTGCTAAAATTTGAGTCATGTGATTCATACACAGATAAAATGTAAACTTTACCATGCTCTCACTTGTGATTTTGATGACCTCCTGTAATGTAGTTAATTTATCTGATATCTACTCTATTCTATCTAACTGACGGTAGAATAATGAATTATGGAGGATACTGGACCTATTCTTGAAGGGATTAAAATATGTGGAAAAGGTTGCAAAATTTTCAGTAGAGTGCAATAAATAATATTTATGGATTAAAAATATTGTCTCTATATGTGCCTTTGACAGGCCCCAATAATATACTGGTTAAGAAGACAGAGAGACGAAGATCACTACATTCAAAAGGTTTTATATTTGAGCAAAGAAAACAAACACATATAGTTACAAATAAGTACTACAAAAGAAACAAATACTATGATGGAGAATAATGGTGCTTAGGACACTCCTCCTGAGGAGATAACACTGAAGCTGAGGCATTAAAGATAATCTAAACTTGACAGGTGAAGAAATGCAGGAAGACTGTTTCAGGAGCAGGGTAGCACACTTGAAAATAATGGGAAGAAACGCATTGTGGGTCCTCCTACTGGTTGAGAGAAGGATCAGACAGCCTGATACCTTAGAGAGGTAAGCAGGTGGCCAAACATGCCTTGCTTTGTGGACCATGAGAAACATTTAGATTCCATGTAAGTGCATCTGAAATGTTTCAAGCAGAGACGTAAAATAATTTATGTCTTAAAAAGGAAAGTGATAGGAAAAATGCAGGAGTACCACCACTGTCTGGTTGTGATCAGAAAAGGATGTCATCAGAAGTGGCATTTAAGTAAAGATCTGAAGGATGAGTGGATTTACGTGCTATGGAATCTGAGGCTCATGCAGATCCCCAGTAACACAAGGCTAAAATTTTATCTTGCACTTATGGACCAACTCTACTACTTTTATTTTTGCAAAGGATAACTAAAGATTCATAATTGGTATGATCCAAGTGAGTGACTGAGATATCAACTATAACATTTAACTGAATTTTAAACTGATAAATAAAATATCTCTGACATCTCTTCTGCAATATTTTCTCCATCTACCTTTAGTCATATATTCTACTGTTTTTTCTTAAGCCCTTATATAGTTCCATGGCTACTAACCTGCAAACATCATTTAAATTCTTTTAATCTGTGACACATCAATTTTTCTGTAGAGTTAAGGAGATAGACCAAATCTCAGAAAAATGTCCTAAAAATATAGCGTCTTGGGAAATAGAAAAAATAGGGTCTAATGGAGATAATCCTATGGGTAATAAAAATAAGTCAAATCAATTATTCTTTTCCACAATTCAGTACATTCAAATCATTCACGCTTCATTCAGCATGCATGTATAGAATGTTCTGTTATGTGTCAGATCAGCATCTGATTAGCTGATATAAATAATGACAAAATAATGTTCAGTCCTTGCCTCTAAAAGCAGTCTACTGGAAGAGATGGACAAGGAGATAAACCAATTAAACAGACAAGTCGACCATGTCAGATGCTCAAAGACTGCTAGATGCAAGGTATTATGGGGTCCTTAGGAACAGCATCCAGCCTGGACTCAGAAGCCAAAGAAGTGCGTCTTCAATACAAAAAAAAAAAAAAAAAAAAAAAAATTGACCCACTTGTAGATTATGGGAAGAGGCATTCCAGGCAGAAAGACAAAGCAGAATGAGTCTTAGAAAAAGCAACAGATGCAATTTGACTAAAGTACACCAAGTAAGTAGAGAAAAATAAAGTCAAACTGGATGAGAGCTGTCTGGTACTGGAGAGTCTGTGATTTTAGTCTGTAGACAATGGGATTTCATGAAAATACGATTTTAAGCTGCGGTGTTTCAAAATCCCATTTAGTTTTTAAAAGCTTACTCTGAAATACTGACGGATTGGTTCTGATAGAGAATGGTAGAGTTGCCACAATTCAGGAGGAAAAAAAAAAAGACCCTGGACAAAAATCAGGTGCAACAATAAGAGACAGAAACAAATTGATTCAAGGCCCAAAAACTAAAGTTAACAGTATGTGCGGACTAATTGACCATGGAGGATGCAAGCGAGAAGACGGAAGCCTGGCTGATTCCACTCAGAAAAACATATAAGTGGGTATTCAATCAGGAAAAGAGGCAAGAATGTAGGAAAATTGCTCAGGATTGATGTTTCTCTGGAGATTTCTAGTTTCAACTCTCCAATAGAACAAGGAACATACATTGGTAGACCTCCTGTAATAGATCATATATGCTTAAAGGGGCTAATTCTTTCCAAGTCTCAAGAAAGGGAAAAGTTTAACTAAAATGGATCTTTTCTTTTCCCAAAACAAGTATCACAAAATTCATTTCCTTTAAATGTGAGGGAGAATGATTTCACCTTAGTCTCAGTTAATATAGAAGAAAAGTTTCCTAAGTACAATGAATGGTTTATGCACAAAGACAATTTGTGTATTAGATTTTGGTTGTACTGAAATATAACCTCAAATTTAACACACACTCTTCTAAACATGTTTTCTAAAGACTGGAAGGAATTGGAAGATACTATAAAATAGACACTCAGAGTTAACCGAATAAATAATAAAACCACTATGTGAAACACAGCAAAGATACTCCTGCACCTAATTTGGCAGTGCCCAGGCTGTAATATCCACAAACCTGTAAGCATTTCCTAGAAACAGAGAGGTCTTTCACGTGGGGAAACATATATGGAAAAATACCTTATAAAGAACATTTAGGAGGCAGGCTTCCCTGTGTTTGGGTCCGGACTCTGACACTTGTTCATTCTGTAACTTTTTGTGTATTTCCTCTAAGTTGTAGTTTTCTTATATAAAATGTGGGCATAGTAATACTTGCCTAGGAAATCTCTTATGAGCATTAAATTAGATAAAGCTTGTAAAGCACTTAGGCTGATGTCTAGCACATAGTACGAGCTTATGAAATGCAATTCATTTTTTATTATGCTCATGCTTGTTTGAAAGAGGAACACATCTGCTACTATAAATTAGCCAACAGTAGTCTGCACATTATTATCTCTAGGGCTGCTATGCCAATTATGTTCTATCATTATAGATTATGATGGGGATCCATTTTTTTACATAGTGCTGCCACTTTTTTTCTCCACAATCTTCAGTGATGTTCACTATCATTTGCAAAAACAAGAAAGCATTTTTCTGTTGGAAAAAAATCATGAATAGCCACAGTTACTGGTGGCCAAATATAGTTTAGTACTTGGGAGATCAGGGAAGAAAAGTGAAAAGATGCATGACAGCTAACTGTCAAGCTGACCATCATAGACATACTGGAGGAGACCGAATCCCATGCAGTAAACAGCAAGTTTCTACAAACACCTTATTAAATCTGAGTTTATGAAGCTGGGCTGGTCTAACTAATCCCAATTGTGTCAGAAGAGCAAAGAGCTGGAAGGAACGCTAGAAGACTTCAATTACTGGGCCCTGGAAGTCCAAGTACAGAAACACCCAAAACTTAATATAGTAAATTCAGTGGCAGCCTTATTGTGCAAGAAACAGGTTTTATTTTTGTGTATGCCGAGGAACAGAAAGAATTTAGCTGTAATATTTTAAGAATAGGAGTACAATATTTAATATTGAAACCATATTTTTAAACAAAACAGTTGAAATTCTTCTCCTTTATTAAAAAAATCTACTGAATAAATAATCGAATGTCTTAGTCATTCATAGAATTTTTTTTCTTTAAAGTGTTTTTAGCCTGGTGGAAGAATAATTGTGTATGTCTGTAAGTGTGAATTTAACTATGATAAAAATGCATAATTAAATTGGTATTGATGTTAGTTATGGGTTGTAATTTCTATTCAAAATTTAGAATACAGGCCGGGCACGGTGGCTCACGCCTGTAATCCCAGCACTTTGAGAGGCCAAGGCGGGTGGATCACGAGGTCAGGAGATCGAGACCATCCTGGCTAACACAGTGAAACCCCATCTCTAATAAAAATACAAACAATTAGCCGGGCGTGGTGGCAGGCACCTGTAGTCCCAGCTACTCGGGAGGCTGAGGCAGGAGAATGGCGTGAACCCAGGAGGTGGAGCTTGCAGTGAGTCGAGATTGCACCACTGCACTCCAGCCTGGGTGAAAGAGCAAGACCCTGTCTAAAAAAAAAAAAAAAAAAATTTAGAATACCAGAGTATCTTGCCATATGTTGATGAAATTTTTCTGCATGAAAAATAATTGAGGTATCTAATTGATTATTTTATGATGAAATGTGAGTATAGCAATAGCTTATCTCATTCAAACTGTACTCACTGTAAATAAAGGAAACCCATGTTCTAATTTTTGGATTTTTTTTTCATTTAAAGAATTCAGGTGTAAATAAATTAGAGAGAGAGCAAGAATGAGAAATCAGAAAGCAGTTCATCCATAAAGTTAGGAGAATACAGATAGAGATAAAGACTGACAAATACAACTTCGGATAACATGAATTATTTCAGCAATATATAGGCGTAAACATATTTATATTTTCACGATGTACTTCTTGTGCAGTTTAAATAAAAATCAGTGATTGAGAATAAGGAGACCTAGAATCTTACCCCGTCATATCCTCTAACTTGTTATATGTACTCCTACAAACCCTCGAACTTACCCTACACCTCAAGTTTTCCCTCTGTAAGGTTTGGGTTAGCATTGATACGTGGGATGCCTTCCAGCATTAAACTTCTGGTAATGTCAGTGCATCCCCATCCGTCATGTTACATGTAGCTTTAATTAGTCACATCACTGGAACACAAACTTAACATGTAGTCAAGTACCTTTTTTTTTTTTTAAGAGTCTAAAGTCCAGGTACTTCTATAGTTTCATTCTTTTTTTTTTTTTTTTTGTTTTTTTTTTTTTTTGTTTTTTTTTTTTTTTTGAGACGGAGTCTTGCTCTGTCGCCCAGGCTGGAGTGCAGTGGCGGGATCTCGGCTCACTGCAAGCTCCGCCTCCCGGGTTCACGCCATTCTCCTGCCTCAGCCTCCCAAGTAGCTGGGACTACAGGCGCCCGCCACTACGCCCGGCTAATTTTTTGTATTTTTAGTAGAGACGGGGTTTCACCGTTTTAGCCGGGATGGTCTCGATCTCCTGACCTCGTGATCCGCCCGCCTCGGCCTCCCAAAGTGCTGGGATTACAGGCGTGAGCCACCGCGCCCGGCCTATAGTTTCATTCTTAATTGAACTTGATTTTCAAGTTCTTATTCCCCATCTCCACCTCCTCACCTTGCTTTTTGCCAGTAATATTTGTTCAGAAGTCTTAAAAGGTTTGAGTTACAAATCCTGATACCTAATGCCTAGAAACGAGATTCACACCACTTTCTGAGGTGTCATAAAGAATGAATTATTTGTGTACTAGAAATCAATTTTCATGCCAGGCTGTGGGCCCCACATGCACCCCCTGTGAATACTTAATCTCATTGGCTTCAGCACTTACTGTGTGAAAATCCAGAGTCTATAATAGTGGCGACAAAACTAAAACAGTATAAAAATTCCTGATTATCTGCTTTTAAAAACTTGGGAAATAAGACACAAAGAGACCACATTTCTGAGCTAAAATGGTAGCATTTGATGATACTGATTATTGTGTGGTCACTATAGAAATGGAAGCTGCAAGCAGAAGCCCCTTGTTCCAAATTGTATTTCAGTACAACAGACTTTGTTTTACTTACGGTTTTGAAGACTTGCGGTAACTCTTAAAAAAATGAATAAAATATAGGGCACAAAAAAATTGATCCTTAGAAGTGGAAGAGATATTCCAAATTTGGTGTCTACTTAAGCAATATGTTCAAATTTAGCAGAAAGAGTAGCCATACTTAAATTTTGACAAATCCCCCAAACTTTTATGCACAGACACACACACAAGCATACATGCACATACTGTATATGTATACTCATATACAGTATATCTAAGAATGAAATATAATAAAACTCTATTTCAGTTACTTTCAGTAATAATTAGCTGATAATTCTTAATTAGAATCATCAAGCAACCTAAATCGCAAAAAATCCCAAAGTCAAAGTTGAAAGTGTTTACTAAAGTGAAGCAAGCTTCATCAGACAGCCTTAAAATAATCAAAAAACAATTCATTATTGAGGATAATTAAAATTTGGGGAATACAATCTTATTCCTTTACGGCATAATCTAAGTTGTTTATGATACACTGACCAAACTTAAAAAGTCTTCCACACATCATCTACTTATCCTCTCATTATTCCTTCTCATTCTGTGCCTTCAAGCTAAAGACATTCTAAACATGAATGGATTTTTTTTTTTTTTTTTTTTTTTTTAGATGGAGTCTCGCTCTGTCATCCAGGCTGGAGTGCAGTGGCATGATCTCGGCTCACTGCCAGCTCCGCCTCCTGGGTTCACGCCATTCTCCTGCCTCAGCCTCCCAAGTAGCTGGGACTACAGGCGCCCGCCACCACTCCTGGCTAATTTTTTTTTGTATTTTTAGTAGAGACAGGGTTTCACCGTGTTAGCCAGGATGGTCTTGATCTCCTGACCTCATGATCCGCCCGCCTCAGCCTCCCAAAGTGCTGGGATTACAGGCGTGAGCCACTGCTCCTGGCCCACAAATGTAATTTTTAAATCTTCTAATGTAGGTTATTCTGCTACTATAAAATAAATATGCAATTTACATCTTTTTTATTAAGTTTTAGATTCCAAAATCTAAATTTTTTGGCCTCCCTGCACCACATTGGAAGAAGAATACTTGTCTTAGGCCACACATAAAATAGACTAACAATATCTGGTGAGCAAAAAAAAAAAACAAAACAAAACAAAAAACAAACAAACAAAAAACCGCAAAACATTTCATAATGTTTTAAGAACATTTAAGAATTTGTGTCGGGCCACATTCAAAGCCATCTTCAGCTGCTTGCGGCTTGCAGGCCACAGGTTGGACAAGTTTGTTTTAGAAGCTTCTAGACCAATAAAAATTTGTTTGCAGTGGTTCTACCTTTTTCAAACTTTAATCCCTTATATTCTAATTAGATTTAGCAGGTAATTACTTCCCATTTCTAATGAAATTCTGAAAGTTTCTGCATCTGTGTAAAGTTCTATGCAAAATATAGTTTATTTTCTTTTAGATTTACTTGTTTAGCTTAAGTTACTTAAGACAATAACCTCCATTTTCACGACAGCATTTATAATGTATTAGTAACTAGGTCTTAGCTTATAATTTTCCATCAGTAACACTTAAAATTTATTGAACATTCACCATATGGAACGGTATATTGAATGTTTACTCTGTTCTTGTTGTGTTCGTGTTACAAGTTACAATGTGAAGAAAAATGTTTCTTTGGAATAAACCCATTACCCAGTGTCCACATTGGACATCTCCCAATTTTTAAAAGGATGCTGCAAAATCTGAGTTACTGCAAATATGAGTTATAAATTTAATTTAACCGAGTAATAAACTAATCATGGAAATGTACAATTAAATGTGTTAGTATTTAATACTTTAAAAATATAAGATTTGCATTGCTGAAATTGTAATCATTTCAAATTTGCAAATAATTTAAGAAAGCAATCAAATAATTTCTTTAAAAAGTAGAATATAAAGCCATAATTTCTAAAATAAGCATATTGTCAAAACAATATAGAAAATGTATTCTCCAGTCTAGTGTATCTCCTCTGTAGAGTGCTCTAAAGCAAAGAACTGGGATAAGATAGATTATTTTTAATCCTAAAAAGCATTAATTTAAAGCATAAGCCATTTATCTTCACTGTTGCTTTGAAAATGAAATTGATACAACTTTTTGTCTGAGTTATACTTCAAATATACCACTGGAAAGTGTGGCCAACAATTGTATTACTTAGTGAGCAAAACACCATCCAGGCCAGGAGCTGTGGCTCACTCCTGTAATCCCAGCACTTTGGGAGGCCAAGGTGGGTGGATCACCTGAGGTCAGGAGTTCAAGACCAGCCTGCCCAACATGGTGAAACTCAGTCTCTACTAAAGATACAAAAGTTAGCTGGGTGTGGTGGTGCACCCCTGTAATCCCAGCTACTCGGGAGGCTGAGGTGGGAGAATTGCTTGAACCTGGGAGGCAGAGGCTGCAGTGAGCCCAGATCATTCTACTGCACTCCAGCCTGGGCAACAGAGTGAGACCCCGTCTCAAAGAAAAACAAAACAAAACAAACACCATCCAGTAGAATATCTGCATATGTTCACCAAATGGAGAAGATAATAGGCAAGTCGTGACATGTGGTTATTGTGACAGCTCTTTCAGAGCAAGCCCTGGAAACAGTACCTACCCAATAATGTCAAGACACAGGCGAGTATGGCTATCAGGGCTCCTGTACTGAGGCCAGCAGGTAGGACATAGGCCTCTGCATTGCAGGTCTGGGCTACGCCGTCAGCATCACAGTCACACACGCGGATGG
Organism: Homo sapiens; assembly: GCF_000001405.40. NCBI lineage: Eukaryota > Metazoa > Chordata > Mammalia > Primates > Hominidae > Homo > Homo sapiens. Next base: position 65,862,788 of record NC_000018.10, on the reverse strand, counting down.
TGAGGGTGTTGGTGCTGCTAAGTGAGGGAGATCCACTGTCCACAATGAAAATTGGCAGATAGTAAACTGATTGTTCCTGTCTCCGGAAGCCGTTTCTCCTGGTCAGTATTGAGGCTGTGTTGTCTAGGATAACGAAAGCAAATGTATAACACCAGATTTCTGATGGAATCAGTCTTCCCAAACTTTATTTAAGTCACTCTATTTACTTTGATGCCTTAATTAGGGAAATCTCTGGAGTTGCAGATTTATTTCAACAATTTTCTTTCAATTCTCTAGGACAGAGGGACATTTCCAGTTTAATACATTATAAGACATTTATGTTATTCTATGCAGTATAACAAAAGAAATAGTTATAAAGTAAAACAAAATATGAAAATGTTTATGCATCACTTATTACATTAATTGCAACTTTATAAAAACTACATCTTTTACTTATCTTAAATTTGACACCATAAACTTATAGAAAGGATGGTACATATTAACAGGTTAAATATTTTGCAGTATCATCATATAGCACAGATAAAATTTTCAGTCTATCCTTTCTTAGACAAGTTGCAAGACCAATATTTAAAAAGGGTAAAATCAGCTACTTTAGCTTTATTTAAATTGAATATACAGGGATATTCAGAAGAATTTTATCGTAAAATTTTGAAAATTATATATAGGTATTTATAGCTACTCTATGTGTATAAACATTTTGTCAGTGATAAAACAGGCTATTTATGTTTACCTTATATTTAATATTTGAATTCATCTAAGCAATTATAGTAATTATGAACTTTAAACAAGTGATCAATAAGTCTATATAACGTGTGATTTATATATCAAAAATATGTTTTGTGTGTGTTAGCAGTTTTCCAACTAACTTGTCTTAATTAAATAATAAGAGTATTTATGAGATTTTTTAAATTAATAGCTGTTAATAAAAATATAAAGGAAAAGAAGAAAAATCAGGATCAGAGTTTCATGCAGTGTGCTTTTATCTATTTTTCTCTCTTCCAAACTGTCAAAAAGATTTATTCAATGATAGCATGAAAAAATTAACGGTACTCTAGTGAAACAGCGAGATGAAATCTGTCTCAAACAGCACAAAACAGCAAGCTCATATTAGACTGCAGAAAATGTATTACATGCAATTATAGAAGAGACAGTAATAAAACAGTTTGATTTTCAGATTCCATCTGGTAGATTTTTATGTAAAAAAATCTTTTATTTTAGAATGTATGAATTTGAGAAGGTACTCACTAAAAAATTAAGCTGGAGTTGTTGAAGGATACTGTTTTGAGTAAGTTCCTGTACATTTCACAATAGCACGCAGGCCTATGCCTCTGCCTCCTACCAACTCCGATGTCAGAGGCATTTATGACTTGATACAAAAAGTTTTAGAAAGTTGTTGATTTGTAATCTAACATGACTGATACCAAAATCACACACACACACACACACACAAACACACACACACACGGTGAATTGAGGAACACAAGCTGAAATGCCCAAAAAGTGAGAATATGACTCTATATTCAGAAAAGTGATCATATGGAAGACTTCTTAAGAACTGACTCTCTCTGTATTCATATGTTTTCCTTCAAGGTACAGTCAAGGGAGCTCTGGGCTTAAGGTAGACAATTTTTCAATTGTGTGGCAATGTGGATGTCCTATAAATGCTGACATTTTAGTGCACGTGCTGTACAGCAATCATGGTGGTATTGGATGGTGACACATGGGGGATATACTCACATTCTCCTTGTGAAGTTCATAAATTCCCTTCTCTGCACTTGTACCAGATGAACCTAAATGCTGAGAATTATCCTTCTTAACTATGATTAAGTCAGTGAGTCTGGAGTTACCCAGGTAGAGAATGCTCTACCTTCTATATTACTAAAGGGACACAATAGTATTCTCATTGAGTAGGAAATAAGATCAGGAAAAATTATCATTTTCAGATTGAATTTTTTTGAGATTGAAATTTTTTGAGGCCTAGGTTGCACTAAATAAGGTGATGGCTTCATGCAAAACTTCTTATCCACCTTTTGGTAGTAAGTCTGTTTTAAACAAGCCAGTAATGACTAGCAAATCCAATTCTGTACTTTTTTCCTAAAACCAGATTTACATAAACAACATAAATTTTTAAAAATAGATATTTTCCATGCTGTTGGGGGGTACTATTCACCCTCTACATCAGTTTCAAATGCTCTCCTTCCACTAAAATAAATATCTTGAATAAAAACTCATTCGAACATATGATTCAAAATTAGACAATGATAGCAGGTTCTCGTGCTTTAAGTTCTTATAACTGTCAATATATATTATTAAGCAAAACTAAAATCTACTTGTAGGTATTTGTAAGTTTTTTTTACTATAATGATATTTAGGAAACTGCTAAGAGTGTTTACCTTTGAAGCAGAGAAATACAATTTGACACGAGAGGGAGTTTTGTTATTTTTAACATTATATTTCTTAGCATCATAAATATGTCATTATTTTATTATTATTTGCATGAATTACATTTGCATTTATGTAAAAATAAAAGAGTAAGGGGTATTATCGAAAACATTAAGTCAAAGTTGATTTAGATTAAAATGTGTAATGTCCAGTTCTTTTTCTTATGTCTCAAGTTGCATCTATGAGCATAGTACTTATTAGGGTATTTAGTTGACCATCAACTTATTAGATTATTTGGATAATGAACTTGGTATACAAATAAGAAAACGAGTGCTTATAAGAAAAGAATGAGAAAAATCTAACTTTCCCTCCTATTTGGCTTTAGGCCTAAGAAAATTTAAATAGCAGCTTTTCCTTCATGATAGTAAATCCATAGATAAAAATTACTTGAGGTGCTCATTGCCCTTTAATTATTGTCCTTGCTTTAAAAAAAATCCATAATCAGCATTCCTGGGGAGAAAAATACTTGCTTAGAGTATCTGTACCTGCTGCCTCTATCGGTAACAATATTAATACATTACCTTTGTTATCTTTCAATGAAAAGTTGTGGTTATTTGTTGCATCCGTTGTTAAGCTGAAGTAAAACTGGTGTCCATTGGATGGCTCATCTTTATCCACAGCACTGATTTTCTGGATAACCTAGGAAAAGAGAAAGTAAAAGATGAAAGCACATTGGTGTGCTATGCTTAGTTTTCTGTGGCAGGACAAAGCAATTTTACACTTTATAATAAATACCATCTCCCTGAATGAGCTAGGGAGAAAGGATCCGATGTATTATTATGAACCCAATCTAAAAAAGGGCTCTGAAAAACAAATCATGTCATTTTCTTAGTTCATGTTTGAATTCACTTTTGTGAACTTCAGAAATAAGCTGTTCCAATTGATTAGACATCCCAGGAAACATCACAAGACACTGAACAATAGATGAACAAACCAAACTGAGATTGAACTGCACTTAATTCTTAGAATTGTAAGACACTTAAACCCGGTTGGGTAAGGTAGGAAACAGCCCAATCAGCGTACTATGCTGTCTTTCTCCGAAAGGAGTCTAAGTTCTTAGCCATTTAACAGAGCTTTTACAATGTTTACCTTTCCTTCCTGAGGAATTTTCATCACCCCAATTAAACTGGAATTTGAAGGTTCCTTTAATATTAGTTCATGCTACACATCAAAGTGTTAGTTTTGCTGAAACAAGCTGATTATATTTTATCTTAAAGCTGGAAGAATTTCAAAGGCAACTGCTGCTGGATATTTTTTAAGAAACCACAAATTAGAAGCAAAGTGTTCTGAAGACTCTTACCTGCCCCGGCTGGGCATTTTCACAGACGGTGGTCTCATAGTCCATGGCAAATTCAGGGGCGTTATCATTGATGTCAAGTATAGTGATGGCCACATAGCCTCTTCCTACTTGAGATGGATTCTCTAATAAATAAGACAGTGTCTTATCATTTACTCTTTGCCCATCTAAAGCACAATTCTAATAATAAAATGACGAAGCTGAGAATGAAATCTAGAATCATAATGCTGTATTACTTAAAAGGAGCTATAGAAAATACGAAAATATGATCCAAATACACACACACATTCATATGTATGTATTTGTATGTGTGTGTATATATATACACACATACATATATGTATATACGTATATGTGTATGTATACATACTTATGTATATCCAAATATATACATATACATGATTATATGTGTGTGTATTTGGATATACATGCATATATATAAATGTATATTTATGGTCTACATGTGTACTTGTAGTTTTTTAGTCCCTGATGAGAAAATTGTTGAAAGAAGAATAAATGGTAAACCATGAATTTCAATGTTCTTTGATGTTAGAGCTCATATTTGCATGACTATACATTTGTATTATCAACACATGTATTATAAATGCATACACATTAAAATACACAATATATCATATACATATATGCATGCAAATATGCATTCATTTTTCAATAGTTTTTATTTTATTTTATTTATTATTTTATCTTTTATGAGGGACTAAACTTAGTTCAGTATCAGAATATTCAAATCCAGATGTCTTTGTTATAGATCAATTTACTAATTACTGTAAGTTATTTCACTAACTCCATAACAGCATAAACACAATATATGAATTATGATCAGAAAAAAAGAAATCCTGTGAAGGTAATATAGGCCCATTGTTTTTTAGTCCTTGGTTTTCATAAATTTTGTAAATATTATCATAGAAAGACAGTGAAGATAAGTATATTTCACAGCTTAGAAATTTGGTATTCTCAAGTTTTTGTACAATTCAAAGAAGGAACTACTTTAATTAACTTGAATTTACAACCTCATGACAATCGATTCTCCACTCACTGTCCTCCATCTTAATTTAGTTTTAAGCCTCACAACTTACGGCTCTCCATTGCAAGGACTGTGATATTGTGAATAGCATTTGTCTCTCGATCCAAAGACTTGGCAGTTGTGATGACCCCACTGTTGGCATCAATATTGAAGTATCTCTCCAAGTCTGTGTTTCTGTCAATTGAGTACCTAATTGAACATTGAAGAAAAGAAAAGCCTTCAACATGTACGTTTGATTATAATTTGCTGAAACTATTTCATTATTTGTGTAGCTCATTACTAAATCCTACTGACTCTCTGATCTGTCATATTAATCACATAAATGCATGCCTGGTTTAAAACTCTCCCCACATATTAGATGGTTTATAACCTGTGTCTCACTAATATGTTTGCTTTTCTGTCAGACAGTACTAAATGAACACCACAGTAATCTTCACAATGGCTTTGAATATGTCATTAGAACTTCAAGTTCATTATTATTACTATTATTATTTATTTATTTTTGATACAGGGTCTTGCTGTCACCCAGGCTGGGGTGGAGTGGATCACTGTAACCTCAAACTCCTGGGCTTAAGGGATTCTCACACCTCAGCCTCCTGAGTAGCTAGGACTAGAGGCATGCACCACCATATTTGGCTATTTTATTATTATTATTATTATTATTATTATTATTATTATTATTATTATAGATGCAGGGTCTTGCTATATTCCTCAGGCTGGTCTTGAATTCCTGGGCTCAAGTGACCCTTCCATCTCAGACTCCTAATATGCTGGGATTATAGGCGTGAGCCACCATCACTGGCTAAATTCATTATTATTATTATGACTCCTGTAAACCATTTACAATATATTTGGTAACCCTGGTCACGATTATGGACCCTTCTAAAATGAAACATGTAAACATCTTGCCCATTTGCATATACTTAGTAATATCTTTTGTTCTGACGGCACCAACCTGTTATTAACCCTCTTTCTTTTTTTTTTTTTTAAATCTTACTCAGTGGTCTTGACCAGGATTCTAAAGACATGTTTCAAAGTGGAACCCCTGAGATTGCATGGCTATTTTTGCATGTAAAAGCCTTTTCTTGAAATATCTGTAATCCAAACATTTTTTCAGCAGTGAAAAATTACTACTCCACTTGTATTTTTAGTCCATGCTATTATTTGTTTTATACACAAAATTTACCCTCCCCTCATGATGATCATCTTCAGGTTCCCCTCGCAGTCTTTCTGGTTGGGTGAGATGGCTCTCATTCAAAAACAAACAATTAAACGAACAAATGAACGAAAGAACAAACAGGAAAAAAACACACACCCACTTTAGGCATGATGATCAGCAACTGCTTCAGCTACCCTCATGACCCATTAAACATAAAGGCCTTTCATGTTCTTCATCTTCTTGATTCTTGATTTGCTCCTTTACTCCAGGCGTCATGGATTCTTATGAACATACCCTTGACTTGTCAGCTCTAATATATGCATTACTGTGGGAAACTCTACTTCAAGCATCTTACTCTCTATCCACCACCTCCCACTCCAGCAATTCTTCATCCTAATAGGGACCTACAGTTTATTGATGCTAGCAACATTTTCTTAAAATCAATTTGCCTTTATTTCCTCACATCTCTTACCAATTTATGTACTATGAGCCCTCATTATTATTACTCCTGTGTATATGGATATTACATTGCAATACATCAAATTTAGTGACATCAAACCATAATAATAATATATCTTATTTTGTTTGTGTCAGGAATTTGAAAGTGTGTTTGTAGGGCAGTTTTAGCTCTTAATCTCACAGGAGGTTGTAGTCAAATGTTGGCTGGGTCTACAGTCATTTGATGATTTGACTGGGATTGGAAGATCCAGTTTCGAAGTGTCTTATTCACATTGATGGCATGTGCATGGCATGGATGGTGAGTTGGTGCTGCCAAATGGACTCCTCTCCACAACACTGCCTGAGTGTCCTTACGGCGGGAGAGCCAGCTTCCCCCATTTTTTTTTTCAATTGATCTGACAGTGTGTTTTTTCTTCTTTAATTTCTTAATATGATGCATTATATTGATGAACTTTTGAATATTAAACCAATCTTATGCTTCTGGGATAAACCCTACTTTATCATGGTGAATTATTCTTTTCTATATTGCTTGATTGAGTTATCTAAATGTTCTGTGGAAAATATTTGCATGAAAGTCTTGATCAAAGTTTTCTTTACTTGCTGTGTCTACCTGGTTTTGGTAGTAAGAATAAGGCTGTACTTGTAAAAAAGTTGGGATGCATTCCCTCTTCTCATATTTCCTGAACAATACTGTGTACACTTGGTAATTCTTCTTTAAGCGTTTGGTAAAAATTTGTCAGTGAAGCTATCTGGGCTTGGATATTTCCATTTTCAGAAAGTTTTTAACTAAAATTATAATTTAATAGTTATGGGATTATTTAGGTTATCTATTTCATATTGAGTGAGTTTTGAGAGTTTACACTTTTTGAAAAATTGATCCGTTTATTCTAAATTGCCTAATTTCATTGAAATTATAAAACTTATGTCAGTAGATTTGTTTATAGTGTTTTCTTATTCTGCATTTTATGTTTGCGGGGTGTGTAACATCTCCTCTTTTGTTCTTAATATTTATCATTTTTTCTGCTTTTTTTTTTCCTTTGTCAATGTTGGTAGACGTTTATCAATATTTAGGTCTGTTCAAAAAAACAAGCTTTTAATTCTATTGATTTCTGTAAAATTTGTTTTGAAATGCATTGATTTATGTTCTTATCTTTATTGTTTTATTTCTTCACCTTGCTTTGGATTTATTCTACTAATGTTTTTCTAATTATTACTCCAGGACAGGGGACAGTAGAGAGAAAATAATGGTAAACTCATCACAGGTTTGGAGATACTCTGTATACTCATCTTCACTAAACTACCTGCTAATATTTACTTTTTAGAGGCCTGATGGCTCCACTCTATCCAGGTTTCATAGCTGCATTTACCGTGAGATACAGGGTGGAATATGCTTACTTAGAACAGGGTTATGTGTGTATCTATGTGTGTGTGTGTGTGTATATATATGTGTGTGTATATATATATATGTGTACACATATACTACATACATACGTATATGTATGAACCAATATACATATATAAAATACACTTCTATGTAAGTCATATCTAATGGCAATAGGAAAACTGATATTAATGTTTGATAAGAGGATTATAACTTAATGAGATTATAACCCATACATTCATGCATCAATTAAGCCAATATTAAAACCTGAATTGCTCTCTTTGTCAAATCTCTAAGTTAATAACTGAGATAATGTTTGAATATTCATGAAAAGACAAATGTCTAGATTCTTAAAAGCTAAAAGGCCTTGAACTTGACAGACATCAGTCTAAATGAATTCATGTAATTCCCCACAGGGCTAAAGTCAATGACTAAAACACTTGCTTCTATTATCAATAGTCTCAAAGATCCTAGCGTTAGAATAAAAAAAATTAAAGTTGAGAATTTATTTAATATGCTAAACTGGTCTCCAACCAGTATTTGCCTCATAGAAAACTACAAATAATTTAGGGATCTAGTTATAACCTAGGACTCTATCTGTTTTGAAAAAACATGGGCAACAAAAGTTTCTATCATTCAAATATTTACCATTTCTAAATTATACACTCTGCAGCTTCCCCTTGTAGATATATTTATTTATTTAAACAAAGTCTACTCTGTAGCCCAGGCTGGAGTACAGTGGTGCAAGCATGGCTCACTACAGCCTCAACCTCTCAGGCTCAAGTGATCCTCCCATCTCAGCCTCCCAAGGAGCAAGGTCTACACACATGGGCCACTGTGCCAAGCTAATTTTTGTATTTTTTGTAGAGATACGGTCTCACTATTGCTGCCAGGGCTGGTCCCAAACTCCTGGGCTCAAGCAATTCTCCTGCCTCAGCCTCTCAAAGTGTTAGGATTACAGGCTTGAACCACACACCACGCCCAGACCCCTTCTAAATTGTGTGTATTTGTTAATAACTATAATCCCCACTTAGATCTCACTAAATAGCATATATATATATATATATATATATATATATATATATATATATATATATATGGTAATTTATGATGTTATCATTTCCTTATGTCTTCCATTTATTCATTTATGCATTTGGCAATTACTCTTGAGCACCTGCAAGTGACATACTATTTCAGGAAATACATTACATAAACTTTTTTTATTGCAACGAAAATAATAAATATTGAGGAAGAAACTAAGAAGTTGTTATGAAGGAGGTCAGGGCATGTTTGCAGAAAGGTATTGACTTGAGATGAGATGGGACACTTTGTCAAAGACAAGGATTAGACTGAACATCCAGAACAGTCCTGGTGGTTTTTACATTTCTTAATGGCAAGGACTTGGGGTCACCTAGAATTAAAGGGGTTTCCTATTTTCTACCAGCCCCTCTGGACATGCAAAAAAACTTCAGTTGTTGTATAAAGCATTAGCTAATGTATAAAGTCACTTGAGAAAAAAAAAATCCTTAGGTGAGAAAAATAAAGAAAATACAGATACTTTTTAGAATGAGAAGTGTAATGTATCTCTGCCTTAGTAATGTAGGATGGCTGATTGAGCCAAGAGAAGAAAGGCCCTAAAAGAAGTCTGAAAGGAAACACTATTTGATGTTGTGGATTGACTGGCCTAGGGACTGAGAAATGCAGTTGCCTGAGTTAATTGGAGGCTGAACTAGAAGTGTGAGGATGGGTGATTTCCTAGTCATGAACCACCACTAACTACAGTGCAACTTCTGATGCCATTAGCGGTGTGTGAACTTACAACAATCTCTCTAGCTTCTGCAAATTACAGCCTAAAATACTTGGCTTCCTTTAGTGTATATTGGAGCGGACAATTAGAGAGATCACTTCCATATTTTTGCAGCAACAGCAGTTAAGCTTCTGCCCCATCCACTTATTATGCTGACAGCTCTGTATCTCAATATCCAGCCTAAAACTAGTTCCTGAAATTTTTGAACACTGCTTTATAGATGGCTTTACCATCATTAATTCAATCTCAATATATCTATGAGCAAATTCATCAACCTTTTCCCCAAATTACCCTACCTTCTGAACTTTTCTCTTTGCAGGATATAATATTTAAAATATAGTTTACCTTTTTTCCTTAATTCTCAAACAAATATGTAAGATCATATGTGGCAGAAACTTCCATTTGCATGCCTAATAATTATATTTCTCTTACTTCTTGTTAAGAGAACCATGCTTTTATTAGACGCAGCCATATGTCCCTCTGAAAAACTATATTTGCTAGCCTCCCTTGTAGATGTGATGTCTTTATATCTAAGTTTTGAAAAATGAGGTACAAAATACATTTTTAGCCTATAGTCTAATTGAAAAACTCCTTAAAGCATGAGTGATAGCTGTTAATTTACCTGGTATTTGATTTCTGCCCTCCCCCTTTCTCTCACCTGGGGCACAAACACAATGGAAGAGATCCAGAAGCCACATTGTAAATAAGCGGTGACAAGTGCTTAAAAAATGAAGTGAAGGCTCTTGATGGCATTATGCTGCCAAGGTGTCAGTCCTTGAAAGCATAGCTCCAGACTTCTCATTAGTATGTCATTAGTGTTAAGCTTTGCTGCTACTAGCCAAGCACAATTTCTAACTAACGCAAGCATATATTATTATTGAGGTTATTTCGATACTGGACTCTAAAATTTCACAGTTGGGGGTTGGATCCAAGATTTAGAATCATGACTATTTGAGCCAGTTTTCCAGCATACTATGTTGCATACAAATTGTAGTTTCAGCCACCTACATCTCTATAATTCAGCTTCTATTTGTTTTTTTTCACCCCTCTGCTTTCCTATCTAAACTCATAACCAGTCAAACTGATGTATTAAGTGGTGAACAAATATACCACACACATCTCCAATTCTGTGCCTTTTCTCATGTTGGTCATTCTGTATTCCTGTTTTTCCTCCTTTCCAATTATTTTAGTCCTGCTATTCCTTGAAGACAAACTAGCAGCATTAAAGCAGCATGCCTTTCCAATTACATCAGAAGTCATGCTTTTTTAAGAAAACCTGCATGGTGTGTGATCCGTGGATCTTACCAAATGCTCCTTGTGCTACACCACCAGGGACCATAGACTGAGGATTAAAGGACAGTATTTCTGGCCATTACCCTGTCACTAACCTACTGTTCTAATTGGGGCTTTTCATCTGTGCTTTTCTGTTTCTTCATTTGTTCAATGAGAAAGTTTTACAGGATGAATTCTCATTTTCAGATCTAACACTGAATTTTTTAAAATGAGTTTTCATGTAAGATCTCTTCTACAGCTACATAACAAGAGGGTTTCTGCAAAAGACCATATCTCATACATCTGTGTGTCTTCAGTGTTCTGAACATCTGTTACAAAATGAATTCCTTAATGAATACCGGTGATTATCACTGCAGCTATTTGATGAGCTAAAGAGATCAATTAAAATGTTCTTCTTTATATTCACAGGTAGCATTCTTATCACCAGCTATTAATTTACATATCAGTGTTCACAAACAGAAAGTGCAGGTGAGTGAGCTAGATTAACACAAATATATCATCAGTACTCCCAAAGTGGCAAAAGATAATGTAATACAAAAACATGGGAAAATTTCATCAATTGAAATAGATGAATAATTTGAATAGAAATTTTAATCTACTATAAAGTTTGTCGATATGTGCATTTGTGTGTGTGTGTGTGTATTGCTGTAAGGATCGTACAGGTTTGATATAGACCTCACTAAATTCCTGGAACCATATTTGCTAACTGTGTGGCTGGGGACATATTTACTTCTAATATAGGAATAATAGTGCTTGTCTCTTAGGAATTTAATGATAAGTAAACTTCAAAATAAATTATTGAGGCCGGGCACTGTGGCTCATGCCTGTAATCCCAGCATTTTGGGAGGCCAAGGTGGGTGGATTGCTTGAGTTCAGGACTTAGAGACCAGCCTAGGCAACATGGCAAAGCCCCATCTCTACAAACAATTAGCTGGGCGTGGTGGTATCTGCCTGTAGTCCTAGTTGCTGGGGAGGCTGAAATGGGAGGATCACCTGAGCCCAGAAGGCGGAAGTTGCAGTGAGCCATGATTGTGCCATTGCACTCCAGCCTGGGCGATAGACTGAGGACCTGTCTCAAAAAAAAAAAAAAAAGAATAAAAATGAACTATTGATTTCTGAGCTTAATGATAGCAGACACCTTGCCTGTATCCTCACCCCTCTTCTGATTATGTCAACACAATTTTCCTTTAGGGTTTTATACTTTTTCAAATCTCATATGCAATCTTGATGGCACTCAAGATGTCCAGAATGTTTTGGAGAAGAGACGGCCACATATATCAAGATATGAATAATAATAATAATAATAATAATAATAATAATAATAAAACCTCTGCAGGGAATGTGAATCTTAAACAGACAGCTGCAAGAAGAGTTGCAGCTGATTCATCACAGTTGCCACGTTCTGAAGAGCCTGCTACCCTCGCTACATGTATTTACAGAGGAACCCTACTCCTCTCTTTTCTGAAGATTGGCCATTCAGTTTTTTCCTTTCTTTCTTTGAGCTATACCCAATTATTTCAATAAACTTCTTTTTTAAAAAATGAACTGTGGCCAATTACTGTTGATTATAATTAAAGAATGTTAAGAGGATAGTACATGATAAAAAGTAATATTCCCTAACTTTTTAACCCCATGAATAATTCTCTATGATTTACACCAAGAACATTGAATTTTTGTATTCCTTTATTAATGTGACTTTTCAATAAGTATTTAATTTTATATATATATATATTATATATAGTGTGGCAGGGTCTCACTCTGTCACTGAGGCTGGAGTGCAGTGGCGTGATCTCAGCTCACTGCACCCTCCACCTCCTGGGTTCAAGAGATTCTTCAGCCTCAGCCTCCCGAGTAGCTGGGATTACAGGCATGCACCACCACACCTGGCTAATTTTTGTACTTTTGGTAAAGACAGGGCTTCACCACATGGGCCAGGCTGGTCTCGAATTCCTGGCCTAAAATGATCCACCCATCTCGGCCTCCCAAAATGCTGGGATTACAGACGTGAGCCACCGTGCTGGGCCCTCAATAAGTATTTTAGATATGAAAAATACTGTAAGAAACAAATCAGAACAAATGTAATTTTCAGTGAATTTATTTTACCTGGAGTCTTCCAAAAAGGTAACTAAGAAAGTCTTTGCTGACAGCAGAGCTTTGTAATTCTAGAGCAATAGAATAAAACATGAAAAAATGGGCCGGGGGTGGTGGCTCATACCTGTAATCCCAGCACTTTGGGAGGCTGAGGCAGATGGATCACCTGAGGTCAGGAGTTCGAGGCAAGCCTGGCCAACATGGTGAGACCCTGTCTCTACTAACAATACAAAAATTAGCCAGGTGTGGTGGCGGATGCCTGTAATGCCAGCTACTCGGGAGGCAGGGGCAGAAGAATTGCTTGAACTTGGGAGGCAGAAATTGCAGTGAACCGAGATCACACCACTGCACTCCAGCCAGGCAAAAGAAAAGAAAAGGAAAGAAAAGAAAGAAAAGAAAAGAAAAGAAAAGAAAAGAAAAGAAAAGAAAAGAAAAGAAAAGAAAAGAAAAGAAAAGAAAAGAAAAGAAAAGAAAAAGGAAAGGCTAAAATAAATTAGGCATTTCCTGCAAAATTTAACCTACAAAAATTATCTCTGGATAGTAAGTACACTACTCTAATGAAAACACGCTATGTTTTCACCATACATGAACATATACTTTCTTTTTTTCATTTTTAGTGGTAGTTATGCTAAAATGAGCAGCATTTTGAAATAGAGTACAGCTTATAGTCTTCTCAGAGATATAATATCTGCTACTTTTTAAGTTAATCAGTTTTATTGCTAGTATTATTTTTCTGTATGTTATGTTACTGGTTGGTTTGCTAATTTTCTTAGAATAAAATAGATATTCACAAATAATTTAGATTTCATATGTGCACATATATGAATGAGTACAAGCTACTTAAAAAATACACACTGAATTATTCAAACACCCCAAATATGTTCACACTAATCCATCACATAAAGTAATTTCCAACATAATATTATCACTTTTTATGTGAGGATATACAATACTAGGAATGCTGAAAAAGCCCACGGGTAAATATTATCCAAGTATCCTTTAACATAAATATAAACATATTTCTATATTTAGATTATTAGAAATGCTTAAAATGATGCGTATTACTTTTTGTTTTCCTGTCTTCATATCTGATCTTATTTGTAATAATATCATGTTCTATTTCATTGGCCATTTTTAGTATAGGAACTTTGGGCTTGCTGTGATGCCTACAGAAATGAACTTGCTGATTTCATAATTTAGTACTAGGCTTTTAGGATATAACCAAATAAAACATAAATGTACTTTGCATGATTTTTCTTGGCTTGCCCAAATCTTGCCATCTCTTGAAGCCCTACTTACACTACCACTCCTTCAAATGAAATCTCACAGCCAGTGAACTTGGAGTGCTGATTATTTATCTTACAATTTGCCATATTACAGTGCTGGCATATTTTTCCCCATATTGTTTAACTTTTATGAGCTCTTATTACTTCATCCAGATTGTAAGTTCCTTGAGGTCAGAGGAAATGTTTTATTTATCTTTGTTTTCTCATTAGCATTTTCCCCAGTGCTTGCATAACACAGGTTTTTAATGAATGCCTGTTCAGTCATTGATCAGTCTGCCAATGCTGACATGAGAAATGAGTCAAATCCTCTAGACTCTAGGCTGTTCTTACATCTTTTACCATCTTGGATGAGAAACACAGAAGTGAAGTTTCTATCACTCAGAAACGTGACCAGAATCAGCAGACCACAATCTGTCCTTCCAAGTTCAATAGATAAAGCCCGATATTGAGTACTTAGGGCCAAAATTTACATGATATGATAAACAGCTACTTATCAAATAACAAGCCGGAAACGTGCTTGCCCTCAATTACCCATTTTTCTTTAAAAAAAAAAATCGTTTTTTTTCCCTCTAAGTAATCTCAAGTGTCAACTAACTTCTACCCTTGGCTTTGACTGCAATTTTAGTTTACGTATGGTTTTATTTCCACATACCACTCCCTGCCACAAAAGGACAGTACAGTGTACATGAAATGGTGGTCTAGATAAGCTATCTGGATGTTGGGTAAAGTATAAAAAAGACCTAACATTCACAATCGTGTTATGTTCTGGCCAGTTACTGGGGTTTGGGTTTTTTTAATCTTTCCATCTATGATGACTACACTTGTAAACGTCAAGAATGACCAGGTTCCAATAGTCATATAGGTGCCCCAGTCTTTCTCTAAGGAAAAAGCAGATTCATAGAGAAGAGTTATGCATAGCCTTTGGGTGGTACTTCAGTAAAGTAGGTAGAAATTTTAAAATGCTGTGCAAGGCAGGGATCATGTAGGAAGACAATATCAATTTCGCCTTGCTGGGGGCAACTAAATGTATATTTTTCTAGAATTCTAATTTATTGCCTCATATATCAGAAAATACTACAAACATAAATGACATATGCTAGATTTCAGTATTATACAACAGAGAATGTCAATAAATTCAAAACTAATCATCCCATTGGCCACACTGTTTTACAAGTCAAACCCTACTGGTCTAATTTTAAACAATTACAACAAAACAAATAATGCTTTTCCATTCCTCAAAGAACTACAATATTGCTAAAGGTGTAAAGCACAAAGGTCACAATTGTTAAGACTCCTCATGTCCCATCTCAATGTGGAGATTCACTTTTCCTAGTACCTCAGAAGACTGCTATTTATTCATCCATTAACATATGTTTTATTATGTTAAACATATGAGACAGGATTTACATTTTGATAGTTACTGGAGTGCCTAATGCAAATACATGCTTATATTCATCAAAAAGCCATACAATATGTTATATCTATTGGAATACGCGTGAGTACAAGACAACCTGCAATATAGATTGTCAATATGGTTGCATATAAAATGCTATGTCTCTTTTACTGACTTCATTAATCTCAGAATTAAAATGGCATGGAAACACAATAACCTATAATAATAGCAATATATAATGATAATACATGGTAATATTCAAGTCATGATTCACAGTTTAAAAGCTTCATTTACTTTCTCGCTCTTATTCAATCATCAGAGAAGCTTGGGATAAAGCATCAGCTACTTTTCCTTTTTGCTGGCTAATACAAAAACACAGAAGACAAGGTGACATCTCCGAGGCCATTCCACAAACAGCAGTGCTGGGAAGGGAACCAGTCTTCCAGAGAATGCGTGAGAGTAATGCATATGCAACAAATTATAAAATAAGGAGACTGGCCTCTTAAGGGATATTATATAAATGGATAGAGGAAGAGAAGTATGTGAGAGACAAATGCAGAATAAAAAGGTATAAATAATTGTGCTGACCTTATGAAAATCGTGTAAAAACTTTCAAGTATGTAAGTATTAAACATGACTCAAGAAATTAATTCTACAAATGCAAAAGAAATATTCATATATACAAAATAAAATTTTAATTCACTGGGGACAAAGTCTATCTATTTCTCTATTTGTGAGATAACGATGTAAGCTAATAGAAACCTGAACCTTCAGGTCACCGTCATTACTTTTAAGGAAATGAAAGTGGGGTAAAAAATATGGTGCTGGGTGGGTACTCTTTCACTGATAAAGACCACAGAGATTTTTACTTCCAAAATCAGAAGTTCTGCCTTTGACCTCTGTGCTTCAGAGAACAGAAGTGGAGCTCACTTCATCTCTCTCTAGTCACTACTTGCTCTTTCTCAAGTCACCTCCCATTTGGGCCAACTATTCCTTCTTCTTCCTAAAATTATTATATAATAATATTGACTTTTTTCCAATGAAAATATTATAAAAAGTGAAATATTTTCTATGAAAGGCTTCAACAGAATGACAACAAGGGAGTGGGTAATAGAATAATTTAAACAGGATAAAAATATCAATGCAATCAATGAAAATATTCTTAAATCCTTTCATTTTACTTATTCACTTATTTATTTTAGAGACAGGGGTCTCACTATGTTGTCCAGGCTGGAGTGCAGTGGTTATTTACAAGTGCAATTGTAGCTCACTGCAGTCTAGAACTCCTGGTCTCAAGTGATCCTCCTGTTTCAGCCTCCCAAGTTGCTAGAACTACAGGCATTTGTCACCCCACCTGGCTCCATCATTCATTTTAGTAGTAAATTATGATATATAGTAATGTCTTTCGGTCACTCTCCATATCTCCAACTTTATGAAAGCATGTCTCTCTTTCTTTCCATTAAATTAAATGATTCAAGCAGAAACCAAATTGTCCTAAGTAGCTAATCTATGCCAGTAATTGTACTGTGGTTGATTGTTCATGAGGGCAAGAGATTTAAGGTTTCACTAAGAGATGGAATGCTATAACAAAACTCAAACTCATGTTTGCCCCAATTAATATAACTTGGTATGTGGGGCTGAACTGCAGTCAGAAAGTTTTCTTGACCATGAAGGCAGGGCAATTACAGAGAAGAGGGGAAGGCTTATTCTATCTGCTATATTTGTGATTCATAAATATTCTTGTGCACAGATTATACTCTCGGAAATGGTCTATTATCACCACATTAAAAACAGTATAATCATCAATACATTCTGAATTTGCTGCCTAGATAAGCACATAATACATATGATTTCACTTTTTAAATAACTATTTTTCTATACCAATCCTTTACTAGTTCTATATATATGTGTGTATGTATATATATACATATATATACACATATACATATATGTATGTATATATACTACTTTAAAATATGTGTGTATGTGTATAAATGTACATAATCACTTTATTACTTTAGAAAGAAACAACATTATCGGCTTTTTAAAATCAATAAATATTAAGTAATTTTCATGACAATTTAGAGCCAACGTCCAGACTTATCTCAAAAGTTAGTTCAAAAGCACTTACCATTGTTAAATATTATTTAAATCTAAAAGTCTGTGGATAGTTTCTAATTGAACATATCTGAAGATAAAACAATCATTGTTGTTTTATTTATTTTTACGTTATAGTCTTTGTAATCAAAATCAAACCTTTATGTTGAAAAGTGAAGTATTTTACTTACAAACCCAAATAAGACATATAATACAACAGACATTTTATTTCAAGTATATTCTATTTATAATGTTACCTCAAAAAAATAAGTCTCACACAAACACATAAACACATGCATACACACAAAAACATGTAGATCTCATACTATAAATTTGCTAAAAAGTGCAAAATGTAATGTTGACATATTTTGAAATGCTTACATATCACCATTGTGTCAGTCTTAAAGATATTACTTGGCTATAACAATATCTAGCCTAGATACAAGACTACTGAAAAGATATTTTTAATAGTCTTTATATGTAGCTAGTTTTTTTAAAAAAATTAAGTGGAAATATTAAACTGAACAAATATATACTGTTCAAGTAGACCAATATCAATAAAATGATTTGTTTAGAAATTAGTCCCTAATTTGAATTGTTGATACAATTATTTTTCTAACATATGCATGTATCCTACAACTTAAACATGCATTGCTTCATTTTTGAACATGTTTTGCTTTAAAAGAGATTCAGGATAATTGGTTGAATAGAAACATCAGCTATGGCTTGTGGATAGTAATGGAGGCCTAAAAATATGGCTCAACGATAATGGCCTTGATAATCAGATGATATTTTTGAGTTAGTAAAATGTATGTTTCTAATGCTGTTTTACCTCTGCTGTTATAACTCGATATATATATATATCTGGTTTTTATTTGTTATGAACAAAGGAACATCAGAGCGTAAAATAAGAGTTGTGAACAAGAATGCATTGTTTGTAAAACCATAGAAAAGGACAACAATGAGTTTTTACCTCACAGGGCTATTGGAAGAATCTGGGTCATGAGCTGCTACAGTGCCAATGATATTCCCAACCTGGGTAGCTTCCGACACCTCCATAGGGTACAAGGGTGAAGAGAACACAGGGGGCTCATCTACATCTTCCACAATTATCTTCACAGTTGTCGTGTCACTGAACGGACCCAAGCTCAGAAAGCGAGGGTCGGCATCTTTATTTGCAGCTTCTATCCGTAGCGTGTAACTTGTTTTGGCTTCAAAATCCAGCTCCTGTAAAGAAAGTCGTTAGGAAAATTAAATTACCGGTTAAACAGTCAGCAAAGCAGAGCCTTTTCATTTATGAATGTCAATAAGCTTAGGAAGGACTCTGTCATGTAAATGCACCATCAGCATCCAAAAATAATAAATAACAATGCCAATCAGATTTCTTGTTGCTTTCCTGGCTCACAAACAATGGTTAGTGCTTTTGAATCAACTTCATCCACTCTGCTGCTATACGCTGCACAGACAGACAGATGCCAGTCTTTGGAATACGATTTGAAAGAAAAACTGGTCAAATTTATTTTTTTTCCAACAGGGACTGTCAATGTAATATTCTTCAACCATGTAACTTAACTGTACTACCCAGGGTGCACTTTAAAAATTAAGAAAAGCATTACTTTCTATTGAATTTCTCATTTAAAAGGTCAGTGATTTGGGGGACTTAATTAGGATTCTGAGCTTTCAGGGCACTCAAAGTGTGGCTTCAGGGGCAAGTGTGCCATCCTGAGGTTGTTCAATCTGCAAACATGGCCAGTTCTTCTCCATGAAGCACCCATCATGTCTGCCTTCGCTATTCCTCCATCAAAATATACTAGATCTCTATTTTAGGAGGTTAACAGTTATATCTCAGAATCTTTACATTGTATCTAATTTTCCAAGAGGATTTACATGCTACAATTTTCCCAAAAATTAGTGACCAACTCAAACCGCATGAGAGCTGAAAAAGGTTGTAAGGACAATTAAACTAGTTGCAGTAGCAGAGCACCATCTTTGAAAAATAAAAATCATATACACAACATGTAGACGTTGTTTGTGACAATAACATGCTTCTTTTTCTTCAATGGATACAGAAAGTAACAGCTTTTTATGACTTTCAATTTCAGTCTTACCACTTGCAAAACTGTCCCCAAATTCTTTTTACATTTAATGATGTAAAACAAAAAGAATTAAAAACAGTGAAAAAAAAAACTTTACAGGAATACTGAAAAATATAATACATACTTGACTTAGTTGTCAGTATATAAGAATAAGGCATTATGAAATGTGAGCTAATATGTAATACTAAGAATTGTAATTCAGATTCATTCACTGTATGTTTGGGCATACGTGTGTATATGTATGCAGGCACGCATTTATTCCGACTTATCCCACAAAGGAGGTAATAACCAAAATAAATAAAACAATAGTTATATAAGTATACAATAGGATGTATATACACATACTATACTGTATATAATATATCCCATACTGTGTACAGTGCATATTCACTTTGCTACATAAAATATAACACATATATACACACATATACACATTATATATATAAATATATGTATACACATTACATATGTGTATATATATGTTTGCACACAAATATTAAAGAGATCCCACAGCTTATCTCCGAGTAAGCAAAAGGAAAATATACACATATATATATATAAATCAATATACAAAATAGGCTTACAATATCTAGACCAGACAGGACTTACTAAAATGCTTATTTAATATCTCTCTTAGCCACTAGATTTGAAGCCCTGATCATTTTGTTCATCACTATTATTCCCAGTACCTAAAATGCTTTTTATACATAGGGGAGTCTCAATAAATTCTTGAGCCTCCTTTTCTTGAATCAACACAACAACAAAAAAATTAGAACACAGATATTCAGTGTACAAGAGGCTGAAAATTGAACTATACATCTGACCCAAAGAATCCTGCTGGTTAAAATGAGAGATAAGGGAAGAAATAACAGTCAAGTATATTGTTTTTCTTGAGCACAGAAACACTTTCTAGAATTGCTGCAGAACAAAAAAGTTTTAATTTTTATCTCAGGTTTTACATAAAAATGTTGGGACACATAGAAAATACTGCCATGACAACATTGTATTAACAAACTCAGTAATATTTTTATGAGGCTAACATTTTTTGTTTGTTTATTATCTAAGAGTCGGTCTTGTCCAACGGTGGTCAAAAAAAGGTGAGAATGAGAACCCACCAGAGACCCTTCTAAAATATGTGTGGCCCCTTCCAATGGATTCTGATTCAGCAGGTGCAGGACGAGGTACAGGCAGATATATTTTTAGAAGGCTCGTCAAGTGATTCTGAAGCAAATCCTCTCTTAAGAAACCTGACCTACTCATAAAATTTTCTTGGGCCTATCTATAAATTCCAACCTTTATGTTGGGGACACTTGAAGCATTCTCATTTACCTAAAAGCATCTACTGAGAAACCAAAACATACTCGCAGTTTAGATAATAACCTCAGTTTGTTCTTATATTCTTTATAAAAATTACTAACTATAAGAGAAATCTTATTTTCAAATATGATGTGTCTATATGTAAAAGAATATACTTAGAAATCCGATTTGTCAGCTCCTTTCAAATCAATGCAAAACCACAACCTTTAAGTTATTTATTCAGGTTTTCACATTAGCAAAAGGCATACCAAGTATTTCTGTATTCAAGTAAAAGTTTGTCTCCCTTATGAAAGAATAATTTAAAATGTACTGCAGAAATGAATGCAATTTTTTACAGCAACTTGTTTTTTTAAATGTATCTAAAAGGAGCAACATGAGGTATAGACATCTGGATGCTAAAAAGTCATGAAAAAACACACTATTATGCATGATGATTGGTTGCCTAAAAGCTATTATGAAAATAAAGCAATAAAAGAATTCATATGAAAGTCTATGAATCAAGATTACAGACAAAAGGAATTGCTTCACAAAATTATTTTCAGAGTATATCAAAATATGCCAGGATCTAGTTTTCAAAGATGTGATAAGACTGTTAAGCATTTGAATAAAAAAATTAAATTTTTACAGTAAAATTTACTTTTTATATGACTTCTCATTGTTGATTTCTAGATATGTAATATAGTCCATAACTATTAGAATTAATTACTAAGATTATACTTGAAAAATAACAATTAAGAAAAGACACCAAATAAGGAAATAGAAAAAAATAAAAGTAATTTCTAAATAAATTATCTCGATGTTTGGAAGTACATTGTACTAGTTCGTTTTCTCACTGCTGATAAAGACATACCCAAGATTGGGCAATTTACAAAAGAAAGAGGTTTAATGGACTCACAGTTCCACGTGGCTGGGGAGGTCTCACAACCATGACAGAAGGTGAAAGGCACATCTCACGTGGTGGCAGACAAGAGAAGAGCTTGTGCAGTGAAACTCCCCCTTATAAAACCATCAGATCTCATGAGACATATTCACTACCACAAGAGCAGTATGGGGGGAAACCACCTCCATGATTCAATTATCTCCCACTGGTTCCTTCCCACAACACATGGAAATCATGGGAGCTACAATTCAAGATGAGATTTGGGTGGGGACACAGCCAAACATATCATACATATAAGTGCATACTTACATAATTGGAAATTTAACCAGGGTTAAAAAAAAAAGCGCTGCTTCTCTTTTAGCATCTCTAGGGTTCCCAGAATGACTCTGTGGCTTCACCACTTCAAGTCTGGAATCAAATAGGGGACATACAGACTAGCAGATACTTTTTCATACATCAAGTGACATCTGTGTTAGAGACACTAAAAGAGAGAAGCAGCTTTTTTGGTGTATTAGTTTCCAAAGTACAAAAATAGTCTTTAAATTTATTGTCATCAAGGATAATTAAATTAGGATTAAATAAAAAGAATTCTGTGTAAAGCAAGGGTCTGCAAACATTTTTGTGAAGTATAAATATTAGTGACTATTAGACTTGGCAGGGAGTACATTCTCTGCCACATGAAAATGAATAAATATGATTGTTTGCAAATAATAATTTTTGATAGGTAACCCAGATTTTAAATTCTGTATGGTTTTCATGTATCATAACACATTTTTCTTGTTTTGAGTTTTTCCAATCATTTAAAAATGTAAAACCATCTTTACCTCAAGGGCCAGGCTAAAACAGGCAGGCAGTTGTTTGCCAATCTCTGATCTAAGGAGCCCAATATGGTAAGGCTAACATTCATGGCCTTCAGTGATCAGCATCCAGCACACTTTTTCTCTTCTAGTATATATCACCTGCTGCTCCTTCTTTCTCAGATGATTCAAAAATTGCATTTCTTTCTCACACAACTTTATCATTCCTCTCAGAGAAATCTTCTAGAGACTATCACCTTCTTAATAAGCATTTCCATAAACGCCTTACCCATGTAATAAAACTTTTTTACATTAAGAGCTAACTACAAAGAGTTGTACACACATATCTTTAACATGCATTTTAAAAAATGTAAGATTAGTGTTTCTTTTGCATTTTATATTTGTGTCCGCCCCCCAACCACCACAAAAATTCATATGTTCAAATCCTAACCCCCAAGGTGATGCCATTAGGAGGTGGGACCTGTGGGATTTAATTAGCTTTTGAGTGTGGATCCCTCATGAGTGGTATTAGTGGGCCCTTATAAATGAGACCTCAGAGAGCTCCCTCACCCCTTCTGCCATGAGAGGACACAGGATATGGCTGTGTATGAACCAGAAAGAGGGCCCTCGTCAGATGCCAAATCTTGACTTTGGACTTCTCAGCCTCCACAGCTGTGAGAAATAAATATTGGCTGTTTAAACATCCAGCATATATTTCTGTTATAGTAGCCCAAACGGACTAAGACAATATTATTAATACATGTGAAAACTAAATAGCAAAGAGTTCTAGTAAAAGTCCAAAAAGCCCATGTTTAAAGAGCACAGATACTACATGAACTCATGGTCATATATATCCATCAACTGTATGATGTTATCACGTATAAGCCCTTGCTGACCTCATCAACCTCATGAGGTTTTTGTAAATTATTGAGAAATAAATAGCACCTAGAACAGTGACTGACACAAAATAATCACTGTATAAATACTTGCTGTATTACTATTATGCTGTTATTAGAAGCATTATTTCCTGCTAGATTATAAGCAAATGGAAAGTAAAGAGTACGTGTTTCTCATCTTTGTTCTGCTCTGGCACCTAGGTTGTTGTCTTTGGCAAATTCTATTGTTGGATTAAAAAATATGACTATAACGAATAGTGGAGTCTCAAAATTTCCCTTGCCATTTGTAGCCTTTTCAATATTAAAACAAGTTAATTACTGAATTCATTTAATAAAATCATTGCACTTCATTTTTCTTCATTAATATAGCTTTGCTTCTGGTTTATAGCCAAATACATACTCGTTAAGTTCAATGACCTCCTTATATATCTCGCACCTTTAGCCAACAATGTTGTTAATGTTTCAGGAATTGATCCAAGTTAAATTCTTCTAAATTTCTCCATTCTGTTCTCTTTAATGGTAGCATGACACTATCAGGGCTGGATAGTGTATGTGTATATGTGCATGTCTATATACTTAATGTCTTACGTTTAATTTTGATTTTGTTCAAAAGTTCTATGACTGTCTTCATTAAGAGTATTTCTTTCTCTGGAGATTCTAGCTGTTTTTCAAATGAAAGTATATTTTGTAGCTTTCAATATCTGTAGCTTTTCCCTACTTCTTGAACAAATAAATGTAAATCTTTTTTCCTAAGTAAATGGGCTTGAGTGAGACCATACCTATGGGAAAATAACCCTCATTTATAACTTTTCCCTTACAATAATTTTATGTTAGGTCGGGCATGGTGGCTTATGCCTGTAATTCCAGCACTTTGGGAGGCCAAAGCAGGCAGATCATGTCAGGAGTTCAAGACCAGCCTGGTCAACATGGTGAAATCCCATCTCTACTAAAAATACAAAAGTTAGCCTGCCATGGTGGCACGTGCCTGTAATCCCAGCTACTGGAGAGGCTGAGGCAGGAGAATTGCTTGAACGCAGCAGGCAGAGGTTGCAGTGAGCCGAGATTGTACCACTGCACTCCAGCCCGGGCGACAGAGCAAGACATCGTCTCAAAAAAAAAAAAAAAAAATTACTCTAAATCTCTAAATAAACATACTACCCAGAACCTTAAACCTGATCTACAACCTTGGATGAGGTTTAAAAGCAGGAATAATTCTGTACATTTAAATATAATGACTCCCCAAGAACTTTCCAAAGCAAAATACATCCCCTTTATTATGAACAACTGCATTCTGTCGTTTCTATTTTCTTATTTCCCTGGGTTATGACCAAGAAGGCCTTATGTTTCTTTTAGCTTGAGTAAATTTAAACAGGTTTCTTTCTAATTTTAGGCCCCTGACCTCTCTTTAGAAAATTCGTCATTGTAAATCTTTTTTCTGCCCTTTTAATATGTAAATCTTTTAAAAATCCTCTTGACACTTTTATTACCAAGGAATGTCTTCCTCAAGGGCCCCAAAGCCATCTCTATGAAATTTTACCATCAAGGAAGACAGAACCAATACCTCCCAGTTTCTGTAGAAGGATAAGAGCCTAACTTCAGCAGGAGCCTTTTTCCAGGTTGTAAAACTATCCCCTGTCATGATGATACAAGAACATTTACTTTCCTATTGGTTAAAGCCAATCATCAAACACAACTGGCCTATGATCCCCACCCTCCATCCTAGCTCATAAAAACTCTGCAGCCCTTTGCTTTAGCCAAGGTGAGTTTGGACTGAGTCTCGTTTCTCTCTCCTATTGCAACAGCCTTGAATAAAATCTTCCTTACCTGTTAAACTGTCCTGTGCAATTTTTGCTTTCACAGCAGCAAGTGATCTTAGTAGGTAGATGAGGGCTCTATTTTGAAATTTTTGTGACTCATGAATTTTAGCAAGAAATTATATTTTCTACAGAAGAAGGTGAGAGAAAGATAATATATAAACAATAAATACTATGTTCTACCTAGGTGCACACTGTTGATGCATTCATAGAGGTCTATGGGTTATGGGGGGAGAAGAGCTCTGGAGGTCTTGCCAGCTCTGTGTATTCTCTGCAGCCAGACTGATACTTTCTTATCTTTCTAACTGTACTAGACTTGAGATTCTTATAAAAAGATCCTAACTTTATTAATCTTACAAATCTGCAATAGATATGATTATTTTTGAATAAAATAGAGATTTACTGATTTACAAAGAAAAAATATCTAAGGCTAAACAAATTACCTGAAAAACAGTAAAATAAGTGTAAGCAAATTTAGAATAAGCAAAAGAGATTACTGGTTGTCTCCAGGTCCATTTTATACTTTTATGACAGTCATTATTATTATTATTATTTTAATTATACTTGAACACAGATATTAGGACAGAACATGAACAAACATTTGCAGCTTGCAAATGGATTATTACCAGTAGATAGAAAGTGCCAGTGCTCCAAAGGTAGGTTGAAACAAAATACAATGAATAATTGCAGAAATGATTGCAGTCTAAAACCATAAATTATACAAAGATATGATCAGGAATACAATAATGATATACATATCAGGAGATATTATTTTCATCATCTAGTAACACAAGTTAATATTGAGGAATATTATCATCAAAGTAACCACAGCCATCACGTATTATTTTAAACTTAGCACAGTTTAAAATAGGCTCTGCCTATCCAGATTCTTATTCATACTTAGTTAACGAGTGTCTTCCTTTCTCTCTTCTGTTCTCCTGTCTGGATCAGCTTTCGCCCCCATAGAAATGTTCCATTTTGACTTCTGCATTAATTAATTTCATACTGCTACAGTAACAAATTACCAAAATCTTAGTGGCTTAAAAAAGAAATTTGTTGCTTTATAGTTTTGGAGGTCAGAAGTCTAAAATCAAGGTGTTGGCAGAGCTTCATTCTTTCTGGAGGCTTCGGGGAAGAATTGTTCCAGTGTCCAAAAGCTGCATGTATTCTTGGCTCATAGCCTCCTCCTCCATCTTCAAAGTGCATCACTCCAAGCTTGGGTTCCGTTACTGTATCTCTTTTTTATAACACTGACTCATCCTTCTTTCCTCTTTAAGGAGCCTTGTGATTATACTGCACCCAATTATGTGATCCAGGATAATGTTCCCATTAAGCTCCGTAACTTAATCACGTTTCCAAAATTCACTTTACCACATAAGGTAAAACGTTCACATATTCTGTGAATATCTTTTTGAGGAGGAGGCATTATTGTGTCTACCACAGCCTCCTACTCTGAACTTAGGTAGTCTGTTTTGATTTTATAAGCATAAAGTAGAAAACAAGCCTTGGAAAGGACTGCATTTCTGCCCAGCATCTAAAACCTGGTTTACCTTACAGCTCAGGCCAATTCCCTTACTACGCTGAGGTCAACATTTTCCAGCATGCACTATAGCTGTACCCAATAACTTCTAGAGGGTTTCATACATTGTCTGGGAAGCAGAATCCACATTATGACCTGAAGACAACTTAGCATATGTTTTCCTGGAACGCTTCATCAAACAGTGGCAAATCTTAACTGACCTTGATCAATAAAATGATTTTATGAGATAGGCTAATAGAGGAGAAAGGATGATGAGGGAAGTGGGCAGAACTGAGATTCAGTATTTCCTTGGCCATTTCATGAAGTATAACCTGAAGGTTAGTTAGTCTCTCTGGAGCAGCGCTGGAACTCAACATATTTTTCCCACTTTCCCTGTGTCCACAATACTTTATTGCTTCTTTCTTCTCAGGGATGCTTTTTTCCCTTCACTACCTGAATCTAGGTTGTCCTGTGTCTTGCTTGGGTCAATACAATGTGGCAGAAATGATGACATGTCAATTCTGTCAAACAGCCTCAAAAGACCATACAACCTCTGTTCTTACCATTCTTGGAACCAGCCCAGGTAGCCCATGGGATGATGGGAGGCAGAGGTCCAGGCCCCTTGTTTTCCAGGCAGACAGCCAGCCACCTCCATAGAGGCAGAGCCACCATGCTGACCAATAGCTGATGCATGTGTGAGCCCACTTAAGATCAGCATAAAAATATCCTACTGAGCCCAGGCCAAATTACTGACCCACAAAATCATGAGCTAAGGAAATTAAAGCACCAGGTTTGGGGATGATTTATTAAGAAATAAGGTAGTTGATACAACCACAGATAGAAAGAGAATGAGAGTTGGTGACCAGTTTTTGTCAGGTGATGGCAGCATATCCAGATAAAATGAACCAAAATAAACTTGAAATGGCCAAATTAAACAGTCGGGAAGAAGTCAGATCTCGACATGGGAATTTCTTTGAACTCAGCAAGAGCTCCAGTTCCTTGACTATTCTAATCTTTGCCTTATCTGTTATGTCCCATCATTACTACGTATCATAGATGTCAGGATCCATCAATTCTCTCTTCTATTGATAACATATGCAATTTCTTCTATTCATCTAAATATAAAACTTTGTTTGTTAGTCTTTTTGATAAGTTATTTTTAACCCGTCTTAAAATATCTTAATTCTGGAAGAATAAAACAGTTTGCCTTCTCTGAGTCTTTCTTTGCCATGCTAACTTAAATTGTTCAGTTTCACCAAGAAATGTCTAAAGCCTTCTTTTCATCATTTCATTTGTGCCCTCCATGGATGTTATCAATGGTCTCTTTGATTGCCATGCATGTGCATATAACTCCTAGACATAAGAATGTACTATAGAGCTTTTCCTTGAACTACAGACCTATATTCATGACTTCTTAGACATATTTACCTTGCTATTACAGTGCACCAAACATCACTTGTTCCAAGCCATCCTACACATCTCCATTCCATTCTCAAAGAACAATGCAAGTATTCAGCTAGTTACACAAACTAGAAATACTGGCTATGTCTTTAAATTCTCCTTTTAACCTTCCTTATACAATTATTAAATTCTCTCCTATCTATTTCTTAAATATCTCTTTCTTGGAATCCTACCCACCGAAATTGACCTAGGAATCAACACGCCGTGGGAGGGCAGGGGGGAAAGGAAGGACAATTTTACATGATCTGTGACTTGTACTCAGCAAAATAAATTCCATAATGGACTCACTGGAAAACATCTTTGATATACACATATTCTGAGAATACTGCTATAATCACTATCAAAATTTTAAAAAATCAAACAGAAGCTGAAATACTCTTAAGTGAACAAAATCAACAAAAGCTGAAATAATCCTAAGTGAACAAAGTCAGTGCCTTTTGATCAGGTCAAACATGTCGACATGTAAATTAGTATCATTTTCTTCAAAGAATGTTAATTTCTTATCTTTTTATAAAACTCTATGTTCATCTCTACTCTTGACTACTCAAGCACAGGTAAATTTATACCTTAATAAGCAGATAATAAGCCTATATACACAAACACATACACATAATGATTAAAGTATGCTAGTATATACTTATATACATAGTAACAATGATTGAATTAAGTGGAAAATATAATCTGAAGTTCAGAAGCTCACCAAATTATCTCGGCCCTTAAAACTAAAATAATCCAAAATTTATGCCTTTTTACAGTCAAATGAGAGCAATGTCATTGCTCAATTTTAAGAAATATGCATCCTGAGCAGCAGGATTAATTGAATAAAATGTTTGAAAGAAAACAATTAATGAGAGGAAGAAAAATAAATTGGCATTAACCTTGGTTTGATTCTCTCTCACCACATATCAGCAACATTTATGAAATACTAAATGAAATACATATTTGATTGTAGAAATTAGACCTCAATATTACAAGTAATAGGCAAAAGACACATTTCAGTACAAGACAGTAAACCCCAGGTAGTCCACATCTGTGCAGCTTGAGTTGAAGGCTGGAAGGCCACTGTGCTATCTAACTTAGGGCAGTGAATGGCAGGTAGACAGCATTATTAACACCTCCACATAATGCTGTATTATTTTGACTTCATTCAGCCTTTCATAGGGTATGGATATGAGCATATTTTGAATCTAGCACAGCAAAATTAGCCTTTAAAAGCCTAAATGTCTTCATAGTGTGACAAAGTGGACCACCAAATAAATCACATGTCAGATACCGGATGCATAGTTATCTTTCATAGGGAATTAATTTTGAAAATGCTCATTTTTTTTACTCTATAGTAACTCCATAGTAATGCATTTTATAGAAAAAAATTCCATATTTAATCACAACTGAAGACTTATATTGAAAACTGAGGTACATTAGAGGAAAGACTTCCATATATTAAAGAAAAAAATTAAAAAAGACTAAAGTGCCTAATTTTAAGTTATGATAGCAAATGTAAAAAGAAAGAATTCTAGGTGAAACAAAAACTATATTCACTCAAATGTGATAATCTTTATGTTTACTCTTTGTAAATTTTGAAATCCTATTTAACTGGTTATAAAGGTTATCATAGAAACATTCATAAATGGTCAAGGAATAGCATTTGCATTGCTTTAACTGTTTAAGATGAAAATTTCATCATCATTTTTATATTTAAACTATATAATCAGGTTTATTCTTAAAGTATAAGAGTGATTAAATCATAAAAACTCTATGCCATTATTTACAGCAATCTTTAGCCTTGTGGATTCTGCATATTTTGTCATATTAATAAACATTTTCTGTATAAGATATTGGAACAGTAATAGAATAACCAACAGCATTTTTTCATTTTCTCTATTTATTCTTTTTTCAAATATATATTTTAAAAAGGATTTTTTTCTGCTTTTCTCTTCCTGATTCTAAAAGAATTCTATGCCAAGTATAATACATTCAAATGTAGCAAAATACAATGATAATTTTCACAAACTGGAATACATCTTATTATACATATAATATAATAGTACATTATTTATGAAAAGGATATGGACCAAAGTTTTATTATAGTATAGAGAGAAAATAAATTCAGATGATTATCAAGCACAGTCCGCAGGTAGAAAATAATCTCATTACAATAGAAATGACTCTATCCAGATGGACATTAAAGCTTTATTGTCCAAATGTGAAGTAATATGTAGACATTCAGAACCACCAGAACAAATACATTTATGACTTTAACAAAAATCTTGTCAACATCTGAGCAATGTCTGGTTGTAAATGTTTTCTTATGCGGAGAAGGGACTGGGAGACCAACCAAAAAACTGTTCGTTTTGGTGGACTGTCCATAGCATTCCATTGTTTATCTCGGTATAATTTTTAAAATACTCTGGGGTAATAAAAGGAGGCCAAATTTATCTTTTTTTTTTTTCTTCAGAATTTCTGGCTTTTAGTCTTCCAACTCGGATTCAAAAATCCATTCTAAATTTCACAGACAATGCCACTACTTTCTGGTAGGGAAAGAATATGGAAATTAGGGGACTCATTTATTGTTCTGCAGATTCCTGTTGCTGTGAAAGCTCCCTGGAAAAGTTTTATCTAGGGTATAATGTAGGCTCCATGTTTATTGAAATCTTGGTAAGTAGAACTGAAAATCAAAATCCTGTTTTGTTAGGGCCACAAACAGTAAACTGTTAGTTCAGACTGAGGAAATCTTAAGAACAAGACTTCCTTGATTCTGGGAAAACAACTCCAAATAAACTCTAGTTACAAAATGGTAAGCAAATATTTTCTTCTGAAATTGAGTATAGAGATACTTTTGACCTCATGATGGAAAGACACTTGGATTTGGCGGTAAAGCCTGCCTTTGTTGGGCCAGCAGATCGCGTTCTTTTAAGATGGAAGGTTTCAGGGATGTGAATGAGAGTGATGGATATTCCTTACATAGGTACTCACAGGTTGCTCTTCCATGGTTAGATTAAGCCCAGAAACTCACACCAATGTTCTCATGAAGTACATATAGGGAAAGTATTGATTTTTAACTTGTTTTGTAGCTCTCATTAATGAAAGTTCTCATTAATTTGACAAAATTGTAATAAATTATTTTATAATTTCTAAGTATATAATATCATCATTCTATCATAATTATTTCACTGCTTCCTTTGAATTGCTGGTATTATTCTGTCTTATTCCCTGAGTGTAAGGTAGATTCTTTTAAGACTAGCTGGAATAATAAAAATATATAGTTTTGAGTTTTAAACAGCAATTTTTTAAAAAGATGTATTTAAAAATGAAGAAGCTAGACGCAGGCTATGAGCTAGGTGTGGGGGACATAAAAATAACTTAGAGGTGAAGCAACGATCACTAAGCTTAGGATAATGTCAAAGGGAAAATAAACAGCCAAGAGCTATCATGACAGGAAGAGGCAAGGAAAAAAACTTAAAATG
Source organism: Homo sapiens (assembly GCF_000001405.40). Lineage (NCBI taxonomy): Eukaryota > Metazoa > Chordata > Mammalia > Primates > Hominidae > Homo > Homo sapiens. Next base: position 65,830,794 of record NC_000018.10, on the reverse strand, counting down.
ACCTCAAGGCTAAGAAAGAATAAGAAAAGAGAGAGAGAAAAGAAAGAGGAAGAAAGAAAGAAAGAAAGAGAGAGAGAGAAAGAAGAAAAAGAAAGAAAGAGAAGGAAAAGAAAGGAAAGGAAAGGAAGAGAGAGAGAGAAAGACAGGAAAGAAGGAAGGGAAGGGGAAGCGAAGGGAAGGGAAGGAAAGGGAAGGGGGGAGGGAAGGAGAGAGGGAAGGAAGGAGAGAGAGAGGAAGGAAAGAAGGAAGGAAGGGAGGAAGAAAGGAAGGAAGGGAGGAAGGAAATGTATTTATAACCAGGAAAGTAATAACAATTTGAATAAATATTGATATTCATTGTAATACAGTCCTTTGAAAAGAAGTGAAAGACTTGAAATGAATTAAAGTTATCACAGGCACTTCCATGAATAAGTGTTCAAGAGAAATAAGCAAATATTTTAATTTTCTACTCATATTTTATTGAGCTGCACCTAAAATGCCTTACAATATGTATTATGTGTAATCCACTCTATTTGCAAAGCACTGTACATATATATTCCTATTTACCAACAGCAGTTTTGTGAAGGAGCATTAAGAGCCCTCTCATTTACATTACCTCATCTGTTGCCCACATTCCCTTCCTCATTATCCTCCAAAGAAATTGCCCCGGTTCTTTCTGTATTTAGCAGGTTATCTCATAAGTGAAGTCTCTGCACAGGTGATTACCTCTGTGCCACTTTCTCTTGTCTACCTGAGAAAAACATTGTTATGAATCCACTATTCAACTTCTTCCCCAGGGCATGTTCAAATCTTTGAAAGCCCTGGTAGGACTGACCAGTTGGCTGACAGATGGGGCCTGAGCTCTCCTGGACACTTCTACAGAGCCTTGGATATTTATTCAATCCTTGTGGCCACAGCTAAGTCTATGAAAAAAATCAGAATATTTATGGAACTGGGACATCTACATTCCATGATTAGACCAGTTCCCATGATTGAATACACACACACACACACACACACACACACACACACACACACACTCCCTTCCTTGAAAAAAAATGCATCTTGCTGGTACAGGCGCTGTGCTTCTTCTGTTTATTGTTTAAAGGAAAAATAGGAGGGATTTTTTAGACTCAAAAGATGAGTATGGTAAGGGGGCACGAAAGCAGAGTGCAGGGGAGTCAACAGGCAGGGGGAGGTTTGAAGAACTGGAAAAAACTTTACGTTGCTCTCCAGGAATTACAAGTAGTTTAGTGACTGCTCTAGATTGTTGAGTGAAACTGAGGAACAGTGAAATACATATCTGGCAAATATGAGTCTGAAGCACCACAAGTTTTTTTTTTTTTTTTAATTTTACCTATTTCAAACAGCAACGTTTCAGATATCTCATCTTAATACACATGTATCCTATCCTGATGAGTTAATGATCATAAAAATTTTACAGACCAGGCGGGCGGATCACAAGTTCAGGAGATCGAGACCATCCTGGCTAACACGGTGAAACCCCGTCTCTACTAAAAATACAAAAATTAGCCAGGAGTAGTGGCGGGCGCCTGTGGTCCCAGCTGCTCAGGAGGATGAGGCAGGAGAATGGCGTGAACCCGGGAGGCGGAGCTTGCAGTGAGCCCAGATGACACCACTGCACTCCAGCCTGGGCGACAAAGCGAGACCCCATCTCAAAACAAAACAAAACAAAACAAAAATGACAGACCATACTGCTTAGGTTTATGCCTTCTGTTGCTATACATTATTTCACTTTTAGAATCTAATGGTTCTGTCTCAGAATGGTAAATATATTCTCCACATTAAGATAAAACTTAAAAATCAGATCTATTTTGCACATTAGAAAACTGAAAGCAAATTTAAGAGATCTCAATTCTAGGCATCCAATAGTTCTTTGAAGTTCATAGAAAGAGTTAGAATATGAACAATGTTTGAGGATAACAGGACAAACCCTGGATTATTCTGGAACCAAGTACAGGGTAAGAGGCAGAGAAGCTACACATAAACTGTGAATTACATATTTCAATGAATTAATAAAATAATTGCTGAGAATAAGAAAATTATGAATTAATGGTAAATTTTCATCTAAAAATGAGATGAATATACAATTGACCCCTGAAAAACATAGGGGTTAGGAGAACCACCACCGACACAGCCAAAAATCTGTGTATAACTTTGGATCGCTCAAAACTTAACTACTAATATCCTACTGTTGACCAGAAGCCTTACTGATAACACAATTATTCTATTAACACATAAACAGTCTAATATCTTCATATATTTTAGGCATTTAATACATACCAATTTTTTCTCAAAATGTTCAAGATCTCTAGGCTACATAAGTCATCTGTGAGTATTTTCAGATTGTCACAAATTTCCAAAAAGAGTAATATATTTATAGAAAAAAATCCATATATAAGTGGACTCACTCAGTTAAAACTCATGGTTTTTAAGGATCAACTGTGTAACACTATAAGCAATTTTTGCAAGTGAAAAGAAAACCTTCGTAATTAGTAAGCTTAAACTGCAGTAAAACGCAAATGTATCATTTCCACTATTTTTAGTCAACTCTTACATAAATTATTTGTTTATGTTTGTTTATTCCAATACGGATGAGAAAGTAGGATTGTTTGGACACTGGAACATATTAACAGATAATAAAAATTTGTAAAATTTTTAAAAATTAGTTTGGAGGTGGAGGGAGCTTTGGAAATAAAAATTAAGCTCCTGTATACTAGTTAATTTTCCCACTATCTAGTATCTACTCAGAACTACGTGGAGAAGGAGGAGGGTAGGAAGAAAGAAAAAAGTAATGTTTGCTAAGCCTAAAGATTTTTAGCATGAGGAAAACTGAGATTTTGTTTTCATTTATTTCCATGTTGATATTATCTGCACTGTATAAAAGCACCATAGGTATTTTTTAAACATCTTTATCTATTTCAAACAGCAAAATTTCAGATATCTCGTCTTAACACCCATGCATCCTATCATGATGAATTAATGAACATAAAAATTGCAGACCATACTGCTTAGGTTCATGCCATCTGTTGCTATACATCATTTTACTTTTAGAATCTAATGGTTTTGCCTCAATATGGTATATATATTCTCCACATTAAGATAAAATTTAAAAATCAGATCTACTTTGCACATTAGAAAACTGAAAGCAAGTTTGCGCAATCCCCTTTAAGAGTAATAAACTATGACTAACTTCTTAGTCTAAATTATTGTTCATATAAACAGTGTGTTTAGGCTCAAAATGATATGGAAAATCATGTTAGCATTCAACATCTGAACTGTCTACTGGTGTATTTAAAATCCCTGGATTTAACCTAAATGTTATTTTTTTGACCTTTGATAGCTAGATAGTCTGTTTGGTTCTCCATAGTAATTCAGGATGAACAAGAATTCTTTCGTTACATATTAAAATTTACCTTGGCTACTTATGACACAGAAGTAATATTATGAAATTTTTCACCACCATTGATTCTTAAGATTCTCCTGTACATTGTGTGTGCTTAATTTTTCCTAAATAATCTTTGATGTTATATAACAAAACAAAGAATTAGACAAGTATTTATGTATTAGAAGTCATTTAAGAAAATAAAATTTAATTTTAGTTGCTAACAATCTCAACTAAAAATAATGGAGTTTTGACCTCATATTCAGTGAAAAAATTGTTAAAATATTTAGCTAACTTCTCATATAATGATTGATGAATAAATATTTAATAATAACTAATGATTGATTTTTATTAGATTCAAAGCATCATTCAGATTTCTGGGCAGAAGTAAGGAATCTCTGTATCAAAACCAAAAATTCTATTAATCTAAATGTTTAAAAATTTGGAATCATTTTTAATCATAATTTATTAAATAGAATATTACGTTTTTTAATACCTTCAACAATACACAAACTTAAGAACTTCAACAATACACGAAATTTGAACCCACTGAAAACCATCTCTGTGACTTATTTCTGTATTTGTAAAATAATTTTGATCTCTAATAATAGTCAAAGTAGATTATACAGTGTTTTTAATGAGATTTTTTTAATGATATTTATTTCCATTTGGCCTTTGAATAACTCTTTTATATATTTAACAACATTTCAATTATAACAATAACTACTGAATGTTACATATTATTGAAAAAGCAGTGAAGGTAAGATTTAGAAATGATACTATTAACATTTTTAACATTTTTCTTATAATCTGTTATTCTGTATAAATACAATTTTCATAAAATGTGAAAGACTTTGTAAAAGTTTGGATACTGCCTTTTAATAATTTTTGAATAAAAATTTTCCATATTCATTTGCAAAAACAACATCTCCACATTACTACAATGATGGATGAAAATTCCTTAATATGATAATATAAATTATTTACCATTTCTTCCATTGTTCAATATTTTATAATGTTTCTATATTTTCAGGGTCCTAATAATAGCTTCATGAGATTGTTGAGAAAATAAAATAAAGCCTTTAAGTTACTCAAAAAGAAAAGCCTGACAGATATTGATACCTATAAGAATAATAATGATTATTTGTGATGTTTTTCTATTGTTATAAGTTAGAATCAAATTTCTCCTTGCAATTTTTTAATGAGTTTTATGCTTTTAGATGACATAATTTTTAATCTAGGTTTTTTTGTCTCTTTTTCTAGCAATTTTCTAAAATTTCCAGAAATGATATTATAAAATTAGAAAACAAGTTTTACTTTTCCCTTACTAAATCAAATATTTTATATTAAATTTAGAATTTTCAAAGATTCATGCTGCCTTCATTATAATATATAAAATATAGGTATTTGTTCAATAAAAACTTTCAATTTGCATTAAAAATTCTTGAATGTGAACAGATTGATTTCAGATGACTCTTTGAAATCTTTGAGCAGCATTGTACCTTACTGAATTCCTTTTAATTTAGGCAACAAAACAAAACATTTTACCAACAGTTGGCCTACTCTAGTTATTAAAACTTTTATACACAGATTGTCACCAGCTTAGCTAAAACAGCAGCTGTCCACTGGAAATAATTGCAGAAATGTTTTTCTCATTGGCCTGAAATCAAACATATGTTTTCCTATAACAAATAAAATATCACTTTTTTTATTGATATGTGCTAATTATTGAAAAGTATTAATTACAAAGTTATACACTGGATTTTCATACTGACAAAAAATTTCGTATCTTAGGGGTCAAGATATTGATATATTTTTAATGTTTCAAATAGTTGATAAACTAAGACTATGTTTTGAAATAATAGCTTTTGAGTTATTATTTTTGATTAAATATCTGTAAAAAGTCATATCTCTAAATTGAAAAGAGAGTAAAGAGTCCATTTTCTCCCATAACTGTGTTGAGAGCTAATTTAAATATATTATGGAAAATAATCTTTAGTTTGGGCTGTACTGACTTTCTGTCTCTTTCACACTCGCTCTGTAGAAAGTATGATAGGTTTTACAACTTTTCATGCTTTTCTTGTACGAAATATGCAAGTCTTCCAATTACTATAAATTTTAAATGGCAATAATTGGTAATGTAGCAAGTTTTCAACATTTTGGTTTCCACTTGAAATCATATTATTTTCATTTATGGAGAAAATAATAGCATCTGTTGTTTGCATACACAGGCTTTTGGTTGAATTTAGGGTTTCATTAGTGGAATAGTCAAGGCAGAAACATATTCATCTCTCCAAATAGGTCTTTAAAACAGCACATTGCCAGTTTGCTTTATTTTTATAGTGCTATAGATAATGGCTGCGAGTTTCTTAAAGAATAGAATTGATGGGTGTTATTACAAATGTAACTCAAGGTTCCCTAAGAGTCTGACACCAAAAATTAAATGTATAGCTTATCTTACTAAAATTAAAATAGTAATGGTCCCATATGGCCATTCGGTTTGTCTAGTACATTCTCCCATCAAACAGAAAGGACTTCTCAGTAATCTGTGATAAAAGATAAATAAAGAAAACATTACCTTCTGTATAGTAATGATTCCTTCCTGGGTTTCTTTGTCAACAGAAATCTTAAAAATGCCCAAACCATCACCATCCACAATCTTGTACTCCATTTCAGCATTAGCTCCAATATCTGCATCAGCAGCTTTAATTCTGGCCACAACTGAGGCTACAGGTAATGACTCTGGGACGTTATATTGATAAGACCCTGTGAAATTCAAAGCAAGAAATGAACACGTTACACCAAACTAACCAATAAAAATTTAAATATTGGGTTATTTTGGCATCATTGTAGCACAACTTCTTTTTATTTTTTAATAAAATATATGCTAAGGTAATGGAAAACAAAAGATGAGTTTCATAGAGCCTTAAGAGGTATGATGGGAATGATTAGTTAATAATCACTGTGATAGCAGAAATAGATGATGAGGAAAAGCAAGAGAAGAATCTCTAATTCCTGTATTTCTGGCAGTGAGAAATATCCTACACTGAAAAATAAAAATAAATTTAAAGTAATTATAATTGATATACAATTAGTAAATGTAATTCAATATCATAATTACAATAATGTGTAAAATACTAAGAAATAAAAATAGAATAGATTGGCCTTGAAATGGACAAATACAAGCCTAAATCATTTTCATAACTTAATGTTGGAATTTACTTAGCATTTTTACCGAGAGAGTTTCAGAAAACTGGGTAAGAAAACTGGATAAGAAAGGATAAGAATGATTTGTGTGGGTTGTATGTAGAACTGATTTGGGCCACAATGGTCTGGGAGCCTAGACAATATTAGTTGAACTGAAAAAAAAAAAAGTGAAAGAGAAAAAAATAACTTCTAAAATTTTTGGTTTAACTTTTGTAATAACTCCTCTTCACCATCCCTCAAACTAAAGAAAAAGTTTGGGGGCAGATGAAGAAATACATGAACTACATCACTCAGAAATGACGAAACACCGCAGCATGCTATATTCCTTCATTATTTTTTCTCTAATTATTTACTTTTTCCTGCCTCCTGCATCTACTTCTGTTTCCTTTGGTTGTTAAATTGTGGTGCATTTGTCCTGTCTTGTGAAGGGATAAGAAAGGATTCTCTCTGAGAAGAATATAGAAAGGAAAATGTGTCTGTATTATGGAAAGATGTATTAGACTGAGACTTGTTCGCAATTTTCTAGACTTTGTGAATAGTTACTGTTTGTTTTTTAAATGATTATAACATATGCTATTACTTTTGAGTGACCCCTTTCACATATCTCAAAGTGTCCTTCATAAAATTCCAAAATGTCAGGGTTAAACTAGTGATTCAACGGTAGAGAAAAATCCCAGCAAAAATGAATAACAATGGTATATCCCTGGCTTTTTTCACTTTAATAAGTTTGAAGGGATCTATAATGGCCTAGAAAACCTGTATCCTACTAAAATTCTACATAATTTTATCAATCTAGGCTTAAACAAAAGGAAAGCAGTTCATTTCATTATAAGCCCAAGATAATTGCATTATTACATTTTTTAATTCTAAAAGTCCCTCCTTCTCCATGATAAGCCATCAAGATCACAATTAAGAATAGGCTTATTGAAAGAAAATAATGCTAAACCTGGGGTCACTTTTTTATATTACCAGGAGATACCATTTCTTGTATAATAATATAAATATTAAAAATATGTAAGATAAAGAGGAAAATTTTAAAGCAGCAGTCATTGAAGGAAAAAACAGTGACACTTGTATTTGCTCAGAAAGGTTCGTTTTTTGATATGATTCACTTCTAAATTCTGTTGGTAGGGAGTTTAGTTCCCCATTTCTACTGGAAAAGCATTTTAGAGACATTGTACAGACATTATGGTCTGTACAATCTCTTTATTTTCTTGAGTGTTCTAAAGAAATAACACATACACTTAGGGAAAAAAAGGGAACTAAAAAGAGAGTGAGATGAAACGTTTTTTACAAACAGCACACCTCTACCTAGAGAATTTTTTTTTTCTTTTTTCTTGGTTAAGTTAAAAGCCCCTTTGGTCAAATAAGTGGAACTGAGGGCATTTGGTTTTCTAGTTCTTTAGATTGGTTTTTAAAACACTGAATGTTTGCACAAGAAAGACGTGGGGGAACTGCTAAAGGAATGTTCAGTGTGTATAAACTGGCTTTAAAAAGTGTGAAATGATAAAATGAAAACATTTATTACTCTTTTTTAATTTTCAAAAATAAATCAATATTTTAGTGCATAGAATGAATAAAATGTATTTGAATATTATTAATTGGCAACAACTTTATAATTTACAAAATATAAAAAGAGTAATTCTTAGAAAAAAGACTAATACATAAACACAATTAATAATTGTCTAGTATTCAAAATGTGAATGAAAGAAAAATCTTACTATATTTAAGATAGAAGTAATGCAAATATATGATGGCTTCTATTTCTTCTCAATACCCTTATAATCCATATTCCTGAATCAAAATTATGTCTCTAATAAAATGCAAATTTGAGAGAATGAAGTAAGACAATTATTTGCTTTAGAAGTATTTGAAAAAAAGTCATTTTAAAGATGTATTTTATAGACTTTCAGGGAAAGTTATTGCACTTGTGTCACTTAAGAAAACAACTTACTTCGAGGAAAGCGAGGTGGATTATCGTTGACATCAGTTAGGGTCACAGTGACTGATGTAGTTCCTGACAGTCCTCCATTTTGACCAACCATATCCTTTGCCTGAATGACAAGCAAATACTGGTCTTTAGCCTCTCTATCCATGTTTGGAAGGGCAGTCTTGATGACTCCTGTAAAATTTCAAATCCCAGTAAAACTCATCATGAATCACTGCATTTATACTAACAAAGAATACTGATACAAGTAGTAAGTCCCTCTTGAGTTGTTGCCTTTTGTTGTTTTGTTTACTTTAAATAATTTTACTGTGTATTAAAGACCAAAGAAATAGGATAGTTTTACACAATGTTACAAAACAGAGAAAACATTATTAACGTGGTTTTCTCAATACTGAATAAAGAGGATTATCTTTAGGTTTCATGGAAAAGTGGTTAAGGAAATAACAATTTATAAATAAATAAAATGGCCTTTTACCTAGAATAATGGACAGTCACCTGTACAAGTACGCAGCAATGAACTTGTCTTTTTCTTCCATCTCAACAACTTATAAAAATGCATAACCACTTACTATCAGTTTTCAAGTTAAATAATATTCCTACTATCTGTAGCAACAATATTTTTGTTTAAATCTGAGCACACTAGCTCTCAAACACAAACACACACATACATCTGCAACAGATCTATATTTTAGGCATTCAAATTACACTTACTTGAAAAGTCCACGTTGCTTATTTATTTTTTGACATTACTCATTTATTCTAATACACTAAGTGTAGTTGGATGCTATTGTCACGGCAATCCAGGCTCACTTTAAGTAACACCTTCAATGAATCCTTATGTGTGTCTACATATTTTATAATTGATCTTTGAAATATTATAATAAAAATGAAAAAAATATATACAAATTAGGTCCAGGTGGTAAGTATCTAATATATAGATACTCTTCTCAGAGCCATAATGATTTTATGGATTTTTCATGTTTGCTTTTCAATACTTCTATTAACTTAAATTTACAACAAAGCAAATATTGACTTCCCTAATACTGTCACCAAACATAAACAATCTTTGTGTGAGAGTTCTGGGACATATCTCCACCTTTTTCTTTTCTTGTTTTTTTTTTTGTTTGTTTGTTTGTTATTTTTTGCTGTTAATTATCTTTATTTCTGTAACCCCATTTTTAAAAATTGAGCATTGCTTATTTTGAACATGACCAACACATATTTCATTTATATGAAAAAATGTGAACAAAATGAGTTATTTGTAGAAAAGAAGTCCCAATTATTTTTTATATATTTTTTTAAATTTGACTCATCTCTCATTTTTCCTTCTAATATCAGTATGTGTGTTATCATCTGTGCACATTTATTGTGATGGAGAGAAGTCTATAACCCCTCAACTAATCAGTAAAGGAAACACTGCAGCCTCATCCTCTCATGGGTTTGCTTTGTGGATTTTTGAAAGGACATATAGCATCGTTAAGATAGAAGTCTGGTAGTCAAAGTTTCTCACTTATTTTTCACACTTCTAATTGTCTTTTTATAAGTGAGCCTATAAATAACACCTTTCCAAGGCAGAAATCATCACAAAGTTTGCAAATCAATGCAGGTAGGAAAGGTAATCTCCAAATTCCTCAACTATTGAACGTATTTTTGACAAGAATAATATAATTGGGAAAAGTTGACTTGAAAGAAGAACACCCACTAATAATAGATTTCTACTTGTATGGCATTTGCTCACTTTTAAGTAAAAACTGTCTAAATTTGGAAAAGCATTCTCATACATTGGATTTCATTTGTGTTTTGTCATGTATTATATAATTGTGTATATAAATACACACACACAGAGAAAATTGTTAATATCATATGACTGAACTAGTAAAGTCTAGTCTTGACCAATTGGATACCTATAACTCCGTGAGACTTTCATGCTTAATAATAATCAGTAATTGTTTAAGTCACTTAGGCTTAGCAAAAAAAAAATCTATCTATGGGCTCTTTGAAAAAGACACTGGCTCATATTTTAGGCTTTGTGAATAATTTTTCTATAGCTATATCATCTGATACCATAACTCAGAACTTTTCATTTATTTATAATCCATGTTCATAAAAAGCATTGTGCATGTAAAATATAAACTTATATTGCTATTGTTCAAAAGCTGTTTTTAAGTATAGGAAAAAAATCTGATGATCTAATGTCCTATCAGCCTCAGATGATTTTTTTAAAGCATATTCTGCTACTATTGAATCTTCTTAAAAATTTGGTATATGTACCTCATGTAACAGACGATAGCCATTTCTGAAATCTTTCGCACTTTAGGGAAGCAAAGGAACACGGGTTCTGCATATTCAGGCTTCGAATTACCCTCAGGAGCCTAGACAACCACATGAACCCAAGGATTAATAACCAGGGGCTGGGGAGATTCACGCTGTGAGGGCTCAACCCTTTAGGATTGTTCTCACTAAAACTAAATAAACTTTTTTGGATATCACTTTGACTGCACTACCATTCCAAGGGGAATCTCAATATTGCAAAACCAGCTTTCTCAGGGATCCTGTTAACTGAGGAAGTACCTTCTCACAGTAACCAGGATCTGGGTCATCTGCACTTCCAACTCCCAAAGCCCTTCACGATCCTCACTCTCTCCATTACAGCCTTTTTTGTCTGTAGCTATTCTAAGAATTCTAAAACCATACAATGAGACATTAAAGATACTGGTTTCCTTACAGCTTCTATGGACTTAATAATATATATCAAGAGGTAAGTGATACTAAACAGGCAAGCCCACAAATTGGGACTTAGTCCAGGAGGTTCTTGGCTTTGCCCAAGAAAGAATTCAAAGGTAATCCAGTGGTTTTGGACAGCAACTTTTATTAAATGGTACCGCTCTTTGTGGAGCAGTGCGAACTCACAGGCAGCGTGCCCGAACTCTGCAATCTATGGTCTCTTGGCAAATTTATTTATACTTACGTAAACCCAATTTCAATTACATGCAAATCGAGGAGTGGGTCAATGCAGATTGAGGGGTAGATTATTTTGAAATTTCTAGGAAAGAGGGCAGTAACTTCCAGGTCATTGCAACGGAGACAGGTGGTAACTTCCAAGTTGTTGCCATAGTATTTATAAACTGTCATGGCACTGGTGGGAGTGTCTTATGCCAATGAGCAATGAGGGCAGCTAGCGATCTCTTATGTCGACATCTGCTGGTTCCTACCAGTTTTTTCACTTTATCCTGTCTGGACCAGATCCTATTTTGGTCAACAAGGTTGTGACCGGAAAATCAGTCCTGCTGGTCTCTCCTACCTCATAAGGACCATGAATGAACTAAAGCCATTTGGTATGGCCATCACCAAAATGGAGCAGCCAATGAAGAGAGCACTGTTGAAACATGGACAGGAGAATGATGCACCAGCAAAAAAATCATTTAAAATACATGTAGTTTGGCTGTTGGCTTTGCTTTTGTTTTAAAGAACTAATTGGATATCATGTTAGCTCTCTTGGTAACTCCTTTAAAGATAATTATTTCTGTGTGATTATTCCCTAGTGAATGAGAATAATAGATATAACTGGTAATGAACTGAATAGGTATTTATGTAATCAGTTTCTGTCAATATGTATTCTTAGTACTTAAAATATCTCAGTGATACTTGTGACCAATATTAGCTTATTCTGTTTTACATTATATCAATGAGTGTTACGTTACATGATGTTTAGAAATATAGTACATATTCAGGAAGAAAATTCCAATATGATGTTTTGCTATTAAAGACACGATTGAATATTTTAATGCAATATGATCACCTGTTATGTTATAGGTGAGAAGTACTCCCCCATGCACATTCTGACTGGATAACAATGATCACTTTTGTAAACTTATTCTGAGTCCTAACTGCCATCTTCTTTCCCTTGAAGAGCTCCTGTTGGAGCAATTCACCAATTGTAATAAACCCAATTCATTCTGTAACATATTGATAACCATTGAAATTAAAAAAGAAAAAACTCAAAACCTTATAGCATCCAAAGTTAACTAAAAGTAAATTAGAAATGAAATGGAGAATGGGATGTATAGACATTCTTAGGTGTGTGTATCTTTGAGACTTGAATTGCATTGTGAAAATAAATATACCGCATTATATTTTAAAAATACTCTATTATGAGTACAATTTGTAACACAAGACATTGTGAAGTCTTGAGTTACATATTTGTAGAATTTTAGAGATGAATACAGATTGGGTCAAGCAACACTCTTTCCTGCAAATGTAGACACTGATGCATGAGGAAATAGATCCTGAACAAAGAAGTTTCAAATTTAAAAAAATACTCATGATGCTTGAAAGTTAAATTTCAAAGGAACTTAGAAACTGAAATGAGCACAAATGTTTCAGGCTTGCTTTCTATTTTTAAAAATATCCTTTGATGATAATAGTTTAAATACTGCAATGCAAATTATAAATGAATTTCATATAATAGGCAATAAAATCAAGTATGGCACTTTTATTACAGACATTTATCAGTAAATCAAATATGAAAGAAATACACAGCCCTGGCTATACAGAAACTATGTTACTGATTAGCTGAGAAAACTCTTGGGAGGGGGAACCTATTTATAAAACAAAATCACAAAAGTTTTTGGATGCTCATTTTGTTTTACACTTAAGATAAAAATCTGCTAATGAGTTTCTATTTCTTTCTAAATTTTGTGCCTAAGCTCTGTATTATTTGGCTTATCTATCTCTAGTGTAGATATGAGAGAGCTATAAAAAGACAGAGAAGAACCAACAACAGTGAAGTAGTAAAGTTGGAAGCTTCTGGAACATCAAAGAATTCCAGTGCTGGCAGCAAATGAAGAGTCATTGAGGAGGGGATTCTTTTTGCAACCTGTAGGGGATGTTCTCAGCAAGCTTTCAAAAGAGACAGCACTCTTGCATAGAATGAGAACCGGGCGTGTAGGAAGGGTGTAGTTGGAAGGGGTCACTTGTTATGACGATACCTCTTATATAAAATTATGATGTAATAGGTATGCATACAACATATAATGCAGCCACCACGTAGTTATACTTCTTATGTCTAAAAAAGAACTCCTAAATGACAAATGATGTTTAACACTCAATCCATTTTCCAGAGCTTGCTTCATGGCTAGATGACCTATGCCGTCATTCCGACCCTGTACTCAGTTTAAAGATTTGCTGATGATGTATTTAAACTTAATCATTTAAGAACAAAGGACCTGCATGTTCAGTTTAAGCTACGAATTAGGTAGCCAGTCCTCCCATATATCACACAGATCCAAAAAAGGTATCTGTTTGCTTGCAGGTTACAAAATAAACAGATACACCTTAGAATACTCCTAAGTATGTTTAATGGAATAAATGTAATGTCCATAATCTCCTAGTAAATTTGGGACATTATGAAATTAGGTGGTGAGAAGTTTCAAGGGAATGTTGCTTTACCTTGTTTCCAGTGTCATGCTACCTTGCTTGTTAAAGTCAACTGTCAACACTGGGTTTTGCAACTACTCACATTCTAGGTTGGGGGAAGGAGAAATTGACGCAGAAAATATAGTTACCCTCTGGTCATTCAGCCTGTAAACAGTGCTATAGATGAAATTTGTGCTCTGAGATTTTAGTCATGTTATTTTCTTAGAAATTGAGAAGAAATTTATAAAAATGCACCTAACAGTGATGGCCTGTGCCTATGGTTATGCAATTTTTATTTAGCATAATTTCAATATTTTTCCTGTCAAAATTTTACTTTCTTCCCAAAAAACCCTTAGATTTAAAGGAGAAATAATGTTATTTCTCACATATAAATGAATCAGACAGACATCAGGAAAGGAAGACTAACAAGACTAACTGAACCTTGATTTATAATTCCCCATGCCCTTTAGGTCTGAAAACTTTCCATTTCAGTCAGAAAAACATGCAATTTATTTTTTCTCACAAGAAATGTACTCTACATATTATAAATTAGCAGAGAGGACAAAGATGCTCAGAATGTCTCTGCATTCATGACCATGTAAAAAGAAGTTCCAGCGATTACCATAATTACAGCATTAAAAAAAAAACTAAACTAAACTTTCCTCTTCTCTTGTAACACACAATCCTTTCAACTCTGAAATTAAAATCAGGTTTGAAGTATTAATAATCTAATCCTAAGACATATACCATTGTCTAGTTGATCAACCGGTATGGCTTTATCTCCATAGGGTTATAGGGAAATCCTGTTATTTTGCAGCAAAGCCAAAATCATAAGCCAATCATTAGTAGCAGCAAAATATTTTATCCTTGGACTTAATACATGCTATTTTTGGACAAGTTATATAAGGCAGGAGTGTATGATTGTGAGCATATTGTCAGAAACTTGTCAATGTCTTTTTAGGTTGCCAAGAGTAGGCATAGAAGGGAAGAGGTGGGTGTTTGAATTTAGGTTTCTCAGATCTATCATTCAGTCAAACAGAAGCACGCTTTCCACATTCACAGGATTCATATCATAAATCAAATACTTTCATTTACTTCTCCTTTAATACTTGCTTAATCATGACTGCTTCTTCCTTTGTAGATTTCCATGTGGTTTCCAAGCCCTATCACTACACTGGTGTAAAATATGCATTCCATCTCTATGAAAGCTGTAATGAATGAGCTAAGGTTGAATTTACTTCTCTGTTCATGCACATTACAACGGTCATTCTCAAAAGGTGTTCAAAACATTTATCCCCACAGTGATTTGAGAATAAATTAATATTGCCCTTTTGGTAAACATGGAAAACAGGATCAATGGCATTAAAATATTCATTTAGGATTACAGGTACTGATGACTATTCATAATCATAAATGTATATATTTGAATAATTCTAACTCCATGATAAAGGCAAAATTATTTTTAAAAAGAGAAAACGTGGATTTTCACAGTGATTTAAAAAATCAGTGACACACACCCGCTAATATTCGCACCCACCTGCCCTTCCCTACACACACAGGACCAGAAAAACTGAATACATTAAAATATCAATTAATAACCAAGATAACAATGTCCCATGTTATAGTCTTAATGTAAACAGTTTCAGCTTACATAAAAGCAAAACAGAACAAACCAACTACATATTCTATCCATACCACTTTTCAACTCAGTAAAAATTGTTCCCCCAAATTAAAAAAATATATATATTTAGTTTAGTTTTTGATTTGGCAGATCATCACCCTAATTGTTATGTTTCAACTAATTTCCCTGAGAAAAATAACATCTGGAAGAATAAACTGAAAGTACTACCTATTATATTACATGGCAGAGAGGTTTCTACTTGAGATATAAATATTACCATGTATAATTTCCCATGTGAATGAAAACACAAAACAAAACACAGGTAAAGCTCTGAGGTAAAGAATCGAAATTTTCTTAAGCATTCAGGAGATAGAAGCTGAAATACTTTTGAATATATAGCATTATTTTTAACTTTGTTAAGATACTGATGAATAAAATAAAATATTTTTAAAAGGTGATAAATCCTCAATAATATCATGCTTACCAAAGTAGACATATTGAGAGAAGCATAATAAAATGGTATGTTATTAGTGTCAACTATATTTAGAAATAATATTAATTCTAAGCAGCAAACAAATGATGACTTTACAAGAATGTCACATTTCAATTTTTACCTGTCTTTGGCTCCACTGAGAAGTACGGCTGTCCTTGCAGAATACTGTAGACCACTCTGGCACTGTTGCCATATGTAGGATCATCAGCATCCGTCGCTGTCACTTGTACCACTGAGGTCCCTAGATGCCAATCCCAAAACCACTGAATTAAAAACTTCCAAATACCACAAAACAAAAAACGTACAAAATGTTACTGATTCCACATTAAGCTTATTTGAAAATTTTCATTTATCTTTTTCAAGACACATAAAAAAATGGATACAGTATTTTTTTAAGTAAACCAGCCCCAAAGAGATCATAAATATTAATAAAACTCTTGAAATGTTTAAGGGATAAGAAAATATTCTGGCAAAAAAAAAAATACCATCGATGATGCACATTAGGCTGGGATATACTCTGAATTGGATGGGACTGAAACTTTAGGTGTCTCATCCATTGGGCTCAGGTAATATATTTTCATCAAGAGCAGCTTCTATAAGACTCAATCACTGTCTAGAAAGCAGCAAGACAACAGCATCTTGGACACTCAAGTAATTGCAGGTATACAACTGTCATAGTTAAGAAGATCCAGATAGAAATCAAAATGTCATTAATTGACAAAGAATATTTGATGCACCTAACTGTATATTAGGTGGCTACCCTATCTCCTTGGGATTTTGTTTTTAATTTTCTCTGCCAATTGATCTAAAAACAAAACAGGAAATGAAAATTTAAACCAAACCCCTCGTAAAAGAGGAAAGCCATGGAAACTTTAAAAATTGCATCAATAGTTTTTTCTTTGTTATATGATGAAATGTTATATTCTTTCTTCATTTACTATATATTCACACATTCAATATGGAAAGCATTTCTTCTGATCTGTTTTCCTTTTTTTCCATTTGGAATGTAATCTTTAAAATATTAGAGAGACTCATGTTTACTTAGTTTATATATTTAGTTATATACTATTATTTAGTAAATATGCTATCTTTTAAATATGGAACAAGCCCCTTTCTTTATGTGTTATTTAAGGTCCTAGTTTGTTACAAATAATTTCCTGAATACAACATTTTAAAGCTAACATATTTTTAGATTGATTTCTATGTAAATATCTCTTTCAAAATGACTTAAGCAAGTCATTAATGCCCATTTTGCTATAAATCCACTTTATTTTCTATATATATTTCATTGCCAATTCCATTTTCTTTAAAATTACGTGGAAATTATGAAAGTTAAGTGTACAGCACTATTCTTTAAATCCTGAAGTTTTTATTTTATTTTATTTTATATTTTCAGATGGAGTTTTGCTCTTCTTGCCCAGGCTGGAGTGCAATGGCACAATCTTGGCTCACCGTAACCTCCACCTTGCAGGTTCAAGTGATTCTCCTGCCTCAGCCTCCTGAGTAGCTGGGATTACAGGCATGCGCCACCATGCCCAGCTAATTTTGTATTTTTAATA
The DNA here is from genome assembly GCF_000001405.40 of Homo sapiens. Taxonomy (NCBI): domain Eukaryota; kingdom Metazoa; phylum Chordata; class Mammalia; order Primates; family Hominidae; genus Homo; species Homo sapiens. The sequence goes on along the minus strand of NC_000018.10, from coordinate 65,813,166 downwards.
GAGACAGGGTTTCTCCATGTTGGTCAGGCTGGTCTCGAACTCCTGACCTCAGATGATCTGCCCACCTTGGCCTCCCAAAGTGCTGGGATTCCAGGCGTGAGCCACCACACCCAGCCTGAAGTTTTTTATTTTATGGACTTAGATGATTGTGCCCTGTGGATGTCTGGTGGGGACAAGATGGTAAATAATGCATATTTTAAATCTTTTTAAGAATTAAATTTTGAATATTCAAAAAGTTGTAATAAATTACATTGATGTTCTCTCTTTCCTCTATATGTATCATCTTTACAATATTTATTTTGGTAATATGCCTAAGCATTATTTTCCAACTTCATTTTAAAAGAAAGCAAACAATTTTAAACCAAATAATAAAAACTAAACTTCAGTAAGTTTGGCTGTGTACAATAACACATTTTTTTCTGAAAAGTTCATTATCTCATTTAACACATATAGACACACACACCAGATACACACACATATTCACAAATAAATTTAAGCTTTCCACACCTGTCTATGTTCTTCTGGCAATAAATAAAGTATCCTAAAGGCTTACTAGTGTGTTTAAAATTTTATGATTAGCTAACATCCAATAAAAAATGATCCTTGAATATTAAACACTGAAAGCTTGCATGGTCTATATCATACTATTTGATGGCTATTTTACTTGGTTAGACTTAAGCACTTTGATTAACTATAGTGTTTGATAAACTGTAAGCCCATACAACGTATGTTATGTAGTTTAGGTATTCCATGTTCTATGTTCCAGTTTTTATATTAAGTTAGTGGTCTGAATTGGTGTCAAGTACACCCTGAAGACATCAGAAAATAATTCTCTAAGAAAATTCCAAACCCATTTGAATCAGCCAAGTATATAACTTAAATATAAATTATTGAAGCACTGTGATATGGGCCAGGTACACACCTGTAATCCCATCACTTTGGGAGGCTGAGTCGGGCAGATCACAAGGTCAAGAGATTGAGACCATCCTGGCCAACATGGTGAAACCCCATTTCTAGTAAAAATACAAAAATTAGCTGGGAGTGGTGGTGCGCACCTGTAGTCCCAGCTACTCGGGAGGCTGAGGCAGGAGAATTGCTTGAACTCGGGAGGTGGAGGTTGCAGTAGGCCAAGATTACACCACTGCACTCTAGCCTGTCAACAGAGTGAGACTCCATCTCGCAAAAAAAAAAAAAAAAAAAGAAAAGAAAAGAAAAGGTACTGTGATATGAAACAGCATGACTATTGTGCACACTTAAATAATATAATTTATTTAACTTATACATTATTCAAGTGTGCATAATATTCATGCTGTTTCATGTCAGAGTACCATCAAAATCAAAACAACAGTGCACTATTAGCTTCTAAAACAAAAAGTTCACATATCTATATTCTATGCAGGAAAGGAAAACCTTAGCAAGCCAATGAAGAACAACCAAAATGTCCATGAGATCTGGGAGTACGAAGTTGAATTGAATTGCTCAAACATATCTCGAAAATTCCTGTTTTACTAAACGTTACTAATCTGGGGAGGAAAATGTGCCCTTTCTTTTTTCTAAAATCTTGTAACAGTTACTGTTGCTGCTGCTCTTGTTGGTAAGCAAGAGCAGCAGGAAGCACTTGGAAGGTGTGGACGGTAGTGAGGAAGTGTGAATACACCTGTTTGGTCACAGAAATGCTAGCAATGCTTACATATGTGCTAATTATAGTAAGATCATGCCACTGTGGTTCAAATTCTTCCTGGCCACAAGCATTGATTCTTCTGTCTCCTTGTCATTTGGTATTTCTCTAGCAGCTAGAGCCATGGTGGTAACCCAAATAATTTCCCCTCTCTCTTCTAATAGGAACAGAAATTTAGGTTCACTAAACTGTGATCCCCTTAAGAGCACACATGATACACATCTTTGCAACCCCACTCCTCAGTGTCGTAGGTATGTTGATTGCATGATTGGATGAATGAAATGACCTTTTTTTTTTTTTTAATAAATCACATGGGTTAAAATACCCATGTGTTAAAATACAAGTTCCATTATTATTTTAAATAAACTCTCAATATTAAAAACAGCAGGAAATAAATATATAATAATCAACCCATCTCTCATCCAGTCTAATAACTTTGTATTTTTTATAAGATTTCCTATGCTTAAATTACATACTTGCTGTAAACTATTCCAAAAGTACTTGAATAAATGAAATTTAAAAGAGAATTTTGATTATTCGATATAAACACTAGAAATGCTTTACTGGGTATCTTTCTAGTAATGGCGCGATGACAAAAGGCCTTGAATAAAAAAGCCTTCATGTTTTAAATATATATCTCCAAATGGGTAACTCCTTACCGTTGCTATAAATTCACTACAAATTTCCATGCATTTAAGTTTTTGGAGAAATTTTTTAAAATTAGCGGTGGCATGGACACATGTCAGGGAACAACACACACTGGGGCCTGTTGGAGGGTTGGGGGTAGGAGGAAGAGCATCAGGAAGAGTAGCTTAGTGATGCTGGGCTTAATACTAGGTGATGGGATAATCTATGCAGCAAACCACCATGGCACACATTTACCTATCTAACCTGCACATCCTGCACATGTATCCCTGATCTTAAAATTTTAAAATAATTAGTGGTGGCATGTGTATGGCCATTTGTAGGTTCAAGCATACTCATTACAATTAAACAGAACAGCCAATCCAAATATTAATCCAAATATTAGCCTGGATAGCCATTGATGGCCTTCTTGATACATTGGCCATAGAGAGATGTTTAGAACAATGAATCAATATCTTAATATCATGGAAAGAAAAGTAAAAGATCATCACTGGCCTGTGTCTGGAAGAATTCTGTTTGTTAACTTCTGAGGCATCACTGTAATCATTTAAAAATATAAATAAATATCAAGTTGAAAAAATGTAAGATTGAAGTAATTTCCTGAAAACACTGAAATAGCTGTATAAAAACAATTTCCTAATATTCCATACAAATAAATTAATAAGTTAAGTTAATGGATACTGGCTGCCAACATGTCTCAAATGTTCCCCTCACCCTAACTGACAATCAATACACACATACTAGTAAGGTTTTTTTTTTTTTCAGTACTTAATGATGATTTAATTTTAAATACAAATCTCCCCAAATCGGCCACAAGCTACAAAAGCAGAGTGTTCTTTACTTACCCACGGGAGACATTTCGGGAACTCCTGCCGTGTATGGGCCATCCAAAAATTTGGGTTCATTGTCGTTGATATCCTGAATTTTGATGACAAACTCCGACTCGGGCTCCACGGGTTTGTTGGTGAGCCTATCCAGCGCTTGAGCTCGGAGCGTGTAGTAGGCCTGCTCCTCACGATCCAGTCTCTTGGTGGCATGAATATCCCCAGTGTTCTCATCAATAATGAAAATGGAACTTGCCCCTTCGCCTGACAAGATGTATTTGATGGAACCATCTCCTTTATCAACATCAGAGTGAAGCTGGTGAAAAATTCATGTGAGATGAGATTAACTTACAAGAGAGTCAGTGATATGGAGATATGTAAAAATAATTCTTATGTCAGGCAGGAGTACATGAAATTTTATTGTTCTTGGAAAGATAAGCTGAACGCTTATTGTGCACAGCAGAAAGGCTATTAGAATGTGTCAGCTTGTACATGTGAGCAAGACAATTTCATTTCTTCCTGTAAACAGCCTCATTTCCAAAGGTATTTTATATCAGTCCCAAAGTTGGGAACTGGTTGTAGTGTTATTTTGTATTTGATCTGTCCTTGCCAGTTTTAGCCATCTTCTTTGAACAGAGCAGGCATTCAGTAAACATGTATAATGGGTTGATTTGATCTATTCTAAGCAAAGAAACTTTCTATAGAACATTTGTAAATCTGGTTCCAATATACCATTTAATATGCTTAGAAACCCCCATATTATTTAAGGGTGCCCTTCTCTCCCTCCTCCCTGCCCTGTCCCCACTCACACTCTGTGATTAACGAGTGTGGCTGGATGTCCAGTCTCTAAATCTGTCTCCAAGTCCTGTTCCGTATTTTAAAAATTGGAGCTGAAAAAAATGACACTGCTCTCTCAAGTAGGAATTTTAAATCAATACATGCATGGGACTTCAACTAAAAGCTTTGTTGAAATACCCAGAACTGCATTAGATTTGCATGATCAAGCACAGCATCAGCAGCAGGGCAGCACCTCCCGATTTGCATTTCACATCTGGAACTGTCCCTGCTGTATGTCAGAACATAATGTTGAACAGAGGAACCTCAGGAAACTCACACGTAATTACACATTTCCCTGAACTTCATAACCTGACAAACGCGCTACTCAATCCGTCATTTCAACAATCTTTCACCCCCTATAACTGCCATCATTCTGCACTTTGGTTAATATGAATGTAAAAACTCAATTTACCAAATAATAAAGCTTTTCACTGCCCTTAAGAACTATGTTTGCATTTTTTAAAAGACAAGGTGCTAAAGATATATAACATATGAAAAAAAAACACCAAGGAAAGTATGGACACAGTACATTTTCATCCTTCCCTGTAGCTGTTGAGGACATTGCCTTTTGTACCTTGAATTTCTGTAAGTGATTCTTTCCCTGCACTGTAACGGCCATGTTTATCCTCTGCTTCCAAGTACTTGAATACCTGATTTACCTTTTGGTTTCTGTAGGACTAAATAACACAAAAAGTAAATTTCTGGCACAAGTTATAATTTAACTTTTTTCAGTGTGAATTATCTAGTGGATCCTAAGCCATATGTTTATTCAGTGTAGGGAAAAGGTGTGTTCTTCAACTATTGTGAATTATTTAACTGTCTTAAGTCATTTTTAGGGTTACTATTATATATGTATCTCCCTCTAATTTATAATACAAAGGGTGAAATATGAGAATTATTATAGTTTTAATTATTAAGAACTTCCTAGATGTCAGTCACTATGCTTAACATTCTTTTTTTAAAAACAAAACAAAGCAGAAACTTTTATTTAGGTTTGGAGGTACATGTGAAGGTTTGTTACATGGGTAGAACATTATTTACATAGTAATTCATTCAATATTCACATCTGCCCTTAATCCTACTAACAGACGAGGAAACTGAGGTAAAGAAAGGCTAAGAACTTTGCCTGAAGTGGCCTGGCCAACTCTCTGGCAGATCCAGGATTATAAAAGCTGGCAGGCTGGTCTAAAGCCCACATCCCCACTCCCTATAACGAGATCCAGGCTCCAGGATAGGAATTGTTGCCCTGTGTGCTAGGGTCTTCAAGAGCTGATGCAAAGGGGAACTTGAGGAAAGAAGGGACTATGCAACCAACCCCACCTGATCACCCCCCCAAATCTTCAAGAAGCTCAGTGCTTCCAGTGGTTTCCATGTGTGCATTTTATGACTTATGAGAAGGGTTCCTTCTTGCCATTACATAACAGTAAACTCCACTACACTCAGCAGCACATAGCAAAAGACTTGACTCCCAAGACAAATGCAGATGATGGATGAAAATAAGTTGTTTTTAAGCTTCCAGTCCCCGGGCCGCTTAACGCTCAGTGCTGCTCTCCTAATGCTCCCTCACCCTCATCTGTGCTCCTATGGGGCGGCACCTGGTAGCAACTTACCTACACGTTACTGCTGACAGTGGTGTGCAATGTTAGAAGAACATCCAGAAGACCACAAGAAATATCAATTATATACATGGGTCATGTCTTTAATCAAAGCTTTTTTACACTGAAATCACATTAACGACTTTCATTTACAGAACAAGCTCTTATGATTCATTTACCTAATTCCCACCAACTGATCACTGTTTTCCTGGCATGGTGCTACAATGTCCCTGTGGTATTCCAAGTATGAGAGACAAAATAAATTTATTTTCAAGAAAAATCACACAGTAAGCCCTGACTGTGAACTTCAACCTGAGCTCTGATGCTGCGTTTTATTAAACATTACGGGGTTGTCAGTTGTTCTCCATTACTGACAGCATCAGAACTTAAAAGTTTCATACTGCTTGCTTCTCCAATCATTCAACAATCAAATTCTTTCTCTTCTATTACCTACCCATGCCCCAGCCGTGCCCCACCCCACCCCCACGCACACATCCTGTTTCAGAAGTCCTAAACTTTACTATTCTTCCCATCGCTGACAATTTTCTCCCAGCTGGTACCATCACTAGGCTTCTAACCACTGCCAAAATTCACAAGCAGAAAATTGCTTGGAGTCTAAACTCAGTGTCTTTGCAAAGTTACTGTAAGCATCTGTGGTTAAAATTGACCAACTTTGAATTGTTAAAACAGGTACATAATTATCTGAGGCATTCAGACATTTAATCTGTGAGACTTTGTGCATTATACTAATCCTAACAGGTGGAGTGAAATCCACACTCTTAGTAAAAAACTCCTCTCTCCTTGATGAAAAAGAGTGCTCAGCAAAGAAGAGAAATGTTGCCAAGTGTAGAAATAGCAAATCACGTTCTTAAGTTGACAAGTGTCTCTGCAGGCACGTGCACACTCACGGACACACACACACACACACATGCATGGACACCTTTGAGAATAACTATTACAACCTGAACAGAAAAATGTTACTCTCTACTGTGAAAACCTTTGACCAAGAAAAAAACAAACTATGATCCTATAAAATGGTAAATAAGTACATAAACAAAATAAACGCAACCAAAGACAAGTATTTGTGCTCTATTTGGGGGCAGAATAGGAATCACCTAGGTCTATTGTACTCACAGATACCCTTGCAAATGTGAACCTGAGATTAGCCTAAACAATAACAAAAAAAAAATCTCTATTAATAAGCAGACAAAACTTACCTTTACTGCCTGGGTTCCTAAATCCTTTTCAAAGTATTTGTTTTGACTTTGAAGTAACTATTTAAAGATTTTTTTTTTTTCAAATGAGCACAAAAAGTGAGAGGCATAGAATCCTTAGCTGAATCTAGCTCATGATAAGGCAAAAAATAAGCTGAGGAGGAGGTGCAATTATGTAAATCCTGTGTCATTATGTCAGCATCATGTATTAATATGTAAGAAATATCAATCAGACTCTCATAAACTACATAGACCATGAATGCAAATCACATTTTACATGTATCCTAAAATATATTTCTGAATAATCTATTAATGTTCCATCAGGCCCTGCTTGATAGAGCACCCTCCACCATGAGTCTATTGTATCTGAGCCCTTTTTCATTCATTCTGAATCATAATCCTAGTTTAGAATCTTCAAACCTTTCACTTGGGCTATTGCAAAACACCTCATTTTTTTTTTAATTTTAATAACTCACATTGCCTAGCCTGTCATAATCAAATTATTTCCTCTAAAACATATATTAAATTATATCACACCCCTCATTAAACGTTTTTGTCTACAAGAGTATCTTTATCAATAAGTGCTGAAAGATAACACTGAGATATCATAATATCTCATATTTGCACAACAATGTTAGCCTGAAGGACTTTCATGATGGATCGGCCCCTGGGCATGGCCCGGAGCTTCCCGATGGTCCAGCCAATTGTGGCTGTTTATTCCAGGAAGCATCTATTGCTATGTTCATGCTCATTTTAGAGCCTATGGAAAGTACATCTTTGCTGAGAATTCAACTCTTTTGAAGTTATTTCAAAGTGAATGGAACATTTACTTGGCTGACTCTTGATCCTCCTTCTTTGGCCTTTTCAGCATGCTCACCAAATATATTTAATTGCTTCCCACAGTCTATGGATTTAACCGAAAATTCTAGGCATGAGTCCCAATCTGACTCCATACTATCTCCCAGGCCTCGTTTTCCCACATCTCACAGTGTAGTCTATGGTCCAAGCATGCTGGACTAGTTCTCACTGCCTGAGCATAGCAAGCATTTCCATGCTTCCCAACACACCCACTCACAGACATCCAATTCAGCTCGATGCAAATTCCCTTTTCCTGAAGTCTTACAACTGTCTTGTTTATTTTCTGTAGTTTCTTGTTTCAATTTCTATGACAGAATTCATTTAATTCTGCTTTATATTGAAAATCTAGTTATTTTTATATCCAACTTTAATTTATAAACTCCTTTAGAACTAAGTTCTTTTTATCACTATGTTCTACATTCTTAATAAAGTCTGTTGTATTAAATTTGGTAAATTTATAATCCACTTTGAAAAACAGCAGTATTTGTTTTATTTCAATTTCTGTCCATTTAAGTTTTAATAGCTTTTTAAAGAAAAAAAAATAAAACAAAACAAAAAACATCCTGTATCTCTGGTTTGTTCTCCATAATCCTCTGAACCACTTAGATGGAGTTCAGATGCCTTGCTTTGTTGCTCATGGTAACATTTAGTGTGTGATTTTGTACTTTCACACTTACATGTTTATGTTCCCCAGGAGACAGAGCCCTGGTAGAAACAGGCATCTTTCTTACTCCTGTTTCCTCAGCTTTTATACAGTAGTTCTCTCTCCCTTTTTCTCTCTCTCATAAATACACACACACACACACACACACACACGTGTGTTAAGGGAGGGTTGAAACGTGCTTGCATGTCCTTGGGTGCCAGAATCTCCATTACCTTCATTAAATTTTTACCCTCCTTATTTTTAAATTAAAGATTGTAGAGCCCAAAACTAAAAGAGCAATGCACTGCTATTCTGGTGATCTTTTTACATCTATATAACCAGACTAAGCATGATATGAACTACCTGGTCTACCACTTTCAATCCATCTGCTTAAATAAAAGTCTGATAATGGCAAATATCCTCAATTTAAGAGATAAAGGTAAAAACAATCAATTCAATATATTAACCAACTTTTCTTTCCTCTAGTACTTCTTAAACTCTGCTTGTTATTTGATCTTACTGATGATCTTATCTTTACTACCTAAAGCTTAGCCCTGTAAAATGGAGATAAATATATTCACACTTGAACTTGCATAATTGTGACCACTACTTGAGATGATACAGTGGAATGGGATTCATAAAGGTAAATTGTTATAATGTTAGAGTTGCACTTTTTGATGTCTTTGCCTTTGAAAAAAATACTAAATTTTCATGCCACAAAAAGACCATCTATAAACATAAGGTGAAATTTTATGAAAGAGATAATATGTATTGTGAAAGCTTTAACACTAATAAACGAAACTAGAAACTAAAACCTCTGTGATGCTCACTGACTTATTGACAATAAGGATGACAATAATTGCAGCTTTGTATTAAAGTTTTCCTTAAAATGAACGTTGGAATAAGAAAAAATACACTGTAATATAAATAAAACTTATACTGCTATTGCATTTGTGTCAACAAATGAAGTAATGATGGCAAAGTAAAAAGTGTGTGTGTTCTTTTTTTTTTTTTAACCACTGATTTACTTATTCTAGATTCCTCACTTTTAAAGAATAAAAGTGTATTCCAGATTATTAGAACCCATACAGGGTAATTTTATTAAAATTTTACAAGGTTAAAATTTTAAGTATAGAAGGTAGATTTAAACAATGATTGGCAGAAGTAAAAATGCCTGAATATACATATTATAAACAAGTTTTCTATTATGTCTTTTAATAAATATTTTCCACATACCACTGTATATATTGCAATTATCAAGCTGTTGAATAAATGTTACAGATGAAAACAAATGTATGAGTCATTTCTTTCTGGTTGAAGTATTCCTAATTTATAATTATTACTGTGGTTCAAGGTAATGGAACACAATTCACTTATAAAGCATCTCTAATGAAGACGTGTGGTTTAAGAAGATATTAATTGTTTTACAAACAAGAATAAAGGAAAGAGACATAATTCAGGAAGTGCATAGGTAATGGTAATATTGCCCTAAATATCATTTCTTTTATTAAGTAACAAATGAAAAGAAAAAATACTACTCATATTGTTTTTATTCTCAGAAAAAGTTCACAGTAATTCACTTGTGAGAAACAGCCATTCTAGGGGGTCACGGTCCATTTTCTTAGAGGCAGAGTGGCCCAATTGGAAGGTCAATGCAAAGAAGCCCCAGGTATGGCTACTGAATCTCCATTCTGCTCCATGTTGTGCTGTCTTGATGGTGCTTGGGTCCCAGTTTATTCATCTGTTATAGATCCATATCTGTAAATGTACAATTGGCTTTGAATGTTGACGTGAGGATAAAATAAAAAGATGCATTTGGAAGTAATTTTGTAAAATCAAAATTTCCATCCATATTAATACATTTCCATATAGTGGTGTAATATAATTATCTGCATTCCTTAGGGAAAACAGTCCTGCCTTGGAACCAAAAGGTTCCAAGGATCTGTGCCTATGACATGGTTACTTAGAGCTTCATGTTCACCGACACAGATTTTTCATCAGGGACCAAAAGACAGCAACTCAAAGAAGCATTCTTTATTCCACACAGCTACATTCACTTCCCTAAAGAAAACCCCACTCATCCTATCTCTGATTGCTGTCTCCAGACCAGATCCACAACTCTCACACAACTTAAGAAATCTGCCTACAGTCGAATTCTTAATGATCAAAATTGAAGCTGAGGCTTCATCCTCGCTTAGTGTAATTGTGAATGCTTCATGTTCTCTACTTGAGGGCTCGCCGGATAGGAGAGTACCTTGCTCTCTTAGTTGTAAACTCCATGAAATAGGCCAGAAGCACTTAAAAGCAACCCCTGGAGAGGCTAAGCTCTTTATCAAAAGAAGAACTTTTAATTTTACTTTTTAAAATGGGGCTGGTTGAGCAGAAAACGTCTATAACCAAGGCAAAAGTATCACCACTCAAAGTGAGGTATTGGTTTTTCTGAATTAAGATAAAAACAGAATTTGAGAGGAATGGCTTAGAAACTGTTATAGTCAGCTCACCAAATAATTTCATGTCTGTTGAACCCAAATACAATAATGAAAATAATGGGAACTGATTTTTTCATCTAAGAAATTTATTTTTATTGCATTTTACAAAACTAGCATCCAGTGACAATAGTATAGTGTGTTCTTAAAAAACAAATGTGTGCACAAAAACACAACCAACAACAAAAAACCCCTTAGCCTTTCATCACAGGTCCATTGAGAAGCACTGGGCCCATGAATAAAAACCCTACATGAAAACTCTTTTGAATGCTTCTAGGCAAAAGTCCATCTAACACTTCTTCCCTGTCATAACATTAGAGATGACTGGAAGAAACTCACCACAATGAAGGCAGAGAGCAATCTGAGAGCTCATCCTTAAGACTTGCACAAATGTTTTGTACCTGGCATTTTGGAGAAGGTATGCATGTACGTGTCGCAGACACCAATAGCATAAGGTGTTTGCAAACTATTTCTTGGAGTTGTCTGCACTACACTGCTTTGTCCATTAGAAAATACCAACAATAACAGCTAAAGCAATGGAAATAAAATTTTAGAGTCTGCATTTGGTTAAGGGGAGAAAATGTCAACACTTGTATCATCTAAAGAGAGAATTTTCTAAAGTATCTTTTCAATTCTGATATAAGAATAATATTTGTTCAATGTGGCCTAATGGAAGCCAATGCCTAGACAAAGATATGGACAAACACAGAACGTCAGCGATAACACAGAACAAGGAGGGCAAACTGAAAAGGAGCTAGCCAAGAAGAGGACAGATGGTGACTTAGCCATTCAACTCTTAAACTTACTAACTAGATCTTGGTAAGGAGGCTCTGACTGTTAACTCTAAATCCATCAAAAGTGTGCATATACATTGCTATTCGGTAATATTTATTTAGAAAAGTTGGTCTCAATGATTCTCTCTTGGGTGTTTAGTATTTGTCTAGTTCATCCTTTCTAGCATCTTTGTAAAAATTACAGATTAAAAGTGTCCCTTTAGCTGTTATTTGAAGTACCACGTTAAAACTAGTATCATCTAGTGCACAGTAGCTATTATGTGGACTAGATGGATACAATTTGCATATCCCGATGCCTAAACTAGATTGTCCTGATAAATTGAATCTAGCCTGTTTGTTTCTTCATCTAAACACTCAACATATACTAATCACCTATTAAAAATAACTATGGACTATCTACTATATGTCTGGCTTATTGGGACTTGTGGATGAAAACCAGAAGGGGTAACAAGAGGGAGCCTAAAGTCTTGAATCAAGTAACCCCCGCCTTCATGAGCTTACAGTGGGGTATGCTATCAGTGTAGAAAGTTGAACAAATAATTGTAATTTTGGTGACCACACAAAAGCAAGAACACCAAGAAATCATATGGCAGGAAAACCAAGCTGAGCCCGGGGTTCAGGGAAGTGCTTTTTAAAGAAATGATATTTAAGTTGGGACAAAAAGGATGCTCCTAAGAGTTAGTTTCACAATGAAGGGGAGGAACTTGATTTCCAGGAATAGACTTGACTAAAAGATGAAATCAATTCCTTTCTAGGGATACTCTGACTGAGTAACACACAGAATCCACCAAGGTATAATACAGAATAATTAATTTTGGCATGAGATCTATAAAAAGAGGTCTTATCACATAAATATATTATAACCTATATTCTATAAACATCTATTTAAATAATTTAAAAAATTTTAAAGAGTATAGAATAGTTTATTCATCTTCTCCTACTATTTTGCTAATCACTTTATTATTTTGTGAAATTTAGTATGTAGGTTTCTAGTTTCTAACATCAAGTGGGATGTTGGTTAAAATGCAAATTTTTGAGCTCTGCCTGAGGTCTACAGAACTAGAATCTTTGATTTGGGACCAGAAATCTATTTTCAACCAGCACTCCAGGTCAGAAACACCACCAGCACACAAACCGGTTTTTATCAATAATATTGGTGCTGGAAATAGTTAATTACTTTTAAGTATATTGAATTTAAAATGCCTTCTAGAGTTGGCTGGCCACTGTGGCTGACGGCTGTAATCCCAGCACTCTGGGAGGCTAAGGCGGGAGGATCACAAGGTCAGGAGATCGAGACCATCCTGGCTAACATGGTGAAACCCTGTCTCTATTAAAAATACAAAAAATAAGCCAGGCAAGGTGGCACGCACCTGTAGTCCCAGCTACTCGGGAGGCTGAGGCAGGAGAATCACTTGAACCTGGGAGATGGAGGTTGCAGTGAGCCAAGATCACACCACTTCACTCCAGCCTGGGCGACAGAATAAGACTTCGTCTCAAAAAAATAAAAAGTAAAAAGAAAATGTCTTCTAGAGTTGTTACATAAAATTTAATCTGTTTTGATTTGTTTTATATATTTTACTCAAAAGGGAACTGTCCTTTCTGTAACTAAAAATAGTACAGAAGAAGAAGTATGCAGTGTATATTTATGTACCCATAAAATAGCATGTGTTGATATATTTTTTATAGTGGCTATACTTAAATTCTAAATCACACGAAAACTATTTCAATCATTCATGAGAGAGAGAGGGCAAACAATTTCCTTTTTGCCATAGTTCATGTTTCAGGGAAACCCAAAAGAATGAGAAGCTAATTTGGGGAGTATTCACTGTGGGTATGTCACACAGCTTCTGGGGGTAAGTAGAACACTGAAGACCAAGAACCAAAGGATCAGAGTGGGATTGTACTTTTTTTTTTTTTGACACAGAGTCTCGCTCTGTCACCCAGGCTGCACTGCAGTGGCGAGATCTCAGCTCACTGCAAGCTCCGCCTCCTGGGTTCACGTCATTCTCCTGCCTCAGCCTCCCGAGTAGCTGGGACTACAGGCACCCGCCACCATGCCCGGCTAATTTTTGTGTTTTTAGTAGAGACGGGGTTTCACCTCTTTAGCCAGGATGGTCTCGATCTCCTGACCTCGTGATCCGCCCACCTCGGCCTCCCAAAGTGCTGGGATTACAGGCTTGAGCCACCGCACCCGGCCAGGATTGTCCTTCTTACCTCACTCCTGTTGACTCACTGGGGGTTGATGTATGCTTCTCTTTCCTACAGCAGGGTGATCCTACCAGGTTCACAAGGTATGTCTGCCCCATTCTCTTGGGACTCCTGGCACCAAGGGACCAGCAGACTAGGACAAGTGTCACAATCCTCGTAGGTGTAACCTATCTTGATCATCAGGAGCAGGTGGGCTTCTCTTACCTAATGGGGGCTTCTGTTAGTATCTGGGCACTAGAGTGTCTCTTGATGTTCTCTTGTCCATCTTAATGGCAAATGGACAAGTCAAAGAGCCTGTCCAAGGAGGAGTTGTAGATGAGAAGGATGTGATGAGTACCACTTGCAACCTGGAGATTCCTAATCTTCTTGTGAATTCCAGCAGGAAAGAGGGCCTAACATATGTATGCAGGAACTGTTTCCTGAACTTACCACATGAAGCAAGTGGAAATGAGTGTGCAAGGGGCTGACTCTAGGGCACGTCACGAAAGCCTCCCAGATCCCCTGCGTGCCTCACCAAATGAAACATTCGTGTGCTGGTGGCCAACACATCTCAGCTAAGGCCTTTCCAAAAATCATCCTCAGTTGAAGAGAGCCACCTTGACCAAAGATAACACATCTTTCTTAAGAACAGGCCACATCCAGTGATTGGCTGCTGTGAGCCTTTAAAGCTCCTCCTTTTCCCTTTAGCTCAAGACAACTATGAAGACCCTTCCCTACTCCTGACCTCCCCACAAGGTCAGCCAAGTCCTAGGCTGCTTTGCTCAACAACTTTTACTGCCCAATCCTACTTCCTTCTTTTCTCCCTCACAAGTGTTTATTCCAAGAATGCACACCAATAAATTCCCTATGGGTAAATCCCTGGTCCAGGTCTGTTTCTTATGCAACCTGACCTGCAGCATGCACACACATTTCCAACTCAGTAACTAATGAATCACAGAGCTTGGCTCCTTGGTACTCATGCATACCATGCTCTCTCCTTCAGAGGCACAGGTGACAGAGGGGAACATTTATGTCATTTGTTGAGAGATGTGTACTTGCTGATCAGAAGAAGAAGCCACTGAAGCAAAGGCTGTCAAATGGCAAAATTCATAAAAGTTGTAGCCCCAGGCAGTGTGTCACTCGTTTCTTTCAGTAGATATCTGACATACTCTTATTTTTCCATGCTCTCAAATGCTTTGATTTATGGAAACTTCACACTGTGAATGGACCAATCCCAAGAGCATGAAGAATTCATTCTGGTGTTCTTTATTTGAGAAGAGAAAGAAGCAAAATTGCCTTAGCTCAGGGAAGCCAGCGACCCAGTTTGCATGCCCTCCTCCTTAGTTCTCTATGCCAAGGGTTGAGTATCTTATGTTCGCTCAAGTGCTGTGATGTTCAGACTACACTACTGAATAATTCAGTCAGAATATCCATCCATACTCCCAGGCTATTTTATTTGTAAAATCTTCCTGGGTCAAACTACTACATACCCAAGGTAAGAGCCACTGGCCTAAAAAGAAGAGAGAAATACAGAGGAAGTTTGAGGTAAATGTTCTTCCATTGTACTATCATTTTGAAAGACAGAGGAGAAATAGGTTTATTAACTAGCTATAAAAGAGGGAAAATAAGCATGTCTGCAGAACGTTTGAAATAATTTGCTGAGAAGTTACAAATTTTTAAAAGCTTACCTCAAAAAGTCTCTGGCATAATTTCAATTTCAGAACACTAATGCTTCTAAATGAAAAACAAACCTGGTTCACATAACAAGACCCTCCATGGGATATGTAATTGTCTCTTCTAAAATAGAGCAGATATAAAGAATAATAAGACTATACTCTGCCCCAGGTGACCTAAGGACGCCTAAGAGAGGTTTTCTTCTCTAAGCAAAATATTATTTAGAAATAGATGAGGAAAACAAAGTCTCTTCTAAGCCCTCTTGGGGACTCATCTCTGCAACCAGAGAAACTTCCATCCCCTGCTTTCCTGCACACCAACCATCTTGACTGCAGTTGTTAAATCCCTAAGGATAAACATTTTCATAAAGAAATGTAATAAAATTGGCAGAAATCAATAGGAAGAAAAAGGGAAAAAAGAGAGTGAGGTGGAAGAAACAGGCAAAGACCACAATAAAGTCAATAATTAGGCTGATGGGAGAATACGACATTCTCAAATAGCCATTAACATTATCCCATGGACTCTGGAAAGGCATATTGGTTTTCCTAGGAGAGACTGGCCATGATTTTGTTGTTGTTGCTGTTGTTGTTTTTGTTTTTGCATATTGGTTGCTCTGGTGTTAACAGGAGGCCACCACTAACACCACCTGGAGAGAGTGGACCACATCACGGAACTGAGGAACAGGCAAGGAAGAATCAGTAACACCACTGCTTGAGGAAGACTACTTTCTGCAAAATTCTGTTTAGCTTTTCAGCTGTTTAATTTCTGTTTAGATTTTTAAACTGTAATAGGTTTCCTATTTTCTTAACGGCTACATTTATTTCACAGTTTGACTCTTCACTCCTTCTGCCCAAATGAGTATCAAATATAGAAGTATATTCGATTATTTATTAGTCCATAGAACTGGGATTCAAGATGAATCAAACAACCTCTTCAGCAACATAATTAGAATTGCTCAAGCGAGTCAGCATGATATTAAAACTGCTTCAAGCCTGTGTTATCCAACATGCATGACAGCCATGGGATTCGGGGTCTCGTGCCCTTGTGTCGCTCTGATGTTGGACAACCTGGGGCCATCGGTACTTTGTCTGATCTTTACTTTGTTCATCTACAAAACAGGTTGAACCAAGGGGTCTTAAAGATCTCTTCTATTCCCGAAACTCTGTACATCTCGTCTAAATAAATGTGGGTAAACTACAATAATTAACACAGTCAATAAATATGTAGTAGCTACCTAATGTATATTGTACATCCCAGGAACTGCACAAGGCATGGGAGACTGAGTTCTGGGTGTGTAATGTTGCCTTATTTTAAAATAATTTATAACTTGACACATAGGAATTTTGTACTTATGCCACCTTGGGAAAGTCAGGAGTGTTTTTAGAACATTTTCAGACTATTGTATCCAAAAAAAATTTATTCTATAATTTCAAAATGTCTATTTAGTAATGGCTTGTGGAAAAAAGGACATTGGGTTATTTATTTCCAGATGCTTGGGAGTGACGATCTGTGTTTTCTTGTGTATACTAGCTTGCAATTTGATTAAGATAATTCAACAGAAGAAACTAAATTTTGATTTAAAAATCTATGTCAATAACATACACAAAATATCTTTAAAGGATATTATATTAGTCCATTCTCACACTGCCATGAAGAAATACCCGAGACTGGGTAATTTATTTATTTATTTATTTTAAAAAAGGTTTAATTGACTCACAGTTCTGCATGGCTGGGTAGGCTTCAGGGAACTTACGATCATGGTGGAAGGTACCTCTTCACAGGGGGGCAGGAGAGAGAATGAGGGCTAAGCAAAAGGGAGTGTCCCTTATAAAACTCAGATCTTGTGAGAACTCACTATCATGAGAACAGCATGGGGGAACTGCCTCCATGATTCAATTACCTCCCACTGGATCCCTCCCACGATATGAGGAGATCATGAGATTACAATTCAAGATGAGATCTGGGTGAGGACACAAAGCCAAACCATTTCAAGTGTGTCAATATAATATGTTACCTGAACATGCAATCTTCAGGACAAGTGCATTTATTTGAAAGGACATATTATGAATGGTACTTAATTATAATTTATCTAATATCATGCACAAATCCAATTAGTATCACAAATATACACACTAAGAGTGTTCATTTGCTCTTCATTTCTCTGAGATTTACAACGTTATACATTTTCTCTGTACTTCATCCTGTCACATTATAGATACATAGTTTAGATGTATTATTCTATTTCAATTTGAACTACCCAAAACTCCTTGCAGCAGTACTGGGATGATAATGATTTCCTGGTAGAAACCTGCTTCTGAGGGATATTATTATAGAGAAACATTCCTAGAGGGCATAATTTTGGATGGGTGTTTCCTCCCCTATTATCAATGTTGCTTCCATTAACTAAAACATCCTTTGCTGTTGGGGAAAAAAAGTGCCAACTGAATCATCTTTCTTTTACATTGCTTATAATTTTAAAAACATATCCTACAACGGAATGGACATGTGTCAAATATAAAAAAAATTAGTAATCATTGTTATGAGCTGACTCTGAACTTCAGTACTATGTGAAATGGGAACATTTTAGCAATGATGAAATCATGATGGAAAATTTCCTGGCACACTCGATCCATTCTAATTCAAAATCCCATCACTACTATTTCTCTGTTCCTTATACTACTTTACTTCATATTTGCAACCCTGAATTTTATTCACTCCACTTCACAAATTGTTGTATAGCTCTTTTATTCAAATAATTAACAGCTAATATTTATTGAGCATAATTACGTGTCAGACACTGTGGTAAAGGGACCTTTAATTCTTCTGACAAAGTTTTGTGGTAGGCATTACCGTCCTAATTTTATACATGAGAAAACTATGATTAAGAGGATTCAGGCTTTTGCCCAAGTTTACACAATAATTTCACAGACTTGACTGCAGGTCTCCCCAACAACGAAGCCTGTATTCTCACCCCCCACACCGCCCTGAGTGTGCCCATTTCCACTCCCACCCATCTCCTCTCGGAAGAGATGACTTAGAAGAGCTTGGATTCTTTCATTTCCCCACACGAAAAATCCAACCATTATTAAGGCAAAAACGTGAACTTAAAACAACTAAATTTTCAGGTTTTTTTTTTTTTCTAACCCCTCCTTGTCCCTTGCTCCCGACCCCCAACTGGTTGTCAATTCACAATGTTCCATCTCCACAGCTCAATGACCTCCTTTCTCTTTGTCTCCACTCCACCCATTACTGCTCTGAATAAGGATGGTTTTATTTCTCACATAGATTAACAGCACAGCAATTTATACTTTGTATAGTAGAAAAGACTTATAGATGTTTAAAAGGTCACCTACTCAACATCTCTAATCCATAGTATTACATCATTGTCATGTGAATCTTATTAAAACACATCGCTATTCTTCTCTGGAACAAAATCATCGATAGTTCCCTACAACTTTCCACATTAAAGATCAGTTTAGTATTCAATATGTTCAATGGTATGGTCTCATTGACTGTAATGTACACCATAATCTTATATACTACCACAAAAGAAAAAAAAACTGTGTATTATCACTTTAACATGTTATTTATCATAACAAGTATCCTGATTTTGCAAGGTAAAATGTGGAAAAAGATGCATCTTATAATTGATAGTATGTGCTATTTCTGATTCTTGTCTCCTACTTCCTACTTCTAATTCTCTATTCTTCTATATTCCCCCTTCTGCCCTGGGAATGCACCAGGCTTTGCAAAGCAACAATATAACACCCACAGCTTTCCTACAATCAAATGCATCAAATTCTATAGCAAAATTATTCATATTCTGCACTCATCTAAAATAAAAATCAAGAAAAGCCAAATCAAAGTCTTACACTTTTCATGTGCTCCTTACGAGCACATGAAGTCATGAATATTATGTGTTGTTCAAAGAAACATGATGACAACAGCTTCAGTCAATGCCAGCATTTTGTTTATTACTGCTACTGCATGTGTTTTCTTCACAGCTTCTAAGATTATCTTACTCTTATTTTCTTTACAAAATCAAGTCTCCTTTGCAATCACACTGAATGATAGGATACTTTGGTGATTAGTACAGTGTGATGAGATGTTCTAGGCAACTTATAATCACCACCATTAACAATAAATCTTTACCTAATTTTTGAGATCCGATCTACAGACTTAGCTGTGATAATATTGTTTTACAGGCTTTTAATGCAGAGAGAAATATTTCTGTTTTGTAATAAAATAGAAATAAATGTATTTGCTGGAATTTGCTGGACTTTCTCTCTCTCCCTCTCTTTTTTTTTTTTTTTGAGACTGGGTGTCGCTGTTACCCTGGCTGGAGTACAGTGGCACTACAAGACTCCACCTCTCAGACTCAAGCAATCCTCCCACCACAGCCTGTGGAGAAGCTGAAATGACACACACGTGACACCGCAACCAGCCAATTTTTATATTTTTTGTAGAGACAGGGTTTCGCCCCAGGCTGGTCTCAAACGTTTGAGCTCAAGTGGTCTGGCCACCTCAGCCTCCCAAAGTGCTGAGATTACAGGTGTGAGCCTCTGCGCCTGGCCTCAGAATGTTTTTTAGATTTATTTAGAAAAAAAATGTTTCATAAACTTCATGGGGTGGAGAGTGAGAAACTCACCCACTGCACACAAATGCTCAAGTTGTAAGAGATAATTACTAAATCTCCCAGTACAACTAAAGAAGAGTGAGATAAACCAGTAGCTGATGCTCCACGGAGTACAGCATCAAGGAAAATACATTAAACCCTCCAAGGCAGGGTCTCAGAGGTGGGACAGCCAAGGGCAGAATACCAGATGAGGATTTGTTAAGAGGGATGCTGTACTGCACTGCCCGCTGCCTCCCTTATCTTTAATAATGATTTTTAAAATGTTACAAAATGCTTGATGTAATTGGGTATTTTGTGGAAATTGGCAAAGAGCTGAGTTTTCTTGCAGGCCTAACAGAATCAGCCTGCATGGATAAGAGGGCTTCTGGAGACTGGGTAACAACGGATAGAGTGAAGAGTGTTTTGATTTTTTTTTTCTTGTTTGCTTCTCTAGAGGGCACAGTGCTACAACATTAGAATGCAACTCTGTGGCCATGTAAAGAAAAAGCAAAAAAGCTGAAAACCTACTATTCCAGAACACAGTATTATCCACACACATATTACCTTAGAAGGAAGATACATAGATTCTTCTATCTGCATTGTCCTTTCTTAAATTATAAGGTGAAAACACTGTAAGGTAAAATGGCTAACACGCAGCCCTAGGGTGGAATATTGCCTGCTGCCTCACCTGCAAGCTTCTCTGAGGGAAATGACACGGGAACCTTTTCAAGGTTTACTTGTTTGATTCTTTACACTTGTATTCAACAGACATTGACCTCCTTTTGAGCCCTAGGGGCCTTATCAATTCACTCTTCCCGAGTACAGAAATCAGAAAACCCTCCTTTGTCCTTTTCTTCTTCTCTTTCCCAAATTCTCTAAGATGTCTTCCCTATTTTGTCAGTCTTAAAAAAAAAAAAAAAAAAAAAAAAAAGACTGGCTGCAGCAGACATTCTGGGGCTCCATGGAGTATAGCTAGAACTTTTAAGAGCCATTTTTAAATGCAGAGAATATCAGCCTCAGGGGCACTTAAGAAAAAGATCTAACATGCCCCTATGTGATAAATAGTTAATGTAGTTTTCAAACTTTAATGTCTGCGTACAGTATAAACACATTAGCGTACTAAGCAGAGAAAGTTTATTTAGTCAAAGGCCACTTAATTAAAAGCCAGAGATAGCCATTGAAAATAAAGGCCACAGAGAAACAGATGAAAGATAAGGATGATTGGAGAATACACACAACCATTAGAGCAGAAGGAATTTAAACCAGACAAGTTGTATTTGTTTCCCCAATAATTCTGCCATATTCTAAAGAAATTATGAAACTAGGGACAGTGTTTACTGAACAGAATCCCAGAGTGAGCATCGCAGGATTACATACATTACGTCATGTGACAAGACTCCTAAGAATTCTATCAGCCATTCTCTGTATCTTTAAAGAACAGAAAATAAGTCTTGACATAAGCTTGCTACACTGTAACATTATTGGACTAGTTCATGCACTGAGAATTCACAGCATCTGACATGGGATTAAATAGAGAATGGCCCAGAGTGGAATGGAGAGCATGGTCTGTGATCAAGGAGGTTTGACTCTACTGCTTATTAAACTTTCTCTCGGCTTAACTTTCCCATATGTACAAATGAACTAGTGATAACGATGCTTCCTCTACCTCATTTTTTTAAGACTCCAGTGAAATAATGTAAAACAATATAGCTTACAAACCACATAATATTAAATAAAGGGAATTATGTTAGCGCTACTGGATTAAGAACATCACATAGAAAGAACAGGGTTTCAGATCAAACTGTGCTACTAATTTGTATGTAAAAATATACACAAAGAGCTGACCGATTAAATGTGTAACATTGTAACATACACAAACATGCACACATATGTAAACACACATACATGTACTCTCTGATGTTTCATGTTTCAAATGAAGATGCTAACCAAAGACTAAAAGACAAAGGTGTCATTTCTAATATTCAGATTAAATCATTCTTCAAATATTTTATAAATGTAAAGGAAAGTTGCCTCATAAGTAAAAATATTCACGAAATCTTTAAGTTAAACACTTTTTACATTTTTGAAAGCCCTTTTTGTAAGTAACGAGATTGTTTTTCTGTTCAAGGTGTCTAAATAATGTACCCTTACAAACACAGCAACTGTTCATAGGAATTTCATACTTTAGTGGGTCCATTTTAAACTAATCAATTACCTTTTGTTTGTTTGTTTTATTTTGTTTTGTTTTGAGACAGAGTTTCACTCTGTTGCCTAAGCTGGAGTGCAGTGATGCAATCTCGGCTTACTGCAACCTCTGCTTCCGTGGTTCAGGTGATTCTCTTGCCTCAGCCTCCTGAGCTGCTGGGATTACAGGCGTGCAACACCACATCAGGCTAATTTTTGTATTTTTATTAAAGACAGGATTTCACAATGTTAGCCAGGCTGGTCTTGGACTCCTGACCTCAAGTGATCCTCCCGCCTTGGCCTCCCAAAGTGCTGAGATTGCAGGCAATCAGTTACCTTTTATACAAAGTCTATAACAATGATTTTCCTATAAAGACTACTAAGACTACTTAATGTAGCATTTTTTAAAATAGTATTCCTGACTACTTGGGTGAACAGAAAAAGAGAATGAGGAGGAGAAAGAGAATATAAAAATCAGTGTATTGTAGAGTACTTATTCTTACACTTCACTCTCAAGGGGCCCTGTTAACAATCAAGCTTACAGTCTACTCTTCTTTATCGAGAGACATTAAATAATGCATGCTTCACCATCAACTAGGTTCAATTATTTTTCCCATATACCTCTATACTTAGGAATTTGACTATTTCATGCATGCACACCTCCACATAGATATCCCTCAGGCAACTTCTTTTTTTTTTTTTTTTTTTTTTTGAGAGAGAGTCTTACTCTGTCACCCAGGCTGGAGTGCAGTGGCGCGATCTTGGCTCACTGCAAACTCTGCCTCCTGGGTTCACGCCATTCTCCTGCCTCAGCACCTGGGACTACAGGCGCCCACTACCATGCCCGGCTAATTTTTTTGTATTTTTAGTAGAGGCAGGGTTTTACCATGTTAGCCAGGATGTTCTCGATCTTCTGACCTCGTGATCCGTCTGCCTTGGCCTCCCAAAGTGCTGGGATTACAGGTGTGAGCCACCGCGCCCAGCCTCCCTCAGGCAACTTCAAATTTAACATGGCCAAACTGCAACTTAATCTTATATATTGTACCTAGAGCCAGAAACAGTGGATTTGTCATTCATTGAATAGTACCTACTATGTGAGAGGTCCCCTTGCTGGTGCTGTAAATGCAACAATGAGTAAGACACCTCCCCACCTCCTTTCCCTCTGCCTAGATGCCTCCTAAGATCCTCAACTCCATACTTAACTGTTAAACATCTCACAACTATTCTACTTTCCAAATAATTGTTATTTATCTGATCCTTTTAAATTCATCCATGACCATTTTTCAGTCCTCACCATATCCTGCCTGGAATAAACTCTCACCGACTTGGTTTTCTGTCTCCTGTCTTACCCACCATCCCAAATGTTACAGACTTTGACTGTAACAGAATTGATGTTTCTAAAATGCAAATTGGCTCAGAACCATCCTCAAACTTATCAAAAAACAAACAAAAAAAAACAAACAAAAAAATAGCACATGTATTAAACTTTCATGATGTGGCTGGCTGTTGCTGGTTGTCTTGGTTTTTATTTGTCCTATACTTTGGCCATGTGAATCAATTACAGACGCCTAAACAGATTGTATTTTCTCAAGTCTCCACGCCTTTGCATAAGCTGCTTCTTTTGAACAACACTATCTTTTTCTCTAGTCCCATTTATTTAGGAGTCACTTTCTCATCCTTCAAGGCTCAGCTGAAATATTACCTCCTCTTTAAAGACCTGCCTGATGTCCCAGGCTGATTTTGATACTCTTTCCTTAATCTCCCACTGCACATTAATAAAATTCACCAGCAAACAACACTGATATTATATGTATGTTTCCTCATATTACAATCTGCAGGAAGGACAAGAATATTTCTTTGCATATTTAAAATCCCCAGTATGGCCACATGGGTGTACAAACTACATAAACTATAAATATTTGTTTAAAGAGTAAATTAATAAATATCCTTAAAAATATTCATGATAATATAACTTTGTATAGGACCATTATAGACTACGTATTTCTTCTTGTTTTTTACACTTCCTTAACCCATAAGTTTGATTTTCAACTAGGCAAACTGTGTTAGCTATAGGTCAAATCTAAACTTGGGTAGGGCAGAAATGTACAGAATAGATTCTTATTGAAAACTTTTACTCACTGGAAACTTTTTCATCTAAGCGAAAGCAGGTATAACTCTTTCCTTTTTTCCATTAAAAATATATAAAAATAGCATTCACTATTCTGTTCTTTGAACTGCACAAGTGTCTGGCAAGTGGCATCAGCAAAAAGCTCTATCTGGTCCACGAGGTGGTGTTTTCAGAAGGCTGCAGGTGGCTAGAGGCTCAAGCAAATGCATTAGTTGAGCAAGCCGGCAGATGGCCCCTGTGATCTCTGCATCTGAAGTGATTATCTATAAACATACCTGCTCGCGCTACACAGCATGACTTGCAGCTACCAACATGAACTTTACACACCATGTGATATGTAGGGTCTTTCTTTTTCTTTCTCTCTCATTCCCTCTCTCTTTCTTTCTTTTAGAATTTCATATTTTTTATATGTTACTTAGGATGAGTAGATTAAAGCACTCAGAAGCCAACTATTTCAGTGATGATGACCACATATTTTTCCCTGTGTGCAAGACTTCTGTCTGTAAACTTAATTGATGATTTTAGACAGTAATGTAAAATTTGCTATGAATTTTAGTGGTGTGTCCTTGGTACATCCAGTCAGGATATTCATTTTAGCCCATGCTTTGCAAGCAACCAGTCCTGTGTCCAGAGCTGAACAGTTTAATAAGTTGTTCACCTGATAAACTTGAATCAATTCCTGATTATACAAGCTTATTTTCAATGTGTGTTCAAATGAAGGGTGGAATTCAGTAAAAATAGTGGGGAAAAAAAGATCCTTAGAGTTAATATATGTTTTTTCTCTTTGCCTAATATTTTAAGACATGATTTCAACACTTGATTTTAGTATCATTTAATCTGTTAAAAAGTAAATGGGATTTACTCTTCTCCACTCTTCACACTAACTGGTTACTCGCTTTCTCTTAAATTTCACCAACTTTTTCAGGAAATATATTACTCATATATCTACTGACTGAATAGTCCTGTTAGGCTCAGACTACTTAAAAATTGTAGTATTGTAGCTATGTTCACCTGTGAAATGTATTTTAAAAACACACACATCAGATCATCTGCTAGGTGCTGAGAATGCAAAACTGAGAGCAGCTCCTCTCTCACCCGAGAGAAGAGCAGACCACTAAATGAGTAATCACAGCTCTGCCTTATGACTTTGCAGTTCCTGCCTTTATATATCTGGAAAGCCCATCCAGTCTTTCCTTGTGTAGAATTTAAAATCAAAGCAGCTCTAAATTTGTCCTTTTTCTGTCTGGACCCTCATTACTTAGACCAAATGTCCTGA